>NC_000001.11:213184587-213809587 GCF_000001405.40 Homo sapiens
ATTATTTGAAATTTTTCTTTTTTAAAAAAATTGGGCATTTATTGCTATAAACTTTTCTCTTAGTGCTGATTTTGCCATAGCCCACAGATTTTGGTATGTTGTATTTCCATTTTCATTTGTTTCGAGAAGTTTTTTAATTTTCTCAATTTCTTCATTGACCCATTGGTCAGTCAGGAGCATATTGTTTAATTTCCGTGTGTTTCTGTATTTCTGACGTTCCTCTTGTTATTGATTTTGTGTTTTATCCCATTGTGGTCAGAAAAGATGCTTGACATGATTTTTTTAAAAATTCGCTCATACTTGTTTTATGGCCTATTTTGTGGTCTGTTCTACAGAATGTACCATGTGCTGATGAGAAGAATGTGTATTTTCTAACTGTTGGGTGAAATATTCTGAAAATGTCAGTAGGCCTATTAGATTTAGTGTGTAGTTTAACTCTGGTTTCTTTGTTGATTTGCCGCTGGATGATCTGTCCATTACTGAGAGTGGCAGTTAGAGTCTGCTACTATTATTGTATTGCAATCTGTCTTTTCTTTATTAGATCTATTATGTTTATTTTATATGCTTGGTTTTACAATCTTAGATTTGTAGTCTGTTTTATCTAAGTAGAGCTACTCCTGTGCTTTTTTGTTTTCCAGTTGCATAGAATATCTTTTTCCACCCCTTCACTTTCAGTCTATGTGTCTTTATAGGTAGGGTAGGTTTCTTGAAGACAGCATATAGTTGGGTCTTATTTCTTTATTCAGCCACTCTGTGCCTTTTAATTAGAGAATTAAGGCCTGGCACAGTGGCTTATGCCTGTAATCCCACCACTTTGGGAGGCCAAGGTGGGCAGGATCACCTGAGGTCAGGAATTTGAGACCAGCCTGGCCAACATGGTGAAACCCCATCTCTACTAAAAAATACAAAACTTAGCCAGGCATGGTGGTCCATGCCTGTAATCCCAGCTACGTGGGAGGCCGAGGCAGGAGAGTCACTTGAACCCAGGAGGCAGAGGTTGTAGTCAGCTGGGATTGCGCCACTGCACTCCATCCAGCCTGGGTGACAGAGCAAGACTCTGTCTCAAAAAGAAAAAAAAAATTTAAATTCAGTATTATTATTATTATTGATAAGTAAGGACTTACTTTATTTTAACAATCTTTTTTTTTTCCTGCTTATTTTCTGGTTATTTTGACACTCCTGTCTTTTTTCTTGTCTTCCTTTGTGGTTCTGTCTGTCTTTGTGGGTAAGTACTTTTCTCTGGTAGTATGTTTTAATTTGTAGCTTTTTATTTTAGGGAGTGTCTTATGGGTTTTGTGCTGTGGTTGCCAGTTACCATGAGGCTTACAAAAAATATCTTACAAATATAACAAGAGACAGTTCATCTTAGGTCACAAATAATAAGAATAGAAACAAAGGCAAAAAAAAAAACTACACAAAAATAATCTGCAGTTTAACATCATCACCCCCACATTTTGAGTTTTAGTTGTCTCACTTTTCATTTTCTATATTACCTGATTTGATAAAATCAGGTAATTTGATAAAATCAGTGGATTTTGCATCACTGTTAACAGTAGTATAGGATTCTGGGTTTGTTTATATACTTAATTTCACCAGTGTTTTTTCTTTTTTTTTTTAAACCTTTTTTTTTTCCCCTTCAAATTGAAGAACTCCCTTTAGCATTTCTTATAATGTAGATCTGATGGTGGTGAATTCTTTCAGCTTTAGTTTGAGAAATAGTTTCTCTCTCCTTCATATCTGAAGTATAATTTTGCTGAATACAGTATTCTCGGATGGCAGTTTTATTTTTGGTTTGTTTTTTAAGCACTTTGAAAATGTTGTTTCACTCTTGTCTGCGTGGTTTCTGTTGAGAAGTCTTGTCAGACAATGTGGAGGTCCTTTATATGTTATTTGCTTCTTTTCTCTTGTTGTTTTTAGGATCCTCTCTTTGCCCTTGACCTTTGAGGGTTTGATTATTATGCCTTGAGGTAGTCTTACTTGGGTTGAACCTATTTTGTGTTCTGAGATTTTTTTGTATCTGGATATGTATATCTTTCGGAAAAATTTCTGTTATTTCTTTGAGTAAGCATTCTAGCCCTTGGTGTTGCTCAGCTCCCTCTTGAACACTAATAATTCTTAGCTTTGGTCTTTTGAGATAATTTTTAATATCTTATAGGCAGCTTCATTCTTTTCTACTCTTCTTTTTTCTCTTCTGATCATGTATTTTCAGATAGCCAGTCTTTGAGCTTTCCAGTTCTTTCCTCTGCTTCATTCATCTGCTTTGAGAGCCTCCAGGAAGTTCTTCAGTTCAGCAAATGTGTTTCTCAGTTCGAAGACTTCTGTTTGATTTTTTGTTTTTCAGACAGCGTCTCACCATATTGCCTAGGCTTGACTGCAGTGGCACAATCATGGCTCATTTCATCCTCTATTGCCTAGGATCAGTGATTCTCCCATCTTAGCCTCCGGAGTAACTGGGACCACAGGCTTGTGCCAACATACCTGGCTAATTTTTTTTGTAGAGATGGGGGTCTTCCTATGTTGCCCAGACTGGTCTTGAACTCCTGGGTTCAAACAGTTCTCCTGCCTTGGCTTCCCAAAGTGCTGGGATTATACCATGCCTAGCCTCTGTTTGATTTTAAAAGATTATTTCAGTTTCTTTTTTTTAAATTTTTTTCTTCTTCTTCTTTTTTTTTTTTTTTTGAGACAGGATCTCACTCTGTCACCTAGGCTGGAGTGCAGTGGTTCTTGGCTCATTGCTGCCTCCACCTCCCAGGTTAAGGTGATTCTCGTGCCTCAGCCTCCCAAGTAGCTGAGACTACAGACATGCGCCACTATGCCTGGATAATTTTTGGCATTTTTAGTAGAGACGGGGTTTCACCATGTTGGCCTGGCTGGTCTTGAACTCCTGGCCTCAAGTGATCCACCTGCCTCGGCCTCCCACAGTGTTAGAATTATAGGCATGAGCCACTGTGCCTGGCCTAATTTCTTTTTTAAAATTTCTTTGATAAATTTTTGAGTTGCTTTTGTATGTTATCTTGGAGGTCGCTGACTTTCCTTATAACTACTATTTTGAATTTGTGGTTAGAGAACTCACAAATTGCTTTCTTGTTAGGATCAGTTGCCGGATTTTTGTTTTGTCCTTTTGGGGAGGTCATGGTTCCCTGTTTGCTGTTGTTTCTTGTGGGTATATTTTATGTCTTTGCATTGAAGGATAGTTATTAATAGATATTTATAGAATAGTTATTTATTCTAGTTTTTTTTCTGTCCATCTTGTTTTGGTTTCTACTGGATATATTTGCTTAGTGAATCTTTACATCTAGGTAACTGCCTCTTTTTAGCTCTAGGAGGTACCTTAAGCTTGGGTTGACCTCAGCTCTGGTAAATGATCAGAGTGATGCCTGCTCTGAAGGTGAGAGGTCCCAAAGGGATTAGGCTGGCAGTGTGTTAAGGCTAGCTAGAGGTTTGTGCCCAGGAGTCCATACCTCTTCTGCTGAGCAGCCTCTCAGATTGGGCATCTCTGTTTGCTGAGTAGCAGAGCAGACTTTCCAGGGTTGGGGGTGATAGTCCCACCTCCTGTCTTTGTCTCTGCCTGTCCTCAGGAGTATTTCTCCCTTTAGGCAGTCACGATGCTTCCCATGGATTAAGGTGGGGACAAGTCTCCTGCTTGGGAACCCAAGATGTTGGGGAACCTGGATGACCCCCTCAGTCTTACCTTTTACAGTTATAGAAATGTAGTTGGGTGGAGGGAGGGTGAGATTTTCTGCTTGGTGCCAGGCAGAATGGAGGGGGAGGGGTGTCACAGATGTGGAGGTCTGATTCCCTTGCCATCTGTTCAGAGTTGTTTTTTGTTTGTTTGTTTGTTTTTTTCTTACTTCTCCACGGCCCCAGGAATTATCTCATTCTCATATTTGAATTCCATGTTGTTACTGGTAAAAATCTTGGCACTTACATATTTGTTTGTTTGTTTGTTTTTCTATTGGAGAGGGGGGCGTGAAAACAGCTTGCACTTATATTTCTATGTATGAACAATGCACACATAAAAACTGGAATTAAAAATACAATACCTTTATAATAATATTGAATTACTAGATGTAAATATAACAAGACATAGGAGCTTTTATGCTGTAAACTTCATAGCACTGATGAAAGAAATCAGAGGTCTGAATTATTGGAGAAACATATTTATTAGCAGACTCACCATAGATGTAAATTCTTTCCAAATTGATACACAGTTTTAAACAGAGTTTCTATCAAATTTTCCGCAAGGTTTTTTTTTTTTTTAAATGTAAATATAGACCCGATTATTCTAAAACTTATTTGGGAAGTTATAGGAACTATAATAGCTAAAATAGTTTTCAAAAAAGAGTAAGGTGGGAGAGTCACTCTGTTTGATTTCATGACTTTACAGTAATCAAGATTTTGTGGTGCTGGTATAGAGACACACACATAGAGAACAGCATACAAAATGTAGACATAGTCCCACAAATATGGCTAATTGATTTTTGACATAGGTTCAAATCAGTATAATGTAGGAAGGTTAATATTTCCAACAAATATTGCTAGAGTAACTGGGTATTCTCTAGCAATAAAAGTGTACCTTGGCCAGGCATGGTGGCTTACGTCTGAAATCCCAGCACTTTGAGAGGCCGAAGTGGGTGGATCACTTGAGGTCAGGAGTTCGAGACCAGCCTGGCCAACATGGTGAAACCTTGTCTCTACTAAAAATACAAAAATTAGCCAGGCGTGATGATGGGTGCTTGTAATTCCAGCTACTCCGGAGGCTGAGGCAAGATAATTGCTTTAACCCAGGAGGCAGAGGTTGCAGTGAGCCGAGATCATGCCAGTGCGCTCCAGCCTGAGTGACAGAGTGAGCCTTTGTCTCAAAAAAAAAAAAAAAAAAAAAGTGTACGTTGACATATCCTCACACTTCTTAAATTTTTTTTATTTTTAATTTTTGTGGGTACATAGTAGGTGTATGAATTTATGGGTTATATGAGATATTTTGATACAGGGATGCAATGTGTAATAATCATATCAAGGGAGATGGGTATCCATGCCCTCAAGTATTTATTCTTTGTGTTACAAATAATCCAGTTATATTCTTTTAGTTATTTAAAAATCTGCAATTAAGTTGTTATTGACTATAGTCATTCTGTTGTTTTATCAAATTCTAGTTGTTATTAATTCTATTTTTTGTACCCATTGTCCCTTCCCACTTCCCCTTCCGAACCCTACACGATCCTTTCCAGCCTCTGGTAACCATCCTTCTACTCTCTGTCTCCATGAGTTCAATTATTTTAATTTTTAACTCCCATAAATAAGTGAGTACATGCAAAGTTTGTCTTTTTGTGCCTGACTTATTTCACTTAATGTAATTTGACCTCAGCTTCTATCCATGTTGTTGCAAATGACTGAATCTCATTCTTTTTTATGCCTGAATAGTACTTCATTTTGTATATATACCACATTTTTAAAATCCGTTCATCTGTTGATGGACACTTAGATTGCTTCAAATCTTGGCTATTGTGAATAGTGCTGCAGTAAACATGGGAGTGCAAGTATTTCTTTGATTTATTGATTTCCTTTCTTTTGGGTATATACCTAAGAGTGGGATTGCTGGAGGGTAAGGTAGCTCTATTTTTAGGTTTTTGTGGAGCCTCCAAACTGTTCTCCATGGTGGTTGTACTAATTTAGATTTCCACCAAGAGTATGAGGGCTCCCTTTTTTCCACATCCTTGCCAGCATTTATTATTGCTTGACTTTTGGATAAAGGCCATTTTAACTGGGGTGAGATGATGTCTAATTATAGTTTTGATTTGCATTTCTCTGATGATCAATGATGTTGAACAGCTTTTTATATGCCTATTTGCCATTTTTATGTCTTCTTTTTAGAAATGTCCATTCACATCCTTTGTCCATGTTTTAAATTAGACTTAGATTTTTTCCTATAGAGATGTTTGAGCTCCTTATATATTCTGGTTATTCATCCCCTATGAGATGGGTAGGTTGCCAATATTTTCTTTCATTCTGTGGATTGTCCCTTCACTTTTTTGATTGTTTTCTTTGCTGTGCAAAAGCTTTTTGCTTGATATGATCCTATTTGTCCATTTTTGCTTTGGTTGCCTGCGCTTGTAGCGTATTACTCAATAAATTTTTGCCCATTCCAATGTCCTGGAGAGTTTCGCCAGTGTTTTCTTTTAGTTTCATAGCTTGAGGGATTAAAGTCTTTAATAATCAATTTTGATTTGATTTTTGTGTATGGTGAGAGATAGGGATTCAGTTTCACTCTTTTGCATATGGATATTCGGTTTTCCCAGCACTGTGTATTGAAGAGGTTGTCCTTTCCCCAGTGTATTTTCTTGGCACCTTTTGTCAAAAATAAGTTCACTGTAGATATATGACTTTATCTGTGGGTTCTCTATTCTGTTCCATGATCTTTGTGTCTGTGTTTATGCCAGTACCATGCCATTTTGGTTACTATAGCTCTTTAGTATAATTTAAAGTAATGTAATGTGTTTCTTCCAGTTTTGTTGTTTTTGCTTAGGATTGCATTGGCTATTCTGGGTCTTTGTGGTTATATATAAATTTTAGGATTGCCTTTTCTATTTCTGTGAGGAATGCCATTAGTATTTTGATAAAGATTGCATTAAATCTGTAGATTCCTTTAGTGTAGTTATTTTAACAATATTGATTCTTTTAATTCATGAACATGGAATATCTTTCCCTTTTTTTGTGTGTCTTCAATTTTCTTGCATCAGTGTTTTATAGTTTTCATCGTAGAGATCTTTCACTTCTTTGGTTAATTCCTAGGTATTTAATTTTATTTGTAGCTATTGTAAATGGGATTACTTTCTTGATTTCTTTTTCAGATTGTTTGCTGTTGGCGTATAGACATGCTACTAATTTTTGTATGTTGATTTTGTATCCTGCAATTGTACTGAATTTGTTTGTCAGTTGTAATAGTTTTTTAGGGGAGTCTTTAGATTTTTTTCAAATGTAAAATCATATCCTCTGTAAACAAGGATAATTTGAGTTCTTCCTTTTCAATTTAGATGCTCTTTATTTCTTTCTCTTGTCTGATTGCTCTAGCAAAGACTTCTGGTACTGTATTGAATAACAGTGGTGAAAATGGGCATCCTTGTTATATTCTCGATCTTAGAGGAAAGGCTTTCAGTTTTTCCCCCATTCAGTGTGATACTAGATATGGGTCTGTCGTATATGGTTTTTATTATGTTGAGGTAAGTTTTTTCTTCTTTTTTTTGAGATGGAGTCTTGCTCTGTCGCTCGGCTGGAGTGCAGTGGCATGATCTCGGCTCACTGCAACCTCCGCCTCCCATGTTCGAGCGATTCTCCTGAGTCAGCCTCCCAAGTAGCTGGGACTACAGGCACGTGTCACCATGCCCAGCTTATTTTTGTATTTTTGTAGATCTGCCCGATTCAGCCTCCCAAAGTGCTGGGATTACAGGTGTGAGCCACTGCACCCAGCTGAGGTAAGTTTCTTCTATCCCCAGTTTTTTGAGGGTTTTTATCATGAAGGGATGTTGAATTTTGTAAAATGCATTTTCAGCATCAGTTGAAATGATATGGGTTTTGTCTTTCATTCTGTTGGTATGATGTATGACATTAATTTATTTGCATATGTTGAATCATCCTTGCTTCCCTGGGATAAATCCCACTTGGTCATGATGAATGATCTTTTTAATGTGTTGAATTTGCTTTGGTAGTATTTTGTTGAGTATTTTTCCATCAGTATTCATCAGTCATGTTGTTCTATGGTTTTCTTTTTTTTGATGTATCTTTGGTTTTCATATCGGGGTAATACTAGCCTCATAGACTGAGTTTGGAAGTATTCCCACCTCTGTTTTTCAGAGTAGTTTCAGTAGGACTGGTGTTCTTTAAATGTTTGGGATAATTCAGCAGTGAAGCCATTGGGACCTGGGCTTCTCTTGCTAGGAGACTTTTTATTATGCTTTCAATCTCATTACTTGTTATTGATCTCTTCAGGTTTTGGATTTCTTTATGGTTCAATCTTGGTAGGTTGTATGTCTCTAGGAGGTTTGTCAATCTTGTTTACCTTTTCAGAACACCAACTTTTTGGTTTGTTGATCTCTTGTATTGTTTTTCTCATTTCAAGTTTATTTCTGCTCTAATCTTTATTATTTCTTTTCTTTTAATTATGGGTTTGGTTTGCTCTTTTCTGGTTAAGATGCATCATTAGGTGGTTTATTTTACATTTTTCTTTTATTTTTGATGTAGACACTTCCAGGTGTAAACTGCCCTCAGTACTGCATTTGCTGTATCCCATAGATTTTGGGATGTTGTGTTTCCATTATTTGTTTCAAGAAATTTTTCAGTTTTTTTCCTCAGTTTCTTTGTGGACCCACTGGCCATTCAGAAGCATATTTCTTAATTTCCGTGTATTTCTGTAGTTTCCAGAAATTTCTCTTGTTACTGATTTCTAGTTTTATTCCATTGTGGTCAGAAAAGATGCTTCATATTATTCCAGTTTTTTTTTTTTTTAACTGTTTTGAGACTTGTTTTGTGACCTGCCATATGGTCTGTCCTTGAAAATGATCCACGTGCTGAGGCAAAGAATGTATTTTCTATAGCCATTGGAAGGAGTGTTCTGTAAATATCTGTTAGGTCCATTTGGCCTATAACACAGATTAAATTTGATGTTTCTTTTTTGATTTTCTTTTTTCTTTTTTCTGAGTCAGAGACTCGCTCTGTTGCCCAGGCAGCAGTGCAGTTGCACTATCTTGGCTCACTGTAACCTCTGCCTCCTGGGTTCAAGTGATTGTCCTGCCTCAGTCTCATGATTAGTTGGGATTACAGGCACATGCCACCATGCCTGGCTAATTAATTTTGTATTTTTAGTAGAAATGAGGTTTTACCACATTGGTCAGGCTGGCCTTGAACTCCTGAACTCAAGTGATCCACCCGCCTTGGCCACCCAAAGTGCTGGGCTTACAGACGTGAGCCACCATGCCTGGCCTCTTTGTTGATTTTCTGTCTGAAGTATATGTCTGATGCTGAAAGTGGGGTATTGAGGTCTATAGTTTTTTTTAGTTTTTATTTTTATTTTTTCTGATGGAGTCTCACTACGTCACCCAGGCTGGAGTGTGGCGGCAAGATCTCGGCTTACTGCAACCTCCACGCTTAAACGATCCTCCCACCTCAGCCTCCTGAGTAGCTGGGACTATAGGTGCGCAATACCATGCCTAGCTAGCTTTGCATTTTTTGTAGATATGGGGTTTTGCCATGTTGCCCAGGCTAGTCTCAAACTCCTGGATTCAAGCGATCTGCCCATCTCAGCCTCCAAATGTGCTGGGATTGGAGGAGTGAGCCACCATGCCCAGCCTACGGTTATTATTGTTTTGGGGTCTATTTCTTCAGCTCTAATAATATTTGCTTTATATATCTGGGTGCTCCAGTGCTGGGTGCATATATATTTACAATTATTACATCCTCTTGCTGGATTGACCCCTTTATCATTATATAATTACCTTTGTGTCTTCTTATAGTTTGTCTTGAAATCTATTTTGTCTGATGTAAATATAGCTACTTCTGCTCTGCATGGTTTCCATTGGCATGGAGTATCTTTTTCCATCTCTTTATTTTCCGCCTGTGTGTCTTTATAGGTGAAGTGGTTTTCTTGTAGGCAAAGCAGCATTGGGTTTTTTAAAATCCATTCAGCCACTCTGTGTCTTCTCATTGGAGAGTTTAATCTGTTTATGTTCAATGTTATTGTTGATAGTTTAGGACGTACTTCTGCCATTTTGTTTTCTGGTGATTTTGTGGTCTTTCCTTTTTTCCTTCCTTCCTGTATTCCTGTTAGTGAATGTGATTTTTCTCTGATGGTATGATTTAATTTCTTGCTTCTTACTTTTTGTGTATCTATGGTAAGTTTTTTGATTTGAAGTTACCAGGAGGCTTGCAAGTACTGCCTTATAACCCAGGGGTCCCCCATCCCTGGGCCACAGACAGGTGTCACTCTATCGCCTGTTAGGAACCGGGCCTCACAGTAGGAGGTGAACAGCAGGCAAGTGAGCATTTACCACCTGAGCTCTGCCTGCTGTCAGATTAGTGGTAACACTAGATTCTCATAGGAGCGCAAACCCTATTGTGAACTGTGAATGCGAGGGTTCTAGGTTGCGTGCTGCTTATGAGACTCTTAATGCCTGATAATCTGAGGTAGAACAGTATCATCTCAAAACCATGCCCTACATGTACCCCCTGTCCCCAAGAGAAATTGTCTGAGGTGGAACAGTTTCATCCCAAAACCATTACCCCCACTAGTCTGTGGAAGAGTTGTCTTCCATGAAACTGGTCCCTGATGCCAAAAAGGTTGGTGACTGCTGGTTTATATAACATTCTTAAAATGACAAAATTATGGAAATGGAGAACAGATCTATGGATGCCAGTGTTTAGATTAGAGATGGTGGAGGAGAGAAGGGTGTGTGTGTGTTAGGGGGTGATTTGCAAGGGATAGCAGCAGGGAGAGGTTTGTGGTGATGCAACACTTTTGTTTTTTAATTTTCTAGTTTTTTTGTTTTTGTCCCTTTTGGAGAAAAGGCAAACACATTTATTTAACAGGAGAATCACAGAGTGAGCATCCTGGTGGAACACTTCTGGGTCTTGATTGTGCTTGTGGTTATGAGAATGTATACAATTGATAAGATGACATAGAACTATTAATATGTACACACATAATACCAGTGTCAATTTTCTGCCTATAATAGTATACTGTAGATACATACAATGTAGCCCTTAGAGAAAACTTAATGGAAGGTACGTGGGAATTTTCTGTACAATGTTTGCAACTTTCTAGTGACTCTACAATTATTTCTGAAATAAAAAGTTTTAAAAATTCGTAACGTGTTTATTGGTCTGTCTTTTAAAATTATTTCAATAGTTTTTGGAGAACAGGTCGTGTTTGGTTCCATGAATAAGTTCTTTAGTGGTGATTTCTGAGATTTTGGTGCATCTATCACCTGAGCATTGTATACTGTACCCATTGTATAGTCTTTTCTCCCTCACTGCCCTTCCAGCCTTTCTCCTGAGTCCTCAGAGGTCATTATATCATACTTATACTGTTGCGTCTTCATAACTTAGCTCCTACTTATAAGTGAGAACGTATGATGTTTGGTTTTCTATTCCTGAGTTACTTCACTTAGAATAATGGTCTCCAACTCCATCCAGGTTGCTGTGAATGCCATTATTTTATTATTTTTATGGCTGAGTAGTATTCCATGGTGTGTGTGTGTGTGTGTGTGTGTGTATATATATACCATATTTTCTTTATCTACTTGTTGGTAATGGGCACGTAGGCTGGCTTCATATTTTTGCAATTGCAAATTGTGCTGTTATAAATGTGTGTGCAAGTGTCGTTTTCATATAATGACTTCTTTTCCTCTGGGTAGATACCCAGTACTCAGGTTGCTGGATCAAATGTTAGTTCTACTGTTAGTTCTTTAAAGAATCTCCATGCTGTTTTCGATAATGGTTATACTAGTTTACATTTCCACTAGCAGTGTAGAAGTGTTCCCTTTTCACCACATCCACACCAAAAAATTATTTTTTTTTGATTTTTTAATTATGGTTATTCTTTCAGGAGTAAGGTGGTATTGCATTGTGGTTTTCATTTGCATTTCCCTGATAATTTGTGATGTTGACCATTTTTTCATATGTTTGTTGGCTATTTGAATATCTTCTTTTGAGAATTGTCTATTCATGTCCTTAGCCCACTTTTTGATGGGATTATTTGTTTTTTTCTTGCTGATTTATTTGACTTCCTTGTAGATTCTCCGTATTAGTCCTTTGTGGGTTGCATAGTTTGCAGATATGTTTTCCCCCTCTCTGGCTTGTCTGTTTACTCTCCTGATTATTTCTTTTGCTGTGCAGAAATTTTTAGTTTAACTACATCCCATCTATTTATCTTTGTTTTTATTACATTTGCTTTTGGGTACTTGGTCATGAACTCTTTGCCTAAGCTAATGTCTAGAAGAGTTTTTCTGATGTTATCTTCTAGAATTTTTATGGTTTCGGGTCTTAGATTTAAGTCTTTGATGCATCTTGAGTTGACTTTTGTGTAAGGCGAGAGATGAGGATCTGGTTTCATTCTTCTACATGTGGTTTGTCAATTATCCCAGCACCATTTGTTGACTAGGGTGTCCTTTACCCACTTCATGTTTTTGTTTGCTTTGTTGAAGATCAGTTGGCTGTAAATATTTGGCTTTATTTCTAAGTTCCATTGGTCTACATGCCTTTTTTTGTTTGTTTGTTTTGAGATGGAATTTTGCTCTCGTTGCCCGGGCTGGGGTGCAATGGCGCGATCTCGGCTCACTGCAACCTCCGCCTCCTGGGTTCAAGCAATTCTTCTGCCTCAGCCTCCTGAGTAGCTGGGATTACGGGCATGTGCCACCATGCCTGGCTGGTTTTTGTATTTTTAGTAGAGACAGGATTTCTCCATGTTGGTCAGGCTGGTCTTGAACTCTTGACCTCAGGCGATCCACCCGCCTCAGCCTCCCAAAGTGTTGGGATTACAGGCATGAGCCACCGTGCCCGGCCTCTACATGCCTGTTTTTATACCAGTATTATCCTGTTTTGGTAACTATAGCCTTGTAGTACAGTTTGAAGTTGGGTAATGTGATGCCTCCAGATTTATTCTCTTTGCTTAGTCTTGTTTTGGCTATGTGAGCTCTTTTTTGGTTCCATATGAATTTTAGGACTCTTTTTTTCTAGTTCTGTGAAGAATGATTATGGCATTTTGGTGGGAATTGCACTGAATTTATAGATTGCTTTTGGCAATATGGTCATATTCACAATATTCATTCTACCCGTCCATCAGGATAGGATGTGTTTCCATTTTTTCGTGTCATCTGTGATTTCTTTCAGCAGTGTTTTGTAGTTTTCCTTGTAGAGATCTTTCACCTCCTTGGTTAGGTGTATTCCTAAGTATGTATGTATGTATGTATGTATGTATGTATGTATTTTTTGTAGTCGTTGCAAAAGGTGTTGTGTTCTTGATTTGATTCTCAGCTTGGTCACTGTTGGTGTATAAGTGCTGCTGGTTTGTGTACATTGATTTTATATCCTGAAACTTTATTGAATTCATTTATCAGATCTAAGAACTTTTTGGATGAGTCTTTAGGGTTTTCTAGGTATATGATCTGTCTGTTTTGTCTGCTATATAAGTAGTTACTCCTGCTTACTTTCGGCTTTCATTTGCAGGGAATACCTTTTTCCATCCCTTTTCCTTAAATTTATGTGCGTCCGTATGTGTTAGGTGAGTCTCTTGAAGACAACAGATACTTGGTGGATTTTTATTCATTCTGCCATTCTGTATCTTTCACATGGAGCATTTAGGCCATTTACAGTCGATGTTAGTATTGAGATATGAGGTATTGTTCTATTCCTGATGCTAGTTGTTGCCTGAAAACCATGGCCTTTTTTTTCATTGTGTTACGGTTTTATAGGCCCTGTGAGATGTATGCTTTAAGAAGGTTGTATTTTGGTGTATTTCGATGTTTTGTTTTAAGATTTAGAACTTTTAGCATTTCTTGTAGTGCTGGCTTGGTAGTGGCATGTTCTCTCAGCATTTCTTTGTCTGAAAAATACTTTATCTCTCCTTCATTTATGAAGCTTAGTTTTGCTGGATACAGAATTCTTGGCTGATAATTATTTTGTTCAACAATGCTAAAGATAGAACCCCATTTCCTTCTGGCTAATAGAATTTCTGCTGAACTATCTGCTTTTAATCTAAATAGGTTTTCTTTTATAGGTTACTTGATGCTTTTGCCTCACAGCTCTTAATATTGTTTCCTTTGTCTTGACTTTAGATAACCTGATGACTATGTGCCTTAGGTGATGATCTTTTGCAACCAATTTCCCAGGTGTTCTTTGAGCTTCTTGTGTTTAGATGTCTAGATCTCTGGCAAGCCTGGGGAAGTTTTCCTGGATTATTCCCTAAAATAAGTTTTCCAAACTTTTAGATTTCTCTTCTTCCTCAGGAATGCCAGAGAGAGTAGGAGGGAGGAAGGAAGAAAAGATACAAAATGTCAAAACTCAAATGGGAAGAATAGACTACTGAGTAAGTATGTATATTTTCAAGAAACTGAATCAATAATTAATAACCTTCCAAAATAGAAAGCACCAGGACCAGATGGTTTTACTGTTGAATTTTACCAAATGTTTACAGAATAAATTATATCAGTTATCTGCAATCTCTTCTAGAAGACAGAAGTAGAGGGAATACTTCTAACTCATTATATGAGGCCAGCATTATTCTATTACCAGTTTTTAAATTTACCCAAATAAAATTAAAACTTCAGTCCCCTCAACATACATCCACCCAAGACTGAACCAGGAAGAAGTTGAATCCATGAACAGACCAGTAACAGGTCCTGAAATTGAGGCTGTAATAAATAGCCTACCACACCTCCCCATCAAAAAAAGCCCAGGACCAGATGGATTCACAGCTAAATTCTACAGATGTACAAAGAAGAGCTGGTATCATTCCCACTGAAACTATTCCACAAAATTGAGGAGGAGGGACTCTTTTGTAACTCATTTTATGAGGTCAGTATCACCCTTATACCAAAACCTGGCAGAGATACAACAAAAAAGGAAAACTTCAGGCCATTATTTTTGATGAATATCAAGGCAAATTCCTCAACAAAATACTGGCAAATTGAATCCAGCACCACATTAAAAAGCTTATCCACCACGATCAAGTAGGCTTTATCCCTGGGATATAAGGTTGGTTCAACATATGCAAATGAATAAACATGATTGATTCATCACATAAACAGAACTAAAGGACAAAAACCACATGGTTATCTCAATACATGCAGAAAATGCTTTTGATAAAATTCAACATTTCCTCAGGCTAAAAACTCTCAATAAACTAGGTATTGAAGGAAATACCTCAAAATAATACGAGCCATCCATGACAAACTCACAGCCAACCTCGTCCTGAATGGGCAATAGCTGGAAGCATTTCCCTTGAAAACTGGCACAAGACAAGGATGCCCTCCCTTGCCACTCTTATTCAACATAGTATTGGAAGTCTTGGCCAGGGTAATCAGGCAAGAGAAAGAAATAAAGGGCATTCAAATAGGAAGGGAGTCAAATTATCCCTGTTTGCACAGTGCTATATCTAGAAAACCCCATAGTCTCAGCCCAAAAGCTTCTTAAGCCAATAAACAACTTCAGCAAAGTTGCAGGATACAAAATCAATGTGCAAAAATCACTAGCATTCCTATACACCAACAACAGTCAAGCCACGAGCCAAATCCAGAATGTAATCCCATTCATAATTCCCACAAAAAGAATAAAATACCTAGGGATAAAGCTAACTAGGGAGGTGAAAGATCTCTACAAGGAGAACTGTAAGCCATTGCTCAAATAAATCAGAGGTGATGCAAACAAATGGGAAAACATTCCATGCTCATGGATAGGAAGAATCAATATTGTTAAAATGGCCATACTGCCCAAAGCAGTTTATAGATAATGCTATTTCTATTAAACTACCATTGAGATTCTTCACAGAACTAGAAAAAACTATTTTAAAATTCATATGGAACCAAAAAGGAACCTGAATAGCTAAGGTAATCCTAAGCAAAAAGAACAAAGCTGTAGGCATCATGCTACATGACTTCAAAGTATACTACAAGGCTACAGTAACCAAAACAGCATGATACTGGCATAAAAACAGATACATAGACCAATGGAACAGAATAGAGAACCCAGAAATAAGACTGCATACCCACAACTATCTGATCTTTGACAGACCTGACAAAAACAAGCAATGGGGAAAGGATTCCCTATTCAGTAAATGGTGCTGGGATAACTGGCTAGCCACATGCAGAAGACAGAAACTAGACTCCTTCCTTACACCATTTTCAAAAATTAACTCAAGATGAATTAAAGACTAAAATGTAAAATACAAAACTATAAAAACCCTTGAAGACAACCTAGGTAATACCATTAAGGACATAGGCACTGGCAATGATTTTATGTCAAAGATGCCAAAAGCAATGGCAAAAAACAAAAATTGACAAATGGGATCTATTTAAACTAAAGAGCAAACTTTAAACTGCACAGCAAAAGAAACTATCAACAAACAGAATGGGAGAAAATTTTGGAAACTATGCATCCAACGAAGGTCTAATATCCAGCATCTATAAGGAACTTAAATTTACAAGAAGAAAAAAACAGCCCCATTGAAAAGTGGGCAAAGGACATGAACAGACACTTTTTAAAAGAAGACATACATGCAGCCAACAATCTTATGCAGGAACAGGAGACCACATACCGCATGTTCCTACTTACAAGTGGGAGCTAAATGATGAGAACACTCAGACACATAGAGAGGAACTACAGACACTGGGGCCTGTCAGAGGGTGGCGGGTGGGAGGAAGAATAGGTTCAGGAAAAATAACTAATGGGCACTAGGCTTAATACCTGAGTGATGAAATAATCTGTACAACAGACCCCCTTGACACAAGTTTGCCTATGTAACAAACCTGCACATGTACCCCTGAACTTTAAAAAAACAAACTTATGTTCATACAGTATCCTGCACAAGGATGTTTATAGCCACTTTATTCATAATTGCCAAAATGTGGAAACAACCAAGTTGTTCTTCACTAGGTGAATGGGTAAATCAACTGTGGTACATTTAGACAATGGAATGTTACTCACTGGTAAAAAAGAAATACCTATCAAGCCTTAAGACATGGAGAAACCTTAAATGCATATTACTAATTGAAAGATGACAACATGAAGAAGCTTTATATTATATAATTCCAATTGTATGACTTCTGGAAAAGGCAAACCCATGGAGACAGTAAAAAGGTTAGTGGTTACCAGATATTGGGCAGGAGGTAGGGATGAGTGGTGGAGTGCAGAGGATTTTTAGGGCAGTGTAACTATTCTGTATACTAGAATGGTGGATTGTCCAAATCTATAGAACATACTACAGCAAGATAGAACCCTAATAGAAACTGTGTACTCCAGATGATAATGAGTCATTGGTGTAGGTTCATCAGTTGCAACACATGTGCCACTCTGGTACAGAATGTTCTTAGTTGCGGAGGTTGTGTGTGTTTGAGGCCAAAGGAACTTTTTATTTTCTGCTCACCATTTGTATGAATCTAAAATTGTTCTAAAAAATGAAGTCTGTTTAAAAGGAGAAAAATCAATACAGTCACTGCCATGTTTGGTGAAAGGCATGTGGTACCTTCAATAGTGTGCCTTCATCTAAAATTGTGATACTATAGTTGATGTTAAAATTTTAAGAGATACAGGAGAAATTTTGAGCTGAGTGTCCCAGACAGCTGGCTAGCTATTCCAGATGTGGGACAGACCACTGTGTTTCTAGGTGGTTTTTAGTTTGCTTGGGGTCAAAGTCTTAGGATTACATATTATGTGTACACCATGCAGAATTCTAAGCTCTCTACATAAATTATTTAATGCTCTCAGACAGTTTGCAGATAAAAAACCTGAAGCCAGAGAGCTTAAGTGTTTTGTATAAACACACTAAGTTACAGATCAAGGGTTTAAACTCAGGTCTCTTTCCAAAACTATAGCTCTTTATCATTATTCAGAACTGAATTTCTTTGATTATTATAACATTTATATTCCTTCTCAACTTACTGTATTACAGTATCATTATTCATTAAACTTCCTTTAAAAAATCAGTGTGCCCTAATTAATGAATTTACAATATGAATAATAGCATTTAAAAAAACTACAGCAGCTGGGCGTGGTGGCTCATTCCTGTAATCCCAGCACTTTGGGAGACTGAGGCAGGTGGATCACTTTTGAGATCAGGAGTTCAAGACCATCCTGGCCAACATAGTGCAACCCTGTCTCTACTAAATATCCAGAAATTAGCCAGGTGTGGTGGCGGGTGCCTGTAATCCCAGCTACTTGGGAGTCTGAGGCAGGAGAATCACTTGAACTCAGGAGGTGGAGGCTGTAGTGAGCCAAGATCGCCCCACTGCACTCAAACCTGGGCGATAGAGTGAGACTCAGTCTCAAAAACAAAAAACAAACCAACAAACAAAAACAAAAAACAAACCAAAAAAGACATCAGTCAAAACCCCCTACAGTGACAAATAGGGTTAATTGAATGGCTGAGTTAGGGTCTTATTTTATCCTTACTAGACACCATCATTGTGTGTTTTATAAATACCTCGATGCTTTCAAACCATTTTAAAAGACAAAAATATTTTAATTATGATTGTATTTATTGATTAAAAAATTAAAAATGGGAAACATATAACATTATTACGCTATTCTAAATGCTCTTTAATGGTCTCATAGTTTTCTACTATGTACTGTGGTTTATTTAATTCGTTCTCTTTAGGTTGTTTTCCTCTTTTTTTCTGCCTGTGATGAATATTCTTAGAGGTCAGTCATCTTATGTTTTCTTTAGTATATTTTTTCAGAGTTGGAGATTATGGGTCAAACAGTATATATGCACATTTTAAACTCTCCAGAAATATTACAGTGTTTTAAACTCCTACTAGTAGTACAGATTGAGTTTCCTTTATCTGAGATGCTTGGGACCAGAGGTGTTTCAGATTTTGAAGTTTTTCAGACTTGGGGATATTTGTATTATATATATTTACTGGTTGAGAATTCCAAATCCAAAAATTTGAAATTTGAAATGCTACAATGAGCATTTCCTTTGAGTGTCATGTCAGTTCTCAAAAAGTTTCCGATTTTGGAGCATTTTGGATTTTGCATTTTCAGATTTGGGATGCTCAACCTGTATGTGAGAAGGTTTACTTCCTCGTATCCTTACTGACAACATCTGCCATTTGCTGATGAAAATTTGGATTTCACTGTCATTTTAATGTGCAATTTTAATTGTTAATAGGATATATTTTTAAAATTTTTTATTGACTGTGTTTCTTCTTTTATGAAATGCCTGTTTTAAGTCCTTTTCCTAAATTTTTTTATTAGAGGTTTATATGTTCTTACTGAATTTTCAGAAGCTCTTTTTATAAGAATATGTAAACTTTTGTCTTGAATATACAGGGGTATTTTCCTTCAAGACAAAAATTTTCTGTTTCTTACATGTTCATTATAGAAAAATCAAACAATAAGCTAAAAAAAGGTATAATTCACCTATAACCCTGCTACCTACTGAGAATTATTTTTACATTTTGATTTATACTCCTGCTGTCTTCTTTCTGCACATATATACACTGTTAAGGGCCCCATTAGCCTGTGTTTTCACATAAGGTCATAATGACATTAACATATAAATTATAAAGACTTGGTAGCTTTTACCTGTTAATTAGCGGGATGTCCTTTTCTACCTTTCCCATCCCGGAAGTATTTCTGAGAGCATGGTCTCAAATAAGTTTGAGAATGAATGTGTGTCTGCTGGAAGCTCCTATTCTTCCGCCATTTTCCAGTCCTCCAGAAGTTTCCTGATGGTCCATGTCTGAATTAGACACCCCTCTTCTTTGTTCCAGTTGCACCTGTAATTCTTCAGCATAGTACTTCTTAAACTGTTTTTAATTGCCTCTCCTCCATGCTAAACTTTCAGCTCTTGTAGAGCACAGACCCTATCTGCTGTGTTCATGGTTTTTCTTTATGTCTGATATCTGTGTGTACATAGCAGGCATTCAGTAAATATGTGTTGAATTGACTTTTGTTGAATTTTAATACTCGATTGGAGAGTTAGACACCTTCCTATTTGCACACTTTCCCATCATACATCCAAGTATATGTATAATGTCAATTTCTTTTATCTTTTTATGATTTTCCTTTATGGTTTGCCTTTGATGCTATTAATTAGTTTCTTTTTAATAACCAGAAAGATAACTTTTTGTATCCTTTATTTGTAGTACAATAAAGTTTGTTTTCCATGTTGGTATTCCTGAAAAATCTCATTTTAGTATTAGAGTATGCTGGAATAGACAATATAAATACCTCTAAACTCTCACTTATAGCAGCCTAAATCTGCACGTGCTGTAAGGAAAACATTTTTAAATAATTTGCCATTAAACAATTTCTAATTTAATTGTCACTTTTTTTTTTTTTTTTTTTTTGAGGCAGGATATCACTCTGTCACCCAGGCTGGAGTGTAGTGGTATGATTACGGCTTACTGCAGTCCCGACGTCTTGGGCTCAAGGAATCCTTCTACTTCAGCCTCCTGTGTAGCCAGGACCACAGGTGTATGCCAGCATGCCTGGCTAATTTTTTAATTTTATTTTTTGTAGAGATGGCATCTCGCTTTGTTGTCCAGGGTAGTCTCAGTCTCCTGGGCTCAAGGAGATTCTTCCACTTGGCTTCCCAAAGTGCTGGGATTACAAGCATAAACCACAATGCCTGGCCTCACTTTTTATAATGGACTTAAATCAGTTTGGTTGTTTTAAAAGTACCCTAGCATTTAGCACATGAATACATCTCATTTTGATTAGTGGCCAAAGTATTTTTGGGCATTGTGAGCATTGTACTACTCCCAGGCTGCTTATGGTATGTTATAGTATCAGATACATCTCTTTGGATCCATGCTCTAAGTAGAATTGTGTTGTATACCTTGCTTAATCCATTAAATTTTTACCTGTCTGTTTGAGTATCACCAAAAGAAAGTTGCTATCACAATGTACTTTCTACTTTTTAATCTACTCTACTGATTCATTAGTACACAGCCATGGTGAGACACTTGAGATGTTCTGCTGAAGACAATTGTTACATATTGGGATTCTGGAAGGACAGCAAGCTAGATAAAGATAAGTCATGCTTTTAAGAGTCCCATGGAACATCAGTCATTGTGATGTGAAGAAAGTGATAAGGTAATGCATGAAGCAGTTTGAGTCACTATGATGTGGATGGTGGGAAGTAGCCCTCTTAATCAAAGCTTTAAGAACGACCAAGAACCTAAGGAATAGTTACTTATACCACCAGATTATGCAGATAATGTTAATAACAACAAACTCATTTATATATATAGATATATATATATATATATATTTCAAAAGAATGTAGCAGTCCCATAGGTTTTATATATAGAATCAGCATAGTATTTGATTATAATTAATGATATCATCTTAAGGACTTCATCTAATATACTTATTTTGAAAATAAGATGCAACCATATATTTTTGACATAAATTATAGTTATTTTTCTTCAATTCAATGCTTTGATATTTTATTCTGTATCCCTATCAGTTAAATGTATATATTATTTAAAGTTAAGAGTATACAAGTTAAATATCTCTTATTCGAAATGCTTGGGACCAGAAGTGTTTCAGATTTTGGTGTGTTTTCTCTTTATTTTGGAATATTTGCATTATATTTACCAGTTGAGCATCCCAAATCCAAAAATCCCAAATCTGAAATGCTCCGATGAGCATTTCCTTTGAACATCATGTTGGTGCTCAAAAAGTTTTAGATTTTAGAACATTTTGGATTTTGGATTTTTAGATTTGAGATGCTCAACTTGTATATACAGTGCATTCTGTACTTGCATTTGAATACTATATTTGGATTTGTGGGTGTTTTTATTCCAAAGAGCTCAAATTCCCTTAGTATTTAAAGCACGGTTTCCTAACATTTTTAGAGATAGCATTGTATGGACACTTTTATAATAGGACAACCTTTAAGTAATTTTGAAATAAAAGGACTAGTTTCCTTTTACCTCCTAGGGCTTGGGTTTTATAATCTTAGGATTAGAAAGGGCTTTAAGGTTATCTGACCCAGTGCATTACAGATCTTGTGGTCTATCTACAGTGCCCCATTAAATGGCTCTTCAGCTTCAGGGCCTTTTATTTATCAATTTAACAAATACCTTTTGAATGCTGCCCTGGGGCAGGCACTGTGTTAGGTGCTGGACATATTACAGTATATCAGACATGGTTCTTCTTTTTAGTCTAGTTGGAAAGATATAAGTAAATACATAAGTTGTAAAGCAGCACAGAAGAGGCCATAAAAAAGCATGAAAAAAGACAGAGCCACTTAATGTCACAAAGTCATTTCATTTTACACAGTTCAAAGTCTTAGAAAGTCCTTTTTTCTCTTGAGCCAAATACTGCTTCTTTAGGTCTAAATACCGCCCTTCTCCAGTGATCATCTTTCAGTTATTTCAAGATAGTTAAGTTATATTTCTGATTGGTATTGTTTGTATGTTAATTTCTTTTATCTTGCTTAAAATTGGCCTAAATTACAATTTGTTAAATATTTTTGGATCTTCCTTGTACAAAATTTTTTCTCTTGGGGTTCATATAGTGCTTCTAGGGCCAGGTGTGGTGGCTCACACCTGTAACCCCAGCACTTTGGGAGGCCAAGGTGGGCGGATCACGAGGTCAGGAGTTTGAGACCAGCGTGGCCAGCATGGTGAAACCCTGTCTCTACCGAAAATACAAAAATTAGCCGGGCATGCTGCTGTGCGCCTGTAATCCCAGCTACTCGGCAGGCTGAGGTAGGAGAATCACAACTCTGGGAGGCGGAGGTTGCAGTGAGCTGAGGTCACAACACTGCAATCCAGCCTGGGCATCAGAGTGAGACTCACTATATGTATATATATATAGCTTCTGTGGAATAAATATGCCACCCCAAAATACACTGCTTTGGCATATTTTGAGATGGCTATTCAGAAAAGCTACAGAAAGAGGAATAGCTCTGAAAAGCTGTCCATTTGTGGGGGAGATTTGCATCCCTGGTAGAAATCCACACTAGGAAAGTAAACAGCAGACAGAAATGGACTTTCTTTGAGAATCCCTTATCTGCCTTATTTGGATTTAGGAAAAAACTAACTCAGGAAAAGAGACTGAAGGTCTGACACTGTTAAAGGTGTGACAGAGAAACTTTTTCAACAGGCTACCATCTATTCTTTCTGAGGGCTGCTACCTGAGAGATTTCATTTGTAATACAAAATAGCTTTTGTTCAGCTTGCATTTCCTCCCCTCACCCTTCCACAACCTGTAAGCTATCTTCCCCCACTCTGGAGCTCCAAGCCCCTGACTCTTTTCTGTATTTTCTGTATGGTATAAAAACTTCAGTCATTTGTCCCTTCTTAGAGTCTCATATTTTGTGTGGCTCCCCTGCACATGTGCGTGTTTATAAATTTATATACCTTTTTTTTTGTTTGTTTGTTTTGAGACACTGTGTCACTCTGTTGCCCAGGCTGGAGTGCAGTGGCGCGATCTCAGCTCACTGCAACCTCTGCCTCCTGAGTTCAAGTGATTCTCCTGCCTCAGGCTCCCAAGTAGCTGGGATTACAGGTGTCCACCTCCATGCTGGCTAATTTTTATATTTTTAGTAGAGACAGGGTTTCACCATGTTGGCCAGGCTGGTCTTGAACGCCATACGTCAAGTGATCTGCCTGCCTCAGCCTCCCAAAGTGCTGGGATTACAGTCATGAGCCACCGTACCCGGTCTTGAATACCTTTTCTTCTGCTAATCTGTCTATTGTCAGTTTGTTTTATAGACACAAATTATCAAACCTTCAGAAGGGGGAGGAATTAAAATTTTCTTTGCTCTTGTATGTTACTTTTTCCCCCATTTGCGTATTCTTATATGTATCTATCTCTGTCTCCCAACCCTCTGATGGAATTTTAAAATATCTCTCAAGTACAAACACCTCAAATAATCCATCAGATATGTGGTTTCCTCAGAAGCTTCTCTTCTGGATTCTTTCATTATTCTGCTCAAGTTTGCATTGGTTTCCTCTCTTGGCATACTACCTAGCTCTCCTCTTTATACTTCCACTTTTTGTTATTCTGGGAATCTCTTCACCAGTCTTCTGTATTACTTTTCAATTCCTGATTCTTTGTATGTGACTTGTTTTTCTCCTCCTTTGCCTTTCTCTTTGGAGGCCTGTAGGATTTTCTTTTTGTCCCTGGTGTTCTATAATTTCACAGTGATGTTGTGGTGTGGAAATCTTTCTCATTTTTTGAGCTGTGTCTTTGCTTATCTTTTTTCCATTTGGGTAACAATCTAGATGTTTTGTTGGGAGATCAAACAAATATCAGTATCTGCATGTTTTATCTCTTGGGCCAATTGGTTTTCTTAGAGAAGAACCTCATAATCTGCTCAGGGAGTTAGTTTAAGACCAGCATCATTGTGGGAGCCCAGTGGTGGAAGCAGGAATGATGTCCTCACCATTTGGTGTACAGGTTTTCACATAATGCCTCTGTTTTCAGTACCACTCTTCAGTCCCACCTTTAGCTGTTTGTAGTATCTGTCTCATTCCACATCTTCAGAGGTTGAACCTTTAGTCTTCTGCTTGTGTAGAAAAGGGTGGCTATCTTGCTGGCTGTGCAGTGGCATAGAGTATATATACTTTTTCCATGTCCTCCTGTTTTTAGGAGATAATTTCAGGATATACTTAAAATCTAAAACCTTTTCACAGTTTTAAGGGTAAAGTTTGAACTTCAAGCTAAGCCTATAAAGTTCTTTGTGATCTAGTCCTTCCTTTCTCTATTGGTTCAACTTGGTTCTTCCCCTTCTGGATGAACTAAGACCACACCACAACATACTATGTTGGCTACAGCCCGTTGAACTTGGAGGGATACAAACGCATCACATTTCACATGTGATGTACCCCTCTACCTGGAGTGCCTTCTTTTCCTTTTCTTCCACAATTTCTTATTCTTAATTGTTGTTTTCTCTCAGTAGCCCCGCTCACTTTCATCTACTGTCTGATTTAAATATCTTTTACCTGTATTCCTTTACCACCTCAAACTTATCTTTGATAGTGTTACCAGAAAGGGATATTGATCCAAACCCCAAGAGAGGATTCCTGGATTTCACGCAAGAAAGAATTCCTGGTGAGTCCACAGATTAAAGTGAAAGCAAGTTTATTAAGAATGTAAAGGAGGCCAGGTGTGGTGGCTCATGCCTGTAATCCCAGCTCTTTGGTATTCTGAGGTGGGTGGATCACCTGAGGTCAGGAGTTCAAGACCAGCCTGGCCAACATGGTGAAACTCCATTTCTACTAAAAATACAAAATTAGCTTGGTGTGGTGGCCCATGCCTGTAATCCCAGCTACTTGGCAGGCTGAAGCAGGAGAATGGCTTGAACCTGGGAGGTGGAGGTTGCAATGAGCCGAGATCATGCCACTGCACTCCTGTCTGGGCAACAAGAGCAAAACTCCGTCTCAAAAAAAAAAAAAAAAAAAAAAAAAAGGAATAGAAGAATGCCACTCTGTAGGCAGAGTAGGAGCATGGGCTGCTTGACTGAGGATACTTAACGGTTATTTCTTGATTATAGAAACTGAACAAGGGGTAGGCTATTCGTGAGTTTTTTGGGAAAGGGGTGTGAATTTCCCAGAACTGAATGTTCCTACTCTTTTTAGACTATATAGGACAACCTACAGGCATTGCCATGGCATTTGTAAACTGTCATGGTGGGAGTGTCTTTTAGCATGCTAATGCATTATAATTAGTGTGCAGTGAGCGGTGAGGACGACCAGAGTTGACTTTTGTCATTATATTGGTTTTGGTGGGTTTTGGTTGGCCTCTTTACTGCATCATGTTTTATTAGTGGGGGTTCTGTGACCTGTATGTTGTACCAACCTCCTATCTCATCTGTGACTAAGAATGCCTGACCTCCTGAGAATGCAGCCCAGCAGGAGTCAGCCTCATTTTACCCAACCCCTGTTCAAGGTGGAGTTGCTCTGGTTTGAACACCTCTGACAATAATATTTATCTATATTATACAGTAGTTTTTGATGTTATTTCTGTGCCTTTTCCAATAAGCCTTCAGATTTCTGAAGTGTACTTGACCAAGTATACTTGTTGAGTAAGTTTGAAGGTAACAAAAAGAGACAAAATTGTGTCTTAACATTTCAAATAATCTGTAAATCTGTGCCTCAAAATATATTACACTTGAAGCATCAGAGCAAGAGGATATTACAAACTGAAAACCGTCCAAACATTCCTGCTTCTCCTGTTTCCACCTTTTCTCACAGAGTGTACCTGTAGACTGTTGACAGAATACTTTGTTGCAGTCGATGAACTTGTCAATTTGAGAATGAGTATTGTGCCTTTGTGTTTCATATGTGCTTTAAAACATTTTGGAATTTTTCAGAACATGAACACATTGTGTTCTTATACTCAATAAATTTTCTAGGTCATTTAAAAATAATGTTAAATTTTAATCAATACCAGAAGTTTGGCTCCATCTGCTACAAAAGTACAAACTCACTGAACACATTTAAAAATAATAACATTTAAAGCTTCCTTGCCCTTGAGGCATTTTCTTCTGAATTGGAATCAGGCTACCTTTGACATTGGCAACTTAGTTGGATATGTATTGATCGACTTAAGAATGTTGCTTCTGTGTCTGTTATCATTATGAGAGAACATTTATTAACTGTCTGACTACATACTGCCCTGATTCTATAAACGAGAACTATGTGGATGTATTTGGTGCTTTTTAGGGACTTATTTTAAGTGTATTTATAGAGCACATCTAGCAGCGGACAGAAAATATTAAACTAGGGTATGAATGGACAGTGAAATAGTTTACATCAGCATCAGAGTATTTGGTTTTTCTAGCAAATGCAAATAAGGAACTAAAGCTAAATACAATAGACTATACTTTTAATTGAATTAATTTTCATCTAAATTTAACAGTGTCAAGTTATCATCCCAGGTGAACTTCAGAATTCAAACTAGAAAAATAGAATACATGTATTCATTATGGGATTGAATGGCATGAGCCGAACTTGGGCCTATAAAACCAGAACTTTAGAGTTTTAACCTCTCTTTAGCATAATCCGTTTATGGCCTTGGGCAGATTCTTCACAAAAACAGAAAACAGACAATCAAAATGAGAATGACAAAGGTGTGGAGAGATCTAGCTTTTAAAGCATTTGGATCTGAGAAGAGCCTCCTAAGTGGTTGTTTCTTCTAGCTCTTTAGCAATTCTGTTTTAAACCCAATTTCTCTGTCTTTTATATTCTGCCTTCTGCTATATTTATATCCATTTTCCTTACAAAGACACACCATTGTCCTTTGGAAGCAGGTTTTATAAAGTAATAGATGTATTGGCCTAGAATTTGAAAAATTATACAAAGTAAAATTCTTTTTACATACATATAAAAGATATTTCTTTGATAGGTTTATTGTTCACTAAATCGTTAACTTCACATTTTAGTATGAGACATCATTGAGGAATGGCTTATGTTCATTGACATTTGGCTCATATGAATATGAGAGATTTTAAATTTGTGTTTGTAGTTTATTTATTGGAGAATGACCTGGATTTTGCATCACTTTAGTGCAGGACTTGTTTTAGTTATTTGTGTAAAGATGTGTAATCCAAGGATCTGGCCAAGTGATTTTTAGATGGGAAGTAGAGAAGCATTTTGTTTTTTAAGACTGTTTTTTGAGGGCAGTTTTAGGGTGACAGCAAAATTGAGAGAGAGACAGAGTTTTTCCATGTGCCCCCTTGACCCCACCCTTGCATAGCCTCCCCTATTGTCAACAACCCCCACCAGAGTGGTACATTTATTACAATTGATGACCTTTCATTGACGCATCATAATGACTTACAGTTCATAGTTTATATTAAGATCATTCTTGGTGTTGTACATTCTGTGGGTTTGGACAAATGTATAATGACCATGTATCCAGCATTATAATATCATACAGAGTATTTTCACTACCCTAAAAATCTCTGTGCTCTGCCTGTTCATTCCCTGCCAACATGTGGTAACCACTGATCTTTTTTTTTTCTATCTCCACAGTTTTGCCTTTTCCAGAATGTCATATAGTTGGAATCAGTATGGAATCAGTATGTAGCCTTTTCAGATTGGCTTTCTTCACTTAGTAATATGCATTTAAGGTTTCTTCATGCTTTTCATGGCTTGACAGCTCATTTATTTTTAATGCTCAATGGTATTCTGTTATCTGGATGACCCCAGTTTACCCATTCACCTATTGAAGGATGTTTTGGTTGCTTCCAAGTTTTGGCAATTATGAATGAAGTTTCTATAAACATCCATGTGCAGGGGTTTTTGTGGACATGCATTTTCAGCTCCTTTGAGTAGACACCAAGGAATGTAATTGCTGGTTCATTTATGGTGAGAGTATGTTTAGTTTTGTAAGAAACTGCCAAACTGTCTTCCAAAGTGGATGTGTTATTTTGCATTTCCAGTAGCAATGAATGAAAGTTTCTGTTGCTTTATATCTTTGCCAGCATTTGGAGGTGTCAGTGTTCGGGATTTTGGCAATTCTAGTAGGTATGTAGTGATATCTTGTTTCAATTTGCACTTTCCTGATGACATGCAATGTTGAGTATCTTTTTATATGCTTATTTGCCATCTGTATATCTTGTTTGGTGAGGTGTCTGTTAGTCTTTGGCCCATTTTTTAATCAGGTTTTTAAAATTATTAAGAGTTCTTTGTATGTTTTGGCTAATGGTCCATTATCAGATGTATCATTTATAAATATTTTCTCTCTGGCAGTGGCTTGTTTTCTCATTCTCTTGACATTGTTTTTCATGGAGCATAAGTTTTTAATTTTAACAAAGTCTATCTTATCAATTGTTTCTTTCATACGAGTGGGTTCTGCCTTTGATATTATCTCAGAAAAGTCATCACCATATTCAGAGTTATCTAGGTTTTCTCCTGTGTTATCTTCCAGGATTTTAATAATTTTATATTTTACATTTAGGTCTATGATCCATTTTGTTAATTTTTGTTAAGGGTGTAAGGTCTGTTCTAGATTCACATTTTTGCATGTGGCTGTCTAGCACCATTTTTGAAAGGGCTCTTTGCTCCATTGTATTCCCTTTGCTCTTCTGTCAAAAGCGAGTTGAGTATATTTATGTGGGTCTCCTTCTGGGCTCTCTGTTCTGTTGCATTGATTGGTTTGTCTATTCTTTAGCCAATACCACACTGTCTTGATTACTGTGGCTTTATAGGAAGCCTTGGAGTCAGGTAGTATCAGTCCTCCAGCTTTGTTCTTCAGTATTGTGTTAGCTATTCTGGGTCTTTTGCATTTCTACATAAAGTTTAGAATCAGTTCGTTGATAACCACTAGACAATCATTTAAAATTTTTCTTTATCTTTAATGATCCTAATATTAGTCTGTCAAAGAAAAACATTGCCAATCATATTTCACTGGCCCTTGGAGGAATGAAACAATGTAGGAATGACGCTTTTGAATTTTGAGTAAATTTTATTTGTAAATCTGTTTTAGTACTATCAAAATATGCTTATTTTCTTTTTCTAATATTATTCATAATCTACTCATATCTTGGAAGATAAACTTAACTCTGGTAGCATTTGCTCTGTTTTCAGCTATTATCACAATGACAAACTATGATTTTTAAAAAACCATCATACTGGGGCAGTTCCAAGATGGCCGAATAGGAACAGCTCCAGTCTACAGCTCCCAGCATGAGCGACGCGGAAGACGAATGATTTCTGCATTTCCAACTGAGGTACTGGGTTCATCTCACTGGGGATTGTCGGACAGTGGGTGCAGGACAGTGGGTGCAGCGCACCGAGCATGAGCCGAAGCAGGGCGAGGCATCGCCTCACCTGGGAAGCGCAAGGGGTCAGGGAATTCCCTTTCATAGCCAAGGAAAGAGATGACAGATGGCACCTGGAAAATTGGGTCATTCCCACCCTAATACTGCGCTTTTCCAACGGTCTTAGCAAACGGCACACCAGAAGATTATATCCCGCGCCTGGCTTGAAGGGTCCTACGTACACGGAGCTTCGCTCATTGCTAGCACAGCAGTCTGAGATCAAACTGCAAGGCGGCAGCGAGGCTGGGGAAGGGGTGCCCGCCCTTGCTGAGGCTTGAGTAGGTAAACAAAGCAGCTGGGAAGCTCGAAATGGGTGGAGCCCAGCGCAGCTCAAGGAGGCCTGCCTGCCTCTGTAGACTCCACCTCTCGGGGCAGGGCATAGCCGAACAAAAGGCAGCAGAAACCTCTGCAGACTTAAATGTCCCTGTCTGACAGCTTTGAAGAGAGTAGTGGTTCTCCCAGCATGGACCTTGAGATCTGAGAATGGACAGACTGCCTCCTCAAGTGGGTCCCTGACCCCCGAGTAGCCTAACTGGGAGGCACCCCCCAGTAGGGGCAGACTGACACCTCACATGGCCGGGTACTCCTCTGAGACAAAACTTCCAGAAGAACAATCAGGCAGCAACATTGGCTGTTTAGCAATATTCGCTGTTCTGCAGCCTCCACTGCCGATACCCAGGCAAACAGGGTCTGGAGTGGACCTCCGGCAAACTCCAAACGGACCTGCAGCTGAGGGTCCTGACTGTTAGAATGAAAACTAACAAACAGAAAGGACGTCGACACCAAAACCCCATCTGTACATCACCATCATCACAGACCAAAGGTAGATAAAACCACAAAGATGGGGAAAAAACAGAACATAAAAAACTGAAAATTCTAAAAATCAGAGCGCCTGTCCTCCTCCAAAGGAACACAGCTCCTCACCAGCAACGGAACAAAGCTGGACAGAGAATGACTTTGACAAGTTGAGAGAAGAAGGCTTCAGACTATCAAACTACTCTGAGCTAAAAGAGGAAGTTTGAACCCATGGCGAAGACGTTAAAAACCCTGAAAAAAGATTAGACGAATGGCTAACTGGAATAACCAATGCAGAGAAGTGTTTAAAGGACCTGATGGAGCTGAAAACCATGGCACGAGAACTTCATGACGAATGCACAAGCTTCAGTAGCCGATGCGATCAACTGGAAGAAAGGGTATCAGTGATGGAAGATCAAATGAATGAAATGAAGTGAGAAGAGAAGTTTAGAGAAAAAAGAATAAAAAGAAACGAACAAAGCCTCCAAGAAATGTGGGACTATGGGAAAAGACCAAATGTACGTCTGATTGGTGTACCTGAAAGTGACGGGGAGAATGGAACCAAGTTGGAAAACACTCTGCAGAATATTATCCAGGAGAACTTCCCCAATCTAGCAAGGCAGGCCAACATTCAAATTCAGAAAATACAGAGAATGCCACAAAGATACTCCTCGAGAAGAGCAACTCCAAGACACATAATTGTCAGATTCACCAAACTTGACATGGAGGAAAAAATGTTAAGGGCAGCCAGAGAGAAAGGTCGGGTTACCCATGAAGGGAAGCCCACCAGACTAGCAGCTGATCTCTCGGCAGAAATTCTACAAGCCAGAATAGAGTGGAGGCCAATATTCAACATTCTTAAAGAAAAGAATTTTTAACCCAGAATTTCATATCCAGCCAAACTAAGCTTCATAAGTGAAGGAGAAATAAAATACTTTAAAGACAAGCAAATGCTGAGAGATTTTGTCACCACCAGGCCTGCCCTAAAAGAGCTCCTGAAGGAAGCACTAAACATGGAAAGGAACAACCAGTACCAGCCACTGCAAAAACATGCCAAATTGTGAAGACCATTGAGGCTAGGAAGAAACTGCATCAACTAACGAGCAAAATAACCAGCTAACATCATAATGACAGGATCAAATTCACACATGACAATATTAACCTTAAATGTAAATGGGCTAAATGCTCAATTAAAAGATACAGACTGGCAAATTGGATAAAGAGTCAAGACCCATCAGTGTGCTGTATTCAGGAAACCCATCTCACATGCAGAGACACACATAGGCTCAAAATAAAGGGAAGGAGGAAGATCTACCAAGCAAATGGAAAACAAAAAAAGGCAGGTGTTGCAATCCTAGTCTCTGATAAAACAGACTTTTAACCAACAAAGATCAAAAGAGACAAGGCCATTACATAATGGTAAAGGGATCAATTCAACAAGAGCTAACTATCTTAAATATATATGCACCCAATACAGGAGCACCCAGATTCATAAAGCAAGTCCTTCGAGACCTACAAAGAGACTTAGACTCCCACACAATAATAATGGGAGACTTTAACACCGCACTGTCAACATTAGACAGATCAACAAGACAGAAAGTTAACAAGGATACCCAGGAATTGAACTCAGCTCTGCACCAAGTGGACCTAATAGACATCTACAGAACTCTCCACCCCAAATCAACAGAATATACATTTTTTTCAGCACCACACCACACCTATTACAAAATTGACCACATACTTGGAAGTAAAGCTCTCCTCAGCAAATGTAAAAGAACAGAAATTATAACAAACTGTCTCTCAGACCACAGTGCAATCAAGCTAGAACTCAGGATTAAGAAACTCACTCAAAACCACTCAACTACATGGAAACTGAACAACCTGCTCCTGAATGACTACTGGGTACATAACGAAATGAAGGCAGAAATAAAGATGTTCTTTCAAACCAACGAGAACAAAGACATAACATACCAGAATCTCTGGGACACATTTAAAGCAGTGTGTAGAGGGAAATTTATAGCACTAAATGCCCACAAGAGAAAGCAGGAAAGATCTAAAATTGACACCCTAACATCACAATTAAAAGAACTAGAGAAGCAAGAGCAAACACATTCAAAAGCTAGCAGAAGGCAAGAAATAACTAAGATCAGAGCAGAGCTGAAGGAGATAGAGACACAAAAAACCCTTCAAAACATCAATGAATCCAGGAGCTGGCTTTTTGAAAAGATCAACAAAATTGATAGACAGCTAGCAAGACTAATACAGAAGAAAAGAGAGAAGAATCAAATAGACACAATAAAAAATGATAAAGGGGATATCACTACCGATCCCACAGAAATACAAACTACCATCAGAGAATACTATAAACACCTCTACTCAAATAAACTAGAAAATCTAGAAGAAATGGATAAATTCCTTGACACATACACCCTCCCAAGACTAAACCAGGAAGAAGTTGAAACTCTGAATAGACCAATAACAGGCTCTGAAATTGAGGCCATAATTAATAGCTTACCAACCAAAAAAAGTCCAGGACCAGATGGATTCACAGCCGAATTCTACCAGAGGTACAAAGATGAGCTGGTACTATTCCTTCTGAAACTATTCCAATCAATAGAAAAAGAGGGAATCCTCCCTAACTCATTTTATGAGGCCAGCGTCATCCTGATACCAAAGCCTGACAGAGACACAACAACAAAAGAGAATTTTAGACCAATAACCCTGATGAACATCGATGCAAAAATCCTCAATAAAATACTGGCAAACTGAATCCAGCAGCACATCAGAAAGCTTATCCACCATGATCAAGTGGGCTTCATCCCTGGGATGCAAGGCTGGTTCAACATATGCAAATCAATAAACATAATCCAGCATATAAACAGAACCAATGACAAAAACCACATGATTACCTCAATAGATGCAGAAAAGGCCTTTGACAAAATTCAACAACCCTTCATGCTAAAAACTCTCAATAAATTAGGTATTGATGGGATGTATCTCAAAATAATAAGAGCTGTCTATGACAAACCCACAGCCAATATCATACTGAATGGGCAAAACCTGGAAGCATTCCCTTTGAAAACTGGCACAAGACAGGGATACCCTCTCTCACCACTCCTATTGAACGTATTGTTGAATAGTTCTGGCCAAGGCAATCAGGCAGGAGAAGGCAATAAAGGGTATTCAATTAGGAAAAGAGGAAGTCAAATTGTCCCTGTTTGCAGATGACATGATTATATATCTAGAAAACCCCATTGTCTCAGCCCAAAATCTCCTTAAACTGATAAGCAACTTCAGCAAAGTCTCAGGATACAAAATCAATGTGCAAAAATCACAAGCATTCTTATACACCAATAACAGACGGAGAGCCAAATCATGAGTGAACTCCCATTCACAATTGCTTCAAAGAGATTAAAATACCTAGGAATCCAACTTACAAGGGACGTGAAGGACCTCTTCAAGGAGAACTACAAACCACTGCTCAATGAAATAAAAGAGGATACAAACAAATGGAAGAACATTCCATGCTCATGGGTAGGAAGAATCAATATTGTGAAAATGGCCATACTGCCCAAGGTAATTTATAGATTCAATGCCATCCTCATCAAGCTACCAATGACTTTCTTCACAGAATTGGAAAAAACTACTTTAAAGTTCATATGGAACCAAAAAAGAGCCCACATTGCCAAGTCAATCCTAAGCCAAAAGAACAAAGCTGGAGGCATCACACTACCTGACTTCAAACTATACTACAAGGCTACAATAACCAAAACAGCATGGTACTGGTACCAAAACAGAGATATAGACCAATGGAACAGAACAGAGCCCTCAGAAATAACGCCGCATATCTACAACTATCTGATCTTTGACAAACCTGAGAAAAACAAGCAACGGGGAAAGGATTCCCTATTTAATAAATGGTGCTGGGAAAACTGGCTAGCCATATGTAGAAAGCTGAAACTGGATCCCTTCCTTACACCTTATAAAAAAATTAAATTTGGATTGAAGACTTAAATGTTAGACCTAAAACTGTAAAAGCCCTAGAAGAAAACCTAGGCAATACCATTCAGGACATAGACATAGGACTTCATGTCTAAAACACCAAAAGCAATGGCAACAAAAGCCAGAATTGACAAATGGTATCTAATTAAACTAAAGAGCTTCTGCACAGCAAAAGAAACTACCATCAGAGTGAACAGCCAACCTACAGAATGGGAGAAAATTTCTGCAATCTACTTATCTGACAAAGGGCTAATATCCAGAATCTACAATGAACTCCAACAAATTTACAAGAAAAATGTAACCCCATCAACAAGTGGGTGAAGGATATGAACAGACACTTTTCAAAAGAAGACATTTATGCAGCCAACAGACACATGAAAAAATGCTCATCATCACTGGCCATCAGAGAAATGCAAATCAAAACCACAGTGAGATACCATCTCACACCAGTTACAATGGCGATCATTAAAAAGTCAGGAAACAACAGGTGCTGGAAAGGATATGGAGAAATAGGAAGACTTGTACACTGTTGGTGGGACTATAAACTGGTTCAACCATTGTGGAAGTCAGTGTGGCGATTCCTCAGGGATCTAGAACTAGAAATACCATTTGATCCAGCCATTCCATTACCGGGTATATACCCAAAGGATTATAACACATGCTGCTATAAAGACACATGCACACGTATGTTTATTGCAGCACTACTCACAATAGCAAAGACTTAGAACCAACCCAAATGTCCAACAACAATAGACTGGATTAAGAAAATGTGGCACATATACACCATGGAGTACTATGCAGCCATATAAAAGGATGAGTTCATGTCCTTTGTAGGGACATGGATGAAGCTGGAAACCATCATTCTCAGCAAACTATTGCAACGACAAAAACCAAACACTACATGTTCTCATTCATAGGTCGAATTGAACAATGAGAACACATGGACACAGGAAGGGGAACATCACACACCGGGGCCTGTTGTGGGGTGGGGGGAGGGGGGAGGTATAGCATTAGGAGATATACCTAATGTTAAATGACGAGTTAATGGATGCAGCACCCCAACATGGCACATGTATACATATGTAACAAACCTGCACGTTGTGCACATGTACCCTAAAACTTTAAGTATAATAATTTAAAAAAACCCATCATATTTACCCAAAGTACTAAATATTTATAGGTATGAATTGAATTCAGATGGGATATATACACACACAATACAGTATTGTATTGTAGAAATATTGATATTTACATTCAACAGGTTATGTTTGTATTAATCAGGTTTAAATGTAGGGTAAGATAAATGTCCTTTATTACAACAATTTTTATGGTACATTAATGTTTAATAATGCCCTATCTTTAAATTAGTTTATAACTAATTCTCTGTGGAAGCATTGTAGAATCTAAAAATCTGAATTAAGATCAGAATTAACACAAAAAAATTGCATCTGTTGCCATTTTATGTTTTTGAAATGGAGTCTCGCTCTGTCACCCAGGGTGGAGTGCAGTGGTGTGATCTCACCTCAGTGCAACCTCTGCCTCCCAAGTTTAAGTGATTCTTGTGCCTCAGCCTCCCAAGTAACTGGGGTTACAGGCATGTGCCACCTCACCCAGCTGATTTTTGTATTTTTATAGAAAGAGGGTTTCACCATGTTGGTCAGGCTGGTCTCGAACTCCTGGCCTCAGCAATCTGCCCGCCTCAGTCTCCCAAAGTGCTGGGATTGCAGATGTGAGTCACTGTGCCCAGCCTTCTGTTGCCATTTTAAAACTAAGAGTTAAAAGATGCTTTTGTATAATTTTCTAGAAAATATCTTTTATACTTATTTTCTTCTAACTACATTTAAAATACATTTTAAAAAGCAGAAAGCAAAAATGAAGTCTAAGCAAATTTCCCGTGAATACATTTCTTTTACAATAAATGTATGCCAGTTATTCAGTGTTAGAATTGAATATAGTTAGATTCTTGAGATTCTGTTTTTAAAAGACACCACAGTATTTTGTTTTTATATGAAGTATTATGGTAAATGTGATCATTACCTTAAATATATGGCATCAGGTTTTTAAAGTGGTATTTTGTGGATTTTGTTAAATCTGTCTCAAAGTCTATTTTCTCATGTTATGTTTGAAGTATGGGTATGATAGTACCCAGAAAAACAGGCCTTTCAAAACAAAATACTCTACTTTTATGACTCCATAAAAAATACAATCTTTATTATTATCCATAGACTGAATAAAACATCTTACATTTTATGTTTCATTTTATTCACCATAATGCCTATTTTCAATAAAATTACAGGTGATTTTAAATATGACTAGACTTTTTTTTTTAATAGAAAGATCACATAATGGCTTAAGTATATTCCATTAGGAGTAGTATTTCTCTTGTCTTTTTGTTCAGCCATTGGAGTCCCCTGTGACCTTGGGTACTTTTTCCATAGGCGAACTGATGCTTCATGACGTTCTGTGTTTTCTGGTAGCTTGCCTGTTGCCTGCCTCTGGGTTCGTCATCCCCCTTATGCTGACTTAGGCAATATTTCTTCAGTCTCTTATCTTGGGGCTTTGATGCATATGTTCTGAAGGTGGCCACAGTGACTTTGGGTAGCAGCAGATGGTAAACCTTCAGGCTGCCACCAGCTAAACTGGTGTTAAGTTGGAAAGTTAACGTTTGATGAAGAATCAGTAGTGCATATGAAAGAACTTTCACTGCTGAAATATCTTTTAATTAAAAATTAGCATACTAAAACCTTTGTGAATGTCTGGGCATTTAAAGAAATCTACAATTAGTTGTGTTCTTATAGAAGTATTTATTTACCAGTTTAGTCTTATGTTACTTGCTCTTCCTAACCTGGTTCTTTTTCCTCTGTTTCTACCCCAGTTTGTTGGTAGTTAAGATAAATCAGATAACTACATAAATTGAAATATAGGTTGTTTTTAGGAATCTTGGGTGTTTGCATAAACAAAGTATATTTTGAATTATGGCATTTTGGATTTTAATAACTAAGAAGAGATGTGGATTTTAAGTACAATCTTCATATAATTCTGGTAGATTTGGTCTGTTTTCTTCTACCTTTGAAGGTATTTCTGGATCAAATAGGAGCCTGAAGAACTCAACCTGCCTCAAAGAGATATTTCCTTTTGTTCTAAATTAGTTGGTGATTCTTGACTCTGCCGTTCTTAACTTTGTTAACTTTGCAGAAATTGATGCAGCGACTTCTGATGAGCTAAAGCTGTAGGCACAACATATTTTGCTTTTGGAGTTACTGAGCAGTGGGTACAGGGAACATTGCTAACCTTTTTGGATTATTTGTTCACTTCATGATAATCTGCTATGTGGGAAGTTCTAGCACAAATGAAACATTGGTAAGGCTCCAAAGGATTTTCTTTGTTACCCATAAATCTTGGGTACCTTATATACTTTTCTCAATTGAAAATGTATCCTTGAGAGTAATAGCTGAAAATATCTTGTAGACTAGAGTTATAAGTATCCCTGTCAAATTTTACTCTTTATGCTTGAATTTTCATCAGTGGAAAACTTATGAAACCAAGGACAGATTGGTTTCATGGCATAACATGAGAGAAGCATCTCTGCATGGTCTGTTCATGCTAATGCTCTTGATGGTGCAGCTTCTGATGGACTGAAGCTGTAGGTGCAACATCTTTTGCTTTTGGAGTTGCTGGGCAATGGTACAGGGAACATTGCTGGCCTTCTGATGCCAAAGAAAGAGAAGTTAGACCCCAGTTGGGAGAATTGTTGATATTAAAGCCCACCGAGTACTATTCCTTGTTTTCTAGTAGTTGAATTTTTATAAAGATGCCTCATGAGAATAAGGTGTGGAATTAAGAGTAGAAACACATTTTGGATGTTTTAAGAATACAAAATGAGATTTATTTTAGCAGAAAATATGAATAACATTTGATAATTATGCATGGTGTTAGGGGAGGAAAGCAAAGTTTTAATGCTCTAGGTTTGTTGTTCAAATCCATTTCTATAGAAGGATAACATTACCAGCTCTTGTAAATTTGCCCATCTGGTTAAAAATTCAGATCTAATACTAGTCAAGTATGGATTACCTTTGAAAGAGAGTGTAGCAAGTACAATCATGTTCACATGAAAGTATGTTGGGAAAAACTTATTTGCAAAATCGGTCTAGTACTATTTTCTCTAGTTTCTTTATTGTGTTGATCTCATTCTTTCTGTTGTCATTATTTATATGTGAATTACGGGGAGCATGACTTACACAGTTGATATCTCATCCAGATTATAAGCAGCAAACACAAATCCGGTTATATGTGACACCATTAAGGGATGCTCTGTGTTTGTCCTGTAGTCTTTTTGTTTCTTTTCTTTTTTTCAATAGTTTTTGGGGTACTGGTGGTTTTGGTTACACAGATAAGTTCTTTAGTGGTGATTTCTGAGATTTAAGTGCATCCATTACTCGAGCAATGTACACTGTACCCAATACGTAGTATTTTATCCTTCACCCACCTCACAACCTTCCCTCCTGAGTCCCTGAAGTCCATTATATCACTCTTACGCCTTTGCATCCTCATAGCTTAGCTCCCACTTACGAGAACACATGATATTTGGTTTTCCATTCCTGAGTTACTTCACTTAGAGTAATGGCCTCCACCTTCATCCAAGTTGCTGCAAAAGACATTATTTCATTTCTTTTTATGGCTGAGTAGTATTCTATGGAGTATATATACACCACATTTTCTTTATCCACTCATTGGTCGCTGGGCACTTAGGTTGGTTCGGTATCATTGCAGTTGCTAATCGTGCTGCTATAAACATGTATATGCATGTGTCTTTTTCATATAATGACTTCTTTTTCTTTGGGTAGCTACCCAGTAGTGGGATTGTTGGATAGAATGGTAGTTCTACTTTTAGTTCTTTAAGGAATCTCCATATTGTTTTCCATAGTGGTTGTACTAATTTTCTATAGACTTAAGCATTATTTTAACTTGTATTAATTGTTCTGGAGTCCCATGAAGTAACTGGCACTAAAGTAGAGACAGACAGTCCCTGAAATTACCCAAGTAATCTTTCTTTTAAAAGGAATTGGAGCTGAAGTTATTTTCAGGGACTTCCAGACTTCCAGTGTCAACATTTAAATTAAATATCTAAAAAGATTCATGAATGGGGAGACACTGAATCCCCACTGAAGGGAACTCTCCACACTTCTTCACCACAGTCGTAGTGCCTTCATAGTAGCATATCTCTTTTCTCTTCTCCATATTATTTTTCTTTATTTGCTTAAAAATAATCATCATTTGATACTTTTGGTGTACCCCTTCTCCCTCTTTTCTTTGCAAAGATGGTTGCCTACTTAAATATTAGTCCTTTCTTAATTCTAGTTAACAAATAGACTCAAACCTGTAATCAGTTGGAGCTTTTCCTACTACTATTATGACAGAAAAGTGGGAAAAGTGAAACTTGTGGAATTGAAGAACAGATGAGGCTAATCCTTAAGGAATAAGTTGCCTGCTTTTTCTTTTTTTTCCCCCAGTTAGGAGCAGTTATTTCATGTATTAGTATGGGCAAAGATGAAGTAATTTCTTCTGTTAGACCATATGCTAATATAGGGCTGATAAGTAAGTGTGAAAAATGAAAGGGAGAAATACATTAATTGTATTCTTTCAATAAGGTATGCTATCCAAGGTAATTATTTCATGACAGTTTTAGTTATAGTACTTGTTTTATCATGAAATAAAAGATTGTTTTAGGAGCCTTTTATTGGAAAGACAATTGTATCAAGCTAGTACAAATTAGATTTTTGTCTTTATAAAGGTGAGCAAACCCATGAGCAGTTTTTAAATTGATGTGTTTTAGTCTACACATGAACAAATTCTGTTTGAGGGTTAAAGAAGCTATTATTTTGTCCTTTATGCTGACAGTTTCATTACAGATTGGCCTACTGTTGGCATTAAAAAAATGTTTGGCTCCTTATGATCTTTGTGCATGCAACTATAATATTAATGCAGCACCATAGCACTGTTCATTAAGAAATGACTTTAAATGAGGTTGAAGCGTGTAAATTTGGAAAGATACAGATGTTAAATGCAGTCGTTTCTCTTTGTGTACAGCTGTATGGCTAATAATTTCCAAGCAGCTAAAGCTCTTGTTAGCAGGAGTGCTGGTGTGTTAAGAATGGCTCTATAAATAACTTTAAGAACTGAAGTTGAAGGTGCTTCTTTTAAAGACTATTGTTAACTAAACATTATTGCCAAACAGATGGAAAGCATTCACCAGCCTGATGTTTTTGGGTCTAATTATATTATCACCAGCCCTGTACGGCTCAGTTGAAGAGGTATATCCAGAGGCCAATTTATAATCATTTAGCCAACACCTGTTTGGGAGAAATTGACAGTCAAAGGGCACATTTTTAAAAAATCACATATGTTCTTGTGTTTATTGCCTCAATGTGAACGTTGTCTAGTTGCACACAAACTTTGTAGGAGAAGAAAGTAAATATAAACAAAGCAGCATTTCCCAGCCATGTTTATCCATCTTAATTTGCTTTTTTTTTTGGAGATGGAGTCTCACTCTTGCTCAGGCTGGAGTGTGGAGTGGCGCGATCTCAATTCACTGCAACCTCCGCCTCCTGATTCAAGTGATTCTCATGCCTCACCCTCCCGAGTAGCTGGGATTATAGGTGTCCACCACCATGCCCGGCTAATTTTTGTATTTTTAGTAGAGACGAGGTTTCACCACGTTGGCCAGGCTGGTCTTAAACTCCTGACCTCAGGTGATCCACCCACCTTGGTCTCCCAAAATGCTGGGATTACAGGTGTGAGCCACTGCGCCCAGCCGGTTTGGCCTTTTTATCTGATCTGCTTCATGCTTCATGACTAAGTGAGATCAGTAAGGAGGTATCACTCCTGATTTGTGCAGGTATATTTTGTTGAGTCAATTAAGGGGCTTTTAATAGGGAGAAGTTCTTTCCTTTGGTTATACAGCTTCCATGCCTTTTACCTAGTGAGATGTGTTCTACTTTATATAGATATGTCTTGTTCAAATAGAATTGGCTTTCTGGTAAGTGACTTAAAAGTCACACCTCATGTAAGCTGGGTGTGGTGGCTCATGCCTGTAATCCCAGCACTTTGGGATGCCGAGGCGGGCGGATCACGAGGTCGGGAGATTGAGACTATCCTGGCTAACACGGTGAAACCCTGTCTCTACTAAAAATACAAAAAATTAGCTGGGTGTGGTGGCGGGCGCCTGTAGTCCCAGCTACTCCGGAGGCTGAGGCAGGAGAATGGCGTGAACCCGGGAGGCAGAGCTTGAAGTGAGCGGAGATCGCACCACTGCACTCCAGCCTGGGCAACAAAGCAAGACTCTGTCTCAAAAAAAAAAAAAAAGTCACACCTCATGTAAAAACAAATGAGACTTAAGGAACACTAAATGTCTTCACAGATTCAACAGATGTTCAACAGATATTTATTGAGCTCTCCTTTGCAGAAGGAAGGCCATGGTGCCTCCTTTTACATTCTTGATATGTTGATTTAACTCTTAAAGTTCACAAATGTGTTTTCATGTTTTGGAGGCTCAAGATTTGTGTTCATTGTAACTCAAAGGGCAGCTATGGAGAGAATAAGTCTATCCTATCTGAAAAATAATAAAAGTCAAACCCTTTGTTTCAACTGATGATACCACTATTTCATTTTAGTGTTTTTCCTTCTTCTGACAGACTTTACTATTGAAAGGCTTATATATGTCACCTCTATTTTCTTATCACTCATTATGAACTCTGTGCAATCTGCTTTTATCCTCAGTTCATTGTACAGTGAACTGTACAATGCTGTATTGAAAGTTACACATGACTTCCTAACTGCCCTAACCAGTGATGGTTTCTCAGTCCTTATTCTTCATGGCTTCTCTCTGTTGTTTAGCATAGATTACACTCATCTTAAGCATTCTCTTTCTCTGTCACCTGAACCACTATGTTTTCTCTTTGTACTTTTCTCATTACACTTTTGGTTATTGTCTTATTTACTCACAATATTTCAACTATGTATATTTTCAAAATTCAGAAATAAATAGTATCGCTTAGCAATTAAAGAGGAAGAAACCTGGAGCCAGACTACCCTCTACCACTTATTATCTTTGTGAGTATGGACAAAGTCCTGAGGTTAAAGAAGTTCCAGTGTTTCAGAGTGCACTCCAGAGAGTACAATCAGTTTTATGCTTATTTCCTTATCTGTAAACTTGATTAATAAAAGATACCTACCTCTTTGGATTGTTGAGAGAATTACATGATTTAATTCCTTAAAGCCCAGCACAGTGCCTGATATAAAGGAAGTGTCCCAGTGGGATTCATTCTTGTGTCTTTAGTTTTTATCTTTATGGAGAATGCTCAAATATAAATCATTAGTACCGACTTATTTTCTAAGCTCTATTCCCATGTCGTCATCTACCTTACAAACTTTTAGAGTTGAATTCACTAACCGTATGTTTATTAAACATTTACTGTGTGAGAACAGTGTGTTATGTGATAGAATAATTTTTATGCTGTTGGTTTTCTGTTGCTGACATAACAAATTACCACAAAGTTGGCAGCCTATAACAACTAAATTATTAAAGTTCTATAGGTCAGAAGTCTGACACAGTTACTGGGTTGAAATCAAGATGGTGGCAAGACTATATTCCTTACTGGAAGCTCAGGAGAGGAATCTGCTTCCAAGCTCATTCAGGTTGTTGGCTGAATTCTGTTCTTTTCATAGAGTTGTAGGACTGAACTCTGTTTCTTTGCTGGCTGTCAGCCAAGGACTGCGCTATACTCCTAGAAGTTGCCTAGGTTCCTTCTTAGGCTTGCTATGAGATCCTAGAAGCCTCTCTCCAGTTCTTGCATGTGGGCCTTTGCCACCTGAGAGCCAGCAGCCATGCATCCCTTTCATGCTTTGAATATGATTTCCCTTTCAGCCTTATCATTTCTGTGCTTTGCCTTTCTTTTCATAGACGATAGTTCTCTGTTTTTGAAATGGATTCATGTGATATTTTGGAACCCACCCAGATAATCCAGTGTAATCTCTCTGTTTTAAGGTCTGTACCTTAATTACATCTGAAAAGGCTTTTTTGCCAGTAACATAACACGTTCACAAATGTTGGGGATTCTTGGGGTATGAACATCTTTGGGGCCCATTATCCTGCCTTTACAGCATGCCCATAAAGAGCTCGAAGTCTCACTGGGAGACAGACCCCCAAATCGAAGGGTTAGAGATTCTATAATAGATGTTGGTGCTGTGTAAAACAGCAGAAGAAAGGAAGAAAGTAGTCAGTGTTACTGAGAGCTAGAGTGACATTTGTGCTGCATATGGAAAGATGCATACTTGTTTGATAAGTGCCTGGGGGAATATTTCAGGGAAAAACAAGCAATAATAGTGATAGCAGTAATAGCAACTAGCTGTACTTTTATAAGATTATCTTACTGAAATCCTCACAAGTGTTAGATACTGTTACCGACTATTATAGCTTCTACATAATAAGAATGCCTTATGTCCATAAGAAGACATGTCTGTAGTGTCTTCTAATGTAGAATAGGAATGGTAAAATTATTTCACTGAGCCAGACCTGGTGACTTATCCCTGTAATCTCAGCACTTTGAGAGGCCAAGGCAGGAGGATTGCTTGAGCGATCGCAGGAGTTCAAGATCAGCCTAGGCAATATGGTGAGACCCCTGTCTTACAAAAAAAAAAAAAATTATCCAGGCATGGTGGCACATGCCTGTAGTACCAGCTACTTGGGAGGCTGAAGTGGGAGGATCGTTTGAACCTGGAAGGTTGAGGCTGCAGTGAGCTAAAAATCACACCAGAGCACTCTAGCTTGGGTAGCAGAGTGAGACCCAGTCTCAATAAAAATAAGATAAAACAAAATAAAATAAAATAAATCATTGGCTTTTTGGGAGGATTAATATTGATTACACCTGGGTAAAGTATAGCACATAGTAAATGCTTAAAACATGGCAGATTAGAGAATACAGGGTGGATAAGAGAAGTGCTTAGGAGGTAGAATTGATTTGATTGATTTAGAATTGATTCTAAATACTTGGTATTCAGAAGGTGCTCAGTGTATAATTGTTGAATCCTGGATCAGTCACTTGTTCTGAAGGTGGGAGACAGGAGACAGTTCAGAGTAACTTAGACCACGTTTAGTTTCAGAGCATGCATGGAAGATGGTCTTAGTACTATAGGAGGAGCAGCAGGCTGTTTGTTTGTTTGGTGAAGGCAGGGCCTTGGGAAGAGGATATGAGGTACCTGTGAGAATATTGTATTGAAATTAATGGAAATTTAAATAGTGTAGGTCAAACAGAAGACAAAGATGAAGTTGTCACTATTTTTTCAACTTTAATATCTAAAATGGAATTTTCCATCTTCTCGAACTGGTTTCCCATCTCAACTTCCTTGTTTCTTCTCACCTTTTAAAAATTCTTCTATTTTTTTCAAGCTTAACATCTTTTTTTTTCATCCTTAAATTCTGTCTTTCCTTACCCAGTGGTGGGCTGGTAAATGTTTGACAGCCAGCTCTCTGGTAGGGGGAAGAAGGCTCATTTGCAGTGTTTGCTGATTTCTGTAGTACAAATCCTCCTCCCATGGCCAATTTCAGTCTGTGGCTGCTTTTGTTCTATAATGACAAAGTTGAAAAGCTGTAACAGAGACTGCATAGGCCTGCGGAGCCTAAAATATTTACAGTCTGGCCCTTTAAAGAAAAAGTTTGCCAATCTTTGCTACAGTAGTTTTTCCAAAATAATAAAGCTTTAATAGGGTAGGATAATTTCATACTTCTGTTAATTTATTTTATCCATCAAGATGAGGGGTGGGAATGAGTAGTTTAGGGGGGCAATGTGTGAGAGGTTATGAAGGGTCTTGAGGTCATTTTATGGGCTTAAGCTTTTTCTCTCAGTGAGATAAGAAGAGTGCCATGTTCTAACTTATGTTTTAAAAAGAAAACCCTGGCCGCTGTTTTGAGGATAGACAACAGGGCAGCAAAGATGGAAGCAGGGAGATCAGTTGGAACACTGTAGTTACAAGTTAGGTAAGAGTTGATCTTTGCTTGAATCAGAGTAATAACTGTGGAAGTGGTAAGGTGAGTTCAGATTCTGGATACATTTTGAAGACAGAGCTGACAGGATTTGCCGGTGGTGGAAAGGGGTGTTAAGGTGAATCCAGGGTGAAGAGATACCAAAAGGATGCCTTAGGCTAGAGCCTGAGTTATTGAGATCACATTATAGCAAGTTGCTACATAGGAGATTTTAGGAAGAAAATTGAGACTTGAACAATTTTTTTTGAACCACTTCCTGTTGATCATATATGTTCCAAGAGGAAAAACTCTGTTTAAAATAGTATTTCCTTTACTTCTAAGAAATACATTTTAAAATACTTTAGGAAACAGTAATGTTTCTAAAATACGGCATTTTTAGAAAAGGAAACCATAATAAAACCTATTTTGGATAAGATTATTTTGATCCTATAATTTGCTGACTTAAAAAAATTTATTCAGAAATGAACAATTTTGGGGAGGGGATTAAATTTCAGCCCTGCCCTACTCTTAAAGTTTAGTTTAAAGCTAAGAGTTAATGTTTCATTGTATTGTTAATAAATTATTACTCGTGTCTTTTATGTAGGTTTTACTTGTAATGGACACAAGGACAGAACAGACTTTCATTTTAAAAGTAAGTAAAATTTGTAGCCAGGCGCGGTGCCTATAATTCCAGCACTTTGGGAGACTGAGATAGGCAGGTCACCTAAGGTCAGGAGTTCGAGACTATCCTGGCCAACATGGTGAAACCCCGTTTCTACTAAAAATACAAAAATTAGCCGGGTATAATGGTGGGCTTCTATAATCCCAGCTACCCGGGAGACTTAGGCAGGAGAATCGCTTGAACCCAGGAGGCAGAGATTGCAGTGAACCAAGATTGCACCATTGCACTCCAGCCTGGGCAACAAGAGTGAGACCCTGTCTCAAAAAAAAAAAAAAAAAAAAAGAGTAAGTAAAATTTATATGTTTAATGAATTTAAAATTTGAATTTCAAATTATGCTTCTGAAAGAAAAGTTAATATTTTAGTTAATATTTAGTTAATATTAACTAAGTAGTTAATATATCCCCCCCCTAGGTTTTGAATGTCCTTTTATGTTGTTTCTGGTGATGTTTATTTACTTTTCTTTCTATCCTTTCATCACGGTTGATAGCATGCATTTAACAACATTGTTTTTGATACAGAGTATGGAGGAAATAATTTGGATAAACTGAAGAACCATTTTGTGTTGTTTGAATGTGTAGTGTGTTGTTTAAATACATCTCAAGAACATTTTGTTTAATTGTGAAGACTACACACAGTCTCACCTTCGATTATCACTACAGTTCTTAAGAGCTAAAATTTTGCCTTAAAATCTAGTTACAGGTATTTTGGGAAAGTGTATCTACATTCCTGGTCCTCTATTTGATCTAAATTCAATTTTGATTCTATACATAATGCAATTTATAACTAAATGAATAAGGAGAGAGAGAACCCTCAATTTTGAAATTTTGAAATTGTATTTGGAATGGACTGTGATAGTACATATTCTGAAAATATCCTAATTTAAGCATTTCCACAGCATTCAGAAGGTGAATTTATTAATTTTATATTTCTTTTTCTGTTGCTTTTTCTTTTGCTGATAAGGCATGGCAGTAGGTCACATTGACACATACTGAAACACATTTTGTGTGTGTGTGTGAATATACTTTATCATTGACATTTCTTTAAAAACAGAGTATGACACCAGAAAATAGACAAACCTTATTCCTTGTAAGAAGACTTAATATTGTTTGTACTTTTGGGGGATAGGATTTTAAAATTGCCTGCTTAATCTAAGAATACCTTTTGTGTCTCAGGAGTTTGCATTGGTCTTACAATGTCTACTGCTTTAAAGATATAGATAAGTAAAATAAAACTTAAGAAAAGGTCACAGAGAAATAACTGTGTGTCATCCTGATGACTTAGTTTGAGAGCATCTCTAATAAAAACACTGACCCACGTAATTGATTTTAATGGCAGCTTTGTGGCATCTTCCTTCTCTGGATTCACGCCAGATGCCATCAGCAGAGCCTCCAGGGACTGGGGGGCATAGAGCAGCAGATGAGTGGTTTCTCTGAAGCCCAGAGTAACTCGGATAGATTAGTTTGGTTGATAAACACAGAGCACAGCAGGCTCCAAAGGCAACTGAGGATGCAACTGAGGATACAACTGACCTTTTTGTTCTCTGTCAGGGTCTAAGGAAAAGCAGTGAATACAGCAGGAACAGAAAGACCATCATCCCCCGCTGTGTGCCCAACATGGTGTGTCTGCATAAGTACATCATCTCTGAGGAGTCAGTATTTCTTGTGCTGCAGCATGCGGAAGGTTGGTTTGTAGTTTGGATTGTTTATGCAGTGAAGAATGTCACCTACTTAGCTTCCAGTTTCTCTCTGTCATTTCATGAGCAGATAGAATATATGAAACACGTTTAAGAAACCATTTCCTATTCCTCTGCTCTACCTCCCTACTTTGAGTTGTGAGGGAAAATGAAAACCCAGGTGAACAACAGATTTCATGTGAACTATGGTACCATTTGTAGATTTACTTCACTACTTACTTTCTCATGGAATTTACCTAATATAATGAGAACTTTAATATGAATGTGTGCTAAGAGAGCTAGATTTTATTTTAGTGGTATTTTGTTCGCTTGTTCCCTGCTAAAAGGATACATTATGTTAGATGACTAAAATGAAAAGCATCCCCTGAAGAATTAATTAATTACCTCCTTCTTTTAGAAGGCAAGGGTGTTGGCTTAACATTTGACATTACCTAGTCATTCTGATCTGAGTTTTTATGAATACAGCCATTGGCATCACATATGGGTACAAAGCAGAGGCACAGTTCTCTGCCTTCAAACTATTTATGAAATTTCAGCTCTTTGTAGAGGGAACAGGTGGCAAAAAATATAATGTTTTGATTTTTTTTTGCCCTTTAATACCTGAATTTAAATAAGTAGTCTTTTATTTAGGATGACTGAAAACAGCATATAAATATAAATTCATTTAATACATATTGCCATTTGGCTTTTAAGAGGTGTTCGTAAAATAGTAAAAAATTTTTAAATTGTTTTCCGTATCTCGTGAAGGCATTGTTATTTTTGTATAACTATTGTACTTTACTAATAGGCATAACATTTGTATTTAATATAATTTTTTAGGAAAAGAAGTCATTGCTTTCTGGAATGAGGTCTCATGATAATGAATGCAAGATTTTTGATGGGGGCAGTAAACAATTAATATTGTTTATTGTGAAGTACAGCACAAGATAACTACAGATGGAGGGAAGACCTCCATATGCAGTATTTAATAGGAAATTCAAAAGGGGCTCTGTGGTCTCTCAGGTATTAAGAGAGTTAATTGTGTGTGTGAATTGGATAACTAATTCACCTTTGTTCAGACATTATAGACAGCTTTTATCTGAGGATACCAGTGCATTACAGACATTATTGAATTAGAGGTCATGTCATCTGATAGCGAAATACAGCCACCTCTGGTGTGGAACAAAATAACTTGCGTAGTAATAATCCATAATAATTTAGAACAAGGTCAGTAGGATGAATGTAATTATAGTCAATATTCTATTACCCAGTGTGGATTATTCATGTTGGAGATTATCTATGGCAAAATTTTCAGTCTTAACTTACCTGTTATTTGTAGCAATATCTTCCTCTTCTTCCTCTTCCTTCTCCATATCATTTTTCATTTTTTTCTACCATCTTCTCACCATCCCATATACCTCTTGAAACTGATGTTTCAATTGATTTTACTTGAATAATGTAGAAAATTTGTATAATCTCTTAAAATCATAGACTTACGACTTTTAAATTTTCTACTATTTTAGATCCTTCTTTACTATCGAGCATACCTGACTTTGAATGCTCACATGACCATAAAATTTGTCTCTTTTGACCATTCATTTTAGGTGTCTATTGTTTATTTTTAAGATGGTTTTATAATATAAAGATAGTAAATTATAGTGCAAATAGGGACTCTGGATTAATTAAATATTCAGCAAATTTATTGAGCATGTACTGTAGAGTAGGCTCCTTTTTAGGTGAACAAGACAAGAAAATTCTCTCTCTCTCTTTTTTTTTTTTTTTTGGTTGGGGGGTAGTTAGGGTCTTGCTCTGTCTCCTAGGTTAGAGTGCTATGGTACAATCATAGCTCACTGTAACCTTGAACTCTTGGGCTCAAGTGATCTCCCACCTCAGCTGGGATTACATGCGTGCACCACCACATCTGGCTAAGTTTTAAAATTTTTTGTAGAGATTGGGTCTCTCTATGTTGCCCAAATTGGTCTTAAACTCCTGGCCTCAAGCGATTCTCCTGCCTCAGCCTCCCAAAATGCTGGGATTGCAGGGGTGAGCCACCACGCCAGGCCTGAAACTTAAATTCTTGTTGTGAAAAGTCAAACAGAAAAACAAAAAGCAAGAGAACATTGGATAATAAAAGGAACTATACAGATCTTTAACAAAGGGAGATCTAATAGATAACAACTGGGGGACTATGTTGAATTAAGTAGTAGAGGGAGCCCTCTCTGAGAAGGTGGCATTTAAGAGAAGTTCTGAATGGCAAAAGAAACAATCATTTGAATGTAAGATACAGGTACAGGGATGAGTATAAAAACAAACTTGGGATGTTTGATGACCAAGAAAGGTATCATTTGGTTGGAATGGAGCAGAGTGAGGACAACGTGAGGCACATGTTGGTACGTGAGGCTGTTGGAGAAGTAGGCAGGAGCCTTGTACAGCAGAGTAAGGACTTTGACTTTTGTTCAAGTGCATTGGGAAACCATTGGACTTCTTAAGGGGTGACAGAATCTGATTTACATTTTAAAAAGGTCACTGGCTCTTGTATGGGGAATGGGTTGTAGAAAGGCAAGAATAGAAGCAGTAAAAAGGCTAATACAGGAGGCTAGTGAAAAGGTGCTGCTGGCTTGGCCTTCTGGGGCACCAGTCGAGATGTTTGAGGGTAGAGTAATGGGACCTGTAATGGATTTGAGATTAGGAAGAGGAAAATCTACAGTAATTTCTCAGATTTGGCTTGAGCAATGCAGTGAACTGGATGATGAACAGTGTGTTTTCTTTTACACATCAGTGGCACCTCCGTAGATTAGGAAGTTGGCCTGTGTCATAGAAAAGTAACTTTTCATATGTGTGAATAGTTATTACTGAGAAAGCAAACCTTGAACAGTTGTTTTCTCCATAACATGAATGCTTTGAATACTTACGATTTGTGGCTTTAGCTTTCCACTGCTTACAGAACTACTCATGATTTATGTGAGTCTCTTGGACTCTTTCTTTCCATTTTTAATTCATTTCATTAGAAATGTATTGAGTGCTTGCTGGGACACAGACATAGTTCTAATTTGGCAGTGAACAAAACAGAAGACTTTGCCTGCATGGAGCTTACATTACATTACATTATAGAGGCAGAACAGACAATAAGCAAATATTTAAGTAAATATATGACAGATGGAGGTAAATATGCTATGGAGAAAAATTAAAGGAAAGGGGAAGGGAATGCCAAAGGGGTGAGAGGGGTGGTTTGCTATTTTATATAGGGTGGTCATCTTATTGAGAAGGGACATTTGACCAGAGACCTTCAGGAAGTGAGAGAGGGAGCATTGTGGATATGTAAGGAAAGGATGTCTTGGCAAGAGAAAACAAATAGGTCCACAGGCTTAGAGGCAGGGGTGTGCTTGGTGTTCAAGAAACAGCAGGATCAGTGTGGCTGGAGCAGAACAGAAAGAGCAGTAGGAGGAATGCTTAGAGAAGTGAGGAGGCAGGCAGGCAGATCCTGTATAGCATTGTAGGCCACGTTAAGAACTGGACTTTTATTCTAAATGAGATAAGATGTTATTGGGGCATGCTGAGCAAAGGAGTGATGAGATAGGGATCATTGGCCTGCTCTGTGGAAAACAGAATGTAGGAGAGCAGAAGGAAAAGCAGGGAGACCAATTTGGAAGTTGTTGCAGCACCCCAGGTGAAAATGCTGATGGCTTGGACAAGGTATTAGTGTGTAGGTCAGGGGTCTCCGGGCCACAGACGGGTACCTGGAGGTGAGTGGCGGACAAGTGAACATTACTGTCTGAGCTCCGCCTCCTGTCAGATCAGCAGTGGCATTAGATTCTCATAGGAGCACAAACCCTATTGTGAACTGCACATGCGAGGGATCTAGGTTGCACACTCCTTATGGGAATCTAATGCCTGATGATCTGAGGTGGAACAGTTTCACCCCAAAACACTTTCTACCCCCACCCACACCCCTGTCCCCATCCACGGAAAAATTGTCTTCCATGAAACTGGTCCTTGGTGCCAAAATGGTTGGGAACTGCTGGCGTAGGTCGTAAAGAATGGTTATTAGAGTCTGAATGTATTTTGAAGGTAGAACGGCATGATTCTGTTTTACATGATTTCAAAGTTTTTGGCTCAAATTGAAATAATGGAGTTTCCATTTGCTAAGCTGTGGGAGAAGTAAGTTTAGAAGGAAAATCAAGGATTCCATTTTGGACATGTGAATTTGAGATTCTTATTAAATATTCAGGTGATGTTTAGTAGACAGGCTATATCAGTCAGGATTTTAGGAGAGAGGTTTAAAATATTTACTATTGCTTTTAATAAAGCCCTTTCTTAAACTATTTGAGAGAGAAAGGTGGGGAAACAAAATGTATTCAGTCAAGGCCATGAGAGTTTAAGTTTCTAAGATTAGGGATTATATAATATTCATCATATGTATGATGAATTAGCAAAATACTTGGTATTTAGAAGGTGCTCAGTGTATAATTGTTGAATACTGGGTCAGTCAAAGATGAAAGACCAAATTAAAAGACAGAAGTTGCAAAAGTCTCTGACTGTGGATATACAAAACAGAAAGGAGGTAGAAAAGAATTTCTCTCCAAGTTACTTAAGGCCCCAAGGAGTAAAATGATTCTTTTATTAATTAGTTTTCTAAAATTATAAAACTAATTTATAAAATAAATTCAAACAAAATAGAAGTCTATAAAGTAAAAATAAAAATTATCCCTCCCTATTCACTTTGTTGCCCAGACCTATTCCCCAGAAATAGGTACTCTTTTAACAGTAATTATATATCTTCCAATAACTTTCTATGTTTATAAACATTCACTCCCTATCTGTCTGTTTTTAAAAAACTTAAATGGGTGTTACATATTGCCTTGAGCTTGCATTTTTTCCCCCATCTCAAAAGTGTACCTTGGACGCCTTTAGTATATCTTTATGAGTATATTTAGGTCCATATTAAGAGAGGCATACACTATAGTGATTAAAAATAAGGACTGTGGAGCCATGCTATGTGAATGTAAATGCTGGCTCACCATTACTAGTGTGACTTTGGGAAAGTTATTTAACCTTTCTGTGTCTCAATTTCCTCATCTGTAAAATAGAGATAATATTAATTACCTACCTTATAGGGTTGATGTGAGGATTAAATAGTTGTATATGTAAAATGCTTAGAATAGTACCTGGTACATGGTAAGCACTATGTATTTGCAAATGGCTATTATTAATTGATATTTAAATTGTTTCCAGTACTCATATAAATACATGTATAAACATGTATTTATACATACATGTTTTTGTTGTATTTTTTGAGAATTATATGTAGGACAGATTTTTTTCAAGTTGAATTGCTTGGCCAAAAGATGATTTTGATTACTGTGATAGCAGTGTTTTATCGTACATATGAAATTTAAGTCCTAATTCTGACCAAGCAAATTAACAAACTTACTTTGCAATCTTATAGAAAAACAATAGACTTAAAATCTGAGGAGAGACAAAGAGTTTTAATTAAACATTATGAATTCTAATTTTTAAATCTTAAAATGGTTCAATATCTACAATTTTATGTGCTTCAAAAAGACTTAGAAAAGTATCATTTACAGTCTTAGAGTGTTAAAAATTAGACAAATTTTATGTACCTTAGCAATAACAGGTTTTTTTTAAGGTTAATATATGTCTTTGGAAGAACGTACGGCCCCCAAAATGACATTATACTTATAGATCCTTATAGATTCTTACTTATAGATTCTTTTCCTTGAAAGGTTTTCAAAAAATTTGTACAGATGTTATCTTTTTATAACTCAGTTTAATAAATATTTAATACCTGTTTTACATGCTAGATAGAATCCTCTGCCTGCAGCTATTAAGACTTTACAGTCTCATGAAGGAGATAATAAAAGCATAAAAGTAATATTAATATGATGTAAATGTCATAAGGAGTATGAAGGTGGATGATAGAGGATTGAGAGAATGTATATATGATGTCCAGTTAAGGGATACAAAGAAATTGGTAAAAGAGAACAGATTCTGAAGGACCTTCAAGAATAGGTAAGATTTTCACAAGTGGATACTGGGGAAACTATTAGAAAAAAACATTCCAAGTGCAAGCATGGTATGGGGAAAAGCCCATTATGAATTCTTTGTTGAGTAGGGGGAGAGGACCAAATCATGGGTTGATAACTGTATTACTCAGGAGTTCAAATGCCTATGCGGAGTTGGTATATGATTCAGTAGATGGAGGGAACTTGGCTTCTTGAATGCAGAAATGGCATAAGATCTGTGCTGAAATAGAAGATTAATTAGGCAGCAATTAGTAGGGTAGAGTGATACAAGAGGGACTTAAAGTAAGGATCTAGTCGTAGTTATAGCATTATCCCCAAAAATGAAGACTTTAAGTACATTGAATTTTAGATTTCAGTAGTTTATTCAGGTGGAATTGGCCTAGGAATGAATGAAGCTTTTCTTAGAACTTTATTAAAAGGTACCATTTCTTGCTGGTCAGTGGAACTTTATGGATTGCTTATACGGTACATCTCATCATCTGATTTAACAAGCAGTGACTTTTATGTCCTGCACATTGTGTAGGCAGTAGACATACAAAGATGAAAAAGACTTGATCCTTTCCTCAAAGTAGTCATCATCTAGGAGAATTGAAAACCACCCAAATCATTTTATTTGGATTGCATACAAGAATCTTAGTTTTAGGTTCAAGCATTGTTAGAGTGCCACAATATAGGTATTTGTGGTAAGAGAATGTGAGTATTGTTGTCAATAGACTAAAGAATATAGACTCAATGCATAGCTCCTTTTAAACTTCAGTTGAAATATGGAGAAATGTGAAACACTGAGTATAAAGAGGACAGAAAGCATTAGCTAAGAAAAAAATGAGAGGAAAAAGTTAAATGCCATAATATCCTGTACCACTAACTGGTATCAAAATGGGGAAGATGATACAAAAATTAGCTGGGTATGGTGGCACACGCCTGTAATCCCAGCTACTTGGGTGACTGAGGCAGGAGGATAACTTGAACCGAGGAGGTGGAGGCTTCAGTGAGCTGAGATCCCACCACTGCACTCCAGTCTGGGCTACAGAGTGAGACTCTAAGAAAAAAAAAAAAGTTAAATAAATAAAATAGAGAAGGTGGTTAACTAGATCGCTGCTACAAAGAGGTGTATGAGAATCCTAGGATTAATATTATGACAATTAGCCTTTATTGAGCATTTATTCTATGCTAGGTACCATGTCAGGTGCTATGTGTATTTATTGAATTTCTCAAAATGAAATGTGAAGTAGGAAGAGGTATTTTTGATGTTTCCGTTGACTTTTTTACACATGCAATTGACTGTCAGTGGTTATTTTCCTTAAGGTTTAGGTACCCTTGGCATATGATGCTTAATGATTACAATAAATATGTGCTGAAAAATTGTCTTCTTTATATGAATAGAGGGATTTATTTTTAACACATTATTCTTAATTTTTCATTTCTTTGCAACTACAATTCTGTCTCCGCAAAGTATACTTCTGTAGTTACTGCTTTTGAGATTTCTGGATCAAATTTAATTAATTATTCTTTCTTATAATACTGTTTCTAATCACTACTGTTATAGCAGGTTTTTGGTACTTAGCCATAATTGTTTAACGTAAAAGTTATAATTGACAAAGGGATTGAGGTGTTTTAATGGTTAAAATAAAAGAAAACTATGGTGAAATAATAACTACAAGTATTGCTGATAAAATACTGGATTTTTTTTATTTCTCTGATTTACATGAAAGTGATTTTTATGATTTTAGTTTTAAAGATATATGTCAGAATACACAGTCGGAATTTCCGTAGCTTGCTTTATTAATGGTTGCCCAATTAATTTTCCTCAGTAGCTTTACTTATATAACATATTACATGTAAGGCTGGGCATAAAAGGGGAAATATTAATATGTCATTTATAAAGGCATAATTATATACCACATGCCAAATTCCTCCAATCCTGGACTGGACATTTTCAAAATGGAATAATATTGTTGATTTTTCCCCCCATTGTAGTATACAATTTTAAACAGCACTTATTTATGTATTTCCACTTGACCAAGGGGCCATGCGTGAAAAAATTATTATATAAACAGAACAGAACATAATCAGATGTTTCTAAGACTAAATGATATTTAACTTTAGAGTAGAATTTTAGCTGTGAAATTTCATACTAGTATGTGTTATAACTAATTTCCCTTCAAAGGAAGAAATAGGTTGTCACTTAAAAAAAAAATTGATATCAGGAGATATGCTTGAAACCGTACTCACCAGTCAGCAATAACAAGCATTTTATTAAATATGCTTATCTTATGGCACACGATATTAATGGATATTATTGACTTGTTTTGATTGATTTTTAAGATAGTTTTTGTTTTTCTAATGGCTTAAATAACTGTCAATTTGGAGATCTTAATACTTTTGTTTGTTTTGTTATACTTGTTCACAGGTGGCAAACTGTGGTCATATATCAGTAAATTTCTAAACAGAAGTCCTGAAGAAAGCTTTGACATCAAGGAAGTGAAAAAACCTACACTTGCAAAAGTTCACCTGCAGCAGCCAACTTCTAGTCCTCAGGACAGCAGTAGCTTTGAATCCAGAGGAAGTGATGGTGGAAGCATGCTTAAAGCTCTGCCTTTGAAGAGTAGTCTTACTCCAAGTTCTCAAGATGACAGCAACCAGGAAGATGATGGCCAAGATAGCTCTCCAAAGTGGCCAGATTCTGGTTCAAGTTCAGAAGAAGAATGTACTACTAGTTATTTAACATTATGCAATGAATATGGGCAAGAAAAGATTGAACCAGGGTCTTTGAATGAGGAGCCCTTCATGAAGACTGAAGGGAATGGTGTTGATACAAAAGCTATTAAAAGCTTCCCAGCACACCTTGCTGCTGACAGTGACAGCCCCAGCACACAGCTGAGAGCTCACGAGCTGAAGTTCTTCCCCAACGATGACCCAGAAGCAGTTAGTTCTCCAAGAACATCAGATTCCCTCAGTAGATCAAAAAATAGCCCCATGGAATTCTTTAGGATAGACAGTAAGGATAGCGCAAGTGAACTCCTGGGACTTGACTTTGGAGAAAAATTGTATAGTCTAAAATCAGAACCTTTGAAACCATTCTTTACTCTTCCAGATGGAGACAGTGCTTCTAGGAGTTTTAATACTAGTGAAAGCAAGGTAGAGTTTAAAGCTCAGGACACCATTAGCAGGGGCTCAGATGACTCAGTGCCAGTTATTTCATTTAAAGATGCTGCTTTTGATGATGTCAGTGGTACTGATGAAGGAAGACCTGATCTTCTTGTAAATTTACCTGGTGAATTGGAGTCAACAAGAGAAGCTGCAGCAATGGGACCTACTAAGTTTACACAAACTAATATAGGGATAATAGAAAATAAACTCTTGGAAGCCCCTGATGTTTTATGCCTCAGGCTTAGTACTGAACAATGCCAAGCACATGAGGAGAAAGGCATAGAGGAACTGAGTGATCCCTCTGGGCCCAAATCCTATAGTATAACAGAGAAACACTATGCACAGGAGGATCCCAGGATGTTATTTGTAGCAGCTGTTGATCATAGTAGTTCAGGAGATATGTCTTTGTTACCCAGCTCAGATCCTAAGTTTCAAGGACTTGGAGTGGTTGAGTCAGCAGTAACTGCAAACAACACAGAAGAAAGCTTATTCCGTATTTGTAGTCCACTCTCAGGTGCTAATGAATATATTGCAAGCACAGACACTTTAAAAACAGAAGAAGTATTGCTGTTTACAGATCAGACTGATGATTTGGCTAAAGAGGAACCAACTTCTTTATTCCAGAGAGACTCTGAGACTAAGGGTGAAAGTGGTTTAGTGCTAGAAGGAGACAAGGAAATACATCAGATTTTTGAGGACCTTGATAAAAAATTAGCACTAGCCTCCAGGTTTTACATCCCAGAGGGCTGCATTCAAAGATGGGCAGCTGAAATGGTGGTAGCCCTTGATGCTTTACATAGAGAGGGAATTGTGTGCCGCGATTTGAACCCAAACAACATCTTATTGAATGATAGAGGTCAGGAACTTTTGCAAATGCATTTCTTTTTATTCGCTGTTGCTTCCAATTAACTGAGTAGGCGTTTTATCTTGTAATTAGTATCTTCATTTCCTGTCTAGAGCTTCATTATCAGTGCAGCAAATTCACCCCCAGTAATAGCTTCTAGTACTTAATGATGCCATTATTCTTAATGATACTGTTTTTAGCTACAAAAGGAGTAATTACAGTTCACTTCTGCAGAAAATGGAAGAGAAAAATGTTTTGATTTCTCCTGTCGTTTTGTTTTTAGGACACATTCAGCTAACGTATTTTAGCAGGTGGAGTGAGGTTGAAGATTCCTGTGACAGCGATGCCATAGAGAGAATGTACTGTGCCCCAGGTTAGAGCAATCTCCTAAAATGTTTCACTTGAAAAAGTGGTTCGGCAGCTCTCATTTCTTTATAGAAGTTGTATTTTTGTATTGTTCACTAGCAGTTTACATATGTGTTGGATTTGGTTATCTGTTTAACCCTTCAAAAAAGAAAATTTGGGGCTAAACCAATTAAGTAATTCATAGGTATATATGTGTATATATGTATGTGTGTCCACATATTTATTATTGTTAAATGAGTTTAATACCTCATTAAGAACTGCAGTGAATTCTTAGAAATGTCTTAACTTCTTAGTGTTTACAAGGACCTTTAAATACCCTGACCCTCTTTAGATGCATGATTTTTTTCTTTCTTTCTTTTTTTTGAGACATACCTCACTCTGTCACACAGGCTGGAATGCAGTGGTGCTGTTATGTCTCACTGCAGCCTCCCAACTCCTGGGCTCAGGCAGTCCTGTTGCCTCAGCTTCTGAGTAGCTGGGACTACATTTGTGCACCACCATGCCTGGCTAATTTTTTTAAAAAGCATTTTTTGTAGAGATGAGGTCTTTCTGTTGCCCAGGCTGGTCTAGAACTCCTGGGCTCAAGGTGCTGGGATTACGGGTGCATGCCATTATTCCTGGCTAATTAAAAAAATTTTTTTTTTTTTAAATAGAAACAGGGCCTTGCTGTGTTGCTCAGACTGGTCCTGAACACCTGGCCTCAAGCAATCCTCCTGCCCCAGCCTCTGGAATAGCTGGGATTGCAGGCATGAGCCCATGGTGCCTGGCACAATGGAGGTTTTAAAAATGCAATATGATTTTAGTGATGTGCCAACCTGGCATTTTATAACAAATTTTTATAGACAAAACAGTTTTATCTTGCCTTTACTGTATTGTCTTTATTTTTTAAAAATTAGAGATTTATTCTGTGGGTATTAGATCTTTTATTGACAATTATAGGTAGCATAAGCATATGAATTGCATTTGAGTTGGTTTTTCTCAGTCATCAGTGCAGATGGGGCTGTATTATGAATCCAAAGTTTGTTCACCTTTTGCTTACCATTTAGCCTCTTTGGATGGCCAGAGTCACTTCACCTGTTGCCCCATTGGCCTTCAAAGGAGTTTCAAGCTGATTTTTTTTTGATATAGTCTGCTTAGGTGTTGATCAATATAGTATTTAATACTTAACAGCTAACTAGTGTATTGATGCTAACCTTGTTTCTCTGCATAATGGGAAGTGATGATAATAAGGATTAAAAGAGCTAGATTGTTTCTAGTTACAACTTTCATTGTTAAGAATTATTTCTGCAGTAGAGAATACCAAAGTTTTCCAACCTATAAAATAAATATCCTAAAACGTTCCTGAAAGCAACTATTAGGGTTTTCTTTTCTTTCCTCCTTCTTCCTTCAAATTAAGACTGTTTGGTTTTTGTTTATTGTTAGAGACAATAGAGCACACTTACATTTTTTTTTCTCAAATAGATAATGTGATGTTATGTTTTGAAATCATGTTAGTAAATAGGATAAAAAATTGCATGTTGAATTCACTTTATTACAGTTACTCGATTAAAAAAAAAAACCAGATCCTCCCCACTTTCTAATTTGATAAGAAATAACATTTTAGGTTCCAGTGTACTTAGAAATATATTTGTTAATTATAATGAATTTGGAAGTTTTAGAATCAAACTTAATTTGGGAGTTTTTTTGAGTCAAGCCTGTTACATGCTAAAGTGAAGTACAGTGGGAACCATATAACAAAACAAAACCACACATTTATGGAATATTGTTTAATATTTGTAAGTAGTTTCTTATTTCTTATTTTTGTTGTTACTTTCTTTTTTTTCTCCTGGTTCCTAGTAAGTGTATATATTGTTACTTATTGGAAACTATCTGTAAATTTGTGCTTGAACATTCTAGCAGATTATTTTTCTTTATTCTCAAGCACAGTCATATTTACTTTAATATCCATAACATGTTGGTATCCTGAGAGTTTTAATATATGTGGAACAGAACCATATTACATTCATCAACAGATACACACTTTCAATTTCATATACTGAAATACCGAATTTAATACAGATCGGTTTCTAAGTTCTAATTTTTAAGCCTTGTCCCAGAAATTACAATTCTCTTAGTTGACCAGCAGGTGGCAGTCTACCATTAATGGATTTTGCTGTCCTCTTCCAGGTTGTCCTTCACTAGCATTTGAAAAAAGCTGTAGTCTGAAGAGGTGCTTTGTTGTCATTATTTGCATAAAAGAATTGTACTTCCAAGCTTTGTGAGTTGCAAAAGTGTTCTAGTGTTGTGGCATGCTTTGTGAACAATGTGGAAAGGCTTTCCATTCATTGGGCCTGTTAATTTTAGCAACCAGGTAAAACAAAACGAGTAATGGCCTTAACAGAAAAGTAATACCAGTGTTCTTATTAAGATGACCTTAAATCTAGAGAGTTATAGAACTTGGTTAAGTCTATGTGCTCGTACCCCTTACTTATAACTCAAGGGAAATTGGAGCAAAAATTTGTGAATTACTGTTTGCTCCAAAAGTTCATAGGCAGTGCTACTGATAAATCAAAACTACAGATAGGTTTTCCTCTCCTCAAAGGATGGAAGCAATGATAATATGTTAATATTTCAATACTTAAAAATACAAATCAGTAACTACATGGGTCATAGATTGTTTAACCACCTTTTGATCTACCCTTAGGAACACTAAAGGTTGAAGTAATTTCCTTTCATGTGATCCCCTCCCTCTTACTTCCCAAGTCTAACCTTAGTATTATTGTCCAAGTAACTCTAAAGCATGTTAAGCAGCTGATGTTTGGTTAGAAAGAAAAGTTGTCACAAGATTATGATGAGAGCAACTCACTTCTGTTTAAACAGTGTGCACCCTCTACCCTGCCACTTCACCTCCTGGGAATCCTTATCACATATTTGTCCTGAAAACATTATCCACCTGCCCTGTGCTTTATAATATCAGCAGTATATCTTTTTATCTTGTGGATGATGTGCCTTTATATTTTGAGAAAAATTTCCAGTAACAGATTTGATTTGCATGGACAGAAACTTGAGCAAATGCCAAACTAGCAGGGGGGCCATTATTCTGCTCTATAAATAAGTTTAAAAAAGAAAAAACACACACACAGAAACCTGTGAATCAACATGTTTTGGTCTAATTGAGGGGAAAAGCAAGACAGATAAATTTTGAAATGCAAATGATCACCTTCTGTTATTTAAGTATAGTTTCTGCCAACTTAGTGATCCTAGATTTTAAAAAGTCATAATTATTTCAACAATGTATACTCCCAAGGATGCCCAAGATTCACAAGTTTCTATAACAAAACTGAGAACTTTTAAAAAAGTTGCCACTTTTTTATATTAAAGAAAACAAATCCAACAACAAAAAGACAAAAACCATGGAGCTTTCTCTGGCTACATCTGTGAAAAAGCCAGCGCATAAATGGCTGCAGCTGCAGACCCATCAAGAGGGTCTTGAGAATACGAATTCACTGATCAAACCCAGCCCTGTTTTCAAAGTAGAAGCCATTCCTTTTAGGTTCACTTTGTATCCTTAGATTATCTAGGATGATTCTCTAGAAAGGTTTTATTTTAAATAAACATCATTCATGGTAAATGGGTTCCTTTCATACCACAGAAACACAGAATGGAGTTCAGGAAGAGAAAAGGCAAAAGAAATAGTCCACAAAGTAGGAACAGATTGTATAGCATGACAATATAAATATAACACTGTCTGGTTTCCACATTAGGAGACTTGTAGATACTTTATTAGGATACTTTTACACAGGTTCTTCTGCTTTTTTTGTTGTGAGGGATTAGAGAATAAAAACTGGAGTAAATTGGTTATTTTTCTCTGGAGGACTTTCTTCTGGTTACTCTGATTTTATATCTGTTTTTACACACATACACACAAAAGTTTTAGCCAAAAGATTTTATGTGCTTTATCATTTGATTTATTAACTTATGATAATAAAGAATAAACCTTTGTTTATAGTGTTTTAAGTATAAAGGAAAAATAAAATGTCAAAGTACTTTTTTTTACTACTTTTTTTCTTGACTCTTATCATTCAAAAACAGCTAGAAAATAGAACCTGTACTACTAAGCATATAAAATACAAAAAAAAAACTGAGTCTGAGGTGGGAGGATTGCTTGAGGCTGTGAGTATGAGACTGCAGTGTGCTATGATCATGCCTGCGAATAGCTACTGCACTCCAGCCTGGGCAACATAGCAAGACCTTGTCTCTTAAAGAAAAATACAAGAAAATGATATTTGAAAGCTTAATATACAATCTGAGACAAGTGCATAAAATTATTTGTGTTAGTTAACCTAATATAGTCACTTAAGTTTCCCATTCTAGTCTTGAACAAGTTGATATGGTATCCTATCAGTGTGTGTCCTTCACTTTTATTTTCTGCCCTATTATGAGTCTTTAATTTTAAATGCTTGAAATTTACATTGATATTTGTCATTGAATACTTTTCACACTTGAGAATTTATAGGTGCATATGTGTGTAAATTGAAGAAGTCCAAAATGCTTTTCACTGCAGCCCGATCTCCATGCTCCCAGATGTCAAATGACAGCTTTGCTTCCTCTCTTAGGCAATTTCACACTTGGAAACAGCTCACAGCTGACGGTGAAAAGTGAAACATAGAAAAATCATGCTGAAAACTATCTGTAAAAATTCAGTTTTAGAGCATGACATTTATTGACTACCTTTCTTTGCTCTCCTAGCCTGACTTTATCAAATAATCCATGAATATATTTTGGGGAATAGTTTCCCCTGCCCTTCTCCATAAACATGCTTTCCATGGCATTTGTTTCTTTTTAGGCATGGAGCTCCATGTAATAGTTATGTATCTGATAATTAAAACTAGGACTCAGACCATGGATGGAGTTTAAAATATCTTGAGGCTATCAGAAGTTTTTAAGGTTTAGAACATTTAGATGGAATTGAGAACTACCAAACCTGCATATTGTCCCAGATCATGTATTAACTGATTGCTTGACCTCGGGAAATTTATTTAAGACTTTCTAGGCCTCAGTTTAACAGTAGTAAAATAGATTTGTTGGATATAAGTAAAATCACAGATGTCAGATCATCTGACATCCTCCTTACACAAAATGTACTCAAAATTGAAGTTCATCATATTAAGGCAGGATTTTCCCCCCAAGGGTAAATATTGATTTCTTATCTAATGTTAGTAGAGTTAAAAAATTATTTCATTAGGATGACTGAGTATATATTTTTACTCATTTATAGAGTTTGTACATAAAGTATATCATGTAGAAATAAGGGATTTATGGAAAATACTTTCATTTAGAGGAATGAAGCCAAAACAACTTTTGTTTGGGGTGAAAGTTGAATGTCAAGATTCTCAACAAACAAAATTGTTTAAATAAGAAAGAAATATTTAGATGTGATAATTTATGGGACCTGGGTAATTTCAGCAAACATGAGAAATCTAATTTTAAGAATGTAAGATTGATAGAGAAAGCAAATAAATATAGATGTATATTTCAAAATAATAATGACATAACCAGGAGATACTACTTTTTTTCCTAAAACAGAAAGAAGGTGGCAGCAAGAGGGAACTATAGGAATAATTTTGAGTAAAATATTTATGGTTAATATTTAAATATTATGTTTCAGACAGTAACTGTTTTATTTACCCTTAAGCAAAACTTCAGCAATAGCTAGCTATCTTGTACATAGTATTTTAATGTTTTCCTTGAATGATTAACAAGTATGTTTAGTCCTTTGCCCTCAGTTCTTATCGTCATAAAAACCAAATCTATTTATTCTTCAGGAGAACCAGTTAATTTTTCAGTTTGCCATAGAATAGTGAGACTTTTCCACTGAAGAAAATTTCTTGATACACTTCACCACTGTATATCCATGAAACTTGTAACGTGAGTTTAGAGTACAAGCAAAAAAGGCCTCAAGTTAACACAAGTCTTACCTTGTCTAGGCAAGGCCCTTGTGGTGCAAAGAAGATTAAAGGATCACTTTAGGAGGACTTGAGGGTCTAGAATGCTGGAATCCATGGGCCAGTCACCATCACATCTCAGTTAAGGTTGCTCCATATTGAAACAGACTATTCTGAAATCATGATTCTCCTATCAAGCCAGAATGCGATTTGTCTCTAGTGGTGAGAATGAGACAAAGTAAGAGCAAAGAATTCAGTCCCAGTTATTTGGCATCTTAGCAAATGACACATTAGCACATCCCAAGAGAAGTTCAATGAATTGATGTTTTGATACAGAAGAGGTGAAAAACAATGTCTCTGTACATTTCATAATACTACCTGATATTTGGAGTGAAGGGTTTATGTCAAGCTTTAGATTATTAAAAATAAGTTAATCTTAACCTTTTATTTACCCCAAACCTTTTTTCTTGATGATCTTGGGCAAATTTCTTTTTCAGAAGAGGAACATGAGACTAGAGACTTATAGTTTAAAGTATTAGCTACAGTGTAATGCTTTTTATTTTTCGTATCTCAGTTGACTTTTGTCAACTATTCAGTAATTGGCCTCACCACTGCATTATTATAAAGAAGAAAGTGAACTGTCTTTTGCCTTTGATGTTTAACAAAGATGTAATACTGAGTCTTAAACATTATATACCAGAGCAATTGGCTAACTATTTTTATCAAATCATCAGTTTCTGTATCCCATAACATTTTGTAAATTTTAATCTCCATTAGGTTACCAGGTCTTATTCCTTCTGAGCAGTTCTTCACAAATTCTTCCTTCGAATAAATGTTTAAAAATGCTAAGGTTTTTAAAAATGAGTGAGGATAAGGCAAGTAGGATTTCTGAAGCTCCTTTAATAGCCATGCGTGTAGCTCTCTGCCTAACACAGCAGCAGAGCGGCAGAGAGAGAGCGCAAGCAAGCGAGAGAGCTATGCCTGTCATTCTCACAATTTTCAGTTAGCCTTTTTCTCATCAATCAACTGTAATGGCTTTGGTTGGGTAACACTGTGACACCTGATGGCTACTCAGAATGGAGTTGTTGTGATATGATCAATGGAAAATGGGGCATGCTGTTGGTTTTTTCCTACTAGAAATACAGGGTGAGAGAGTAAGCAAGATTGTTTACAGCTCAGAATTATAATCGGTCAACCAGAAGTCATGTGGTAGTTACTCGTTTCTTATTTTATCTCACAAGAAAACCGTATAGTAATGATACCTATAAACTCCCTTGAACAAGTAATTCTTGGCTCTGGAGTGCCGAATCAAGTGAAATTAAGGAGTTTTGACTTAAGTTGTACAGATAATTGCAGGAAAGCTCAGAACATGGTTGCCAGGTCACCACGACAACAAGAAATTCAGAGCTAGGTAGTGGGAGAAAAGTGGAATTAGACATGTAGCCAAGCCTAGCCTGAACTAGCTGAGTGTGGTCTGCACTCACGTCCAGTTCCCCACAATACAGCAGGCCCAGGGATTCAGGTAATTGAATTACCTAAAAACCAACTGAATAAATGATGAGGTGGTGGCAGGAAGCGAGGCTAGAGACTGAGGTGAGCCGAAAAAGCGAATGCGTATTAGGGTGGAGCAGCACCACATATCCCCTGTCACCTTGCAGCACTGGGAGAAGAGTGGGGGCCCCAGCTGCTGCAGACTTCTCTCTCTGGAAAGTGCCAGTCTCTGTCATTGGTCTTCTCTGGATAATACGCTAATTAGAGTAATGTGATTCCAGGAACTTTCAAACAGTTCATGTACCCTGCTCAACAAATACAGCATTTGAATAAGCAATTGAGTACAATGCTGGAGGACTTTATGGAATATAGAATGGATAATTAGGCAGTCAATGTTTTCTGAAATAGTATAAAATAAGAAAAAAGGAGCAAAATGCCCATTTGAAAGGATGGGCTAGGAAATGAAAATTCCAGGCTCTAGTTAGTCTATCATGTAAGAATGAAGATCTGCCTCAGAAATGTGAGACTATAGGGAAGTTTCTTCTGTCTGACTTGACTCATTTCAAGTACAAGGTCCCTGTGAACAGCTTTGCGCCTTTGAACTTGTAAACTTTAAGCTATTAAACTTTGATGTTTTAGTTTATAACTATTAGAGGAGCATTCCGAACCTGGAATTAAAATGAAATTTTATTCTCATAGTTGCTATGGCTTTTAGTTTTGCTTTCGGTTGTAACATTTTCCATTGTCATATACAAAAACTTAAAAAAAATTGTCTCTGTATTTAAAATAATACCATGGCTAGGTAGTGTAGTTGTCCTACAATACATTTAAATGAATTTGTTTTTGATAACATTTAAAAAATATTTGTAATTGATACAAATGATCTCACCAGCCCACCAGCCAAATAGAACCAGCTTACAAATTTGTGGCACATTTTATGGAATTAGGTGCCTAAATTCCTTTAATTGAACAGGGATAGAAAAAACCTTGAGTTATCTCCCAGTCCTGTCTTCTTTATTCGCCCAGGTTTTTCAGCTTTTTTTTTTTTTTTTTTTTTTGAGACAGAGTCTTGCTCTGTCACCCAGGCTGGAGTGCAGTGGTGTGATCTGGGCTCACTATAACCTCCACCTCCTGGGTTCAAGCAGTTCTCCTGTCTCAGTCTCCCAAGTAGCTGGGATTACAGATGGCCACCACCATGCCCTGGCTAATTTTTTGTGTTTTTAGTAGAGACGGAGTTTTGCCATGTTGGCCAGGCTGGTCCTGAACTGACCTCAGGTCATCCACCTGCCTGGTCCTCTCAAAGTGCTGGGATTACAGGCGTGAGCCACCGTTCCCAGCCCAGCTTTCTTTTCTTGATGTAGCACACGCCACCTGTGCCAGAGCAAACTGTACCTTCCAGAGGCAGTCATTGTGCTTTGCATGGGGAGCACTGGAAGGTGTCCATTCCACCACCTGAGTTTAGGCTGCCTTCATCTCTTGCCTGGAATAGTGCAGTCAGCTGACTGGCTTCCACTCTCACCCTCTAATCTTTGTTTCTTCCTGCTGCTGAGTATGCTTTAGATAATGTTTTAAACTCTTTAGCCTACAACTTGTAAAAGTGCAAAAGGACTTGATGTAGATCTGCATGCTCAATGGAACTTAAAGAAAACAAATGTGATGAGGGCTTTGGAGGTGCTTTGAATGCCTTGAATGGACAGTGCTACAAAATACAAGATTGATATATTTATTCAACAAACATTTATTAAATGCCTCCTGTGTCCCAGGCACTGTGCCTAGGAGCCAGAAATAAAAGACATAATTGGTATAATATTGACAGTTACTTTTGAAGATTTACATGAAAAGGAGTCTACCCAAACAGAAGAAATATACAATTGGTTAACTAGGATGTTAATAGACCTTTATAGGTGAATAGTTGTATTTATAGAATGGTAGTTTTCTGAGCAAACAAAAGACATGCTTAGCTGTCCCCCTTCCCACAGTTTAGTTCCATATATTGTTGGATACAAAAAATGCTTTCTTCTGTGTTTCTTTCTCTTTGCTCTTTAGTCATCGGCTGCAGTGGAAGACTAATGCTCAGCCCCTGCATAGAAAATCTTTATACACAGCAAGAGCTGGTGAGAGAAATTGACTAGGATTTTGTAATTCTAGTCCCTTTCAATTAGCAACAGATGCTGCAGGGAAAGATTGTCTGTGTAGGAACACAGTACTAATGTTTCTGTGCCCTAGCTGACATGGAATGCTCATTGCAAAAAGAAAGATGTTCTTTTCCTTGGTCGAAGTTGTCACCAATGACAGATTAGATTTTTTTAACCTTTCTCTACTCCTAAATCCATTAATGAAGTCTGATTCCCTTGGAAGAAAGTTAAATTCTTGACCAATTGTAACAACATTTCTAATTGAACACTTAAAGAATTTATAGAAAGTTTAGACATTCCAGCTGCCTTTCTGATAGTATAAAGGTATACATTGTGCTTAATTTTAAGGTTTGTAAGAATTTGCCTTTGTTCTTATGTTGTCTTATTTACCAGAGATCTTTTTTTGATCCTGAAAGTTAATATATTTTTGTTCCTTATGGTTTTTTTCCCCCAAAGAGAACTTTGGAATCCTTAAGGTCAGATATTTAAAGTGAAAATTTTTTATTATTTTGAGAAAAAATCCTGTGGCATTAGAAAACTATATTTATCTTTCACCTTCTTCCCTAGTGTATTTACTACTGATTATCATTTTAATGTGTTGTATGGATCTTGTGGCCTTAAAATTGGCCTATCATTCTGCTATTTGGATAAAGCATTATGTTACTTATGTGATAAATTCTTCCAGCATCTAACTATTGGTTTATTTTGAGTATTACATAAACACTTTATTTACAATGATGGCTGCTTTTTAATTAAATTTTCTATGACTTCTTAATAACAGTTCCACAGTTGCTATAACTTTGAGAGTAAAAAGAAATGAGTCTTTTCATTTAAAAAAGCCTAGTTAAGAAAAATAGTTTAGGAGTTCTAAATTACAATAGAATTTCTCTATAAGTGAAATTCTCTTCTAAGAAGATTCTGAACATACTGTATTTCCTGCTGTATCTTGGGGAGAGAAGATAGCAACAACAGAATATATTGCCAGAAGGAGGTTATGGACTTGTCTCTGGGAATTTTTGGAATGGGGATGGGTAACTATATTGTTAGTAAAGGTAAAGTGAAGAATGAGATGATCTATGTGGTGCTCCTTTAGTGGAAAAACCAGGGAACTGAGTCAGATGGCCTCACCAGTCTGACGGTGTGTCTTAACACATATCTGTAAATGTGGAATATCAGATTTCCTTATTAAGCATTTTAAAAGTGATGTCTTTTAAAGAAAAGTAAATTCTGAATTTGGGATATTGAAGGCCCCACAATTGCTTAAAATGCAAGATGGTTCATGTTTTTAAAACTTTATGGAAACGTTTTCGATTAAAGCTTGAGTTTAACTTGCAGTTTCTAGTTTTCTCAATTTTCGATTCAATTTCCAGTATAATGTTAGATCTGTCTTTGGTTATTTTTGCGTCATGTCTTTGACAAATCCATGCAGTTTAAATTGTATAATCTTAAAAGGCAAGGCCTGTACCCTTAGATAAACGTATGTCATGAAGCATACATCATGATTTTAGTATGTTGGAATCACATAGTCTCTCCAATGTCTTTCAGACTTCCTCAAGTCTGAGAGTGTGTACTGTTCTTCTTTCCTTTCCTTTCCCATCGCTATATAGACATCTTATGGTTGAGTCCAAGCTTTCTGCTTTTTTGCTCCTTTACTTTTGGGAGCCAAGCTTATTATAGTTGCAGTTCTGGATTTAGGGTAAACATTATTATTTTGGCTGTAAGAGGGAGACTTGGAAGACTCTGAATATCATAAGGACTATAAAACTTTGTTATTCTGTGTTTTAGCAAGCTCTTTGGCAATATGGGCTACCAAGACAGCATTATTTTTCTGAAAAATATCTTGGCTTATTGAAGAGTGTTCTATGAGGTGTTAAACATGAGTAAAGCAAAGGTAGGCAAAGCACATTTTATGTTTTGATATCTTTGTTTTATTTAATCTTATTTATTCACTTGTGAAATATCATAGTTTGAATCATTAGTATTAATCAGTAAGAGTCTATATTGTAGTTAGAATATCAGAATACTGAAGTGAAATTTCTAGAATTTTACTAAACAGTTTGCACATGTTTGATGTCCTTTAAAATTTATGGATGAGTTGAAATTTAATCAGGAGCTGATTCTGTGTCTCCATTACATTAAAAGATGATAATGGTTAGATTTAGTGACCCTGATTCATTTCACTTACCACCAGGTAATTAATCTTTTAGGGAAAGAGAGGAGTGGCTATGTATAGAAAGGAGAAAAGGAAGAAGATTGAGGAATGCTTGCTCATCTTAGCATAATCCACTTTTTGGGCATCTTAGGTTAATGGAGGGAGAAGAAGTTATGAGAAAGGCTCATGAGTGCTTTTGAAAACACTTTCAGGATCATAAAATTACAGATTATAAGAGGCTGAAAGAATGTTAGAGGTCTGGCTGTTCTCATTTTCAGAGAAGCATAGTGATATACTCAGCCAAGCTCAAGCAGCAGCATAACCAGAGCCCTGGCAATACATCTGTTTGACTTAAGGACAAAAATCCAGGATTCTTTGATATCACCATCTCTTTTTGAGTTTTTGTGGGAATAAACTGAGAAATTGTTTTCTGAGGTAATAGTTTGTTTTTCTCTGATCATGTTTCTTAATGCCTGTAGTGTGCCACTACACTTGTGGAGAATAAGGATACTGTTTTACCAAGCCTAGAAATTGCAATTATAGAATGTAGCGGTAGGGAATGGGGCATGCCCAGAAACTTAACACCTTGTGTTTTATAGGAAAAATGTTTTGAAAATTGGCAAAAAAAAAAAGTGGTAGAATTTATCCTTTAAAATATTTTTCTAGGCCAGGCGTGGTGGCTCGTGCCTGTAATTCCAGCATTTTGTGAGACCAAGGCAGGAGAATTACTTGAGCCTAGGAGTTTGAGACCAGCCTGAACAACATGGTGAAATCCTCTGTCTACAAAAAATAGAAATAAAAAAATTAGCCAAGTGTGGTCCCATGCCTGTGGTCCTGGGACCCATGCCTGTGGTCCCAGCTACTTAGGAGGCTGAGATGGGAGGATTGCTTGAGCCCAGGAGGTCGAGGCTGCAGTGAGTCATCATCCTGCCACTGCACTCCAGCCTAGGTGACAGGATGAGAACCTTAAAAAAAAAAAAAAGGAAAAGAAAACAAAATGTTTTTCTACTTGTTTCTAGAGATTTTTCAAATTTGAGGTAGGAGTTAAAGGGGATTTCTCAAATTCACTGTGTTAGTCTTTTAAAATAGCCTCAGAGACTTACATGGTATTTCTTTTCATTCTCTACTTTTGATTTTAGGTACATATACCTGATGTTTATAGTAACTATCGTGTTGCTTTATATATAAATCAGTGTTGTTGGTTTATGCTTAGATTTTTTATATAGAGTTTGCAAGTAAAGTAGTTTTGATAGCCACACAACCTCAGGCTTCTTTTTGGCAATACAGTTTCAGTGTGTATCTTAAAATTTTTAATCTAAGAATTACTGATATTTAAGGATGTTAAAAGGGCAACCAAATAAAGTCCTTTGTTCTGATAATTGAAAGAATTTTTTTTCTGTTTTAACACCTATAAAGAAATTCTACAACTGCTTACCTTCACCTGTTCTAATATTTAAGCTTCCTAGCTGTTAGGAAGTTCTTCTTTATATCTTACCTAAATACAGCCTAAATGCAGAACTCTTTGTCGTAGCTTAGAGTCATGTATGAAAATCAAGGACAGTTGGTCATGTTACCAATTTCACATTAATTAATGAATCACTGCTTGATATAAAGTCATTTTGAACAGTTTCAAGCTGCATTGTTAAGGGGATGGATTTAAAAATTATTCAATGTCTTCTTTTCTGGTTTCCATGAAAAACCAATTTACCTTTTTACAGTTCTTATCCTTCTCTACTACTCCAGTCAGATTAAAGATGACATTCAGCCTAGCTGCCTTCATAGTTTCAAAAGCAGTTTTCCTTAGATGGGACCAGCAGTGTCTTTAGGCCTAAGTGTGTTAGAAAGCTGAACTAATCATATCTGAGAGGAGGCAAGAAAGAAAGTCAATGGGGAAGAAATGAAGCAGGCTGTCCGTGGAAGAGAGGAGATGAAGATCCAGGAAAGATGGAAAATGGGGAGTGAAAGAGGTAGACTGTGGTTGACAGCTTAGCTAAAGTGTCTCCAGCAGTTATCTCAGGTGCCACTTCGTGTCTTGGACTAGCTAGCAAGCCCACTGAGGAGTGGGAATGTAAGTAAGCTTTGCAGGGGTGTCCAATCTTGTGGCTTCCCTGGGCCACATTGAAAGAAGAATTGTCTTGGGCCACATAAAATACACTAACACTAACGATAGCTGATGAGCTAAAAAAAAAAAAAAGTCGCAAAAAAAATCTCATGATGTTTTAAGAAAGTTTACAAATTTGCATTGGGCTGCATTCAGCCCACAGGTTGTGGGTTGCACAGGCTTCCTCTAGGGGATTCTTAGGTCTCTTGCTGCTGTCTGTGTTGCCTCCCATTCAGATTGGGGCTCATCAGACACTGTGGCAATCCACATTTGGAGCAGTACATTGGTCATTATTTACCTGTTATGGACCCTGGCAGAAGATTACTTAGGGATTTCAAAGCAGCATAAAGCCTACTTCTTAGACTCTGCAGTTGAGCAAGTTCACAGAAACCAATACAGGAATCCACCTTGTCTGTCTTATGAAGTGCCTCTCAAATTTTTCTGCTTATGTACTTGACTGTAGAGGTGATACGAAATGAGTATCCCAGGGGACCAGTGAAATAAGATTCTGAGGTTTCTTTGAAGTCTTTTTATCTTGCAAATCCATGCAAATTTTACATTGTGTTCCATAATAGGTCTATTTATTTTAAAAAATAGTAATAGTAAAACAATACTCCATCCCCTCCCCACATACAAAAGTCTCTGAGGCTCAGGAATATGGACTGTGCTTATCTTGTGGCTTCAAGAACACACTCTCCCTCGGCCTCCCCACTAACACATTTCATCTGGGGTGCGTGTTCCCTGCAGTGCTGTGGAAAACAAACATAACATGTAGCTTTTGAGGATCTAGGCTACGTTGTTGGTGGCACTTTGGACCTTTTGCTGAATTTAAAAGGTACCTTTATAAGTATGTTAGCCATCGATTAGACAGACCCATCTGGGCAATCCTCTGCTCAGTTTTAACGAGGAACCTCATGAGCAGAGACTTAGAATGGGGCTTTAGTCTAGAGCTCCTTAGCACATGTTATTAGACCCTATAAACCATCTCATTAATTTTTACATCTCTAAGCTAACTGGATCAGATGTCCTGCTTCTTCCTGGGCACATAAATACAATATTCTCTCCCAAAGTCACCATACCCAAATAAGTTCTTCCATAAGGTTGCTTAGAGATTGTAAATAATTCATGTAAAGTATTAAACATGGTTTCTTACATGTAGTGAGCAGCCAGGAAATGGTAGCTGCTATTTTATTATTGCTGCTATCATTATTGCAATGTGTACCTACTGTGAACAAAGCAGCATTATAAATGGAAAGTAAAGCTGGTTGGTGGCACATTCAAAACTGATGGCTGACAGATAACTTTGGATCTTGAATTGTAAACAGGTAAAACTTTTTTTTTTTTTTTTTTTTTTTTTTTTTTTTTTTGAGATGGAGTCTTACTCTGTCGCCCAGGCTGGAGTCCAGTGGTGTGATCTTGGCTCACTGCAACCCTTGCTTCCTAAGTTCAAGTGATCCTCCTATCTCAGCCTCCCAAGTAGTTAGGACTACAGGTGCACACCACCACACCTGGCTAATTTTTGTATTTTTATTTTTTATTTTTTTTGAGATGGAGTCTCGCTCTGTTGCCCAGGCTGGAATGCCGTGGCATGATCTCAGCTCACTGCAACCTCTGCCTCCTGGGTTCAAGCAATTCCTCTGCCTCGGCCTCCCGAGTAGCTGGGACTACAGATGCGCGCCACTACGCTTGGCTAATTTTTTGTATTTTTAGTAGAGACGGGGTTTTACCGTGTTAGCCAGGATGGTCTCGATCTCCTGACCTCATGATCTGGCCTCCCAAGTGCTGGGATTACAGGCATGAGCCACCGCACTGGCCCATTTTTGTATTTTAGTAGAGATGCGGTTTCGCCATGTTGGCCAGGCTGGTCTCAAACTCCTGACTTCAGGTGATCCTTATAATACTAAGAAGTATACACTGCTTGTGATATGATTAAAGAAAATGGAGCAAATGAAATTCTTGAACAAAAAGATATTTAAGAAATAAAACCACTAACTATACTAGGGGAAAAACTGATTTTAGCTTCACATAATTTAACAGTGTGGCCAAAGCATAGAATTCTATGGAGGAATAGTGCCTAGTACAGTGCCTAATTTGTGCTGCTTCATGTGTGTTGGTTGAATGAATATGATGGGTTGATACCTTATTATGGAAGCCGAATTGTATATATATACCTGATTAAGCAAGGAATTTGAATGTTATCTAATGGTCAGTGAGAATTTTGAGCAGGGAAATGATGTCATTCATCGCTTGTTTTAGACTGGAAGGAAATGTACAAAAGGTTATATTTTATGATAGAACTATGATAAATTTCCCTTTTACTTTGCTAACATTTCTAATAACACACACCCTTTATAAAGTCTAAGAGTACACTTCCAAAGGTGATAGTGGCTCCCTGTGAAATGGGAATGGGGGTGAGGGTTATGTATTTGAATCTGGGAGGGGTAGCATATGTACTTTGAAAGAGAGCACCCAGGGATATGTCCTTCATGAGTATCATTATTTTAGAGAATCCTTGAGTATCAAATCATAGAGTTCCTAGAGCCCCTCAGCTCTAACCCTCATGTTATAGATGACATCAAGTGAATTCCTTGACTCAACCCAGGACTCCTGATTCCTAGTTCATTGTTCTTTCTCATGCATTAAAGTTGTGGAAAAAACTATGCAGATGAACAGAAGGGAGGATTGGTTTACGTAGTTTTTCTTCCCTGCTCCAGAGTAACTTTTCCAACAAGCCTGAATGTTTTCATATCATCTTGCTGTACTTTAAAAATTTAAACATTTGTGTCAATTACATATTCATGTAGGTAATAAAAAAATCTCACTGGCCGGGTGCGGTGGCTCATGCCTGTAATCCCAGCACCTTGGGAGGCCAAGGCGGGTGGATCGCCTGAGCTCAGGAGTTCGAGAACATACAGGGCAACATGGTAAAACCCCGTGTCTACTAAAAATACAAAAAAAATTAACTGGGTGTGGTGGCACGCACCTGTAGTCCCAGCTACTTGGGAGGCTGAGGCAGGATAATTGCTTCAGCCCCAGAGGTGAAAGTTGCAGTGAGCCAAGATTGTGCCACTGCACTCCAGCTTGGGCTACAGAGTGAGACTCCGTCTCAAAAAATACTCACCACCCCAGAGGCAAATCAGTAAAACATCTTGTCATGTTTTCTTACCAGTCTTTTTTCTAAATGTGTACTTTTAAAATTAGAATTGTATTGTTTTATAGCTTTTTATATGTTTATATATACAAACATTCACTTAAGTATATGTAGGTGTTGTTTTTTTAATTTTTTTTTTTTTTTTTTTTTGAGTTGGAGTTTTGCTCTTGTTGCCCAGGCTGGAGTGCAGTGGCCTGCTCTCAGCTCACCGCAACCTCCACCTCCTGGGTTCAAGCGATTCTCCTGCCTCAGCCTCCTGAGTAGCTGGGATTACAGGCGCTTGCCACCATGCATGGCTAATTTTTGTATTTTTAATAGAGATGGGGTTTCGCCATGTTGGCCAGGCTGGTCCTGAACCTCTGACCTCAGGTGATCCGCCTGCCTCAGCCTCCCAAAGTGCTGGGATTATAGGCGTGAGCCACCTCGCCTGGCCCTATTTAAAATGGTTATGTAGTAGTAATCCATCATACAGATGTGCCACAACATATATGATTAAATCTCTATTGTTAGGTAGTTCTCAATTTTTCAAACAAGCAACTATTTTATAAATGCAAATAGTTCTAAGAACGTTAGGAGACTTCGAGTCATTCACATACTAGTTCGAATTAGTTAATATCTGGTTTCTTTTTACTACCTAGTTGAGAGCAGCTAGTTGGAGAATGGAAATTGTGATTTGGCATGAAGCACTTCAGGAAGAGGGTGGGCTTGGGAAGGGCTGTGAAGGGGTAGAGTTCCATATAGGCTGTTTGAACCTCAGAAAAAGGGATGTAGAAAAAGGTTGCTGAATGGAGTAATTTCAGTGTTTTGCACAGGAATGGCTCTTTTTCTTTTTCTGGTCCGTATGACTTTTGCTTTAAGACTATTGCTCAAGCTATTTTGTAAGTTTGGGGTTCTCCCACACAAGTACATTGACTAAGCATTGGTTAAAAGGCTAGGCACCTGAGTACCACTTACATGTTTTACTTTCCAAGTTCCAACCTAACTACTTATAAACTTGAAAGTAGTTATGAATTGTGGGTTACCTATAGTCAAATAGTAGGGTTTTTTTTTTTTTCAGTCAATTGGAAATGAAAGGGCAGGTATTGGCAAGGCTTCGGGACTAATTTAATGCCATTAGGAAAGCACAAGATAATGTAAGGGCTAAAAGCCTCAAAAAAAAAAAAAAAAAAGGTGAAATGAGGAGTTGTTGCTGATTGGTGCAGGAACCTGAAAGATGACACCTGAAAACTCAAATTACATTTCAGGAACTTGTGCTGGCGAGAGATAGGGATAACACAGATAAAAGTGTAATTTGTAGATATTCTAAAATCCCTTATCTTAGCCAATAGTTTCAGCCGTGGCTTAAAACAATATATCTATCTGTACTTTAGCAAAATGGGTGGATTTGCATTTCACATGCTCCTCCTTTGGTTGAAAACAACTGATTACATAGGAAAGGGAAGATGATACTATAAACTAGGTCTTCGTTCTCCTACAATGTGACATTGGACAAGGCATTTCGTCTCTCTGGTTTCTAACCTGCAAGTAAAAGGATGATTAATATTGGTTTAGATAATTTTTAAAGTTCCTTTAGAACCTGAAGGGTCTTTATTTCTACAACAAAAAAATCACCCATGAGGTAGAATTGGCTATACATTCTCAAATGTAAAAAATTAAGCAAAATGCTGATCTAGTAGGTTCACATAACTTTTAAGTAAAGCATCTTGAAGGTGTCCCTCTATCAACTGAAGAACAAATGTCTGAGTTTAATATATGACTGCATCAAAAAAAAAAATATATGCAACCGCAGTAGGTGACCAAAGGGATAAGTAACTTTCAGGAATTTTGAAAGCCCAGTAGTATTTAGTATATGCTCTCTCAGCATTAAAAAGGTCACCTTGCTAATACATGTTAATTTTGAAAGTTTAATTGACCTTTGGAATTTTAATATCAACCTTTTTTGGTGTGGTTAGAGGTTGGAGCAATCACTGAAGAAACTGAAGCCTGTGATTGGTGGAGTTTGGGTGCTGTCCTCTTTGAACTTCTCACTGGCAAGGTAAGCAGTGGCCTGGACGTTTAATAAATTTACTCAGATGCTACCTTGATTTCAAATTAAGAACATTAGCCTTCACCCTTAGTTTTTAAATCAGGGACTAAGCAAGAAAAACTTTGATATCGAAAGCAAGTAGAGAAATGCAAGTTTATCAAGAGTCCAGATTTTTTTTAAAAGTTGGATTGCATTACATTGAATAAATTGATGGTAAAGTTATTTTATGTCACAATATTTCATAGTGAAATATGACTAAAACTTTTTTCTTTTAATTTTCCATGATTCAGCTTTAACAGGGTCAAATCTGTAAGGTTTATGTAAGGATGTATTAAAATTCTCTGGATGTTTTAAACATATTGTCTGAAACCAGGAGAGAATTCTTATTTAAGAAAATTAACGTAGATATTAAAGTTAACATTATCTTTTTCTCAGTACCATAAATTTTTCCTATCTGTTCTAGCTTAAGGACAGAAATTATACTCTCAGATGAATGACTTTTGAATATGATGTTTGAGTTAGTAGACTTTAATAAAGTATTGTGCAGATTGCCTCCTGGGAAGAAAATGAAGGAAATGAAGGAAATGAACAGTTACACTTTTGTAAATAGTCATCTACCTACGTGTGTAGATAATACTGACCTAAGATTGCTGGGGAGTTTACAAATCACCTTTACATACATTTAAACTGTAAAGTGCTATATATGTATGTAAAGTATTATGACTAACAAATTCTAAACTCTGTAGGGTTTTTAAAACATTAAAACATTTTAAAGGTATCAAATCTCTTTTTAGTTTTGCGTATAATTTAAGCTTTTCTATAATATTCTGAGCCATTAATTTTATAACTAAGGACGACGGGACAGTAGCATAAGCTTATGATGTGATCATGGTGATTGTCTTCATTTCAGTTAAAAGTTCTATAGGCTCACAGCCCTCATCCTAAACTGCTTAGGCGGCACTGTGTTGATTACTACACTTCCAGTTAAAATGGTTGTTGAGCTCTCTGTACTTGCTGTCCATAAATCCTATGATAGAACAAAATATGATGTTATTTGGGATAAGAAGTGTACCTGATTGATTGTTTCAGACTCTGGTTGAATGCCATCCAGCAGGAATAAATACTCACACTACTTTGAACATGCCAGAATGTGTCTCTGAAGAGGCTCGCTCACTCATTCAACAGGTAATTTAACTGACCTATTGGCCAGGTTTATCAACCATGCAGATTAGCAGAGCCCACAACTCCAAAACCTTAAAAAGAGATTAGTTTGGAGCAAGAAAAACCCATTTAACGTAAAACAAAGACACGTTCAGAATTAATACTGTATATTTTCAGGCTTTGCTATCATCAAAGTATTGATGGGGTCAGAGAGTATAGTTAAAACTTCTTGGTATTAATTTTTTTCCCAAAAATTTAGGGCTCACAGTCATTTCTGTATATTTGTGTAACTCTGTGATTTGAGTATTGCTTTTAGCTTGTCTGAGGCTGCTCTAATTTTGCAGTTACATTTTGTAACCGTATATGAATGGCTATTTTCAATTTTTAATTCTTACTTATAAGTTTACTCAGGTATTTATAAAGCTACTCAGGTTGCTTAGGAGAGACATATTAGAAAATCTTGTCAAGTTAGATACTTCATCATTGGTGGAACTTGGGCATTGGTGTCAGTGATTATATTTCTGGTGGCTTTGAAGAAAGAGACCATTGATAATTAAAGTTCAGTATCCCAGAGACAGGCTTGGAACTCCAGTGAACTTCTTAGATTGATTCCTCATACTTAAATTACTCTTCTAGTTTCGTGTAGTGAATTTTGCTGATATTGAGGGTTGTTAGTACTCTGGTGTGACAGGCCCATTGCTGGGCTATCAGCAGGAACAAGAAGGCCTGGGATCCTTATGCTTTTATGAAAAATATAATGGAAAAAGTTCCTTGAAAAATATCAAGAACTAAAATTATGTAATGAAACATGGATTTAAAAAAAAAAGTCAGGGAAAACAAAAATTAAAAGAGGGCAGGGGAGCATATATTAGGAAGATAATTGACTAGTATTCTCTTGAAGAGTGATTTTGCTTTCATTCAACAAATATTATATACAAGGCACAGTGCTATAAGCTACAAAGGTAAGACAGGTAAATAACCATACCACATGGAAATTGATAAAGGCTGTCAAAGAGTTTTAAAAAATACTGTGGCAAGTCAAAAGAAGGGGGCGGATATAATCCGTGGAGTGGTAGTATTAGGGGAAGTTTTTGTGGAATGGATGCTACTTTTGCTGGGCCTTAGGATTTCAGCATGGCAAGGATGTGGGGAGAATAGTCTTGGTGGAATGAATGGTTTGAACAAAGGCAAGGAAGGAGTCTGAAAGACCCAAGTTTAGGAAACAAAGTTTGATTTATCTGGAATAGAGAGATAAATAAAGGTATGGGTGATAGGTGAGCATAAAAAAATAAGTTGGGGTTTTCTTATGGGGTTCTATCATCACAAACACAAGAGTAATGTGATAATATTTAATTCATTAAAATTTGAGATTTGGAGTTTGTGGAGAAGAGTAAACAGTTTAGAGTTGTACTTCAGGAAGATTAATTTGCCCAGAGTATGCAAACTATAAAGAAACAATCAGGTTGGAAATGTTGAGATGAGAATACCTAGAGCACTTTAGATTAAGAGGTAATGAAGAGATACATAAAACATTTCATTCTAATGGAGAAAAAAAGAACAGCTATTCATTTGATTTCATCTTATTCGTTGTGGCACGAGATAAATTCCAAGTATTTTTTAGTAAGTAGTTTAGGAAAGACTGGCAACTGCTATTTTTTGTTTCTCTTCCTTAAAGAAGTAGTCATTATTATATAATATTAAAAATGGAATTCCTCATAATAAGTTACCAAGTTCTGCTTTTGTCTTTATTAGAAGTTAGGTTGTAAAGGAATCTAGGCTTAAGATATGGTAAGTCCCCAAACTCAGATATGTATAGCTTATATAGTAAATCAGCATTGTGTCATTGGCCTGCCTAAGGAAACTACCACTCATGTTGAGGAAACATCATCAGGAAAGGGAAAAGGGGTCTCTTGGCATGATTAGCAATTTGTCATTTTGACTTTCCTTTTCCACTACCTCACAGGTCATAGAGGTCACTTTAAAAAAAAATCACAAAATGATTTATATGGAAATAATTCTACGTGGGGGAAATTTTCTCCTCTTTGGTCTTTTAGCTCCTTGCTTTGTTCTTAGATCTCATAATCCCCTGTACCCCTGGTTCAGTTATCTGTCCAAGTCAAGCAAATGGTGCCAAAGTAAACATAATTACATTTTAAATGCAATCTTAAAAAAGTCCCTCAGAGCATGTATGTTTGTGCTTTAGCATGTACATTAGTTAATTATGACACAGTTGCTTGGTCAGTTTTAAGAAATTATGTGAGGAAAAGACCAAAACAAATTTTCATGCCCTCATTGCTCAGCTCTGTTGCCTATTCTTCAGGAGAAAGGAGGTTGGCAGCTGCTGTCTTGGATTCATTAACTTGAATGTGCCACTGGCTGACATTTTCTTAAGCAGTAGAATCTTTGTGTGACCTCTCTTGAGGTGTGCTATAGCCTTTAAAATGGCAGAATAAGCAAGATAGTCATAGTTAAAACAATTATACTTTTGCCTATAGATTTATACTTGCAGATATATAGAGGAGTTCATGAACTAATTAAATTGACTTTAGTAAAAGTCAAAATATGAACCTTTAGAATTTCACATTTAAAGTATATTTTAGAAAGAAGCCAGTTATTTATAATGAAGAAGAAAGAACTTACATGTTTATGTGTTTCCTGAAATACTAAATATAATTGTCATTGCAGTTAATTCTTAAAAATATTTGAAATGTTAGATTTATATTAAAATGTTTGGTGCCTTCCACATTTTAGTCAGTAGACATAAATTGTCTGATTGTGAAAGTGGATTTGATATATGTGGGATATTCCTGTGATGTTTGTTTTATAACAATAGCTTTTCTCTTAACAAATCGTAGCAACTACTAATATAAAAATTCTTTGAGCAATTAGGTTTAATCAACAGTGTAGTATGGTTCAATTTGAGTGCTAGAAATAATTTCAGGTAAAAGACTGTTAGTATAGTCTTTTGAAGTGTATGTTTCACTCCCCTTATGGATTTGGTAATACCCAAGTGAAGTAATAGATTCTTAGCATTTGCAGATCTCACTTTTGTGAGGCAGTGTAATGTTGTTGTTAAGACATGGATTCTGGAATCAGAATGCTTGAATTCAAATCTTTGCCACTTACTACCTGTGTTATCTTAAACAAGTTACTTAATTTCCCTGAGCTTCTGTTTTCTCAACTATAAAATGGAGATAATAGTAGCTATTCATAGAGTTGTGAGTTAAATGAGTTAACCTATCATAAGCACTTAGAATAAGTACCTGGCATGTGATAAGTGTCGTGTATATCTTTGTTATTATTATTGATAGGACAGTGACGAACATTCATGACACAGTAATTTGCAATTTGATGAAGCATATATTGGAATTATAGGGCTACTAATGAAGAATGAGGCTATTGCTATTGACACAGGTCAACAAAATTCCAAAAAAGTAGTGGACTGGCATATAATAGGCAAACAATTGATACTTATACAAATAATTGAATTATGAATGAAAGAAAAATTAGAAATAATGAAAAAGAGAAGAAATAGAAGTTTTGGTTAACATCCAAGAGTGGAATTTCCTATATATTGGACTACAAATGTTGTAAATAAATAATTTAATATTTCAGTTGCACTTGACTACTTTCTGTGGAAAAAAAATATGTACTGTGAGTATTCTTAAATTTGAGTGGCTGTGGCTTCATGAGTTAGTTGGCAGAGTTTCTTTCCCCCAAAAAGTATGAAGTTAGACAGATTTGGTAAAAAACCAGTCATTTCAGTGCTCTGGAAATGGATCAAAGGATACAACAATCTGAAAGGTGTTTATGCTTAAAAAACAGCTGAACTGGCCAGGCATGGTGGCTCATGCCTGTAATTCCAGCACTTTGGGAGGCCGAGGCGGGTGGATCACCTGAGGTCAGGAGTTCGAGACCAGCCTAATATGATGAAACCCTGTCTCTACTAAAAATACAAAAATTAGTCGGTCGTGGTGGTGGGTGCCTGTAGTCCCAGGTACTTGGGAGGCTGAGACAGGAGAATTGCTTGAACCTGGGAGGCAGAGGTTGCAGTGAGCCGAGATCGCGCCACTGCACTCCAGCCTGGGCAACAATATTGAGGCTCCGTCTCAAACAAACAAACAAACAAACAAACAAACAAACAAACAAACAAAAAACAGCCGAACTCTGGGCAAGAACAGTGGGACTCTTGACTCAGGCCTGCTTTCAATCTCCCCTTCCTGCTTGGTCAGGTGCAAAGGTTCTGCCAGGGTAGGGTAAACCATGAGGACTGATCCTGAGGCTGTATAAATGTGCACAGGAACAGGGAGTGGGCCCAGCAGAAAGTAAAAGCCAGGGCAGATGTGGTTTTGTGGCCTAAACTTTGAATGTGTTCTGCTATGCGTTGGCAGAGAACAGAAGCTTGAAGGGCTGAGATATTTGAATACAACCTCTGTTCAGTCACTGGTTGACCCATAGGCTATACAGACACAGGGGTGACCCCGAGAAAGCCAACTTTAAAAAGAAAAAAAAATGTGGAAAGTTGTCAGCAGCTGCACATTACAATGCAGTGGGAAGGGGACTTAGCAGCTTTACAGATCTAACTGAAACAAGTTACCAAACAAAGAACAAACAATCCAACAGCAATGATAAACTTCATGGGGAAAAAATCAGACTCTAGAGTTGCTAAAATATACTATCTAAAATGTCCTGTTTTCAGTGAAGTGTAGTGTAAGACATACACAAAAACAAAAAAAGTATGTCCCATATTCAGAAAAAAAATCAGTAGAAATTGTCTCTGAGTGTACCCAGACACAGGATTTATGAAGACTTTAAAGCAGCTATTGTAAATATTTCCAAAGAACTAAATGAAACTGTGTTTAAATTATTAAAGGAAAGTATGACAAAAATGAATCAACAAAGAGATTCTGTAATAAGGAGACAGAAAGTATATTTTTAAAAAACAGAACTAAGTAGAAGTCACAAGTTGAATAATACAATGACTGACATGAAAAATTCACTAGAAAAAAAATGACTGAAGTGGCTAACAGCAAATTTGAGATAGAGGAAGAAAGAATAAATGAACTTAAATTAATAGAAATTATTGAATCAGAAAAATGGACACAAAAATTGAAAAAAATGAACAGGACTATGGAAATCTGTAAGACAATAGCAAATGTACCAGTATACATATAATGATAGTCCCAGAAGGAGAGGAGAAAGGGAAAGGGACAGCAAAAAGAAATAATGGCTAAAAACGTTCCAAATTTGATTAAAAACATTAACTTATGCATCCAAGAAACTCAACAGACCCTATGTAGGAAAATACAAAGAGGTCTACACTGCAACATATTTAGACATATCCACACTTAACCAAATTGTTGAAAGGTAAAAACAAGAAAATTTTGGAAACAGTAAAAGGAAAATAACTTACATAGAAGGAAGCAGTAATGTCTAACTAATTATCAAAAACATGGAGATCAGAAGATATTGGAATGACACAGTCAAAGTGCTGAAATCAAGAAGCAGCAGTAAACCAAGAATTCAGCAAAATTATCCTTCAAAAATGAAGGTGCATAAAGACATTCCCAAATATAGAAAGACTGGGAGGATTTATTGCTAGCAGAACTGCCTTACAAGAAATACCACAGGAATTCCTTCAGGCTGGAGAGAAATGACACACCAGGTAGTAACTTAAGTCCAAGGAGGAAATGAGGAACACTGAAAATTGTAGATATGAGTTCATAGAAAAGACAAAAAAATATATATTTTATTTATATATAATTTATTTATATATTTATATATTGTATATATAAATATATATTTTTTATTTAAAAGACATAAAATTGCATGTAGCAACAATTATAAAACCATGCTATTGGGATTAACATATATAGAAGCAATATCTAAATATGACAATAATAGACAAAGGAAGGGGGCTATGGTAGAGCAAAGTTTCTACCTTTTGCTAAATTAAAGTTACTATTATTTTGAAGTAGATAAATGATCTTATAAGATAAGTGATATATTAAGTGATAAGATGCATATTGTAGGGATACAGCAACCACTTAAAAAAAAACCTAAAAACTAAATACTAAATGAAAATTAGTAGAGAAACTAAAATGGTACAGCAAAAAGCATTTAACACAAAAGAAGGCAGTAAAGGAAGAACAAATAAGACAGTAAATCTAGAAAACAAGTAGCAAAATAGCAAATATAAACCCACCGTGTCAATAAAGTGAATATCTAAACATGCCAAACCAAAGGCAGATTCTGTTAAGCTGGATCTTCTGTGCGTGAGAGACACACCTTAAATTCAAAAACACAAACAGATTGAAAGACAAAGGATGGAAAAGGATAAACCATACTAACAGTAACCACGAAAGAGCTGGAGTGGCAATATTAAATATCAGACAAAATGGATATTAAGATAGATTTACTAGGATCTGACACATGTTTCATAGTGATAGTACAGGGGTAGCTGTAACAGTTACAAATGTATATGCACTAATAATGACCTCAAAATATAGGAAACAAAACTGAACTGAATTGAAAGGAAAAATAGACAATTTAGTAATAGTAAGTGGAGGCTCAATACCCCATTCTCCATGATTTATAGAAAATTAGCAAGGACATTGAAGACTTGAACAAACTGTAACTGACATGTATAGAACACTTCACCCAGTGACTGCGGAACACACATTCTTATCAAGTACACACAAAACAATCTCCAAGATAGATCACATGCTAGGCCATAAAACAAGTTTTAGCATTTAAAGGAATTGAATTCATACACTGTATTCTGAATTACATTGTACACTGATTATAATAACCATAACAATCAAAGTAGAAATCAACAAGAGGAGGAGATCTGCTAAATCCACAAATATTTGAAAATTAAAACAGTATACTTCTAAGTTTAAATGCCTATATCAGAAAAAAAGGGAAGGTTTTTAATCAGAATCTTAGCTTGCACCGTAAGAAACTATGAAACAAAGCTAGATGTGGTTGTGTGCTCCTGTAGTCCCAGCTGCTTGGGAGGCTGAGGTGTGAGGATCACTTGAGTACAGGAGTTCAAGACCAGCCTGGGAAACACAGTGAGACCCTGTCTCTAAATTTAAAAAAGAAAGAAACTATGAAAAGAAACTGTAAAAAGCAAAGTAAATCCAAAGCAAGCAGAAGAAAGGAAGCAGAAATCAGTAAGATAGAAAACAGAAGAATAAGAAAAGTAAAACCACAAGGTAGTTCTTTGCAAAGATCAGCAAAATTGGGAAACCTTTAGCTGGTTCCAAACTGTGCATAAAAAGGCAAAGGAGCTATAATGTCCAAAACAATTTTGCAAGAGAACAAAGTTGGAGGACTTACACTATCTGATTTCCACACCAACTATAAAACCACGATAGTTTTAAGACCACAGTGTTTTTCTAACAAATGGCACTGGGAAATTGAATATGCACATGCTAAAAACAAAATGAACTTAGACCCTTCATACTGTTTGCAAAGGTTAACTCAGAATAGCTCATATATTTGTATATAAGAGTTAAAGCCATAAAAATTGTAGAAGAAAACAAAGGAGAAAATCTTTGATGTTGAGTTAGGCAAAGAAGTATTAGATGTGATACCAAAAGCATGGTCCATAAAAGGAAAAATTGATAAAGTAGATTTCCTTAAAATTAAAAACTTGTGCATTCAAAAGTCACCATTAAGAAAATGAAGACAATAGAGTGGGTGTGGTGGCTTATACCTGTAATCCCAGCACTTTGGGAGGCCATGGTAGGAGGACCTCTTGAGCCCAGAAGTTTGAGACTAGCCTTGACAACATAGTGAGACCCCGCCTCTATGAATAAATAATAAAAATATAAAAATTTTAAAGAAGGAAAATGAAGACAAGTCACAGACTGGGAGAAAATATTTGCAAATCATGTATCTGATAAGGGACTTATATTCAGAATATATAAAGAACTCTTGTAATTAAGTAAGACAGACAATTCAGTTTTAAAATGGGCGGAAAGTTAGATATTTCACCAAGAAAGCTATTTGAATGGCTAACGAGCACATGAAAAGATGCTCAACATTATTAGTTGTTAGGGGATGTAAATTAAAACCATAACAAGATACTACTAACATCAGGAGAAGGGCTATTATCAAAATGACAGTACCAAGAGCTGAGGATGTAGAGAAACCGAAATCCTCATACATAAAGGTTTGTGGGAATGTAAAATGGTACAACTACTTTAGAAAAGTTTGGCAATTTTATAAAAAGTTAAACATAAGCTCATTATGTGACCCAGCAATTCTGCTTCTAGCAATGTAATCAAGAAAAATGAAAATATATGTCTACACAAAGACATGTACATGAACGTTAATAGCAACATTATTCATTATAGCCCCAAACTGGAAAGTCTAAGTATCTAAAAACTAGTGAGTGGATTAATGAAATGTGGACATCCAAACAGTGGAATACTAAGAAAAAGGAATGGCCTGTTGATACCTGCTACAGTGTGGATGAATCTCAGAAACATAATGATAAGTGAAAGAAGGCAGCGTCAAAAGACTACATATTTTATTATTTTACTTATATGAAATGTTCAGAAAGGGCAACTTTATAGAGACAAAAGGCAGGTCAGTGGTTGCCGAGGGCTGGGGATGGGGGTGGGGATTAACTGTAGATGGCATGAGGAAACTTTTTAGGGTAATCAAAATGTTCTAAAAGGCCGGGTGCGGTGGCTCACGCCTGTAATCCCAGCACTTTGGGAGGCCGAGACGGGCGGATCACGAGGTCAGGAGATCGAGACCATCCTGGCTAACACGGTGAAACCCTGTCTCTACTAAAAATACAAAAATTAGCCGGGCATGGTGGCGCGCGCCTGTAGTCCCAGCTACACGGGAGGCTGAGGCAGGAGAATGACGTGAACCCGGGAGGCGGAGCTTGCAGTGAGTCGAGATCGCGCCACTGCACTCCAGCCTGGGCGACAGAGCGAAACTCCGTCTCAAAAAAAAAAAAAAAAAAAATGTTCTAAAACTGGATTGTGATGCTAGTTGCACAACTCTTTAAATTTACTAAAAGTCATCAAATTGTACACTTATAAGGGATGAATTTATATAAATTATCCTTCAGTAAAGTTGTTAACACAAAAATTTGACATTATTAAACCACAAAATTTTTTTTTACTTATTTTACACATGATTCCTATTTCTGAAGAAACCAAAACTTGTTTCATTCATTATATTAAATTATTTCATTTGTGTCAACTATGCCAAAGACTAGTGATTTTGGAATACTAATCAGCTTATTCACACTTTAGGTAAAGTTTAGTCTCAATACATACATAGTTGATTAGGGGTCGAAAGATTTACTGTGCTTCCCAAATTTTCTAATCATGAAGGAAGTAACTGGCTATCTCAGAATCTAGTGCAATATCTAATTAATGTCATGGTGTACTTTTGGGGTAGGAAATTGATAGGTATAACTATCCTATTATATTACATGAGGATGAGGGAAACAAAGTAAGTTACTCAAGGCCATGTTTCCCATCAGTTGAAAAGCCATAAACTCAGTTCAGGTGTCTCTCACACCCCACAGCTAGAATGGTATTAGACATAGCTCCCTTTCAAGAAAAATGGTCACTTGGCTATTAATCAAGACTGCTTGTTACCAGGGTTGAATTTAGAAGTTGTTTCTTTTCAAATATTGGTTTTCCTTTGATTTGCCAGTTGGATTCCTGTTACTCACTAAGTCCGTCTTTTTTTAGCTCTTGCAGTTCAATCCTCTGGAACGACTTGGTGCTGGAGTTGCTGGTGTTGAAGATATCAAATCTCATCCATTTTTTACCCCTGTGGATTGGGCAGAACTGATGAGATGAACGTAATGCAGGGTTATCTTCACACATTCTGATCTTCTCTGTGACAGGCATCTCCAGCACTGAGGCACCTCTGACTCACAGTTACTTATGGAGCACCAAAGCATTTGGATAAAGACCGTTATAGGAAATGGGGGGGAAATGGCTAAAAGAGAACAATTCGTTTACAATTACAAGATATTAGCTAATTGTGCCAGGGGCTGTTATATACATATATACACAACCAAGGTGTGATCTGAATTTAATCCACATTTGGTGTTGCAGATGAGTTGTAAAGCCAACTGAAAGAGTTCCTTCAAGAAGTTCCTCTGATAGGAAGCTAGAAGTGTAGAATGAAGTTTTACTTGACAGAAGGACCTTTACATGGCAGCTAACAGTGCTTTTTGCTGACCAGGATTGGTTTATATGATTAAATTAATATTTGCTTAATAATACACTAAAAGTATATGAACAATGTCATCAATGAAACTTAAAAGCGAGAAAAAAGAATATACACATAATTTCTGACGGAAAACCTGTACCCTGATGCTGTATAATGTATGTTGAATGTGGTCCCAGATTATTTCTGTAAGAAGACACTCCATGTTGTCAGCTTTGTACTCTTTGTTGATACTGCTTATTTAGAGAAGGGTTCATATAAACACTCACTCTGTGTCTTCAACAGCATCTTTCTTTCCCCATCTTTCTATTTTCTGCACCCTCTGCTTGTTCCCTCATATTCTGTTCTTCCGACTCCTGCTAACACACATGCAACAAAAAAGGGAAGGGAGTGCTTATTTCCCTTTGTGTAAGGACTAAGAAATCATGATATCAAATAAACATGGTGAAACATTAGATCTCTTCTTCATTTAATAACCCTCCCCCCTTTTTTTCCTTGAAGAAATGCGTCTGTTCCTTTCCTTGTGAAATATTATCAGTTTCTACCATTGCTTCTCATGCTTGACTTTGTTTTACTTTTTGGCTTGGTATACTAAGAAGCAAAGGATCTCATCTAAATGGAATTGAATGGCAGTCCTAGTTTGTTACTTATGGTGATGAGATTTTCAGATTTGAACTAATCTATTTGACGTGATTTAGAAAGAATGTAAGTATTCACACATCTCCAAACATTTGTATTTGTTACTTCTTTTTGTTGCTAAGGTAGCTCCTGTAGTTATGCATTGTTGCAAAAATTTACAAATGTTTTAAAAGTGTTAACATCTGTTTTTTTTTAAACGTTAGCCAAAGAAGAAGTCACTATTTCCAAGTTAGAAACCACCAGAAATAATTGAAATTTTTGATATGTTCTAATCTTCTTTGCATTTTTGAGATCTGTGTGAGAGCCCAACCCCACTCCAGGAGCATCTGTACAGCTTCCATCTGCCATCGACCAGGTCCTCTCATCAAATTAAATGGAACAGAAAATGCTCTAGTGAAACAAAGGAAATGTGCAAGCATTTTTCCTTTTTCTATTATTCTATTTCCCTTTTTCCTTTTTGGCCCCCTTATAATCCAAACCCCAGCTGAAAGGCTGCAACAACACCAGGTTGGGGAGCAGGTCACCAGGATCATAGTTCAGTCAAAATGACATCACTCCCTGGAACTAGATTTCAACTCACTAGTCCCCTGGCCTCATAACAGGAACTTATGCAGGTGAGACACAAGAATGACTTCCTGTGTAGGACTAGTAGGAAATCTGCAAGTACTTAGAGCTGGCCATTACAGAACTTCCTTCCAGAAGTGCCCTGTGACATGAAAGTAGGACTTCACAACTAAGGTGAAGATCCCTGCCCTACCACATGATTTGAGTCTCTTGGATTCAAAGGACATTAATGTCAACAGATGGTTGCCATGTCAGTCTGTTGACACAATTCCATTGCTTCAGTTTCTCCCCTTTTCTCTCTATATGTTTGGTTGGAGCTTGTGCCTAATGTAAATACATCATTCATAATTAGAATGGACATTAATTATTTTAGTAATAAACACAGGATAAATAGCTTTGGGGTGATGAACCAGAGTCTGTTTTTATTTTATGGTGTGTACATATTTTAAGCTGTACTTCTGTGAATGGTACTGATTTTTGTGGTTGTTTTTTTTTTATATTTTGTTTGTTTAAGCAGAAGAGTGGAATATGGGGTCAAAATCATAAAAGAAGTTGCCATGAGTGTTTCTCATTTGATTTTTTTATCGTAAAATATACATAACATAAAATTCACCATTTTATCCGTTTTAAAATATACACTTCAGTAGTGGCATTAAGTACATTTTTGTGCGACATCACCACTATCCATCTCCAGGACTTTTTCGGCACCTCAAATGGAAACTCTGTACCCACTAAACAATAACTCCTCCCCATTCCACACTCCAGCTCCTAGCAACCACTATTCCACTTTCTGTCTCTATGAATTTGACTGTGACTGTTCTAAGTACTTCATATAAGCAGAATCATACAATATTTGTTTTTTGTCCTTATTTCACTTAGCAAAAAGTTTTCAAGGTTCGTCCATGCTGTAGCATTTATCAGAATTTCCTCCCTTTTAAGGCTGAATAATATTCCATCATATGTATTACCACATTTTGTTTAGCCATTCATCTGTCAGTAGACATTTGGATTGTTTCTACATTTTGGCTGTTGTGAATAATGCCATTATGAATATTGATGTACAGATATTTGAGTCTGCTTTCTGTCATTCAATTTTGTGTTTTATTTTTATGTAAAATTACCAATATCATTCACTATTATTCTACCATGATCTTTATAGAAGGGTTTTTCCAGATAGATTGCAAATGCCATTATGGTGCAGTGCCACTCATCCTAAGATATAATATAAAAATCTACTGTTTCTATGTCAAAGATGGATAAGTTAAGCTTCCCAAGAGTGAAAAGAATGTCATTTTAGCCATTTAACTGTGACATGAAATAATACTATTTGAGACATGGACCTTTTCAACTTGTTATAATGACAACATTTTTTTTTTATTTGACAAATAATAGTTATGTATATTTATGGGGTACAATGCGATATTTCTATACATGTATACATTGTAGAATGATCAAATCAGGCTAATTAACTTATCCATCACCTCAAATACTTATCATTTCTTTGTGGTGAGAACATTTAAAATCCACTCTTTTAGCTATTTTGTAATATACAATATGTCGTTAACTGTAGTCACCATGCTATGCAGTAGATTGCCAGAACCTATTCTTCCTGTCTAACTGAAACTTTTACCCTTTGACCAACGTCTCCCCTTACCTCATTCTCCCCTGGCCCGCAGCCTCTGGTAAGCACCATTTTACTTTCTACTTCTATTAATTAACTGAACTGTTGATAATATATTTAGACCTGTCTTTTAAACAGCTGCAATACCTATTGTGTTTTGACCTTCATGCTTTTCCTGTCTTCACTTATTTCAAGGTCAGTGTGAACCAAGATTGATTGACCTTTGCTTTCAAATGGTGCATGTACTGAAGAGCATAAAATGTATAGATAGTACTCATGCTATAACCAGTAACACTATATTAGAGCTCCACACCTAGTATGCCTTGATTGAATTTGCTTGCCCACAAGTTTGGAATCCAAATAGCAAGAGGTCTGACTAGAGCCCTGAGATTCTGCCTCCCAAGGGCTCCTCAGAGCATATTTATCGGATTCACTTAGGGATATCTTTCTAGTAAAGATGATCAGTTTCTAAGCATAAAACTGATCATCTTTTTTCTTTAGAGGACTTGATTTAAACTCTGGTATATCTAAATGGTTTGGGCAGTGGAGCCTGGTATTTCAAGCTCTTTCTTCGAGAATTGTGCAATAATGCAAAGTCTAGAGTGGTGTCCTGGTCATGTCTCTGTGACTAATTAGCCATGTAACCTTAATCAAATAACACTCTCCTGGACCTGTTCCCTTACCTATAGAATGAGAGGGTAGGTGAGTTCTAAGCTTTACAAGTATATGATGGATTTTTGGTTTTTCAGAGTGAGCTAATTTGATAAAACAACATTATAGGAAAGGCAAGGTTAATGAAAGTCTTAAATTGGTACTTAACTGTTTTCTTATTGTTTTTCTAGTAATCCTAGATGCTTGGGTTGCTGCCGTACATCTGCTCAGTAGCATAGCCCTTGGTGGTTATATAGTTGTAAAATTACAATTAAAATGAGATATTAAAAGGTTGTTTCTCATTCAGTTCTACACTGGAAAAGGAGAGTTGAAGGTCCAGATAGCAGTACATAAAGGTGAAAGGAGGTTAGGACCACACCTACGTTTGCCTGTTTCCTAGACCTTTCTCAGTAACTATGGTGGTATTTGTACACCTGTTGCCCTCATCTGTCATATTTTGTGTGTTTATTTGACTCAGTCCTTTGGCAGGCATAATCAGAGTAAAAAATGGATACTTTCTGTTCCTATTTAGTGCAGAACATTAACCTCTACCAGTCTAGGTAATTTAGATTTTTGATTATTTTATGTCTACTAGGCTCATTTTAAGGATTTCATATTAAGCCCTCATGTTGAAGGGTTACTGAATGGCAAAAGCTGTGAAGTCAGCTATTTCTAAATAAAGTTGTAAACAGAATAGCAGCAGGGAAATGGAAAGCAAAGTACTACAGGTTTTTGTGACTCAGCATCACTTACTCTCTCAAGGACAGTAAATAGGAAACCGGAGAGCAAGCTTCCTTTTTGGTAAGATTTATGATCCTGCTGGTGATATGTAGTCAGATGGTTTGGCCTTGTATTTTTGGTCCCTATCACATGATTTGCCACCTTGATCTAGCTGTCTCATCTCAGGGAGAAATGGAGGCAGAGAGAATTTGTGGCGGTGTAAGAGAGAAAGTAACCTGAGTGAGTAAGTTGGGCCAGGGAGATGCAGCAGAGCACTTGGCAGGCATGTTGGCCCAGGTACCTGGAGCAATAGAGAGCCTTCTTTATTCATCTGGATTTAAAGTCTAATTCTTTGTTCTTCCCCAAGGAAGGGTGAGGCAAAAACTGACGCTATTTCTACTATCCCAGGAAAAGAGATGGCCAACCTGCCTTTTAGGAAAGAATTAATTGACATGCTTATCCTAAGTCAGTTCTATCTCCATCTCCTTGCTAAAGACAGCTGGTACAACTGGTAGTTAAGGCAGAGGCCATGAGTGTTTGCGAAGGGCTGTTGTGATTTCTTTTGGGCAGGAATGCCTCTTTAATGTGGTAGGAAAGAATGACAAATGAGCCAGCTTTGGGGTACATTTAGAATTGCTGGCATCTTGCTTTTGTAAATGTCAAATTGAAACACATCAAAAATTTCATATCAACTCTGTTGATCAAATTCTTCCTAAAGCTGGGTGCAGTGGCTCACGCCTGTAATCCCAGCACTTTGAGAGGCCAAGGCGGGTGAATTGATTGAGTCCAGGAGTTCGAGGCCAGCCTGGGCAACATGAAGAGAGCCTGTCTCTACAAAAAATACAAAAATTAGCTTGGGCACGGTGGCACGAACCTATAGTCCCAGCTACTTGGGAGGCTGAGGTGGGAGAATTCCTTGAGCCCGGGAGGTCAAGGCTGCAGTGAACCACGATCACACCACTGTACTCCATCCTGGGCAACAGACTGTGACCTAGACTTAAAAAAAAAAAAAATCTTCCTAAAGTTTGGGTATTTGGTTAGGAATCCACAAGACAGATGTTTGATTAACCCCACCAAGAGACAGATGTCAAAGGGGACTGTAGAAGAATTGGAGCCTGTTTCAGTGCCAATATAATGACTGAAGTGTGTTGTTGCCCTTATTATGTGGGATATACATATAAAATTGATCCAATGGAAAACAAGAAGAAAAGGAGAGGTAATGTTTGCAAGACATTTGAGATAATTTGTAGAACACTTGAGTCTCTCAGGATTGTTATAGGAAGAAAATGTGTTAGATATTTGAAGGGTCTGTCTTTAGCAAAAGGATTCTAAATGACTAAGAAAACTTCTTTAAAATTGAACTCTTCCCCCGACCGTATGCTTCTACTGCTCTCTCAATTCTTCTTTCTCTCTTCATCCCCTCTTCATCCACCCCTCCCTCCCATTATGGGCTTCTCTGGTCTCTGAACAAAAGATATGGCACCTGCCTTCAAGGATCTTATAAAACACAGGGGAAAGAAAGAAGCATAAATAATAAGTAGGGCAGAATGTGGCAAGTGTTATAAAGTACAACTGGAGTATGGTGAGCATACAAAGGAGAGATCTGAGGAGCTGCAGGAAGCCTTCCTGTATAGGAGCAGGACCTTGAAGTGTAGATAGGATTTTTAAACATAAGATTTTTTTTTCCTTTTTTTATATTTTGTTTGGAGAGAAGGAAAGTTCTCGGGGGGACAAAAAGACTGTTGTGTATAAAGGCATGGAGATGGGAAAATGGAAAGCTATGCGTATTCTGTTTTGGCTGGTTCGTAGATAACGTGAATTTAAAAGGTAGGTTGGGGCCAGGTTAAATGCCATGCTGAGACATTTGGACTTCATTCTCTAGGTTGTGGGGAACTAGTGATGTTTCTTGGAGAGCTGGCATTATTGCAGCCTACAGTTAAAAGAGATAATTTTAGGGTTAGAATGGAGAATAAATTGGAGAAAGAGAGATTAGAGGCAGGGAAAGCAGTTTGGAGTTATTGCAGAAATTCAGGCAAGAGATAAAGTCCGCAGTTAAGGTGGTAGAATATAAATGAGGGGGTACTTAATCATCCTCATCTATTTCTCTCAAGTGTATAGAGGTAGAGTGTTCCTATCAAATAATTGCTTTCCCTTTTTCTTGAAGTCAGTTTATACTAGGAGATTATGGACTGTTGTTTGTAAAATCACCCCCAAGGAATCACCAGAGAGAGACAAACCAGGAAAACTTATACACTTTTTCCCCCATTGGTTGATAATGATATTCACTATTCAGAGCTTAAAACCCCTGGGTCCTAACTCACTCTTTGATCATTTTGTGGCACTTTTTCCCACATTTTGCTTTAAATAGTTGGTTTGCTTTCTATTTGGATAGTGTTCTGATCTTTGCTCTTAGAAGACATTACATCCTGCCAGGTGACTTCTCTCTTTGTACCAGACCTCTGACATACATTTAGCTTAGCTCAGTGGTTCTCAAAAAGTGGTCCCCAATCTGGGTCAAGGGAATATGGATGATTTTTCCTCTTCTTGCAACTTTTCTTTAAATTTGAAATTATTTCCAAATAAAAGCTTTAGGAAAATGAAAAAAATAAGTGATCCCCAGGTCATCAACGTTAGGATTACCTGAGAATTAGTTAGAAATGCAAATGCTTGTCCTCATCCCAAACCTATTGAATTGGAACTCTGAGGGCTGCCACAGCGGTCTGTGTTTTAACAAGCCCTTTCAGATGATTCTGATGCTTGCTCAAGTTTGGGAGCTACTGGCTTTGTTTGAATTCAGGTTATCGCCTCTGCCTTGCCTGATCATGGGCATCCTACCCTGTGGTATATGTTTTGAGTTTGAAGACATTTTCAGTGTTTATCATATTTCCTAGGAAGCTTGCCCAGGAGTCCTTGTGTCGGTGGGAAAGGGTGATAGGAGAAGATAGATAATGAAGACAAGGAGGAAGGGAAAAGACAAGGGGATCAGGCAGTTGGATAAAGAGAAAATCGGGGCAAAATGAAGAGCACTTGATGGGCAGTGGTTCAGTTCCCCCAAAGAGATTCAGGCAGTCTGTCAGAGTTACTTGTAATCAAATAACTCACCCTTTGTAGACAGCTTCTGTTACCCATTTCAGAAATAGATGGCATAAACATCAAATTATAGTTATAATTCCTTTGATGACTTGTATAGTGTTGGGTTTTCTGCTGCTGCTTAAGCAAAACCACAGTGGAAATTCAGTATTTAGTCCCTGTGTTGTTCAAAATCTGAATGCAAAGAATCAAAACCAAGTTTGGGAAAGATACCAGAATGTTCTCATTGGATTCTGACCTTGTAGCAGAGCTGCTCTGTGTTTTCTTTAAAACTGGGGAACTCAGTGGGGGATGGTTTCTGGGTAGGCTTGGTTTTACCTTTTAAAAATGGACTTCATAGTAGTAAAGTGAAATTAGATGTTTGCTGAAGGTTAAGTGTGTATGTGTGGGGTGAGGGGAATGTGGGTGATTATCTTTCACTTTAAATTATGGATCTTTTGTTTATAAAGGGCCAAGATTATTAGATGAGATTTTTAATAAAGTATATTTTGACCTCTCAATGGGCACCTTTAAAATGTTTAGATAATCTTGTGTCTTTAACAGGTGGGATTTCAGAGTCAGCAGTTCCTTCATCTGTCTCTATGCTGTGCCTGAACTCAGCCTTAATAATAATGTGCTGTTCTTTTTTTAAAGTGACACTATTGCCAAAATCACCATTTGATAGAACAGGCTTTGCACTGCTTTCTTCCAGTGGTGGGCAGGGATTCCCACTAAATATCCTTCCCCTCCCCTCCCCACCCACACACACACTGATTATGACCAGAGGCACACTCAAGTGTTTCTGGTTAGGAAATGTAGTATCTGGTGAACAGAGAGAGGCCAGTTTGATCCTAGGAGAAGCAACCCTCCAGCTGGTAAATGACCTTAAGGGGCTATTTCCCCCATCTTCAGACTGCAGAGGCCCAGGTGCTTTTCACCACATAGTCTGTCTCTTATTCTCACTTGCGCATATACCTGTCTTTCAAGTGTAAGGCTCCGAGTAACTCTTCATAAACATGATATGGGGGAAAGGGGACACTGGATAGAATTTGCTATTTTGAGAACATGCTTTTTATTGTCATCTCTTCCTTCAAACCCTAAACTGGGGTTCAGCCCACCCTTTCTGGGCCATGCCTCCACCTAATGTGATTAGGGCAGGGCCTGAAGCCTCTATCAGGCAGGTACTTCCTTACCAGCAGAAGTCACAGCAAGGCACAGGGCTGCCTTTTGCCTGCACCCCATTCCTGTGAGCAGAACACCCCTGATCATACCTTTCCTGATTATAGACTGTGATCTGCATCTCGCCCTTGCCATTTAGTTGGCCTTGCTGGCATTGGTAAATCTTGGCACCCAGAGAGCAGGGAGCGACAGCCATCCTGATGTTGCCACTCTCTGTCCCTCTGCTGCAGATTTAAGCTATATCCCGTAGCTTATCTCCACTGTGGGCTATCATGGTTTGAGGGAAAGGAGGGGAGAGCAGTTGCTGCCTGCTGCAGCTGTCTCCTTTTGAATCAACCACCCCCACTCCCCAGGTGCCAAAACAACTCGCTGGGTTTAGAATGCTCCCGTCTCTACCTCTCCCGCCCATTGCAGCATTGGTAGCAGCTTTCCAACGAGTCTTTTGTTGTGGAAGCTCTAAATCCATGGTAGGGAAATTACCAAGAGACTCTTCCACAGTCTGCCCTCCCTCCCCTTGCTCCGTCTCTTTCTTTCCTTCCTTTGTCTCCTTCCGTAGCTAGGGTCAGAATCCCTAGCCAGACTGAGAACATGGTTGCTATTCCAGGACCCAGATGCCAATATGTGGCAGCATCTGGCTTATTGGCAAGCATTGCCGGCAGTTGTGCTGGCTGCTCCTCGGCCTGTCATGTGGCTGAGCCTACTGATGGGGGCCCTGTCACAAAACGGAGTTTCTTTGAGAATATGGTTTCAACCAAGGAGCCCACCAGAAAACAATGAGCTGTGCGGAGAGGACATGAATTATTGGGCAGGGTGACTGCGGACTATAGCTTTGATGCTGATCCTGGACCTGTTTTGCAAAAGTTTCTGTTTCATGTTGTTGAGACGGCTCCTTGTGTAACCTTACCTTCTTGTGCTGTTAGTGTTTCAGGTGCCTTAAGGCATGGAACTCCTTGAAAGAGAAACACAAATCACTAAAAATGTTGAGATAAAATCCTGCTCCTCAGAGGCGCCTGCTTGGCACAGGGAGTGCATGATAACAGCTTGCTTTAGAAAGGTGACATTTCTGCTGAAGGCTGAATAATAAAAAATGCATTTTAAAAACTCAGCTCTTCCGTTTCTTCTGATGGTTGACTTTTGGAGTGAAGGCCATTTCTTCTATGCGAAGGGTCTTTCCGAGGCTAGCCTCTCTAGCCCTCAAGCATGGCCATATTAACTCTTGTCATCATTGATGAGGCTCTGGAGCTTTTAAAATTAATTAGCACATAATAAGGCTTTAAATACTTTTTTCAAGGTGCAAACACTGAGTGCTCTGAAATGTGTCAAACACTGTCCAAGGCATGGAGGGGTAGAGACAGAGATGAAGAACACAGGGTTTCTGCCTTCGAGGATGCAGGTTATTGGTGACCAGATTACATATGCTTTCATTATTTGATTTCTATACAACCTGTACAATTAGGGCAAATGATATGCTCTGTGTTTTACAAATGGAGAAACTAAGGTCCTAGGAAGTTGACTTATTCCAGTTGGCATGGCCAGCTAATAAGATCTGTGATTGGAAACTAGATGGTTGTAGTTCTGCTTCACTAAGTGGATGTACATTGAATTCTTGGTTATACATTCCTAAGGGCAGGAACTGTGTCTAACTTTCGGCAGCTCTGCTCACAACTAACAACCTCTACTCGCTCCGTACATCTCCCTTCCCAAACACATACATGCTATAATACAGGGACTCTGCGAAACTGAGGCCTGTGACAGACTGAGGGAAGGAACCAAGAAGAAGCAAAAATTAGCTCAAATTAAAAGATGTGCTGCTGCTCCTGCTGTTGCTGGGAAGATAGCAAAGATGGCGGTAGCATACTGCCCACATAATCCCCCACAAAAGCATGCAGAGCAACTGGATAGCAAAATAAATTCGTAGACAACATTTGCAACAAAACTAGGTGACAAAACATTAATCCCAAAGTACAAGCAGTTGGGGACGAAATACCTGCAAGACTTGCATGGTATGTGAGAGAGAGAAGGAAGCAATAGTGTAACTTCTAACTTGACCTGAGAACAGGAGAACCCCAAATAGCCAACTGGTGTTCACTGGGAAGCTCAGTGGCCCAATTTGAGAGCAGCAACTGAAGGTGGAAGGTGTTTTGCCCACTCTAACACCTGGTAAGTGCTAAGAGCTCGAGATAGGGGGGATTAGAGGGCTGACCTTTGAACTCTCAAAATTGACCTGCCAGCACTGCCTTCTAGTGCTGGGCCCTATGCTTAGGAGAGATTGCTGGGAGTGGAATTAAAAGGGAATAGTCTAGGGACAAGAGAAGGGTCCAGAGCAAAGGAAGGGAAGAACAGTTGGGAAATTTCAGAAAGCAAGATGTCATGCTTTAAAAAACCACCAAAACAACAGAAGAGGGAGCTTGGTGAAGTTAGAAATGTTTTTTTTTTACTTAACTCACTTTATTCTCATAGTTGAGGAAAACTAATTTCATGTAAAAATGCACAACAGAAAAGAATCAACATTAAGTGCCACTCAAAGATAACAAAAAAGAGAAATAGGAACAGAATAATACCTTTACAAATAAAGGTAGCATTCCAGAAAGATGTGTTCACAAAACAGAGTAAAACTAATAATTACAAAATGAGCTGAAAGATATTTTAAAAAGTATAGAAGACATGAACCAAGAAAAATTAGAAAGCTCAGAAATGAGTTGACAACTCAGGAAAAAATTAGAAATTAAAGAAATATTATTTCAGAAATGAAGACTAAATTAGAGGGCAAAAGAGTGAATAGGCTGGACACACTGGCCCATGCCTGTAATACCAACACTTTGGGAGCCTGAGGCCAGTGGATTGCTTTGGCCGGGAGTTTGAGACCAGCCTGGCCAACATGGCGAAACCGTGTCTCTACTAAAGTACAAAAAAACCGAGCATGGTGGTGCACACCTGTAATCTCAGCTACTCAGGAGGCTGAGGCACAAGAATAGCTTGAACCAATGAGGTAGATGTGGTGAACTAAGATCTTGCCACTGCACTCTAGCCTGGGTGACAGAGCAAGACTTGGTCTCAGAAAAAAAAAAAAAGTGAATAAATACAACAGAAGTATGAATCAACACAACAGAAATATAAGTTGAAAAGGAATTTAAAAAATTTTTTAAGTAAAAAGGATTGAAAAGAAAGTGCCAGATATTGAAGTAGGCAAGAAGATGGAACTTGTTTAGTAGATCACAAAGAAAACCAATGCAAGGGAACTGAACTAATAAAAACTAATTCAAGAAAACTTCTGAAATTTAAAAAAAAGCACCATATGAAAAAAGCACACTGCATAACTGAGAGTGTTTACAGTATGACTAATACCAAAAAAAGGAAAAAGTACTTTGAGCTTCTAGAAGAAAAAGCACATGATTTACAAGGGAAAACATTTCTAGTTACACTTCTCAACAGCATTTTATAGAAGGGCAAAAGTAAAAGAACATTTAAAATACTCAGTGAAAGAAAGAGAGCCAAGGATTTTATATCCAGCAAAACTGACTTTTAAGTATAAAGGGCACATGTGGTTATCAACATGGAGAAACTCAGAAAGTATTTTTCCCTGTCTTAGTTTGGACTACTATAACAAAGCGCCATAGACTGGATGACTTATAAACAACAAAAATTTATTTCTCACAGTTGCGGAGTCTGCAAGTCAGATAAGGGTACCAACATGGTTGGGTTCTGGTGAGGGCTGCCTTCTGGGTTGTAGACGCCGGCTTGCTGTGTCCTCACACAGGGGAGAGCAGAGAGAGGAAGCAAGCTCTCTGTGACCCTTAAAAGGACACTAATCCCATTCATGGGGGCTCTACCCTTATGACCTCATCTATCCTAATTACCTCCTGAAGGCCCCATCTCCTAATGCTGTCATACTGGGGGGTAGGATTTAAGCATGAATTTTGGGAGAACACAAAGATTCAGTCTATTGCAGTTCCCACGAGTTCTTCGTAAGAAACCTAGTAGAGAATGTATTGTAGACAACTGAAATGAGAAAGACCTTAGCATACAAACTAAAGAATTAAAGTTACCTGTAGAAATATGACTAAAGGAGGACTAAGAAGGAGACAGCACAGTGTGTAATGGCTATATGCTCTGACCATGTAATAGAACTGCTTTTCTTAATGGAGAAAGTAGCAAGAGTATATGCAAACGATTTGCAATGTTTTTGGTAATCTTGGTGGTGGTGGTATTGTTATTTTGAGATTTACTGTGTCATGTGGTGCTATGATCTGAATCTTGGTGTCCTCACAAAATTCCTGTGTTCAAACCTAATACCCAAAGCAGTAGTATTAAGCTGTGGGGCTTTGGGGGAAGTAATAATTAAGTGGTAAATGGGACTAGTGCTCTAATAAAGGAGATTAAAGAAAGCTGCCTAGCCCCTTCCACCATGTGAGGATGCAGCAAGAGAGCACCGTCTTTGAAGCAGAGGGCAAGCCTTCACCAGACACTGAATCTGCTGGCACCTTGGTTCTGGGCTTCCCATCCTCCAGAACTGTAAGCAAAAGAATTAAGTTGTTTATAAATTACCCAGCCTAAGGCAGAACCGTCTGACGTGGGACAAAACAGATAATATTGGAATGTCATAATTCTGCCATGTCTTCTGCTTTTAAGAACCAGAATGAAAGAGTCTGATGTTGTCGAGAAGTGGTTATGTAAAAACTGAGGATAGAATTTGAATAGAAATTCTCAATATAAATGTATGAGATGTTTTTATCTTTGAATCAATAATATTTCCTAGTTTATCCTACTGAAAGCCCTTAGAAACAGTGTCCAACTTAGCAGAGAGTGTATCTAGAACCCAGATTGTGGTTTTGAAAAACTGCTTTATTCTAAAAGAAATTAGGGCTTCTTGGAGCAATAACTGTGGTGCAGGAAGTTTACAAAATGCAGCTGAAACATTTTATAAGATAACACAGAAACTATCAAAGATTTTTGGGGTCATGGCAAAAGGACTCAGAGCCTCCTACTGGCCACAGGTGGGACAATTTGACCTTCAAAAATAATAATTGATACATCCTATATATTTAAATGCACAACTTGACATTAAAAAGAATTGATCACCTTTGGAGAATTACAGGGAACCAATTCGCTATCTTGAAATCTGGGAAATGAAGGGATTCAAGCATTTATCCTGATTTTTATGTGAACTATACCACTGAGTATCCAAATAATGAGAGGTAGAGTGTCTTTATAAAACTATTCCAGCTACAGAATGAAAAAGAAGTGATAGAATATTCCCATTTTGCAGTCTTCAATGGATGGATACAGGCATTAAGCATCAGTGGTTGGTAAGATCACAAAAAGACAATCAGACAGGAGCCTCCTGTAGTATTGCCAGACACCACCTTGCTAAAGGGATACAATCTGGGTTTGAAACTGATGTGGATCAAGCTGCTAGCTTGCAGGAAATACAGAAGGCACAGAAACATGTTGACTGCCACCATGAGTATGCAGTTGGCAACAGACACTGTGGGCAACTATAGGACAAATAGTCTGGGTTCTTTAACAGGTAATTTGTAAAGAAATGAAAAGTAGGTAAGAGGAACCAATAGATTAAGAAATAATTGAAAGATATATTTTTAAGAAGTATTTTTAAGAAGTGAAAGACTAAACAATAGTATCTAGAGATGCACATTTGGGTGATAAAATGATTTTTAAAATGCAAAGAAATGAGAACTATAACAGGATCATTGGTGCATTGGGGGAAGGAAGATTATGATTGGTTGGGGCACGTGAAGGAACTTCTGGGGTGCCTATACAATGTGTGTGTGTGTGTGTGTGTGTGTGTGTGTGTGTGTGTGTATTTTTTTAAGTGGAAAAGATAAAAGCATCTGGATGCTGGCTATCGTGTCCATTTACCAGACGTCATTTCTACAGGGCTACTGCTAGCCTTTATTGGTATCTTTGTGCAACTTAGGAAACGACCACTCTTCCTCAAGGCATTTACTGCTATTGGCCAGTAAATATAAATCTACAATGCCTAGGATGTAGCAAGTGCCTCTTTGATGGTGTCCTTGTGCGGTGTACAACATGTACAACTTTATGAAATGGACTTGGGTCTCTGGTTCAAGCTCATCTTTGTTCAGTGTTATCAAGGAAAGGATTTTTTTTTGTTATTGTTTTTTGCAAGCACCGTTTTGTTCTTTCAAGAACTTTATGGCAATGCAATTTTACAATCCGGTGGGATACACAAAGCGCTCTTCTAGCTAATATTTCTCTTGCTCATTTTAGCATGCGGTATCCCTGAGGTAGAATTAAGTACTTCGTGAGATGTTATGTAGTATTAAAAATGTTTAAGAGGGCTGGCTGGCTGCTGAGGCAGGAAGTTCCATGGCATACCCCTGCTGTGGCTAGCACCACTGGGGCTCTAGACCTCATCTTGGCTAAGTCTAGAACTTGATTGACCATAATTAATTAGATTCAGTGAAATAGACCCACATTAACAAAAGTTCAAAAGGTGTGATATAAATCAGAATATCTGTTTATTAATCTTTCATAGTAATAGTAACTGCTAAATGAACCAGAGTGCTCCTGTTAGCACCTATTCTCTCCGCACTAGGCAGGTAGCTTTGAAGCCAGGAGGTTGTGTGGTTTGCAGAGTGAGGCGGATGATCCTAATGGTTGGTGACATTCTCATCTTATTCTGTTCCACCCATCACTACTCCAGGGAGAAACCTGCCAGGTGGACCAAAACACTTGTGTCAACCGTGTCAACATTGCGCAATGCACACACTTACACATTCTTACTTGCTAGCTTATCTTCCCAGACTTCATACTGGGGGAGGAAGGGAATACCATCCCAGTCAGCCTGAGCATCTGGGTCGACCCTAGTGATTAGTGGCATGACAGTTGAAGCAACCAGCTCACCTTGCATACAAAGAATTTCAGGTACATAAATCTAACTCACATGGAGCACTTTCCATAGACTAGACAAAAGGATGAACCAACAATGGTTTCTGATCTTAAGTAGCTTACAGTCTAGAAGGGACAGATTCAAACATTCCTTTCCCATTTTTATTAGTTTCCTGCTTTTAACTTATAACCTAGTAGGGCCAGATTTAAACATTCCTTGCTTGCTTCCACTAGTTGATACCTATAGATATATGGTGTGATTGAATCAGAGAAAGCCATAAAGTAAACTTCGATTTGGCTTGTGTCTGGACTATCACAAAATTCATATTATTGCATTTCTGTGTAAGTAAAGTTTCAGTGAGTTTCTTTCCTTGGGTGGTTGTATAACAGGACTGAACTATACCTGAACTCAATCCCTACATTTTATCAGATTGGATTGGATCTATTGGATCCTGCTGGATGTAGCCTTATCAGGTAGAAGCCTGCTGTTCAGTTCTGTATTTAGAGAAACAACAGAAACTTCCTGTGCGAATGGCAAAGTACCGAGAGAGAGGACATCATCTCTCCACCCTTCCTTTAATGCTGTAGGTCTGTGTGATTGGGATTGGCTTGTTGTTTGTTTGTTTGTCTGTTTTTTAAATCTGACACAGAACATGGAACTCTTAGTGCTGCTGCTTCAGGTTTCCGAAGCGCATCCTGCTCTGAACTTCGGCGATGCTGGTCTGTGAGCCCCCTGCTGTTCCTCAGGCGCCCCCAGCCACAACCACAGGGCCACTGTATTATCTTCTCACATGCCTGGCATCAGGTCTGGAAACATAGTATCTAAAATTAAAGAGTTCTTTCCGTCCTGGAATTTTGAACTAACCTTTAGAGCTCAAATGAGGGCTGGATGATGACAGCAAAAGAATTAATCTGGGGAGTTGGATGCTCAAAAAAAAAAAAAAAAAAAAAAAAGACTTAAAGATCCCATCCCTTAAATATATTGGACCTGGAATGGAGATGATTTATGTATATTTTGGATTTAAAAGAGTTTTGTAAAGAAATTTTTTTTCCACGACTTTTTGGTTTAATTGCCTGGCATGGTGGGAAATCCCAACACAACAGCGTGGAACTGGGGCATGAAAAGCAGCAAGTGAAACGGATTTATGAAGCCCATAAATAAAAATGAAACTCATTTCATTGTCCAAATTGAGTGGAAAGGCACAATCTATCCCAATTCAGATAAATGGCAGAATGGGACACGCATAGGGGAAAGTTGTTTCCATTTTAATAAGGCAAGATAATGGGTGTAGCATAACTGAAGAATTTCAGAAAAAGGGACATTTCATTTTGGCAGACTTGACCAAGGAGGCATGTTACTTCTATCTACTCTATGAGGAAAATGTGCTTTTCCAAAAAGAATTACAATAAACTGCATATTTAAATCATGCCTCAGGCCAGGTGCAGTGGCTCATGCCTGTAATCCCAGCACTTTGGGAGGGCGAGGCGGGTGGATCACTTGAGGTCAGAGTTTGAGACCAGCCTGGCCAACACGGTGAAACCCCATCTCTACTAAAAATACAAAATTTAGCTGGGCGTGGTGGCGCGTGCCTGTGATCCCAGCTACTCGGGAGGCTGAGGCAGGAGAATCTCTTGAACCCAGGAGGCAGAGGTTGCAGTGAGCCGAGATCGCACCATTGCACTCCAGCCTGGGAGACAGAGCAAGACTCAGTCTCCAAGGCTGAGGCAGGAGAATGGTGTGGACCTGGGAGGCGGAGCTTGCAGTGAGCCGAGATTGCGCCACTGCAATCCGGCCTGGGCTAAACAGCGGGACTCCGTCTCAAAAAAAAAAAAAAAAAAAAAAAAGAATCAATCGGTCATGCCTCAATGGGCATTTTCCTGTAAAGGCAATAGCAGTGAAAGGGATGAGAGGCAAAGGCCAACGTGAGCCACGTTAGGCAGTAGATCTTCCTGCTTCTGGAATTTGGGGTTGCCAGTTGCCAACCTTTTACTGTTCTCTCCTGAGATGCACATTGGTACTTAACTGTTCTTTGAAGGCTGTTTATTTCTGTACAAATGGATAGGTAAGACTGAGGTGAGGGCCAGCAGTGAACAGCTATATTTTTAAAAGGCGGGGAGGAAGGAACGATACGGGGTGCCTGCACGTTGGGTGGCAGGATGTTTGTGTTCTGTGGCTCCTCAGTGATGTGGAAGCCTCTGCTTCTGACTCCAGCCCTTCCTTTTCTGGTATGTCAATTCAGCCTATTCTCTTTCCAAACTAAATTCCTAGGGCTTTTGTTGTTGTTGTTGTTGTTTTGTTTTTGTTTTTTAGATTTTTGTTTGTAATTTTTTGCTGTTCCACTTTCAGTCTTTTCCTAGGTCTAGTTGTGACAAGGGCAGACATGCAAGCTGGTTGCTCCAAAGTAAGAGCCTGGTCACTAGTCAAGAAACAGGAAAACCATGGGGTGCGTGAGGGACCCAAACGCAGGCATGAACTTATTGGTAGGACACGAAAACCCACTTCTCATTCACTTAAACATTTGACCACCTGTCTTGTACTTATCCTGTTAGGCAGCGTAGATGATTCAAAGATAAATTAGACCTGGGCCCCCTCACCCTTCAGTAATCTCACTGCAAATGGCAGTGTTTACCTCCTCCTTCAATTTCCACCAGGACTCCCGGCCACGCCAAGAAACACTTAACCTAAGTAAAAATGGGATGTTTGCCTTGCAAATGTGGCTCCCAGGCAAGTTCTTTAAGCCCTTTCCAGCTAGATTGCTCCCTAAGCCTGGCTTAAATAGCAACTCTGAAGCTACCACAGCTTTACCAGTATACACTGAAAAGGTACTCCGGCAACTAAAAGGCCACATAATCAAACCATTCACTTCATCCATCTCTCTAGTCATGTATGATGCAGGGCTTAAATTCAGGCTAAGAAGAAGGGTAGATTCCTTCCAACTTCTTTGTGTGAGGTTCTGGAAGCATCCTACCACCTTTTTATACTTTGAGGAGAAACCGCCCCTCTCTGCAAGAGGATGAAATCTCTTCACCTGCTGCCTCTCGCACTTTATTTTCAAGAATTGACCTTACAGCAACTTCGCTAACTTGATTCTTTGAAACATTTCTGATGCAAACACCTGGAATTGATCTTTCTTGTTTGGTGTTCTATCCTTGGATCCTTAAAGACTGTGACTGCACAGCGTTCCTTGCGTGGTGAGAAGTTGACTAATTAATTGACCACAATGGGAGGTGCTTTTCTGTCAGGTAAAGAAAAATATGTGTCAGTGAAATGGGGAGGAATCTGCACTGAAAATTGGAGCCCAGAGAGACCAAAGTCAGCGTGTTTGCAGCACTGCATAAGGAAGAAAGGCTCTGTGTGTGGGAGTCCGAGTGAGTTGCTAACAATAAAGAGGTGTAGTGGGGATATTCCTTGGGGCAGAATCCTCCCACACCATTCTGCTTCCCTCTTCTGATTTTGTGTTCACCAAGGAGACTTCTGATTAGTAACCCAGCTTCCTTTCTTAAACACGTTGACTGGTAATGCCTAGGTTTTCTTCTAGGGTTTTTATGGTTTTAGGTCTAACGTTTAAGTCTTTAATCCACCTTGAATTAATTTTTGTATAAGGTGTAAGGAAGGGATCCAGTTTCAGCTTTCTACATATGGCTAGCCAGTTTTTCCAGCACCATTTATTAAATAGGGAATCCTTTCCCCATTGCTTGTTTTTCTCATAGGTGGGAATTGAACAATGAGAACACATAGACACAGGAAGGGGAACATCACACTCTGGGGACTGTTGAGGGGTGGGGGTAGGGGGTAGGTATAGCTTTAGGAGATATACCTAATGCTAAATGACGAGTTAATGGATGCAGCACACCAGCATGGCACATGTATACCTATGTAACTAACCTGCACATTGTGCACATGTACCCTAAAACTTAAAGTATAATAATAATAAAATTAAATTAAATTAAAAAACAAAACAAAACAAAAAAAACATGTTGACATTGGAAAGATCATGTTGATAGGAAGCCTGGGAACTCCAAGCTCCAGCAAGGGAATATCTGAACCCCTACATTATAAATTAGTAAATTAATATGCTGATTTATTGTTTAATCGTATGTGAATTTGGTTACAAAAAGGTCATCACTAAGAAAATCCAGTGTCTGAGTAGTAAGGTTGAGCATCTGGGCCCCGTTGCTTCAAGGTGCTTGAGAAACCCTTTCCTGTGACACCCCTCCTGGCATCTTCATAGGTGCCTCTCCAAAGTCCAGCACATTTCACATTACCTTCCACTCCAGGAGGAGACCGTGCATCACACTGTGTGCTGGTTAGGTTGAGGGTTTTTAAAGATTTTATATATTTTTTTCTCCTTACCACTTATGATAGACAGTGATTTTCTAAAAGGAAGTGGAATAGAGGCGGTAGGATTATGCAAATTCACATAATTATTAAGAAACAAAGGAAGAACTGCAGGCCCTCTTAAACTATGATCGGGTAATTGTTCTGATTTGTTGGTGTAGACTTGAATAACACCTCTCTGGCCAATGAGGGCTCCCCCACAATGTTTCCTACAAAAGGAGAAAAAGAAAGAAAGTCACTGTTAAAATCAGGCAGACCTCCTCTTTGAATCACTCTGACATGGATGAGGGAAAAACCCAGAAGGAAAAAAATGTGAAAAGTTTACTTCAGGTTTAGAATTTCTAATTCCACCACTTTTGTGTGTGTATGTGTGTGTTGTTGTTTGATAGACATGACAGCATCTCCTCATTATTATGGAAAATATAGGGTTGGTGGTAATTACTATCTGAATATGAATGGGAGCAGAAGTGGGCATAGCCTGCACTGGCCTTTCTTTGACAAGGTATAACTTTCTTCTGAATTTCTGTGTTAATTAATGCTTATTTAAAAACCACTTTAATTGGTAGTAAACACCTCAACTTTTTGTACTCATTAAAATGCAGCCATTGATGTGTGATGGATTTTTTTTAAAGCTTAATTAACTTTCCTTCTGTATATATAACCTATAATAATGACAAACATATTGGGAAAAAATTACCCCTGCTTTTTCCCCCTTTCTCTCTACCCCCATTATAAAGACATTTTTAGCTGTGGATGCCTCACTTTGTTAGGATCAGATGCCATTAATTTGGCATTTTTGAGAAGAGTAGGTGGCAGGAAATCAAAGCTTTTTGAGACATTGGTCATTTCTAAACCAAATACTCACATATCTGCTGGGGAAATAGGCTATTTTTCTTTTTTCCTTTTTTTAAAGTAAAGTTTCCTGCTTGAGCCCAGGAGTTTGAGGCTGCAGTGAGCTATGACTGCACCACTGCATTCCAGCCTGGGTGACAGAACGAGATGCTGTCTTGAAAAGAAAAGAACAAGTTTAAAGAAACTGTACCCCAGGTGACTCAAGTCTTCATAGGTGCCTTCTTGGAAAATATCAAATTTTAAAGTATCTTCTTGGAAAATATCAAATTTTAAAGATCTTGGAAATCTTTTCTTGGAGTTGGTTATAATTATGTAGGAACTGAGTAATGCATCCTTCTTCTTTTTCATTAGGTGATACTATTAAGATACCATAACTACCTTAGAGAAAATTTGGAAAATAGGAAACAATTCTTAATAATCTAACTACCGTAACACAATGACAGTTTTTAATTTTTCATAATCTCCTTGCATTCTTTGTTTATACTGAGCTTGAAATTGCTAACCAGTAAAACCACAGCTGGTGTGGAAGGAAAGCAACCCGAGCACCATTAAACAGCAGAGTACTTTATTCAGATGCCACAGCATGAGAAGACCTTGAGAGAGTGCTCTGCCTTGGGGAAGAAGGGCAACATTTTTATAGACCTTTAGCAAGAAAAGTCCGCTGAAGCTCAGCTAATTTTGATAACAGTTGATCAAAGATGGTTCTCACAAGAGGAAGAATTGATCTTGTAGTTTACCATCCATTGGATGAGAAATCTGAGTTTTGCCAAGGAGGGTGGGAGAAACAGCTGCAAGGGGTCACAGCAGAACATTGTCAGTCATTTAGGGCCTCTTATCTCTTGGTCAATAGAGAGGCCAAGTCTCATAATTTGATCAGATTTTGGTTTGTTCGCTCCTCCAAATACATAACTGATGTCAGTTGCAGACTCAGGCTCATTGGCAATGACTCCTATTGGATGTGCTGGTGATTTTTGCCTTCATAGCTGAATTTCAGTCATTTTTGAGTGAGTAGCTGACCAGAGCATTTAAGACTCTGGAGAGAGCACAGTCAGTGACTGTGGGACAACACCTATTAAAAGAATTACCAGAAGGCCTTGGATAATGCCCATATTCCTAGATAGATCCTGCCCTACCTAGGATCAGCCAGAACAGTTCCATGCCCAACCCAAAGAGAAGAGAAGTTTGTTATTAGTAAACTCACCTAGCAATTTGTTCATCTTCTTGACTTACCAAGGTTTCATCTCTGATATCCAGGATAGCATAGTTACAGGAAAGAATTTTAAGAATCTTACTTGTTAAAATAAGATTCTTCTTTTTTCAAAAACGCTTCTTCTCCTTCTTTTCAAAATTATTCTTTCTCCTCCTCTTCAAAACTATCTTTTTGAAGGCATTGGTTTAGTGCTAAACCAATGGAGAAGGGAAAAGATAGTTTTGAAAAGAAGGAGAAGAAAGAGACAATTAAGGGTATGGCACTCAGTGGCTCCCTGTGATTGGGGGTCTTGAACTGGAGGTCATGAGCAAAAGCACTCCATATCTAGTTGTCTGCTACTTGGTTTGAAAATCCTTGGAAAGCTGTCTCCTTTGTGATGCCATTTGTTTCAGAAGAATTCTGAAATCAGTTTTAGATATCCTGTCAATGTGGAAGTTCAGGATGAGGGTGTATATCTTGTGAAACAGGAATCCAATGGGATGATTTCTTGGAATTTCACTGCAGTATTTGTATTTTATGTTACCTGATAATGTTTCCTCCAAGAGGTACCCCTCAGGCGTAAGACCATGACCAACAGGAAGTAGATAAGGCAACTGTGATATTATCATACAAAGATCAGAGTAACCCTGGAAGGTAAGGTAGTTAATGATCTCTAAGATTGGGATGTCTTCTTTCTTTCCCAGTTTGTAAAACTGGATTTTTGATGTGAAGGATCTCAGGGAGAGCTGCCAAGATATCTTGTCATATGTTTATGCTCTTTTTGTATCCATCATGGTCAAATTTTGATTCATATATTGGATATAGTTTTGGAAATCAAATTATTTGCTAGAGACTAAGGAGCTCAGAATATATGTTCCAAAGACAATTCTTAATTCTTTAAGTGAATTTTTGTTTTTCCTTGCTAGGGGTTGGGAAGTCCTTAACTAGATCATGCAAATCTGATCTTGACCAAGGATTAAAGTTAACACGTCATTGACCTTGAAGGTGACCTTCATTCCTACCTATATCAGGAAAACATTATAAGGATATATTGTCCAGTGAGAGGGATGTGTTTAGGAAGGGGCAATGGAGGAGAGGAAAGAGGATCTGGAGAAGGAGGAACAGCAGAGCAAGAGGGAAGAGGAAGTCGAGGTTCAGGGAACTGGAGGAAGGCCAATGTGCAATTCATTGTGTTAGGAGAGGGAGAAGATAGTTCTAAGTTTAGATTTTAGATCATCCAGGTTTTTATTAGCCTTTCTTAAGGAGGCCTTAAAGGAAGCAATTTTAGAATATTTCTGTCTTTCAAAGGCTTTTTTATACCAGTAAAAAAAATGCCAGTCATTGAATATTTGGAATCTTTGAATCATTTGTAAAGTGCCATGCAAATGGATTATCTTACTCATATCCCAAATTGATCAGAGTGGCCACTGAAGTTCTAAATTGTTTTTGGTAAAATTCCATCAAAGCTTCAAATATTTGGTGCTGTTGGCATCATGTTTGTACATGTAAGAAGCCAGAAAAAGACTTGGTGTTTCATTGAATGGCTCACGATTGGCCCTCAGAATCTCGACAATACACACCCAGATTGTTGCTGAGAGCCCTGAGTTAAGAAACAAATGGAATGAAAGTTTTTCACCAAGGATAATTAAGAGGAAGAACAAAGGCTTAGGTGGTACTTCAATGCAAAGAGAGCCAAGTACTAGTTGGGGGCAGGGCTTTACTGTGCACTCCCTGGGACCTCCAGAAGAGACTTGGGGGTCTCTTGCATTCTCTATCCTCATCAGAGTGGCTAAGCTGTTCAGCAGTGGGTCCAGGCAGTGATTAGTGTCTTGGCATCAAAAACTGTAGAAGATAATCAGCCAGAGCATTATTAGCATAAACCTTTGTTCTGAATGCTACAGCATGAGAAGACTTTAAAGGATGTTCTGTCTTGGGGAGGAAGGGTAGTATTTCTATAGAGTCAGAATAGGAAGAGCCAGCTGAAGCTCAGCTGTTTTGGGGACTAGTTGGTCAGAGATGGTTCTTAGAAGCAGGAGAGATCATTCTTGTGGTTTAGCAGCCATTGGTTGGGCAATTCAGGCTTATCAAAAGGGATCAGGCAGACAGTTATGGACTAAGGTCAAGTGAGGGTCAGAGTGAACATTTTTAGTTCTTTTAGAGTTTTTTTTAAAGGTGCTTACTACAGTGACAAAGGAAGTCACTAGTGTGATGAGTAAGGAGTAAGGTGGGGAAGAATCTTCCAGGTGGCCCTCTGCTCAGAAGTTGTTTTCTTTACAAAAGCAGAGGAGGTTGTTGATTCTTCCTTTCTTCCCGATGCACCATCCCCATTTCTACCCTGCTTGTCTCACAAACCAACCAAAGCAGTAGGGAGAAATGCAGTCATATCTAAGCAGCAGCAGATGACAATGGCGTGCAAAGTCTTAAAGAGGGCGGTGGGCAGGACCACACCTCCTTAAGCTTCCAGAATGCCACAGTAATGAACCAGAAGTGCCCACGCCCTTGCAGACAGAGGACTGAGAACTCACACAGACTGATCATGTAGCTTCACTTAGATGATGACTGAATACGGGTCTGCATTGTTTGGTTGTACTACTAGGGCCATACTAGCATGTGAGCATTTGCTTATGGAATGTGAGAAATACAAACAGGAACAGGCCTTGTTCATGTACCTGTGTGTGAACCGTGGCCTAGTCACTTGTGAATCTGAACACAAATGTCCACTGTGACTGCCTGGTCCAGGTACCTCTGCTTACAGTGCCTGGAAACAGTCTCTTTACCTTTTTTAGGATAAAGTCAATGCAAAGGATTAGCCGAGAATACTTGAGTCCACATGATGGAAGGAACTGGATGCCATTTAATGAATAAGTAATTTAAGTGTAAGTATACATACCTAGAAATAACTATATGTGGTTTGGGTTTTTATTTTAGTGTGTATTTTTTTTAGAGACAGGATCTTACTCTGTCACCTAGCCTGGAATGTAGTGGTAACCTCAAGCTCCCGGGCTCAAGTGATCCTCCCTCCTGGGCCTCCCAAGTAGCTAGGACTACAGGCATGTACCACCACGCTAAGCTAATTTACAAAAAATAAAATATTTTTGTGGTAGGGACAAGGTCTCACTACATTGCCTAGGCTAGTCTCAAACTCCTGGCCTCAAATGATCTTTTCACCTCCCAAAGGGCTGGCATTACAGGTGTAAGCTACCATGCAGGGCCCTAAGGTTTGGTTTTGATGTTAATTTCCCATTCTTCTTCATTAACTCCCTAGCTAAGAAACTGCTTCTTTCTTAGGCTTTGCATTAGTCATCTCCATTGAGCACTGCAGTCCCTGCTTCAAGCTGAGCACCCCCAGACCAGCAGCTACAGGGTGAGGTTCAACTTGGGGGCATCTTCAGCCTGGCTGCAGGAGCTCAGCCACTGTCCTGAGACTTTGCTTCAACATCATGCTGGGAATTCTTGAATTTCAGTGTTCCACACCTTCGTCTTCTACGTTCTAGCAAATTCTTGAATAAGGGTGCACAGGAAATACATTTTTGCGTGTATCTTTTGCCTAAATGTATATACTTCCTTCAAATTTGATAGTTTGGCTTGGTATAGCATTTAAACTATAACTATTTTCCTCAGAATTTTAAAGGCAATTATCTTGGATTCTATTTCTATTTCTGACCCTTTGGCCAACCCTTTATTTTTTTTCCTCTTTGAAAGCTTCTAGTATTTGTTCTCAATGCTCGTTATTCTAAATTTCCCAATCATGAGCCCTTAGTAGGAACTTTCAACCTGGAAACTCATGTTCTTCAGCCTAGATACTGTTTATTGTATTACTTCTTATGTTTGCTGTTTTTTTGAGCATTTCTGTTAGCTAAGTTTGAGCCTGTTTGAGTGATCTTTAAATTTTTTTCTTTTCTGTTTTTTTATCTCTGCTCTTTTTATTATTTCTTGGAAATTTCTTTGTCTTCCAGTTTTTCTATAAAGTTTTCTTTCAGCAATCATCTTTTTAATTTCAATAATTCTTTTCTTTTATTTGAATATACCAATTTTATAGCATCTTATTCTTGTTTTATAATGTAATTTTTTAATCCTTTTAAGGAGAGAGAAACCACAGTTTTAGTTTTTATTTTTTCCATTTCCAGCATGATTCCCCCCTGTTGTGGTTATCAAGTGCTGTGTTACAAATTTCTCCCCTCCCCTTCATGGCTTACAATATCATTTATTTTGTTCATGAACTTTCAACCTGAGCGGGGCTCTGCAGGTTCAGCTCATCTTTGATCTATTCAGTGTCAGGTAGGGCTGGAATCACCTGAAGTCTTCTTCACTCACGTCTGGTGTTTGGTTTGGACAAATTCAAACAGCTGGGGCATCTGTCTCTAGCAACATGTGGTCCCTAAAGCATGGAAGCTTCATGGGAATCAGACTTCTAATCTGATGATTCAGGGCTCCTAAGATGTGTATCCCAGGAAAGCAAGAGCCGAGTGAAAGCTGCATTCTTTGTATGACCTAGCTGCAGAAATCACATAACTGCCATTTCCCTTTTTCTATATTGCAGTGCTGTCTAATTAAAATATACTGTGGCCAGGCACAGTGGCTCACGCCTGTAATCCTAGCACTTTGGGAAGCCAAGGCAGGTGGATCACATCTGAGGTCAGGAGTTCAAGACCAGCCTAGCCAACATGGTGAAACCCTGTCTTTACCAAAAATACAAAAATTAGCTGGGTGTGGTGGTGCACACCTGTAATCCCAGCTACTTGGGAGGCTGAGGCAGGAGAACCACTTGAACCTGGGAGGCAGAGGTTGCAGTGAGCCAAGATGGCACCACTGCACTCCAGCCTGGGCAACAGAGCGAGACTCCATCTCAAAAAAAAAAAAAAAAAAAATATGTCGTGAGCCACATGTGCAATTTCAAGCTTTCTAGTGGCCACATTAAAAATATAAAAAGAAATAAAGTTAATTTTAATAATATATTTTATTTAACTTAATATCACTTAAATATGTAATGAATAGAAAATGGTTAATGAGATAGTTCACATTCTTTTCTCATACTGTCTTCAAGGTCCAGTGTAAGTTTCATACTTACAACACAGCTCAATTCAGATGCTAAATTCTTTTTATTTTTATTTTTATTTTTGAGACGGAGTCTCGTTCTGTCGCCCAGGCTGGAGTGCAGTGGCGTGATTTCTGCTCACTGTAAGCTCCGCCTCCCGTGTTCACACCATTCTCCTGCCTCAGCCTCCCGAGTAGCTGAGACTACAGGTGCCTGCCACCACGCCCGGCTAATTTTTTTGTATTTTTAGTAGAGACGGGGTTTCACCGTGTTCGCCAGGATAGTCTTGATCTCCTGACCTCATGATCTGCCTGCCTCGGCCTCCCAAAGCGCTGGGATTACAGGCGTGAGCCACCGCACCCCGCCGCTAAATTCTTTTTTTCAGATGCTGAATTTCCAATAGTTAATGTGAAATATAGTCCTGCCAAAACATAAGCTAGAAGAAAAACACTTTACATTGCTTCAGTTTTTAAATTTAAATTATTTAGAATTGAATAAAATGATTCTTTCAGGTCTTCAGCTGTAATAGCAACTTTTCACTTATTCAACAGCCACACAGGTGCCTAATGGCCACTGGCAACCATATTGGGTGGTGTGACTCTGTTGGTTGAAGTCCCACCTAGATTCAAGGGCAAAGAGGGTAAACTCCAGCTTTTAATGGGAGAAGGGACAATATTTTAAAGAAAAGAAGCAGGAGTATTGTGGCTGTTTTTGGAAAATGCAACCTGCCACACCCTCTGAGTTTCCCTTTTTCCCTGGTTTATTTGCTTTGGTCTCTATATTTCATGGCAGAGACTTTCCCCTAATGTGTTCACATTAAGACTGAAGCTCTTCGAGGTTGATTGGAGGCTCTGTGTGTGGGGGAAGTCTGTCTTTGGTAGGCTTCGCTGAAGGGTGATTGACAGGGGCCAGGTCGTCTTGCTGGGAACTCACCACAGGTCAGCATCTGCTGGTTGTTTCTCTTAGGTCAGTTTCTTCTGAGAAGGCTCAGCCAGTCTCCTTAGGATATATAAACCCCGCTGTCAGTGTTCTGGAGGCAGAGGAGGAGGCAGAGGCAGTTTAAATGTTCGCCAAATATCAGCATTTTAGTAAAACAACTTTCTGGTGTCTCTACCAGAGACTCTCTGATCTAATTATGCAAAGAATCACCCTCCCAGGGCTTGCTGGGTTGGGAGGAATGGTCTCCTGACTGCCACAGGGAGGGTGGGGAATCAGCCGATCCTCTTCTTCACACTCCACCCTCACCCTGCCTCCTGAAGAAGGTCCCTGAGCCTTTCTGGGGCTCTCTACTGTGACGCAATCCCATGTCAGGGGCGCCCCCTCTACAGGCTCTTAGGGTTCATGTTTTTTCCACTCCGCTAAGCCAGTTATCAGTCATATATCCACTTTCCATCCTCCAAATATTTGGAGACATCTGTTGTCTGCTGTCTTCTCCTTTCCTGTTTTCAGTGTCTTTTGTATATTTCTTTGCTTATTATTTTAGTAGGGTTCTAGGAGAAAGCAGAGATAGCCTAATATGACAATGCCCACCAGAAGGAATGTCAAGGCCTTTTGGTGCCCTAGGACTTCTAGCTGTTGAGGTCAACAATTGTGTTGCTTCAAAAATAAAAAATTAATGTGAAATTTCGCTGTAAATTACACATTACTCATTATAGACAATGGACAACAGTCAGCCAGTCGATAAATAGTGGGCAACTAGTATATGCCAAGCATTGTCAAGGTTCTGGGGATGCAGTGATAAACAAGGCAGAAAAGGCATATAGTCCAGTGCTTCTCACGTCATCTGGAGATTTGTTAAAAATGCAAATTCTGTAGCTGGCCATGGTGGTGCATGCCTGTAGTCCCAGCTACTCTGGAGGCTGAGGTGAGAGGATTGCTTGAGCCCAGAAGTTCCAGGCTGCAGTGAGCTATGATTGCACCACTGCACTCCAGCCTAGGTGACAGAGCAAGACCCATTTACTTATTTATTTATTTATTTATTTATTTATTTATTTATTTATTTATTTATTTGTGAGACAGAGTCTCTCTCTGTCGCCCAGGCTACTAGAGTGTAGTGGCACGATCTTGGCTTACTGCAACCTCCACCTCCTAGGTTCAAGCGATTCTCATGCCTCAGTTTCCTGAGTAGCTGGGATTATAGGTGTGCACCACCACCCCCAGCTAATTTTTGTATTTTTAGTAGAGAAGGGGTTTCGCCATCTGGGCCAGGCAAGTCTCGAACTCCTGGCCTCAAGTGATCTGCCTGCCTTGGCCTCCCTAAGTGCTGGGATTACAGGCATGAGCCACTGTGCCCGGCCAAGACCCCATTTATAAAAATAAAAATATAAGAATATGGAATTCTGTCTCAGTAAATCTGGGATAGGGCCTGAGATTCTACTTATAGAGAAGCCTTTCTCCTTTATTCCCCTCAGAGTTAACCCAATCTCTGAGTGCTTCACTCTCAGTGTGAACAGAGGAAAGTCTCTAATGTGAAAAATGAATATTGCAACCCTTACTAATATCCTCTGCCTGTCTATGCTTTTGAAATGTTTTCACTTGGCCAGAAGTTGGCTAATGGCCTTTTGTAGGTTTCTGCAGCTATTGTGTTCATTGGCTCCTAGAATCTCAGGAGTGAAAGAGACCTGAGAAGTTACCTAGTCTAGACCAGGTGTGGTGACTCACACCCATAATCGCAACACTTTGGAAGGCCAAGGTGGGAGGATCCTTTGAGCCCAGTAGTTTGAGACCAGCCTGGGCAACATAGTGTGACTCTCTTTCTAAAAAGAAAAGAAAAAAAAAGATATCTAGTCCAAAGCGCCATTTGTAATACTTACATTCCTGTGGATTAAGCATCGCTTCCTGAGGTTACTGGACCATTGTCTTTGTGTTGAGAATCCAAAGGCGGGGTTGACGTGTCGTGGAAGATTACTGTGCCCACCGATCTGTGGCTCATCCACATGTGGGCACAGATTTGACCCTAGGCAACCCCTATCTGTCCTAGTGGCTTCAGTGTCCTTACAGACATGTGTCACTCAGATCAAGGCTGGGAGAAACTCAGGGACAGACTCCATGTGACATGCTTCTTGGTGCTTGGCACACTGTAAGTATTCAGGAGCTTATTTTTGTATATTTTGTATATATTATTCTATATATTGTATATATTTCATCCACGGGACCTTTGATACTTAAAACATTGCCCATGTACCAGAAACATCAACATCATCTGACAGCTTGAGAGAATCTCAGTCCCTACCCCAGGTCTATAGAAACAGAATTTGCGTTTTTAACAAGATCCCCGGGTAATGTGTGGGCACACTAAAGATTTGAGTAGCACTCGACTGTATGTATGCCTTCTCTGCTTTGTTACCACAAAACTTTGTGAGTGCCGTGGCAGCGTCTGGTGTATGCTGGCTCTTTGGCATTTGTGGACTGGCTGACTGCTGGTCATTGCCTTAGGTCTTCAGCAAGCCAGGCTGCAGACCGAAGAAAGGGATCTCCAAGTCAGTTTCAGGATGAGCGGGGAGAGGAGAGGATAAAGATGTCCTTGCTTTGTGCCTGGGATCTGTAACTTACTTGGAAGCCTCGGTTGTGAAAGCTGGTATTCCCTCCAAGATTCATCGTAGGATTTTCCCATCTGAAACTGACCTTTGCAATCTCTCAGTTCCTTTGGCGATCCTGGAAACTTGACACCATCTGAGACTCCTCCCAGCTCTGAGGTGACTTGGATATTAGATCAGATGTCATGGCTGTGTGGATGCCTGGACTCCAGGGCTTTCTCTGCTGGTCTGTTCTCTCTGGTGGTGCAGGAGCTGTTTCTGGGGACTGGAATGTGGGGCCTGGCTCTTCCCCAAGCACGTTCCGTACCCTGGCTGTGTTTCTCCTGACAAAGGCGCGAGTGTAGGACTTACCCAAACCCCAGAGAGTCCAGCACCTTCCTCCCAGCCGTGCAGAATTATTTCAAGAATCCCCTGTGGTTTTCTTCTCCTCAGGATTTTGAATGAGCCAACTTGAGGATAGCTCTATATTACCAAAAGGTTTTATAAATAATTTAACAACAAGGCTCTAAATAGTGTTATAATAATATTTTATTTTATTAATAATATATCAACTGAGAGATATAAAAATAAAACATCCCCTCAATAGAGCCATTGTACCGAACATTAATGACCATTGCCTGAATTGCGTTTAGAAGGTATAGATGCTTGAGGCCGGGCGCGGTGGCTCACGCCTGTAATCCCAGCACTCTGGGAGGCCGAGGCAGGCGGATCACGAGGTCAGGAGATCGAGACCATCCCGGCTAAAACGGTGAAACCCCGTCTCTACTAAAAATACAAAAAAATTAGCCGGGCGTAGTGGCGGGCGCCTGTAGTCCCAGCTACTTGGGAGGCTGAGGCAGGAGAATGGCGTGAACCCGGGAGGCGGAGCTTGCAGTGAGCCGAGATCCCGCCACTGCACTCCAGCCTGGGCGACAGAGCGAGACTCCATCTCAAAAAAAAAAAAAAAAAAAAAGAAGGTATAGATGCTTGAGCCAAAGCCTTCCTTAACCCAGGACATACTCTGGGATAATTAAGATCACTGAAGCCTCATTACAAATGTATTTTACTTAAAATAAAACTGCTTTCTCTAATTTAAAATAATACATATTAACTAAAGAGAATTTGAAAAATGTAGAAACTTTCAAAGAAGAAACAAAGGCACCATAACTCACCACTCAAAGATAAGTGTTGGTAACACTTTAAATCTATTTTCTTTTAGTCTTTTTTATGCATATTATGTATTATTATACAAAATTGAAATTACTCTGTATAGAAAATTTTGCATCTTTTTTTTTTTTTTGAGATGGAGTTTTGCTCTTGCTCTTGTTGCCCAGGCTGGAGTGCAATGGTGCCATCTTGGCTCACCACAACCTCTGGATCCTGGGTTCAAGCGATTCTCTTGCCTTAGCCTCCCGAGTAGCTGGGATTACAGCATGTGCCACCATGCCTGGCTAATTTTGTATTTTTAGTAGGGATGGGGTTTCTCCATGTTGGTCAGGCTGGTCTCGAACTCGTGACCTGAGGTGATCCGCCTGCCTTGGCCTCCCAAAGTGCTGGGAATATAGGCGTGAGCCAGCATGCCCAGCAAATTTTGCGTCTTTTTATTCACCTAACATTATGACAAACATTTCCATGTGCCACTAAACATTCTTTGAAAATATTATTTTGCTTTACCTATAGTGTTCTATTACATGGAGGTCCTCTGTTTTTGTTGTTTGTTTTTCAATGACTCCTCTTTTGCTCATCACTGAGACCATTTTCAATTTTTGCTCTTACAAGTAATGCTACAATCACCTTTCCCAGAACCTGTCTTTGGGAAACAGTCTGAGATTCATGCAAAATCTTTTTTTTGAGAGAGTGTTGCTCTGTTGCCCAGACTGGAGTGCACTGGCGCCATCTCAGCTCACTGCAATCTCCGCCTCCCGGATTCCAGTGATTCTTGTGCCTCAGCCTCCCGAGTAGCTGGGATTACAGGTGCGTGCCACCACACCCAGCTAATTTTTTCTTATTAGTAGAGATGGGTTTCACCATGTTGGCCAGGCTGGTCTCGAACTCCTGACGTCAGGTGATCCACTTGCCTCAGCCTCCCAAAGTGCTGAGATTACAGGCATGAGCCACTGTGCCTGGCCACATGCACAGTCTTTATTACTAGACCAAATTGGGATTTAAGCTTAAGACTCTTGCTGTATATTTGCCCAACTGGTATGTGAAATAAGTTTCCAATTTGCTCTGGCTTTATGGGACCAGTTCTTTGAAAAGTACAGTGTCAGAAACTCCAACTCCGTTCAGCTGAGTGTTCTGCCTAGCTCCTTTTCACTCAGTGGAAGGGAGATGGTGCCCATGGCTGGGCAGGAGGGAGGTATCAGAACACAGAGTAGAGGAGTGGAGAAGAGTTAGGAGTAAAGGCTAGGGATTCAATTAGATGGCATCAGTGTTTCTAGTGTCTAAGGTAAGGACAGATCCCACTGGCCAAATATATTACTATAAACTTCCCAGTAATGAGTTTCTCTGTCCATGTTTTCTTGTTCTTACCAGCTCATCTCTCCTATGTGCCGTGCCCTCTCCATTTCCACCTCTGTTTTGTACCAGTCGATTTGCTTTTTCATCGACTGACTTGACCCTGTAACTTCTGAGAATCTAGTCACCACTCCTAAATTACTTTTGGCTGAGGTCAGGAGACAGGTACTCCATTACAAGTGACAGACCTCATTCATTACCGTTATTAGGATAAGCTAGGTAATGCTTTGGTAACAACACCCAAATTTTAGTGCCTTTATATAATCAAGTTTATTTCTCATTCAGGCAGCTCTCCTTCAATGGAGAGTGTGGCTTGAAGATCCAGTCGGCTTGGATTTCATGGCACCTTGATCTTAAGATATGATTTTTGAGATTACCATAGCAGGTGATGAGAGTACAGAAAGTTAAGCATTCTCTTAAGTGCTTCACTTTGGAAGTGACACAGTTTTGTTGAAACTAGGTGCATGGCCTCACTTAATTGCCAGGGATCAGGAAAATGTGATCCTCTGTATGTCCAGGAAGGAAAGAAGCTGGACATATTGGTAAGCATTATGTCTACCTGAATTATCAAAAAAACCCTTAAAATATATTCCAAACACAGTAATTAGAGAAAAAAATCATTATTAAATATATGCAAGCAGCATTGATAAATAGGGAATGATGAGAGCATCCATTATGTAGGCTTTATGTTTCCAACAGAATTTGTTTACAAATATGTGAAGCTGTATGCCTTATGGTGAAAACAATTGCATCAAATTAACCTGGATGTCATAATGGAGCTCAAGGTAACCCAGGAATCTACTTATATTTCGAGATACAAATTGCATCACTTAAAGGGAGAATGTTATGATTTAGCTAATTGGGAAAGAATGGCAAGTAGGTTTCGATTTACATGCCACCTCTACTTGATTGGTTGTAGACTGCTTGGAACTCAACTGCTGTGTTGAGAAGGACTCTACAGCAGCACCTAGGCTCAGTGGGGAAGAGCTCAGCGGTCCATTCATTCAAAGAGTACAAAGCACTTAGTAGGTAGTAGGCACTATACCAAATGCTGATGCTTCCAGGCCACATGGAACTTACAGTATCAATATCACTTAGCAGCATCTGTCGTGGGACGTCTGCATGTGGGTGTGTGTGGTGGGTTAGGGAAGTAGAGGCACATTATTTACATCATATTTCCACCTCTGAGCTAATTTGACTGTTCAGTGGCCAGTTGGTGCCAGATCTAAGTAAGAGAAGTAATTGCTAAACTGCTGTCTTTCACATGCACTCCCATAAGAAGGATGCAGGTTTTTTTTTTTTTTTTTTTTGAGACGGAGTCTCCATCTGTTGCCCAGGCTGGAGTGCAGTGGCGCGATCTTGGCTCACTGCAAGCTCTGCCTCACGGGTTCACGCCATTCTCCTGCCTTAGCCTCTCCGAGTAGCTGGGACTACAGGTGCCCGCCACCAAGCCTGGCTAATTTTTTGTATTTTTAGTAGAGACAGGGTTTCACCGTGGTCTCAATCTCCTGACCTGATGATCCGCCCGCCTCGGCCTCCCATAGTGCTGGGATTACAAGCGTGAGTCGCCGCGCCTGGCCAGGATGCAGGTTTTGAAGGGTTTTCCTCTTGTCAGGATGAGTCCCATAGAACTAACCATATGCTCCTTCCCTGTGACATGTGAAACTGAAGGCGTAAGGACGTACCATCTCCCTTTATGTTTTTCTCTGCCTACCTCATTCCTCTGGCTTCTAGGTAAAACTTTGTGTATTTTCATTCTTAAAGTCCCGTATCCTATTTCCTCACACATAGTTTTCTCTTTTCTTGAAAACTTAAGCTAGCAAATGGAAATGGTATCAGTATGATTCTTTAACCCATCCCAGGACAGGAGCAGGAGAACTGCCACCTTTCCTTTTCAGTTCCTTCAACAGAAGTGATACAAAGATCAGCGGGGTCTCCCAAGGGGCATCTTCTCAGCCTGGGCCCTGGAGTGGCTTCTCCATAGGATCTATACAGTGAAACTCAAGTGGAATGGTACACTGCACAGAGAGGGCCTCACCAGGACCGACATGGTCAATTTCTGGTCTCCTGTCTTTCTTTGTTCTCATCAGCTTACCTCTCTTGGCTCCCCCAGTCTCCCGCATTCCAGAAAGCACAGTACTTGCTTGGGACCTTCTCATGGCCTGTAGTGGGCAGCAAGTCAAGGTCTGTGCCAGCCTTGAGTGGTCACAGGGCTGTTCAATGATACTGGGCTATGGCCAAATTTAAAGAGAAAGAAGAGGCTGGGCATGGTGGCTCACACCTGTAATCTGAGCACTTTGGGAGGCTGAGGCAAGTGGATCATTTGAGGTCAGGAGTTCAAGACCAGCTTGGCCAACATAGTGAAACCCCGTCTCTACTTAAAATACAAAAAAATGAGCTGGATGTGGTGGTGGGCACCTGTAATTCCAGCTACTCGGGAGGCTGAGGCATGAGAATCACTTGAACCCAGGAGGCAGAGGTTGCAGTGAGCCGAGATCATGCCACTGCACTCCAGCCTGGGTGACAGAGTGAGACCCTGTCTCCAGAAAAAAAAAAAAAAAAAAGAGAGAAAGAAGAAAAATGAATCTGTTTCTAAAGAAAAATGGGAAATACACCTTTACACGTTTTTTCTTCTTCCTTATTATCTCTGTACCTATGTAATAAATATGGTAAGTCTAGGAACAGGTTATACAAAACATTTTCTCCATTGAGACTCACTGAATATTTAGCATTTACAATTATTATAATATATACAACCATATTTGGCACTAGATATTAAAACACCAATGTCTATCTTCCAAAAGTCATTTCAGACCAATTATGGGAAACTTTTTGAAGCTGACTGTTTCGTTGGCTTAAGGATCCTTTATTCTCTAAGTATTCATTATCCGAGTCCCCACTTGCACATGGAAGGAAAAGTCATTCTAACAAGTGACCACTTATAAAATCAGTCCCTACTCGAACATCTCTCCCTGCTTCACACTAGAGTTTTAACCCTGCCCATTGGGTCAATATCTTTTACATCTTTGGCTCTCAGATAATTTCAGGGTGTGGGAAACATTTGACAACACTAAGACAAATAAAATGTAAATGGATGAAAAAGTAAAACTGCAAATCTTGCAGAAGACCTCAGCTTTCATAAAGTTGTCAGTAGTGATTAGAGAACTGTTCCAGTCATGGGCAAAGCGTTTGGCAACTGGAGATCTGGCAGAGCTGGATTAATTAAAAACTGAAGAAGAGGCCGGGCACGGTGGCTCACGTCTGTAATCCCAGCATTTTGGGAGGCCGAGGTGGGTGGATCACGAGGTCAGGAGTTCGAGACCAGCCTGGCCAATATGGTGAAACCCCATCTCTACTAAAAAAAAAATACAAAAATTAGCCGGGCGTGGTGGCACACGCCTGTAGTCCCAGCTACTTGGGAGGCTGAGGCAGGAGAATCACTTGAACCTGGGAGGCGGAGGTTGCAGTGAGCTGAGATTGCTCCACTGCACTCCAGCCTGGGTGACAGAGTGAGACTTCATCTCAAACAAACAAAAACAAACAAACAAACAACAACAACAAAACTGAAGAAGACAAATGGAAATGGATAAGGACAGTATGGATGTTTTCCAAGAGAAATATTTGAGCCCTAAGAACACTGATGTAATACCCAAGTATTTAAAAAAATGGTCTGCTGTGTAATCTTACTCTTTGGCAAAAATAAAGTGAAAAGTATCGGAGTTCATAGGAACTTTGGACATCGTTAGTCCAGCTATCTCACTTTTGAGATGAAGAAGACTCGGAGAGGTTGAACATGTTGCACAAGGTCATGAAGCTGGTGATGGGCAAGACTGGAGCTTGGGTGCACTGCCTGCTTTGCCAATTCTTCTGGTAATTCCAGCCAGAGTTGTGCTTGATTCTCCTCTTCTCTTAGTTATTTGTTTATTTTCTTGAGACAGAGTTTCCCTTTTGTTGCACAGGCTGGAGTGCAATGGTGAGATCTCGGCTCACTGCAACCTCTGCCTCCCGGGTTCAAGCGATTCTCCCACCTCAGCCTCCCAAGTAGCTGGGATTACAGGTGTCTGCCACAATGCCTGGCTAATTTTTGTATTTTTAGTGGAGACGGGGTTTTGTCATGTTGGCCAGGCTGGTCTTGAACTCCTCACCTCAGGTGATCCACCTGCCTTAACCTCCCAAAGTGCTGGGATTACAGGTGTGAGCCACTGCGCCCAGCAGATTCCCCTCTTGTCATTCCCCACATTCCACCTATAAGCAAATCCTGGTGGCCCCTCTTTCAATGTATACCTGGATCTGACTCCTTCTCCTTTCCTTGACTATCCCCCAAGCCCATCCTCGGGTGTCCTGCACCTGGCTTTTGGCAGTGGCTTTCCAATTGGTTTCCCCATTCCCTTCCTTGTCCCTGTGTTGTCTGTTGTCCACACAGCAGTCATAGTGACCCTTTTAAAAGAGGTCAGACCTTATTCCTCCTCTGCTCATAACTTCCAGTGGCTTGTCATCTCCCTCAGAATAAAATCCCAGGTCCTCACAGAGGTTATAAAGTCCAACCATCTGGCTCCTGCTCACCTCTGTGATGTCACCCGTATCCCATCCTCCCTCCCTGCGCTCCAGGCATCTGTCTCTTTTGCTGTTCCTCAATTCCCTTAGCACGCTTCCTGCTCATGGCCTTTGCACTTTTTTTTTCCCTCTGCCTGGAAGGCTCTTCCCTAGATAGCTCCCTTCCTTCTGGTTCTTTCACAGGTACCTAAGCTATTTGAAAGAGCACCCTACCCCATCACCCTTTTCTACTTAATTTTTATTCATAACAAAAATAATACTTGACATGATGTATATTTATGTTTATTACCTGGCTTCCCCTATCAGAATCTAAGTTCTGCATTCGTCGTATGTAGGCATTGTATCTCTTTTGTTTGCAGGCACTGTTTGAACACGAACGTAGTCAATGCTAAATAAGTAATTCTTGAATAAACAAATAAATAGCATGAATATGGAAATGAATAAATTTTGTTATGTATATTGGGGTTTCATGTAAGAATTTGTCTTAAAATTCAGACTGTTTTGCCAAGTGGGCTGGTGGCACGTGTTTCTGGCCCTCCTCTGCACTAGCACATTGTTGGGCACTGCATGGATCCATCCTGTGCTCCGTTCCTGTCCCCCTTTGCCAGGGTGAAGCCTCACACGGGGAACCAGAAGACCATTTGGGTCCCTGGTTCTCAGGTTCTAGGTGGCTCAGTGGGGCGAAGACACTCGTTCAGAGCCTCAGGATCTCAGGGTTAGGAGGGTGCTGGGAGTCTCGCTCAACCAGAGCCGCTGGGGCTGACAAGAAATGTCTTACATGGGAGAAGGACTGGTTTTCTTTTTTTTAATTTAGGCATTTTTTTTTTTTTTTGAGACGGAGTCTCGCTCTGTTGCCCAGGCTGGAGTGCAGTGACGCCATCTCCGCTCACTGCAAGCTCCGCCTTCCGGGTTCACGCCATTCTCCTGCCTCAGCCTCCTGAGTAGCTGGGACTACAGGTGCCCGCCACCACACCCGGCTAATTTTTTGTATTTTTAGTAGAGACGGGGTTTCACCGTGTTAGCCAGGATGGTCTCGGTCTCCTGACCTTGTGATCCACCCACCTCGGCCTCCCAAAATGCTTGGATTACAGGCGTGAGCCACCGTGCCTGGCCGGCAGTGCTCTTTTTATCAGGGTTTACATATACAATTTCTGGTCTTTTAGCTCCTCTGGTCATACTCCTGCATTGTGGCCAGAAGGGAGGGTAGAAATTTGGTCTAAGTTGTCAGACTTGTAGTGGGAAGAGAGGTTGAAATTCCTGGACAAAGTCAGCCTTGGATTTCTTTGGTGTCTACATGTTGGGGGTGGGTGATGGGGGTGAACATTTAGGAGTATAATGGAGAGCTGTGCAGAAAATGGATGCTTCCATGTTAAGGGGCTGTGCTGTTTGGGGATATTAGTTTTGAAAGTTTGAACAACATTTAAAGACTGATGATTTTAAACATTATTATCAATTAGCACTGGAGAAGGGAAATTTTGCAGCTGTGTGAGGTGGGGAGATGGGGAACTCAGCCCAAAGTAAGAGCAGTTCTTAGTGCTGAAGGAAGTTAGGCCAAGCCTCAGGAGGATCTTTTTTTTTTTTTTTTTTTCCCAAGATGGAGTCTTGCTCTGTCACCCAGGCTGGAGTGCAGTGGTGCGATCTTGGCTCACTGCAACCTCCACCTCCTGGGTTCAAGTGATTCTCCTGCCTCAGCCTCCCAAGTAGCTGAGACTACAGGTGTGCGCCACCATGCCGGACTAATTTTTGTATTTTTAGTAAAGACAGGGTTTCACCATGTTGGCAGGATGGTGTTGAACTCCTGACCTCAAGCAGGCCACCTTCTCAGTCTCCCAAAGTGCTGGGATTACAGGAGTGAGCCACTGTCCAGCCATCAGGAGGAGCTTCTGATTCTGCACACCAGGAGAGGCTTGGGGCACCTCCCAGTGCAGGGGGGGCAACTGCACCCCATGGCAGGCTGAGTAGCTCTCTTCTCAGGGGCACTTAGGTGTCTGGGAGCAGAAAATGACTTGAGGTGACCTGTTTGACTTTTATAATTCTTCGATTCTGGGTTATTTCCTTAATTTCAGAGTCAGCAAGACAACTCAGTTTGGTGGCTATTGATCTGAGAAATTGGCACCTGGAAGGGGATTTTCAGGGCAGGCGGCTTCTATCCTAGCTCTGGTCCCCTTCTCCACAACAGAACTGACTTGGAGAGTTCAGAGAGTGGTGCTGCAACTCCATCTCCTGCCCTTGGCTCAGTCCTGTAAACACTTGCCTATCATACTGTGCAGTGTGGCATTTCTCTTGCACTGTGGAAGGAAAGCGAGCCTGGCCCTTTCCTCAAACCTCGGTCCTGATTGAAAGATGAGTGAGCCTACTAACTGCCATCTCCGGCAGCTTCCCCAGCTCCACAATATGAGGACAGGGTAATGATGTCCAATTTTGCACACTTCAGATCCATTAGTAGCAATTACCTTTCTCGAGGTGTTTTGAGTTAGTTTTAACATAGCATTCTTACAGTTGGTGGATAATGACAGTAATAATGTACACAACATTTTCAAGTCGCTGTTTTTAGCTACAATAACACCATTAGTGGGTTCTGTTTAACAGATGCATTTCATGCTAAAAGTTAAGGTTCTCATGATTCCTTTCCCTTCCCCCACATAGACCCTTAACTGCTGTTTTATTCAATGAAGATTTTTACTCTGAAGTTTGAGAGATATTTTTCTTTTTCTGAGTCTTCCTATTGAAACCGGATGGTTATGTCGCTGGCTTGATCTAGAATCATTAATTGTTTTGCTGTTCTTATTTATCTGTTCTTTTCATGACCTGCAAAGTGACCCAGAAACCCAAAGCTCACGAAAATGAAAAATACGTGTATTTTCCAAAACTCATGCAAGAGCCTGTGAGAGATCAGCAGGTTCTACACGATGCCTTCAGCCTTCAAGGCAGATAGGTGGCCACCAATCCGCCCAGAGGAGGCAACTCTCAGAAGGGAGATGTCAGTCTCTTCTAGTTACTTCAGTTGAGGTGTGTGGGTTTTTTTTTTTAACTCCCCCTAATAATACAGAAGAATTGTGTATCCACTCCTCCCCACCTCCCCTACTCCTTCCTGAAGCCATATCTGAGCACCCCAGGGACCAGGAACTCTTCTCTCAAGCCCTGCATTTTCATTGTTTATATCCCTTTTTTGACACTTTCCTATATGCCACCTCCTTCCATTCTTGCCGTTTCTCCTGCTGTTTCCTACACAGCTGTTTTGGTTTTGTTGTGTCCATTTCGCAGTCAGTCATTTGTATGTCTTAGTTCTTTATGTTAGTTTGATAATGCTATTGCCACAAAGTATCACAAACTGGGTGGCTTAGAATAACAGAAACTTGGCCAGTTGCGGTGGCTCACGCCTGTAATCCCAGCACTTTGGGAGGCCAAGGCGGGCGGATCACCAGGTCAGGAGACTGAGACCACGGTGAAACCCCACCTCTACTAAAAGTACAAAAAAATTAGCCGGGTGTGGTGGCGGGCACGTGTAGTCCCAGCTACTTGGGAGGCTGAGGCAGGAGAATGGCGTGAACCTGGGAGGCGGAGCTTGCAGTGAGCCGAGATGGCGCCACTGCACTCCAGCCTGGGCGACAGGCGGAGACTCGATTTAAAAAAAGAAAAAAAAGAATAACAGAAACTTATTCTCTCCCAGTTCTGGAGGCTACGAGTTCACAATCGAGGTGTTGGCAGGGCCCTGCTTCCTCCGAGACTCCAGCTGGGAAGGTCCTTCCTCGCCTCTTCCAGCTTCTGGGGGTGGCTGTTGGTCCTCGGCCTTCCTTGGCTTGAGGCTGCACACTCCCACCTCTGCCTCTGCTGTCACGTGGCATCTGCTGGTATCTGTCTTCATATGGCATTTTCCTCTTCTTATAAAGGACATCAGTCATATTGGATTAGGTCCCATTCCAATGACCTCATCTTAACTTGATTACATCTGTAAAAGCCCTATTTCCAAATCAGATCACATTCACAGGTACCAGAGGTTAGGACTTCAACATAGCTTTCTGGGGGACCCAATTCAATCATACCCCATCCACCCTACCAGTAAATTGTAGTCTTCTTGAAGCCTGGAGTGTTTGGTGAACCCCCTTAGGTAGCATTTCCTAACACCTTGACTATGGAACAGCAAGGAATGGAATCCTGAGATTCTTTTTAAAAGAGAGTGTCCTATTGTCAAATGCATTAGAGAAACACTGTTCCTATGCCCTGACCTGGGGACTTGAGATGCTCACTAGCCTACCAAAGGCTCTGAGGAATCCTGTGAAGACACTTGATTAAGTCAAGCTTATTTTCACTAGCTTTTTGGACCACGGTGGCTTTTTTTTTTTTTTTCCTTCTGGGTTTTCTCTATTAGCAGCAATGAAAATACTTTGGGGGAAATAGGCCCATTAAATGCTGTTATGAATTGCCCAAAATAAGGTAAGCAGAATAATATGATATTTAGTTAAATAATTTTTTTATAACATGAAATGTGTGCTGAAGAATAAGAGGGATTTTTTTTAAGGACTTAATTATGAGAGATACTCCAATTCAGTCGAGAGGTGGATAGAATGGCTGCGAGTCCCCCACGTGCAGCCTCCTCTCCTGACCCTGTATGGTGTGCTTCCTTGCTTGAAAGTGGAGACAAGCATAGGTCTTAAAAATGGGCAGCGCATCATTACTATTCGAGCCCCGTAATTCAACCAGGAAAATCGGTAAAGTCAGTGAGTCCTTCTGCTATTGTGTGCTTTCATTCACAATGATTTTAAATGATGTGATAGAACAGCAAGCTGCCTGGGGAAAACTTGATTTTCTGCTTACATTAAAAGGAACATAACACTGATAATTTTCCAACAACAACAACAAATATTCTTTTTGACCCTTTCAACATCATGTGAGTTCTTCACCTGTCTTTTTGGCAAAAGTCGAATCCCAGGTGGACTTCTTAGCAAACCTGTGAGGTTGTTTCCCTTCCCTCTCTGTCCATTGGTATGATTTGGGAGGACAAATTCATTTTGACACTAGCCTGAGCAAAACCTAATTAGGAAGGTCAATCTCCTGGCAAAAATGCCACACATTATATCATAAAGCCAAACAAAAATGTTTTTTGGACTCATGGATGTTTCCTAGTTTAACATAAAACTGATGTATTTATCACACATAGATATTAAGGGCTATTTCACAAGAAGCATTATTTGTTTTTTAAAATATACAACTTGGAATTCATTGCAGGTTCCCTTTAAATCGCAAATAGTCCTGGTATATTTCAGTTAAGCTTTAATATTTGATATCAGCACCAATTTTCAGATCTATATTAGTATATAGGAAAGAGTGGTTAAGAGCATGGGTTTTTAAGTCAGGCAGACCTGAGTTCAAATCCTGACTGGCTTCATTCCTTGCTGCCCCCCACGGGCTTGTACAGATGACTTGCTCTATTAGCCTCAGTTTTCTTATCTGTAAAATGGGACTCATGATACCTGCCTCAAATGGTTATTGTGAGAACTAATGAGATAATGAATTTAAAACTCTATTCCTGGTTTGTAAAGATTTTAGCTTAATGCCCAGCATGCATATCATTTGCCACTGTTATTATCTGCTACCTTATAATCATTCACATTTTTCATTTATTTAAGAAATACTTATTTTTTATGACAAAGATGGTATTACTTCTTTATTCAGGAGGTGACATCATCAGGCTCTGTGTACCCACACAAATCTCATCTGGAATTGTAATCCCCATAATCCCCACATGTTGAGGGAGAGACCTGGTGGGAGGTGATGGGATCATGGGGGCAGTTTCCCCACGCTGTTCCCTGTGATAGTGAGTGAGTTCTCACAGGATCTGATGGTTTTATAAGTGGCAGTTTCCCCTGCTTTCCTCTCTCAGCTGCCACCATCTAAGATGTGCCTGCTTCCCCTTCTGCCATGATTGTAAGTTTCCTGAGGCCTCCCCAGCCATGCTGAATGGAGTTGATGAAACCTCTTTTCTTTGTAAATTACCCAGTCTTGGGCAGTTCTTTATAGCAGTGTGGAAATGGACTAATACAGTCAGTTTCCACTCAAGTAGGGTGTTTAGTCCGAGGAAGAGATTAATGACCAAGGCAGGTTAAACCATGCCTAAATTACATTACCAAATTGGGACGATATTTAAAAGGTGTTTTCTGGTGAATCTAATGATTTTAAGAAATAGTTACTGAGTGTCTATTATGTGCTAGGCACTACTGAAATTGCTAGGGATATAAGAGAGAACAAGTAAGTTCCTGGCCTTGTAAAGCTTTCATTTTAGGGAGAGGCAGATGATGAACAAATTAATAAGCAAATAGTGTGTCATATTCTGAGGATGACTACAGAGAAAAATAGAGCAAGGTAGGTAGGGCATGCAGTGTGTGTGTGTGTGTGTGTGTGTGTGTGTGTGTTGGAGGGGAGGTCTGTGGGTTATTTTTACACAGAGTGATTGAGGGGGCCTCATTAATAATGTGACATTGGAGTAGACACAGAAAGGAAATGAGGAAATAGATTTCAGGCACAGGGAGCGGGGAATGCAAAAGTCCTGCAGTAGGCATGTGCTTGGTGTTATCTGAGAAGCTACAGAAAGCCAGCATGGCTGGGGCAGAGTGAGCCAAGGGGAGGATCATGGTGGGGGTGAGGTCAGAGAGGGAGCCTGCCAGGTGAGGGGTCTTATAGGAGCCGTAATAGATTTGGGCTTTTATTCTGAGGGAAATGGAGCCATTGGTGAACTTCCAGCAAAGGAGCGATAAAATCGGAAGTATGTTTCAGAAAGACCAAGCTGGCTACTGTATTGAGAATATATGATATTAAAATACAAATATAACTTGGGTGTATGTAAATTGAGATAATGGGCTCTCAAACAAAACTTTCTGAAGAAGGCGTTCTCTGATTCATTGCTTGCCTTTTTCTCCTTTCCCTAGCTCTAATCTTCAATTCCCTATTGTACATTCTCTGTCTGTAGCTGCCCATTTCCCAGGGCCACTCAACATCACTGATGTTGAGAACAGTGTCATAGTCAGCTCAGGCTGCCATAAGAAAAAGGTAGGTCCACTCTGAGGCTTCTTCTTTTGGTTTGTAGATGGCTGCCTTTTCACTCCATCCTCACACAGCAGAGAGAGAAGGAGCAAGCTCTTTCACGTCTCAAGGACACAAATCCTATCAGTGATCCTATCTGGGATCAAGGCTCCACCCTGATGACCTTAACCTTCATCACTTCCATAAAGACCCCATCTCCAAATACAATCACATTAGGGGTGGGGCATCAATGTATGAATTTGGGGAGGGGGACAAAAACATTCAGCCTATAGCAGGTAGGAAGTGCCATATTAAATAAGTTCAGTTCTTTTTACCACAATGAAGAGTGTGGCATTGAGCTAAAATGAAATCTATCACCTTTCTCTTAGGAGAAACCCAGCAGTCACTGTTATTGGTCATACTGAGGCATAACCTAGTAGTAGAGTTGTGCCAGATGTGGTAGCATCTACCGGGGGATTGAGAGCTGGGGTCCAGGAACATATCCCATGGGTCTCCATGAGATGATTTACCAGATTTCACTTCAACATGAGGGGCTTTAGGAGGAAACAGTCACCTGCATCCCCTGAGCAGGGCTGTCCCAGGCAACTGTGCATGACACAGAGGCACCTGCCTCATGGGGCAAGCAGGGCAGAAAATCCAGCCTGGGCTCCTCTTGCCCAGCTTTGTGCCTACCTGGGGGGCAGGGGCTGTGTTCGCTTGGAGAGGGATGTGCTTTTCTGATTCACAGAAGTGCCTGTGGGCCAGTAGCTGTTTCCTTACTGCAAGTGTCTGATTGAACATCAAATAATGTTTTCACTGTCCTCAGAAGAAATTTCTCTCCAGTGTGAGTATCAGACATCATTTTGGTTCCTTTGGACCCCTGGATTGTTTTATCTTATGGATATTTACAGCTGCGTTTTCCTCTTCCTATGGACTGTTAGCTTAGAATTAAATTAGAGCCTCCCTTTAGCAAGTAGATGGGAGTTCATGGTAGGCATTTTCTGGGCTAAAGGCCCTTGTCTTGCAGGATTCCTGGCCTCTTGAAGTGCTATGGGTGGTCTGGGATACCTTGTAAATTTATTAATTTGATGCGCTGCTTGGACTGCATCATAAATTGAGTTTTGGTCTCCTTATTTTGGGGGATTATTATAAATTTGTATTCATTCCACAAATATTTGTTGAGTTTCCTACTATGTGTCTGTATTAGTCTGTTTTCACACTGCTAATAAACACATACCCAGGACTGGGAAGAAAAAGAGATTTAATGGACTTATAGTTCCTTATGGCTGGAGAGCAAGTGGAAGGCAAGGAGGAGCAAGTCATGTCTTACATGGATGGCAGCAGGCAAAGAGAGAGCTTGTGCAGGGAAACTCCCCCTTCTAGAACCATCAGATCTCGTGAGACTTATTCACTATCATGAGAACAGCAGGGGAAAGACCTGCCCCCATGATTCAATTACCTCCCACCAGGTCCCTCCAACAATATGTGGGAATTCAAGATAAATTTTGGGTAGGGACACAGCCAAACCATGTCAGTGTCCATAGTAGGGATGAAGATAACAGGCTAGGGCTCTCTCCTAAGGAGTCTGCTTGCTAATTAGGGAGGCTTAGACATTTCTCAGGTAAACAACTAGCAGGATAGTTATAGGTTGGGACAAGTGTCATACAAGAAGTAAGCAAGGTAGCTGGGTGCGGTGGCTCACGCCTGTCATCCTACCACTTTGGGAGGCCAAGGTGGGTGGATCATCTGAGGTCAGGAGTTCAAGACCAGCCTGGCCAACATGGTGAAACCCCATCTCTACTAAAAATACAAAAATTAGCCGGGCTTGGTGGCAGGTGCCTGTAATCCCAGCTACTCGGGAGGCTGAGGCACAAGAATAGCTTGAAGCTTGAACCCGGGAGGTGGAGGCTGCAGTGAGCCATGATTGCACCACCTCACTCCAGCTTAGGTGACAGAGCGAGACTCTGTCTCAAAAAAAAAAAAAAAAAAAAGCTAGCAAGGTGCTGTCATGGAGAGTAACTGTTGATGTGTGTTGGAGGAAAGGAGGCTCTTTAGACAGAGTAGGCAAGGAAGACAGCTTAAGAAGAGAATTACTTTACATAATGTAAATGAAGTCCTTAGCTTGATCCCTGATGTGCGGTCAGCTCTCAGTTCATAATAGTTACTATGGTTATTATTGCTGTTGTCACCTTTCCCTTATTATATGCTGCACAATGCGTGAAAGCAAGAACACATTGCCAGAATTTTGAAGAGATGATGAAGACTTTGCAGATGTACCAGCACTGGATGGTTGGGAAATTTCAGTTCATAATAACTGAATTTAACTCTTTCCATCTTGAAAGACAGGCCTTGCTTGTCGGGTGGAACTATGGAACTTTGCTCTGCATCTCACATTGGAGCTATGCGTCTCCTAATTTGAGCCCTCTCTCCAAACCGTCATCTTTAAGCATTAATCTGCTGTACCTACCCAATATCTTTAAATCTGGATTCTCCTGATTGTTATTGTAGTGCAAATTTCAATTCATGTCCATTCAGAACCTAATGCAATTAGATCCAGAATTAATTTGGGGGCAGTGTATAGCCAAAGGTCCTTCTTTGAAGAGATTATATTCCACATAGAGTCGAGTCATTAAATAGACAGAAATATAGCCCCTCTAACTTAATGTTTTGAGCACTCTCTGAGCTTGTAGCACAGTCAGCCTATGTGGTAGAAGAAGAGGGTAGAATAAGGGCATGAGGCTGGGAGTTTTGGTGAGTATAACAAGTTCACTGTATTTTTAAGAACACTGAAAAGTACCAGAGCTAACCTGGTTGAAGAACTTGGAAAAGCAGAAGGCCTCCATCTTGCCCACAACTCAATGCCTTTCCTTGGTTACCTAAGGGAATGCACTTGCAACTCTATTACCCAGCAAATTAGGAGAGTGATTCAGTCAGGTATATTTATCACGAAGAGAACTGAAGATAATTAATACACTGCATTGAATGCAAATTGCACCCACAGCACTTATCTCATTTTCAATTAGCACAAATGTTACAGCACTGCGGGCTTGTTATGGTTTTACCATGGGCTGGGTAATTAATTTCTGTGAGCCACATATCAGGCACCTGGTAATGCCGTTTATTAATAAATGTCACCCCAGGTATTGGTTTGTTAGAGGAGGTAAATAAATGGAATGTGCAGTTGTCTGCCCTGTGCAAATCTATTTTTACACCTCACTGAATCTTTTCACTTGTTTGTTTATTGACTAGAGTGACTACTGAGATTACAATTGCAAACAAAGGAAAATCCCCACCCTTAATGTGGCCTCGAAGGGGATTCCTTTTCTTCTCCCTCCGGGATCATCAGACCAGTGAGTGGAGTTGCTTTAGAATGCATTTTCCAGATAAGACTCATGGGGGTAGAGTTAGAAATGGGAGACTTCTGGGGAACCAACCCCATCTGACCTCAGCCTCAATCACTTATGCAGCATTAGGCACGTTTCTCCATCTGTGAGTCTTTGGGGAGCATGAGATTGTACAGGCCCCTTTATGGGCAGCCTGTCCTGTTCCTCATTTCGGCCCCCTTTCCCCTGCTCTGTTTCTCATTACAGTCTTTGCTGCCCAGTCTGTGCCATTCAGGCCCCTGACGGTGTGGGTAGGACCTGGGGGCTTTGGACAAGGGTGAGGTGTTGAGCAGAAGTCCCATATTTTTGTGAGGTTTTCTACACTTCTCAACTTGTGTCCTCTCTCTCCATATTGGCAGGTGATATTAGAATTTCTTGTCAAAGAAAAAAACAAAAACTCTAATAAGCAAATTTTGACTACACGTCGATGATGGACCAGACAGTTTTCAGAGCCTTTCAGAGGGTGATGGGCTCAAACTCCATTTTATCAAAGTCCTTGTGATGGTATAAGTTTTTCTGGGTAGATAGTTTCTTCCTTTTGCTCTGAATCATCTGAGACCTTAATCAGAAATCAGCAATTCCCACCGTATATTTTGAATTTTGTTGCTCCTTGAGGTGTTCCCTTGAGGATCCCATGAGAAGAACCACTGTGATCTGACTAACTGTGTTAATACATGTAAAGCACTTACCACAATGCCTGGCACTTAATCAGTACCCAGTGATGTAACCATGGTTGGCATGATTGTAGTTCTTATTAGTATTTTGTTCTCTCATTTCATGTGACCTAGGAGCAATATTAGTATTGCTCCTGTAGGGAAAGGCTGGCAGAGAGTGATCCTTTATTAATTATAGCAGGTATTTATTGAGCACCTACTATGGACCAGGCACTGATTTGATGCTGCTGATAAAATAGACAAAAATCCTGGTCCTAATGAAGTATATGTTCTATTGGAGACAAGAAATAAATAAGCAGGGAGTAAAATATGTAGTATGTCAGAGAGTTTGAGTGCCATAGAGACATTAGGTAGGGAGGAAAGACAGGAAGTGAGAGGGGTTTCCTTTTGAAATGGGACACTTAAGGAAAGCCTTACTGAGAAGATGCCATTTGAGCAAAGACATGAAGGAGCTAAGGAAGCTAGCTGTGGGATGTCTGGAGAAAGAGCTTTCTAGGCAGAGGCACAGGAAGTGTAAAGGCCCTGAGACAGAAGGATGCTGAGGGCCTCAAGGAGGCCAACAAGGCCAGAGTGGAATGAGTGAGAGGGGGTAGGGTAAGAGGGAGCCTCAGAAGTTGTGAGGGCTGGCCCAGCATGGTATCTCATGCCTGTAATTCCAGCACTTTGGGAGGCCGAGGTGGGAGGATCACTTGAGGTCAGGAGTTTGAGACCAGCCTGGCCCATGTGATGAAACCCCATCTCTACTAAAAATACAAAAATTAGCCAGGTGTGGTGGCACACGCCTGTAATTACAGCTACTTAGGAGGCCGAGGCAGGAGAATTGCTTGAACCTGGGAGGCGGAGGTTGCAGTGATCTGCACTCTAGCCTGGGTGACAGAGTGAGGCTCTGTCTCAAAAAAGAAAAAAAATTATGAGGGCTAGGTCAGGTAGGCCCAAGTGGGAGATTTTAAGAACTTTGTAGTTCACACTGAGATAGGGTGCCATAGGAGGATTTTGGGCAGAGCAGGTGCATAATGTGACTTAGGTTTTAAAAGGATCATTCTGGCTTTTGTTTTAGAAATAGACCACAGAAGACAAGGGCAGAGCCGGTAGACCAGTAAGAAGGGTGTATTAGCTTCTAATTGCTGCTGTTAACAAATTACCACAAATGTAGTGGCTTAAAAACAGCACCCACTTATTATTTTATAGTTCTTGAGGTCAAAGTCGTAAAATCAAGGTGTTAGCAAGATGGTGTTCTTTCTGAAGGCTCTAGAGGAGAGTCCATTTTCTAGACTTTTCCACTTTCCAAAGACTGCCAGAATTCCTCAGCTCGTGGCTCCTTCCTCCATTTTCTTTCTCCTTCTTCTTTATTTTTTATTTATTTTTATTTTTTGAGAGAGTTACATTCTTGTTGCCCAGGCTGGAGTGCAGTGGCACTCAGCTCACTGCAACCTCTGCCTCCTGGGCTCAAGTGATTCTCCTGCTTCAGCCTCCCAAGTAGCTGGGATTACAGGTGCCCGCCACCATGCCCAGCTTTTTTTTTTTTTTTTTTTTTTTTTTTTTTTTAGTAGAGACAGGGTTTCACCATGTTGGTCAAGCTGGTCTCGAACCCCTAACCTCAGGTGATCCACCCGCCTCGGCCTCCCAAAGTGCTGGGATTACAGGTGTGAGCCACTGCGCTGGGCCTCCTTCCTCTGTTTTCAAAGCCAGCAGCATAGCATCTTCAAAGCTTTCTCTTTCTCTGAGTTCTGCTTCTGTCATTCCATTGCCTTCTCTGACTCTGACCCTCCTCTTTCCCATATAGAGACCCTTCTGATTATACTAGACCCACCCCATAATCTAGGATAATTCCCCTGTTTTAAGATCTCTGGTCACATCTACAAAGTCCCTGTTGCCACATAGGGTAACATATTCACAAGTTTTGGGGATTCGGTTGGGAACATCTTTGTAAGGCCATCATTAAGACTAGCACAGAGGCAGAAGCACGAAGGCAGGTGCAGGATGAAGGTGGCAGGGGCAAAGATGGTGAGAAACAGTGGATCCTGGTGATGTATCCAGCTGCCACACATCTTGGACCAATTTCAGCATGGAATCTTCCATACTGTCTGGGCCTGTGGTAAAGGCATCCCCCTTTCCGTGATCATTTCAACTGATTTAGCATCTGTTCCTCATCCCCAGGGTTCATGCACAAACTGAGGAACCATAGACAGTTGGAGTGGGAAGGGACCATAGAAACTTATCAAGTCCCTATTGCCCCGTTATAAATTCCTACTTTTTCCTGGGGCCATTGAAAACTTGTTGGAAGTTTTTCTTTTTTCAAGATTTTATTTTTTTTTAGAGCAGTTTTAGGTTCACACAGCAAACGTGAGAGGCAGGTACAGAGATTTTTCATTTACTCCGTGACCCTACTCATGCATAGTCTCCTCTATTATCAATATCCCCCACCAGAGTGATACATTTTTAACAATCAATGAACCTACATCGACACATCATAATCATCATCATCATTAGGGTTCACTCTTGGTGTTGTACATTCTATGAGTTTGGACAAATGTTTATTGACATGTACCCACCATTATAGTATCATACAGAATATTTCCATTGCCCTAAAAATCCTCTGTGGGATAGTTTTTACTAACTTTATCTGTTTATTATTTTATTCATTCATTTAGCATTTACTGGGCATTTGCTGAGTGCACTGCTCTGTGCTATAAAAGCAGAAATAAAAGATATAAGAGTCATGGTCTTTATCTCCAGGAGCTTGCAATGTATTTGGAATAAGAGAACAATTATAGAGCTAAATATAAGTGAGTGAAAAATCAAATGTTAAGATTTATGCATCAGTACCAACGGAGTGAGGAATGTGGAGAGGATTTCTGGAGGAAGTAACAGGTCATGGATTTTTATTTTTTAATTGGGGCCAGTCAGAAGATTGCCAGCTTTTCATTTTGCTAAGAATGGGCATTAGAATAATTCTTACCATATCTTATTGCCTTTATTTCATTTTAGGTAGGATATTTAAACATCCAAGATATAAAAAAGACATGATCTCAAGATGGAAAGTCCTTGATCTTGGACTCCAAGCTTCTAGAACTATGAGAAAATAAATGTCTGTTGCTTAGGTCTATTGGAAAATACTGGTCTGTGGTATTTTGTTACGGCAGGCCTAGCATGCTAATACAGACACTATTCAACCCAGTGTAATGCTCGATATGCTTTTTTTTTTTTTTTTTTTTTTTTTAAGCTTAGATAACCCAACGTTTGATGGAGGAATTCCAAGATGGATTTCAAGATGTCTGTGTTATACCTGTACCTTTTGTTACCATTTGCTTCATATCTATTCCTACTAATCTTGTGGTGCTTGGCGGGGAGGGGGTTGGAGGATAGTGAGTGCTTTCACACAGGAAGCTGTGAGATGGCGGCACCCAGCTAGACATTCTGCTTAGGTGAATTATGGATTTGCCACACTGAGAGTTCTCTTGAGACTCAGGTTCAGAGGACATGTGTGTACACATGGGGGGCAGATATATGAGGGGAGGGCTGCCGTGGGGTGGGGGCTCTAACAGTACCGTTTTCCCTGCTCCCAGCCTCATTATCGCTCTCCAAGGACCTCAATCTCACCCAGGCCAGCCCTGCCCCCTTTCTGCACCCAGTAAACATTGCTGGCCTGCTTTCTCATGAATATGGATTTCCATCATCCCTCACTGTAGGGATAGATGTTGGGGGCAGAGCTGTTGATTACATTTCCAGCCAATCATTGCCCATTAGCAGGGAAGAGCGGTGGGCATTATCCCTCTTCAGCGAGGAGCCATTTGCATTTGGTTGGGCCCCGCTTTCTTTCTGAGCATCTACGGACCCTCAGCGCACTCAATTACTCCGGCATCCGGCCCTTCCTCTTTCGCTTTCTAAGTGTCTTGATTGGATTGGCCAAATAGCTTGGTGCTAACTACAGCTGTTTAGCATATCCCTGGGTGGAGGGTGATAAGGACCGCAGGGTTTGAGTTGGCTGTAACCTGCAGAAACAAATACCTTTCCCTTTCTGCCCATACTGCCTTCCACCCTCCTACTAAAAGAATCCGCAGTGGTTTGCAGGGAATAGCCCCAGCAGGCAGTAGGGTACGCGCTCCATGCACTTTGCATCTTTTGGGGAGGTCCCTCCTTCTAGAGTTCTCTTTCTAGTGCCCTTGCCCCCGGAGATGTTGGTTTCCCAACTGCCCTGGGGGGCCTGAGGGGTCTGGCACGGATAGATGGTAAGTTTCCCCACCACTTCCGCTTCTGGGAAAGAGGAAGGAAGTGGATCTAAGCAGAGTCCGCTGGGAAAGCAGGTCCCCTCCCTATTGGAAGTTCCGGCAGCGCTCCTGGGCCTTATGGGAAAATTAGAGGCCTGACCTGGGAGACAGGCATGTTTGTGTCCTGCTCACAAACCTTGGTCATAAGTAACCTGTGAGGACAACTGAGAATGACAGAGGGTTTCTTTCGTTCACAGGATCATGTTATCTTCAACCCCCTTCTGCTGCCCATGTTCCCCTGGAAAGCCCTTCTCCAGAGTCAGAAACATTTGTTTGCTCTTGTTAAGGCTGGAGCCATTTCCCCTCCCTCTTCAGGGTTTCTCCCACCCCTCAGCTCCCTCTTCTTCAGTGTTACTAGGGATGCTGTTTTGTTTTCTTTTCCTCTTCTGTTTTGCCCATTCAAGAAAATGAAAGTGAGCACCTGAGAAAGAGAGAGCGGGAGGCAGAGGGGGAAGAGAGACTGTGAGCACCAAATGATCTGAGTGTGATAGAGGAAGGTTACCTGTGTGTTTGTCAACAAGATGAAATAAATAAGAGAAAAAAAAAGAAAAAAGAAAAAAAAGACAGCAGTCAAAGGCAATCAAATATGTATTTAATTAAAGCAAACATAAAAATAAAAGTTACATGTTGAATCAATAAACAGCACTTTTTTCTACATGCATTTTGAACAAGACAGATCAGAATCTTGCATGATGAAGACATAATGTGTCATAATAATTAGGAACACAGACAAAAGAACAGCTAATCAGCATGCAAATGTATGCAGTTCTGGTGATTCAGATGAGGCAGATTTCTACCTCTTTTTTGCTTGATTCATCTTCATTGCTAATCATCTGAAGGCTGCCAAATGTTCACTGACACTAATGTATTATAGGTCAAGAGAGGCAGGTCTTCACCTATTACCCCCCCAAACAATATGCTTCCCTTCCCTGTTTCCTCTTCAGGATTTTCAGCAATCACTGCCAGATGCAATCAGACTCCTTGAATAGGAGCAACTGAGGCTTGTTTGTGGCTCGGATTCATTAGAATCAGGAGGCTGAAGAAAGGAATAAATTACTTAATTGCACAAAAAAGTTGCAGCCAAAGTGATGGTGAGAGAAACTGATTGTGTAGATACGCATTAGGCCACTCTTGGAATGGGGTGTCTTAGAATAGCTGGTAGTTTGGCCTCACAGATTCAGACAGATTTGGGTGTCCTCCAAAACAGATGGCTCCACATACCATCTATTCTTCTCTTTGTCAGGTTTTACCATTTATTTGATCTTGGTCCCTCTCTGATGCTGGTTGTATTAGTTGTAACACAAATATGCATTCAGATCATATCCATTTAGTCTGGCCTCTCCCAACTTTTGTTCTTCCTCTTTTTTCTTTTTCTTTTTTTTTTTTTTTAATTTTCTTTTTGAGAAGATGGTCAAGTTGAATTAAACCCTTGTTGTCCAACTCTTGAATGCTCCTTCACATGAAATGCAGGAAATGGGAAGATTGCACAAGCCTGCAGTGCGGGGGTGTGAGCCCTAGACTGGAGGGAGGAGGAGGGAGAAGCTGCTCAAATGGGGAAAGAAAGAAAAGAAAAGAAAGAAAGAAAGAAAGAAAGAAAGAAGCTCTATTTTCCAACCACAGGGATACCTTCCTTGCCTCAAACTAACTCTTAATCCGTTAAAAAAAAGCACAATATTATCCAGTGTTGTTCATACACAACCAAGGAAGAAGAAACAAAACCATGCAGAGCAGTCTCACAAATGCTTCCTTCTCTTTTCTCTGGCACTTTGGCATGTGCCTCCAGCCATGGGGCCTCTGACTCACACATTCCACTCAGGTTTTTGGTCATGTGCCTGACTTGCGGGTGGTCTTAAGGTCTTGAAGACAGAACTTCATTTTCTCTGTGAAGTTCCTGCATTGCTACTAGTTGTGTGTGCGTGCGTGTGTGTGTGCATGTGTATGTGTGTGTTTTGGGGATGGGGTTGGGAAGAGGGAGGAGAAGGTTCAGTATGAGACAAGAGGCACTGACAGGGAAGAAATTGGGAAATAAATTATGATTGATTTCTATTTGGGAAGAAAAAGTATTCAGAGAGGTAACTTTTCTAATACTGTTGAAAAGTAATTGGCAAAGTGGATTCACCCAGGTTTGTTCTGACATTTCTCTATCCCACCTCCCTTTGCTTTGCTGTTCCCTCTGCCAGACAATCCTTTCCCAGATCGTTCCAAGTCTTGGTCGTCTCATCAGTCATCTCCTCATCAATCCCATGTCCTCAGAGGGGCCAGCTCTGCCCTCCAAAAGTCAGCTGATGGTCACCTGTTCACCCCATCTGATTCTTGGGACTACATTTGTATTCCCTTTATAACTCTTACCATTATCTGAAATTTATTTTTTTAGTATTATTTATTTTTTAAATTTACATGTATGGTAGCTGTCGCCCATGTTAGAAGGTAGGTTTCTTGAGAGCGGGGCAGGATTGCCTGTATGTTTCAACTCCGTATCCCCAGTTTCTACATCTCTATCTGGCTTTCAATAGGCATGCAATACATTTTTATTGTTTAAACAAGTTATTTCTGAAACCTAATGCTGCCTAAGGTCCTGTCACATTAACGGTGGACTCTGAAAGGTTACCCAAGTTACTTTGCTGTGCTGTGATACCATAACAACGCTTCCTGGAGGCTAAAATGTAGGCCATTGTTATCCTTAAGTTACAAAGACATTTTGCCCAATTTACCTTTCTAAGTTTGGTGCTCATTGGATGGGTAAGCGTGGGGCTGACTTCACAGAAAGGAAAGACATTTATTTTCCTGAATTCATCGTCTGTGTTCAACTTAGTAGGAACTGGGAGTCAGCCATTATACTATATATATATATATATATATATATATATATATATATCACACACACACGTGCACAAAGTCAGCTATATATTTCTGTATAGTCCTTTAGGTGTGGGTAGGAACCACTGAGAGGTCTCAGCAGTGTGAGAAAAGTGGGGAGAGAGAAGGGGACGAGAATAAAAGGGGAGAGGAGAAAGGAAAGACATTCTAGACAGTGGGGGTTAGATGGGCCCTGTGTGACCTGACACACTGTCCTGTGTCATTTACTGCCTTATTACAGACAGAGAAGACACTGTAAATGGACCCTACAATGGCTGGAATATGGAGTGAAATGCCAGGGTGGTCCCTACTAAGTGCATGGACATGGTAGGTTAACTGCTTTTTTTCTAGGAGCTGAGTAAACAGAGAGGGTCACACAGAAAAACATTTGTTTCTGTTTTGATCATGCCCTTTTAAGGTGCATGTTATACAGATCAAGATTCCAACTGCTACGAGTTCCGTCTCCTAGCCCTGAGCCCCCTAACCAGGGCGTGGTGCTGGTGGTACCTTTCTTCAGAGAAGTGAAGACGTTTTTTTCTGCTGGTTAGAGTACCACTTTGATTTTGTTTTATAACAAAATAAAACAAATTCTTCCTTTTCTGGAACTTGCCATGAGTAAAATAAATGGAAATTAAATTCATCTTGGGGCTTATTATTTTTCTCAGTCTTACCTTTGGAACGACTCCTTTCTTCCAGGAAACTCAGTGAGGTGTCTCCCAACGGCCTTGATCCCATTTCCAACTGCAGGGGACCCATGGAGTCACAGATTTATTGGGAGTGGGAAGTGGAGTAGGGTGCAGGTTCTGGGTGAGCAGCTTGGCTCTGGGCATTTTAATTCCATGTGGAGCTGGCAGGGAGAAGGCCAGAGCAGGCCCCAGACCATCTAATCCCTTATCATGAGGGCCCCAGCTCCATGCCAAGAACTCGACTTTTGGAGAATGGCAGTTGTCTTGGGGGAGGCTCTCATCTCTGCAGGAAGCCAGCAGGCAGAATGGACACCACCAGATAGAGCCTTCTGTAGCCCGTCCAGAGGCATCTGATTATTCAGTTGATTTTTTTTTTTTTCTGGTCCAAATAAGCCTCATATCCCTTCATCAGAACAAAGCTGAACTTTCCCACTCCCCGGCTGGCGGAGATAGCTGTCTTAGGCTCCTTGGAAAAAGCTCCATGGTTACCTTTCTTTCCCATTTCCTTAGATCTTTTTGTTTGTTTGTTTGTTTTCTTTCTCATAAAGTAAGAAAGACATTCTTCTGTGCCTTGGCAGACAGCTGTCCGAGGTCCTTCTTCTATTGGGGTCTCACCGTTGGACCCCCCCAACCCCTCCCAGTCACACAGGCGACAAAATCTCCTCCTACCCTTCCTTTCACATAGGAAGGAGCTGCTCTCTGAGCCGGCAAGTGAAACCTTGGCACCCTCTCAAAGAAACCTGAAGTGAGAAGGGTTCAAGAGGGAGGTCGCTTTGTGCGGAAAAGCTCCCGCCACAGACCTCTCTACCAGCCTGGTGGAGGGCCTCCCGCAGGGGCACCGGAGAGATGGAAGCCCATTCACACTGGGTATTGTGTCCACCCTGGCTCCTTAGCCATTACTTTTAACTTTAAACAGCTCAAAGAAAAAGATTCCCATGGGATACAGGAGAAACCTATTCCCATCTCCCCTCCCATCCATCTGTGATACGGACTTGGGATTTTAGTTCCAAAATGCTTTATTTCCCCTCATCTCCAAGTTGGGTTACCGACCTTCTATCTGTAAATGCCACCAACTGGCTTCTCTGTTCATGTCTCAGGTTAGTATTTCTTTAGCACAAATACACATTTATTGCTGGGTACTAGGATATCAGATAATTCAATCAGTGTTCTGTTGGAGTCTAGTAGGGAAGAGAGACATGTAAACAATGAGCTTACAGTGCTGAGACAGGTGACTGGATGTCTGTGGCTTACACCAGAAGCTCCCTAATAGAAGCTCCCCTCTGCACAGCACCTATTCTAGATCCGTGTGCAATCGGGGTTGTGAAAGTCTCATTGATTTTGGTGACTGATGTTGAGCAATGCCCCCACCCCTTCTTGGGCTCAAGAGGAGGGAAGTTGGTGTTAAAACTGAGTTAGTATGATCACTGGAACAATAGAAAACCACCCTGCGCCCCTTCTCATTTTACTCATACAAAGTGGTGACCAGCTTGGAGCACTGAGAAGGAAATTTCCACAAACTCGTGGGAACAGGGTGCTGTCCACTTTGCTCTCCGCGATCACTTCTTTTCTTGAGAAGGTGAACGGTGAGGAGTCCATGGTTTAAGTGACTGGCTCTTGGATTTAAATGTTTTCATTTTCTCCTAGAAGGAGAACTTTTCATGGCACTGGTGGCTACTCTCAGAGGGTGATCACTAAAGCAAGAGGAGATCACATCTCTGCTGAGCCATTCACAACTGAGGCAATCTGCTGGAAAGGCAGAAAGAGAAGGTGGCATTTTATCCTGGTGCATGGAAGAAGGAAGAGAGAAGAGGATGTGATGGTTGGCTTTTTGTTAGTAAAGAAAAAAATAAAGAGAGAAATAAACATTTAGCCATTGCATTGTACATGGTTGGAGGTGAGCCAGTGCCCCTTTCTGACTGCTAATGTGCTGGCACAGGAGACTAGTAAGCTAAAACTTTTCTATCTGTTGATTTAATGATGTATGGAGGATTCATATTTAAAAAGAAGGTTGGACTTCTTGAATTCTAGGTCTCCATCCAAGTCTTAAAGTTCTGCTTGTCTATGAGTTAATCAACAACATTGGGTGCCCACTCTGTGCAGGAGGGGTCTCCTTGTGCTGGCCCTCTCACCTATGGGTGAGTACTTTTCTCTAGTTGGAACTGAAAACCAAGATTAAGAAATGAAAATAGTATGGTAAGAGTATTGGATGGTGGGGTCAAAGCCATTTTAGTTCTGACGAGTCAACGGTTAATTGAGCCACTAGTATGAATGGGCCTGGCCAGTGCCGGTGCAGAGACACAGGGATGAAGGAGATGAATGGGGGCATGTGGAGAGCATCTGTAAGGAGGCTAGGCCTAGGTAGAGCCAGGCCTCTGCACCTGCGTCCTGTGCACTGCTTGTCTGTCACTCCACGTCTGCAGATGTTTGGGGGCTGGTAGGCCCAGACAGGCAGGGAGAGCTGTCTGCACAGGGAAGTCGGTGGCATTGCTATTATTTAGTTTTGAAGGAGGCCATGACTGTGTGTAAAACAGAGGTGAAGAGGCCAGGGTCCTTTTGTGTGGGCCAGGGCCTACGTCACCCTGCAATTCTCTGAAGACTCCTGAGGAACTTGTCCCCGCAGCTGAGCTCATGGCCTCTCTGCTGGCCTCCTCTCTCTGCCTGCCCAGGCTGCCTTTGTTTTGACATCTTTTTACTCTCCTCTCCATGTTTCCTGTTTTTGTGGATCTTCCCCTTCTGCTGTATTTTTCCTGTGTCTGTTTGGGCTCCCAGATGTTGCGGCCATTGGTTATTTTGGTAACTATCTGGGGCATCACAAGATCTTAAAAAAAAAAAAAAAAAGACAATGGAAAAATCCTATATTGGAAAAAAATTTCCATACATGTGTCCCAGGTTGGATAATGGACCATCCCAATGTTTCAGATGCATAACTTGGGTGTTACAAGGACAGAGCCAACCAACTGAAATGTAGTAAATTTCAGTTAAAACATTAACAATTCTGTCATTTTATGCCACCTGCCCAGGGCCCATCATGGCACACTGTACATCGTTGGCACCCACCAAACTTTGGTTGAATTCAGTGTATTAAGTGGTGTACCCTCCCTGGAGATATGTTTTTAGGTAGGAGGATTCACAGTCCTTTTAAAATACCTTTTCTGCACTAGCTGTCATTTTGAAAATGCTGTTGATACAGCGATCCAATCAAATGGCAGTGGAGGGCATGCTTGTCTGTATATGCAAAATAAAAGAAATGCCACAGAAGACATATGCTACTCTGATGGGGACTCTAATCCATCTCTGGCAGCAGGACGGCCAGCAGTGCCCAGGAATTTGGCCTGAGAGAGGCCTATAGGAAGAGTCTCATTAGTTAATTCGGTGTGGGCCAGATCCTGCAGGTAGGTAAACTGTTTGCTTCAACACCATTTAGTCAGCTCCTCTGTGGTGGCTGTGGCAGAGGCACAGCTGGGTCGTGGGTTCCTTCTAGAGTGGAGGGGGTGTCTTCTCTGCCCTGACCACAGATCACACTTCTGCCCAGAAGGCCGACCTCAGATGGTGCTGGCAGGACAACTTCTTCCTTATATACTTTTCATACCTACTGCAGGACAGATCCAGGCATAACTACTGATGCATAACAGTTGACAAAAATGATACAAGCCCCTCAGTGGCTTTTCTAACCATGGCATGGTTAGGAGGAGGAAACATTACTTGGTTGGAAAGAAACTCAGGGTTCCAAGGGGGCAAGTGGCACAACTGGCAGAGCAATGGGCTGGACATCAGATGGGACTTCTCACCAGGTCTCTTCTTGTTTGTGAACACCCGACTCCACATCCAATCAGTGAGAAAATCTTATTGTTTCCACCTTCCAAACTATTTCTCAAATGTGTTTCTTTTCTTTCTATTCCATCCATAGGTGACTCTTGGGCTAATAGTTATGTATTTAAGGATAAATAGCTATTCCGGCATTTCTCTTGTGAATAGGTATAAACCATCAAGTCTCTACAACAGGAAGGAGCCAGCCAACTGGTCTTGTACGTTCCTTGTCCTTTTTATGACCACAATTCCTGCTGTTTCTTTTGCTACTTGGAGATCTATGGTTTTTATAAATGAAAAGCTGGATGTGGTGGAATGGAATGCGTGTCATGAGTTAAGGGAGAACCCTGATATATCACTGTGTTAAGCAAATAAGACTTACCCATGTGGTGATTGTTTCATGTTTAGTGGAAACATTCATGTCCATTCCTAGAGACAGAAGTTGATCTACAGAACGATCAACCCCAGTGATTTCTCCAGCTGTGTGGAATTGTCTTGCGAGGTGCTCAGGGTCAGGTTTTCGTGCTTCAGGTATGGTGTAGCCAGGGGACTGTTCCTAAGCTCTTTCCTATGTACCTGTGGTGCCGCGTGTTGCAGGTCAGGGACATTTCGATAACAAGAAGGGCTGGCTTTTATTTTATCTTATTTTATTTTATTTTTTGAGATGGAATCTCGCTGTGTCACCCAGGCTGGAGTGCAGTGGTACAATCTCGGCTCACTGCAACCTCTGCCTCCCGGGTTCAAGCAATTCTCCTGCCTCCTGAAGCTATTCAGGAGCGATTCAGCCTCCTGAGTAGCTGGGATTACAGGCACCCACCACCACGCCTGGCTAATTTTTGTATTTTTAGTAGAGAAGGGCTTTCACAATGTTGGCCAGGCTGATCTCAAACTCCTGACCTCAGGTGATCCACTCGCCTTGGCCTCCCAAATTGCTGGGATTATAGGCGTGAGCCACTGAGCCAGGGCAGGACTGGCTTTTAAATAGTAACTAGAAGAGGCACTCAGTGGAGAACTTCAAGAATGGGATTGGTACTACCTGGGCTCCAAGGGGGCAGTGGCTGGAAACCTCTCCTAGTTTCTGGATGATGATAATAATAACAATAGTAGCATTTACTGAGGTCAGGCCCATGTTAATAATGCTTCACATGAATGAACTCATTTAGTCTTCACAACAGTGTCATAAAGTACAGTCTATCATCTTCCTGTTATGGATGAGGAAACTGAGGCACAGAGAGGTTGATTAGCTTCCCCCAGGACATACAGGTGCTTCCAAATTTTGTCAAATTTGGGAACACCTTTATTACATTCTTCTCATATATTATTCTTAAATACTGCATGAATCGATGATATTAGGAGAACTCCTGGCAGCAACAACACTAGGACCTCCAGCAGTAAGTACTCACAGGACTGTGGACCATACAGATATATCCTGCAAAATCCAAATGAAATGTATCAGCAACTCAGCTTTTCCTTAGCTGAATCCCCAAAACACCCGCAGTCATTCCTGTACCATCGAAGTGGAAGTAGGCATGAAAGTCAGAGTGGAAAGAGAGAAGTCTTAACCAACTCAGTCGAACATAGCTTATTTTTGCACACTTTATGAAAACATATGCTCCTGTGAACACATTGCAAGGGCTCCTCCCAGGGCCTTCGACAGGGTCTGCATGAGGGAGGGACTCTGAAACTTCTGCTTATTAACTGTACAATAAATTTGCTCCTGGCCCTAAGGTATATATGGGAGATGTATATCTCTCTCTCTCTTTCTCTCCTTTATCCATCATAGCTATAGACATCTATATTTATCTATCCATTTCCTGTATCTATCTAGAGATATATATATTTACACATCTATATGTACATCTACATCTCTCTCTTTCTATATATGGTAACAGGATGCACACTGAAGGTGTTGGATGGATGTCTGCCAGTCCTGTTGGGTATTGCTGTGACAGAGATAAAGCCTCACTTGGAGATAATGTGAAGCCCTTTGTGATGTTAAGGATTAAATCAAATGACTTCCGCGCCCCACCTCTCCCCATAATAATCCTGTTAGACTGGAATTATTATTCCCATTTTGCACATGTGGGAGCTAAGGCTTAGAGAAGCACACAGGGGAAGAACCAGCTCTGACAGTCATTTTTCACTCATATGAACTAATGATGGCTTGTATAGAAAGCACAAATAAAGATCACATTTCATGGCCTCAAGAGGATAGGATGGCAGAAAGCTTATAGCTCCTTAGGGAAGTTAAGTACATAATGATAGGTTGTTGTATTAGTTAGGATTAGCTGGGGCTGCGAGTGGCAGAAGTCCCTGAATAACAGTGGTTTAAATCAGATGGATACTGATTTCTCACTAATGTGAACGTCCAGGTAGCTGGTCCGCTATCATCAGGGGTCAACTTCTATTTTATTGCTTTGCCATCCTCAACACATACTTCTAACTCATGGTCCAAAGTGGCTGCTATAGCTCCAGCCATGAGGTCTGTATTCTAACCAGCAGAAAGGACAGAAGGGCAGAAGAAGACTAATTTCTTCTCTTTAACTACACTTACTGAGAACTATGTATGTGTGTGCCTCCACAGACATATATGCACACACCTGCCACTCCTATCTGCAACCCCATTGGCCAGAACTTGGTCATGTGGCCACACCAAGATACAAGGGAGATGGGGAAATATAGGTTTTATTCAAGGCAACTATGTTCACAGATAACTCTGTGACAAAGGGGCAGAGCTGATGTAAGGAGAGAGCTAGCACAACTGTCGTGTGCTGTATCTCACCATATTTTGCTTATTATCTTCTCAAGAATATTGCATTCTCTTTGAAGGTGGGGATTCTATTCTGTATTCATCCACTGAATTAGAGAATGTGAAAAGGCCAAGGAGGTGATCCGGTTTAGTGATTTTCAAACTTCTTTTTATCAGTATATTTCATTTTTCAAAGGAAATTTTTTAGGAGACTCCAATATGTAAGACATGAAAGCAATATGTTATCAAAAGTAATTTCACGAATTCAAAGTTATAGCATTTTCTTCTTTTAAAATCAACACGGAGTCAAGTTAAAGGGTCTAAAATGCTAATATTTGCTACACAATACATTTGAGTGTGTGTTTCCACTGATTTATAAATAGCTTAAAGTTCACTTCTAATAACGAAATTCAATACAATAGCTTCAGAACCCCTTCAAACTTGAGCTTGAAAACAGCCAATCAAGTTCAAACTTCTAATTGTACAGCAAGTATTGAAGGCCCAAAGTGGTGAGCTGATTTGGTCAACATCCCAGAGCTAGACAGTAGTGGAATGAGGCTGAAATCAAGTTTATGAGTCAATAAGTATGGCCTAAGGTTCCGACATTGCACAGGTCCCAAGCACTTCTTATTAAATCCCTCTATATCACCTAGAAGACTGCTGGGTGCAGAGAGGCTGCTCAGTACATATTTGTTGTTAAGAGAAAGGCTTTTTCCTTGATGATGGGGTATGTTTACTTAAGGAGAACAGAGGCCCTAAGGGTCATAGAGTCATTATTTGGTATGGGGGAAATAACGATACCTAACATTTGTTTGGCTCTTTATATATTCATAAAGTGTGATCACATACCTTTTCCAATTTAATCCTTTCAAAACCTATTAAATAATTAGAGCAGATATTACTCTTATTCCCATTTTACAGGTGAGGAAACTGAAGCTCACGGAGTTGAATGACTTGTCCGAGAATACAAGGCAACTGAGTGGCAGAGCCCGAAGCTAAATCTGTGTTTTCTGGCTCCAAATCCAGACCTCTGTTCTTTGTTGTCACCCAGCTCGTTGAGTTTTTCATACACCTATTTAGACTTTTCTTGCATTACACAACTCTAGGGGGTACCATTCCCATTGTAAACTAAGGAGTTATGTTTTGGTCTATTTACATAGACCACAGTGGTATCTTTGGCACTGTGCAAAGGGGTGACAGTATCTCTCTCTACATTGGGAGTTCTTTGAGTGAAGGCATTATGATTTATTTATCTCTGTATCCCAGGCACCTGGCCAGGGATATCAATTGATGTTGTTGAATGAACTGCATTGCATGTCTACAGAGTGCAGTAGGTTTTCCAGTAATTTAATTTGTGTTCCTTTTTGTCTCTTTAATCAGACCATAGGCCTGGAAAAGACAAGGGGTTAAACTTTGCCCTCTTCCCTGCATCCTAAGTCCCACCCTCCTCATTCTTCCAGGCTTAATACAGGCTAAGGCTCAGAGTTCTCACTCAGCCAGCCTGCATTATTTCAGCAGCATCTGCAGTGGTGCGCTTAGATCTGAAGTACAGCCAGAAGACCTGTATTTCAATCTCTGTTTCATCATTAACAAGATATATGGTCTTGGGGATAGTTCTCTCCTCTGTAAATGAAGGAGATGCTCTACCACTGTGTATGGTTATCGTACTAGATTGTGTGTATCCAGTTCTGTGCCTCTAGACAGCATTGATTATATGCTCTATGAACTCCACTCTGTTTGCTTCTGGAGGACACAGGAGGTACGGGCAGCAGATGGGTGAGGTTGACTGATTTGACCCCATGTTATTGCACTCAGGGAGTGATCATTAAATTCCATGGCATTTCTTCCAGTATCTCATGGTCACTGTGGTTATTGATGTTGATGCTATTCTTGGTGATGACTGGACCCAGTTGATTGGTTCCTGGTATATTGTATACATCCACTTACTCATTTATTCATTCAACAGATATTTATTGTCTGCTGTGTACCAGGTATATATATTCAAGGGGTTAGGGATGATACAGCTCCACACAAAATGGGCCAAGTCATTGCCCTCGTGCAGCGTATCATGCTGTAGGGGAAAGAAGGAGAGATATGCAAGAAGCAAAGAAACACAAAAGTACGTACTGTAGTAATATAGGGTAGGGACAATTTCTGTGAAGACAGTGAAGCAGGGCTAGTGAGGGGTGAGGCTGTGTGCATGTGTAGGAGTGGCGTGTGTGTCTGCATGTGCATGTCTGCATGTATGGTTGAGAGTGTATGTGGGACCATTGGGAAGGTGACCTGAACCAAGAGGAGTGAACTCTTCAGTTATTGGGGGAAGAGCTGAATTCCTAAGTTCTTGGGAAATGTTTCCTTAATGTTAAATAAATAATTATGAATGAATCTTAGGCCTACCCTGTCCAAATCCCACTTTGCTTTCACATTGATCCTCACATCAAGTCCAAACACCTCCAAGGGCCTTTTCAGCATGAACTTCACTCCCCCTTATGTGATTATCTCACTACACCACGGGGCCTGGATTCTGATTCCCTCCTGCTCTTGGCTTCTCCAGGCCTGTCTGCTTCATGCTCCACTGATCTCTTTTTCCTGGCCATTCTTACTGTACTTAGAGTCTGCACTTCATAGTTTGTACATTCTTTCTTTCTTTTTCATTCATATTTGTTGGATTTGCCTCTTCAACTGAGGCTTAGTAGTTTTGGAGTGAGCTATGTATTAAACTTCTGTTGGATCCTCTATGGGACCTACCACAAAGCTATGTCCATAGCAGGTGTTCAGTAAACCCTTGGATATCGACTAATTGAAGAATTATTTTCTTCTCCAAAAGAATAGATTGGAGGTAAACGTGATGTGGTACATTGGGAACAATGGCACAGACTTCTCTCCTCAAGATCTGGCATCTATTTTCTCAGTCCTTGAATCTGGGCTGGCTTTGTGACATGTTTTGACTAATAGAATGTGTGGTAGAAGTGATGTGCAAGTTCTGGTCTAGAAGTCTTGCAGCATTTTTTTTTTTTTTTTTGAGAGACAAGGTGTCACTATGTTGCCCAGGCTGGCTTTGATCTTCGGGGCTCAAGGGATCCTCTTGTGTCAGCAAGTAGCTTAGAGTAAAGATGTGTTCTCCCATGTCTGGCTCCTTGTACCTTTTGACCTTGGGCTGGAAATGCTTCCCACGCTGAACAGAGCAAGGCTAGCTTAGTAGAAGATGACAGACCAGGGCCAGGCACGGTGGCTCATGCCTGTAATCTCAGCACTTTGGGAGGCCAAGGCAGGTGGATCACCTGAGGTCAGGAGTTCGAGACCAGCCTGTCCAGCATGGTGAAACTCCATCTGAACTAAAAATACAAAAATTAGCCAGATGTGGTGGCGCATGCCTGTAATCCTAGCTACTCAGGAGGCTGAGAGGCAGGATAATCACTTGAACCTGGGAGGCAGAGGTTGCAGTGAACTGAGACCATGCCATTGCACTCCAGCCTGGGCAACAAGAGCGAAACTCTGTCTCAAAAAATAAGAAAATAAATAAATAAATAAATAAAATGAAAAAGAAGATGAGAGACCACATGTAGACAAATCTTGGCCCTCACAGCTGTGGCCCCAGACATGGGAGTGATGCTCGTTAAGAACAATTGACTCTGTTTCAGACCAGAAAGATAACCCAGCTGAGCCTGGTCCAAATTGTCCATCCACACAGTTAGGAGCTAAATAGTGTAGCGTTGCTTTAAGCAACTGGGTTTTGGGTGGTTTTCTCTGCAGCATGGAATAAGCGATCATTCGGTGAGACCATTCTGGTAGCATGGCAAAGTAGTTCTAGAAATAATCTCTTAAACTCTGATTGCATTTGTAATATACTTCAGATCTCTTTCATGTTCATTACCTCATTTAATTCTTGCGGGATTATTTGAGAAGACAAGCAATCGTTATCGTGCCTATTTTACAGATCAGGAAATTAAGGCTCACAGAGGCTGCCTTAGATGTGGTATGTGGAAGAGGATGTAGGATTCAGCCTATTGTGATGTGGAGGTCCCAGGACGCATGGTGGCTTTTCCTGTTGAGGGCAGGTTAGCCCTGAGGGCAATAGCCTGAGTTAGATGAAGAAAGTTGAGAGCTGAGGGCCTCATTCTGAGGCTGCCTTTTTTTTTTCTCTCAAGACGGAGTCTTGCTCTGTCGCCTTAGGCTGGAGTGCAATGGCGCGATCTTGGCTCACTGCAACCTCTGCCTCCTGGGTTCAAGCAATTCTCCTGCCTCAGCCTCCCGAGTAGCTGGGATTACAGGCATGCGCCACCATGCCTGGCTAATTTTTTGTATTTTTAGTAGAGACAGGTTGGTCAGGCTGGTCTTGAACTCATAACTTCATGATCCGTCTGCCTCGGCCTCCCAAAGTGCTGGGATTACAGGCGTGAGCCACCGTGCCTGGCTGAGGCTGCCTGTTTTCATGAGCCCTGTGATGCTGGGCTTCTCTCACCTCCATGTAGGAAGGTTGCATAATGAGAAACTCATAATGAGGCTTAGCAAGTCCTTGTTTTTTCCAGAGTAGCTCAGAGCCTCTGCTTTGCTGCCGGATTGGGTTGCTTGTGAAGGTTTCTAATTCGGGGTCTTAATTTTTGTAAAGCGTGAATTACAAGAAGTCAGAAGAATGATGCAAAGAGCATTTAATAATGCACATTCACAAAAGAAGTGGTGTAACTACATTAATTAGGCAAGTCTTGCGTAAAGATGCAATGTAATTATATATTTGAGACAGTTAATTAGGGAGCTACTTGGAAATTTCAGTGAATATTAAGGTAATTATACATAAATACTATAACCATTAAGACTGCACCCATAATGAAAGCAATAACTAATTACATAAATAACAGCATACTTATGTTTTTACATTACCAACACCTAACAATGCTTCCTCTCCCCCGCCTCCCTTCACCATGCAAATGGCAAATCTTTCATTTTTAACTCAGATATTCTTGCAAATGGTTGGGAACAATGACCTTTCCTCTTCTTCCCTCTATGTTGACAATGCTGGGCCTGCTGTGGAAACTTCCTGTGAATGGACAGAAGTGTGAGATGTGAGGGCAGGCGGGGCCTGCCTGACTCCACCTGTGTGATTGGGGGCAGGAATAAAGCAGGGCCAAGCCGTGTAGTGGCTGGAGAGGGGCAAGGTGGGGCCATGGTCAGAGTCAAGCTGACTCCAGTCCTACCCTGCCCTTTATCAGGTAGTTGAACCACCAAAGAGAAGTCACTTAGCATTGCTGAGCCTCAGTTTCCTCATTGTATCAAATGGGCATAATTGTAATCCCTGCGTGTCAGGGCTTTCATGGACAGCAGATATAAAACCATCAAATGCCATCCTGTGTAACCGGCCATAGTTTGTCTTTGAAGCTCCTGCTCATAGACCTCTATGCCTTCTGCTCCTCTCAGCATGTCCCTTTTATCTTCACGGCTCTCAGACACCCACCAAGCTGCCTATACCACCTTCTCAATTAAGAACAGCTTTTATAAAATGATCTGGAGCTCATTCACACTCAAGTGTGACTGACTGATGACTCCAAGGATTGGGAGCAGGTGGATGACTGAGTATGTTTATATTGTAATAGGAAGCAAAGTCTTCAGCTACTGCCCTACTTATAAAATTCCCAGGCAACAGGTAGTTAATGAAATGTTTGGACTCCAGGAGCACTTCTGGGAACTCATGGTATCTTACCATGTAGGAATTTGTTCTTTCACATGAGAGAGGCCACATAGAGTGGTGGGTAAAGGCATGGAATAGGAGTCCCAGACACCTGGGGTTAAGCTCTTGGCTCTAGCACTGGCAGACTACTTAGTCCTTCTAATAAGAATAAAAATGCTAGCATGCATTGATCAGTTACTAAGTTGCAGGTACTGGTTTAAGGACCTTACTTGTATTAACTAATATGAACTAATTTAATCTTCATGACAATCCTGCAAGGTACATGCTATTATTGTCTTTGTCTCATGGATAAGAAAATTGAGGCACAGGGATGTTAAGTAACTTGTCCCTCCCAGGTCACATAGCTAGTAAGAAGAAGAGCTTGGATTTGAATTTCAATGATTGACTCTACAGCCTGAGTTTTCTGCCATCTTCAAATGCAAGATGGTGGCAATCATCGTATCTACTTCATGGGGCTGTGGTATTATGTGAGATAGCTTGGGTAGAGTGCTTAGCTCATTGCTAGCACATTGTAAGTACTCTAGTCTATCAAACTTTGCCTCTTGGCCCAAGTGTCAGTGCATGTTCATTTCTCCGTTTGATTCTTCTCTTGGCCAGGCAGTGTCTCCCATGCTCCTCATTTCCCACTACCTTCCATCGTTTATAGCTTGGTCAATTTCTCACCAAGTTGCCTTTCCTGCTTAGGTGGGATGTGGATGTGAAGGGTGAGTCAGATTCCAGCTGACCTACCAGACGAATGGTGCCCTTTCAAAGACGTTCAAAAGGGAAGCCACCTGCTTGATCTGACAATGCTGCCATTACCCAAAGTCTGACTGACACTGTCCCCTCCTGTCATATTTTGCTGATTCCTTGGAATTCACACATCAGTTTTTACTGGAGAAGTTTCATCATCTTGTTTATTGACCAGATTTATATATGAATTGCTTTTAACTCTTTTGAGAAAATAAAATTGACTTTTCCCAGCATGGTAGGCAACAGCAGTATTTGGTACACAGAAACTTGTTATTTTAAGACATGCAGATGGTCTGTCTGGAATAGGAAAGGGCTCTTAGTATATGGCTCTTGGTGCCTCAGAGTGAAGCCTTTCTTAATTTGTCATGGGTTGGGGACCAGCCTGTTTTCATGTTCCCATCGATGTACCCTAACTATAGCCATTGGCCAGCCTTTCCATACAGTTACTGTTTGCAGCCATTTTTTTTCATGCTATCAGAAGAAAGTCATCTCATTCACTTATATTTGACTTTTAACACAAAAGTCTACACGATCCCATTATTCATAAGTGAATAATGAGACACCAGACAATCTCTGGATATTTGGGAAAAATCATAAGGCATAAAAGAGAAGAACTAAAAGATAGAGATGATCCCAGAGAACACAGAGATGATTTAGAGAACGGAAGAGGACTTAAACATTTTTTTGGCTGGGCATGGTGGCTCACATCTGTAATCCCAACACTTTGGGAGGCTGAGGTGGGCAGATTTCTTGAGCTCAGGAGTTTGAGACCAGCCTGGGCAACATAGCGAAACGCTGTCTCTACAGAAACAAAAGTTAGTCAGGTGTGGTGGTGCATACCTGTGATCCCTGTCTCAAAAAAAATTTTTTTGTAGTTGAAATACAAGACAATATTGTATTGTAAAATAACTACTGCTTAAAAAAAGAGGAGAAATCAAACAAGAAGAAATGATTTTTAGAATTGAAAAAAATGTGAATACTAAAACATTTCAATAGGATATCTGGAAGATAAAGTTGAAAAAACTCCCTATTTTATAGAGCAAAAAGAAAAAAATATAAGACACAATGAAAAGTTAAGAGGTAGGGATGAGGAAACCAAGAAATGTAACCTCCAGTCAATAAAAATTCCAGAAAGAAACAACAGAGAAATGAAGAAAAGGAAATAATGAAGGCTGAAGAGAGGAGCTTAAACTTTTTTTTCAGTGTTGTGTGTATATATATATATATATATATATATATATATATATATATATATATATATACATACCATGGAATACTACTCAACCATAAAAAGGAACAAAATAATGACATTCACATTGACCTGGATGGAATTGGAGACTATTATCCTAAGTGAAGTAACTCAGGAAAGAAAAACCAAACGTTGTATGTTCTCACTCATAAGTGAGAGCTAAGCTATGAGGATGCAAAAGCATAAGAATGACACCATGGACTCTGGGCACTCGGGGAAAGGGTGGGAGGGGGGTGAGGGATAAAAGAATACACATTGGGTATAATGTACATTGCTTGGGTAGTGGGTGCACCAAAATCCCAGAAATCGCCACTAAAGAACTTCTTCATGTAACCAAATACTACCTGTTCCCCAAAAACCTACTGAAATAAATACAAAATAAAAAAAATAAAAAAGTTTTTTTTTGGGAGGAAAATATTGTTAATGAAAGAAAAATAATCAGATTGCCACTCCATTCTCCTCACAACGCTAATTGCTAGACGAAAATGGCATGATACCTTTCTACTTCTAAGGAAGAATAATTTTGACCCAAGGTTTCTATACCTAGACAAACTATCATTCAAGTGTGAGGTCTAAATAAAAGCAATTTTCAGAGATGGAAGGATCCAGAAATTTTATCTCCCACATAGCTTTTCTAAACAAAATAAGACAAAACAAACAAACAAAACCTTCAGCATGTAACCCATAAACTTAAGAAAAAAATTGAAGAAGGAGGAAGATACAAAACCCAATTGCTAGAGAGCATCAGGAACAAATCCCAGTCTGCCAGCTGTGCAACAGACCTAAAAAAAATCAGTACAAGTTAGAAAAAGGAAGTCACATAACTCCAAGAGGAATGTTTTTAAGAAAAAAGTAAATTTTACTCACTAAGTAGTATGATTGTAAACCTGCAATATCCTATGGATATGATTTTTTAAATGTGTATTTCTTCTCAAAAGATAAAAGAAGAGAATTTGGAAATATTAAGAAGCATAAAAAGCTGTCTTAAAAATCATGGTGCAAATATGAAGTCAGCTAAAATATGGCATAATTTTGAGTAATTCTATGTACAACTTTTTCTCATGGTACTTAGCATCTTTTAACATTCCTTATAAGTTACCTACTTATTGTGCTTTTTTTTTTTGAGACAGAGTCTCATTCTGTTGCCCAGGCTGGAGTGCAGTGGCACGATCTCAGGCTTACTGCAACCTCTGCCTCCCAGGTTCAAGCGATTCTTATGCTTCAGCTTCCCTAGTAGCTGGGACTACAGGTGTGCACCACCACGCCTGGCTAATTTTTGTATTTTTAGTAGAGACGAGGTTTTGCCATGTTGGCCAGACTGGTTTTGAACTCCGGACCTCAAGTGATCCACCCGCCTCAGCCTCCCAAAATGCTGGGATTACAGGCATGAGCCACTGCACCCACCTATGCTTGTTTTTTATACCCCAACTAGAATGTATTCTCCATGAGGGCAGAGAGTTTCACCTATTGCATTCATTGTTGTATTTTCTGCACCTGGAAAATTGCTTAGCACCTAGTAGCCACTCCAGTATTTGTTGAATAAATGAATATATGAAGAAAATGCAAATTCTTTTGACCTTTTAGTATATTTTTCTTCAAGTTGTACACGTTTAATGACAGAGGGTCATATATCTTCCTTAGGAGTTCAATTATACTATTTGGTTCTGCAGTGAATAATATTTGCCTCAACTTAATATTGTAAATACAGTTTATTTACTCAAGAATAAATTAGTTTATTGAAATATAATCTACATTCATAAATCATAAGGATACAGTTTGATGAATATTTACACCCAGATCAAGAAACAAAACACTACCAGCATCGTAAAAATGTCCCAATTACCTTCTCAATGTAATGAAGTTATCCATCTTGTCTTTTACTTTCTTGAACATAATAATCATAGATATTTCAAAGTTCCTTTCTGATAACTCCAACATTTAAACTTCCTTTGAGTCTGTCTTTATCGTTTGCTTTTTCTTGTAGCTTTGGTCATTTGGGCTTACCTGTTGTTATACCAAGTAATTTTTTATTGAATCCTGGATGTTACGAATGAAAAAATTTACAGATCATCTGAGGCTCTGTGGTTTCTTCCTCCAGAGGTGGCAGACAGTTCACCTGAATACAGACTAGAATGAAGTTTGTTAGAAGCTAGGCTTCGGTATTGGTAAAGGCAAGTCTATTTTGGTTTGCCTTAACTTCTAGGGAATTGTCTTTCAGATGTCTTGAATGACTGGGATGTTTTCCAGGGCTCCTCCTTTTTGATGGGCCCTGAACTCCAATTTTATTCTTCAAGCCATCTGAGGTGGCTTAAAACTCTGCTTAGGTTCTCAGACTTAGGGCTGACACTTTCTGTTCTGCTCCTTTGACACTCTGCTCCTTGGCCTCTTGCCTGCAGCTTTAAGAATTGGCAGATACTTTGAGGCTAAAAGTGGCCTGGTCTTTCTTCTGCACTTCTTTTCTTTCTGAGATCTTGGCTCCTCAAATCCTCCTGTCTTAGCAGCTGTCTAGTGCCTTCAATTTTTTAAATAAGCTTTTTATTGTGTAATAATTTTAGCTTTACAATAAAGTTGCCGAAATAATATAGAGAGCTCTCATATACATCCCACCCTAATGGTAACAATATCATGGACACATTTGTCAAAACTAAGAAATAAACATTGGTCCACTACTACACTACTATTAATAAAATTTCAGACTTTATTCCAATTTCCTCAATTTTTGCCTTGCATTTAACAAATGTATTTTTTTCTAAAGTCCAGCTTTTTAGTTATTCTTGGCAAGAGGACTGATGTATTATAAGCTAATATACCATAGCTAGAAACAGAACTAGTATTTATTTGTTTTAAAATTTTAAATAATTAACCCATAGATAAGGCACAGAAGACTTAAAATTGGACATTCAACATTCTAAAGGTAACTGGTAGAACAATAAAAAAAAATATCACCAATAAAACTCCAGAAATAGATACGAGGTAGGAAGTAGTATTAGGGAGTTAAATTTTTACATTTTTTCATAGAGGAGATTCAAATGATACTGTCAAGTTCATAAATGAAGATACAGAAGTATAAGAATTATGATGAAAATGATCATAAAGACAGAAAGTAGAATTGAAAGTGGTTATCTCGGAGTAATGGGATAGAAGACGGTGAGGGTACAAAAATTCTGCTTTTCTTATATTCAGGCTGGTTTGTTAGTTTTTTTTTAACCATATGAAGCATAATCTGTGTGTACTGACATAGTATGATACCTTTAATACATTATAAATGACAAATATCATACTGTTTACATAAAAACTGTATGTGCACATGTAAGTATGCAGTGCGATTTTATAAACATATCTGAACTCTTATGCTTCTTTCTTATGAAAACAGCATGGCCTTGTCCCGTAAGTTTAGCCTGCTTGTCTCAGGAAGAGGATGAGACGCATGTGGAGCAGAGGCTTCCTTTCTTTCAGGAAATTTGGGCTGAATCAGATTTGCCTAGTCCTCTCTTACCACTAGTGGAAGTTAAGAATAATTTTACAGTGATGATAAATTTCTCATAATTAACAATAAATACCAGAAAACAAAGGAATAATATCTTCAAAGGGCTGAGTGACGATAGGCATTAACCTGGCTTCCATCGCCAAAACCCCCTAATATTTGAGATTTGAGGTGACACGTAGACCTTTTCACAGGTACAAAAACTAGGAGAATTAATCCTCCAAGACCTTTCCAGAATAAATTAGTAAATATACTTCAAAGGAAGTGATCCTAGCAAGGAGTTGGATGCAAAACAGGTGGTGAAAATGAAATTAACATTGATTGGTAATAAGATTAATGATTGTAAACACTTTTTTTCTTTATTTTACAAAAGATCTGACAAGAAAATTTGTTATTGGCTTTCAGGAGATAAACAGTTCTTGCTTTATTTTAGAGGAGATTAGAGACATTAAGCAACTTCAGAATTAGGAAAACATATAGTTATGTATGTATATTACAATGTATGGATTGGCTGGGCACAGTGGCTTATGCCTGAAATCCCAACACTTTGAGAGGTTGAGGCAGGAGGATCACTTGAAACCAGGAGTTTGAGACCAGCCTGGTCAACATAGTGAACCCTGTCACTACAAATATTTTAAAAAATTAGCCAGGTGTGGAGGCATGCACCTGTAGTCCTGGCTACTTGGGAGGCTGAGGCAAGAGAATCACTTGAGCCCAGGAGTTCAAGATTACAGTGAGCTATGATCACAGCACTGTGCTCCATCCTGGGCAACAGAGTGAGACCCTGTCCCTAAAACATAAACAAATAAAATGTATGGGTAATTAGAGTAATAGTATAAGTCTAGCTTTCAAATCAACAGAAGAAAAATGAAAGAGTAAAGAAAACTTGTAGGAGGTGGGAAATGGGAAAGATAAGAAGGCAGACATGACGTACCCCCATCTGCAAAGTCTGCTTTGCCATGGAGTAAACATATCACCAGTATGGCAATAGGACATAGCCATCTTTGGGGGTTATTAAGCATACCCCAGGAACATCAATGCAGAGACCCTGAGGTGAGAATGTGATTGGCATATTCAAGGAGGTCTGTGTGGTTGGAATGAGAGAGGAAAATGGGAGCTGCTCATGAAGGGCCTGATAGACCCCACTAATGACCTCAGTCATCTCTTTACCGAGTCTAAGGGTGGATTTTAATATGCTCAAAGTCACTGAACATGAGAACCAACCGGGGAGCTTGTTGAAATGTACATTTCCGGGCCCAAGAGGTTTTCATTCAATGGCTTTGAGGAAAAGCCCCAGAGACGATATTTTCTAAAGCATCCCAGATGATTGCAGTGGGATCAAGCTACAGCCTATGGCTACTTGCACCAGATGAAAATGACACAGAGGACTGTGATAATAAACATAAGAAAACTGTCCAATTCTTCTTATCTCCATGGTTGTTTTCATTCCTCTTGCCATTGACTCATTTTGGAGAGGGCAGGTGATGTAATTCGGGCCAATGAAACATAGAGAAGTCTTTCAAGGGTGCTCTGCAAAACTGTTCTTGCTCTTAAAAGAAAAACTATCTGGGTCATTGCAGCTGTCATTCTATCATCTTGAGGATGACACCAACACCAAGGAGGGTGGAGAAAATATGCAAAAAACGTGGGACTTAGCATTATTAAGTGACTGAATTAACCCATCCCAAACTCACCTGTCTTTGGATGTTCTGTTAAGAGAAATAATAAATTCCCATACTCTTTAAGGTTAATTTGGGTTGGAATTCCTACAAGTTGCAGCTGAAACATTCTTAAATGACATGGCAAGAATGGGCTATAGGTTTTCAAGCTGCTCCGTATTCTCCTTATGGGTAAAATAAGAAAGCTATAGCTCCTTGCTTCTTCCCTCCTCTGTATAACAATAAACCCTATGGAGCAGGCTCATAAATGGTTTCAATGAAATAATCTTTAAAGTGCTTAGCACAGTGTCTGGACAGAGGAAGTGTTTAATAAGTGCTCCTTGAATTGAATGAATGGGTGAATGGGTGATTGCATTTGTTGAAAGGCTGTAGGTAAACATGGAAATAACATAACCACATACTGGTCTTCATTTCTAGGTGTCTCTTTCTCAAATCAGGATTGAAGATTACTTTGGCTTTCTTTGGCAACCATCCTGTTGCTAATCATTACTCTTTTAAAAATAAATTTCTGTCAGCTTAGGAAAAAAGAAGTATCTGCTTATTTATTTATATATTTTTATTCAACAGATGCAGGTCTCATGTTTTTTTCCTTTCTAAGTAAAGAGAAGAATCAATTATTTTACCTTTATAAAAACTACACAAACACACTTTGAACATAACCCAAAAATATTATTGACATTTCAAAGCAGTTTCCTTTTCCCTTCTTGTTTTCCTAACCCTCTGCCTATACCCTATCCACTGGTCACTGCCAGGGCTGACGTGGGGGACGGTAATGCATGACCACTTGGGCAATTCAGCACAGTAAGGAGAAGCAGGATGGATTTAGGCTATATGATATGATACTTGGGTGCATCTTCAAGATGCTTAGGCAGCATCCGCACTTTCCACACCCTGGGTTTGCTCGAGTTGCTGCACACTTTGCAGCTTACTATAGTTACAACAGGCAGAACTCAGGCTGGAGTCAAATGCTAAAGTTCATCAGACACTTAGGAGGATCATAGATGGGCAAACAGGTCTTGAAGAGCAGGAGGATAATTCGTAGTTACTTCTTGTTTGAACCCAGATTTGTCAGACCTGAAAACCTTCTCAAACACAAAAGCACAGACCACATGAGAAACAGTCAATATTGTATTTCAGCATTTCAAAAATAAATTGGGAAAAACAGGCCTTCTGTCCTTTGGAGTGAAGTTGATTAGGATGTGCTGTACTGCTGGACCTGGAAGTGATGATCAAACTTGACAGGGCCATAAGCATGCACTAAAGAGTGGAATTATTAACATTTCTGTTCCCAGAGACAGAGAAAATTTCCTATGGTAAATATCAACATTTATGCTGTGTGTCAGACTCTATATCCTGTCTTTCCCCACATCCTGTCTCACCCAACTCATGGCTGAGACCACCACTGGGTGGTCTGAATACTCTTTTTAAGTCCCTAGGGGTTTGGAAACTAAGCAACTTGGGAGGCATGGATTTAAACTCCCCAGGAAAAGTCACAGGATGGCATGTTACTTCATTCTACCTGGCTAAAACCTTGATCCTGGATTCTGTTCCCTTGCAGAAGTGTGGGGTGATGTTATGATTCAGAAAGTTCCTGGTTCTCTCTCTCTCACTAATTAAAGCCCTGCGTCTCTCAGGTCACATGTGGATGGAAAGCAAATGAGAGATCAATCTTGCAGCCTTGCAGTGGGAACTGACCTGGTTCTTTTTGTCCATCACATGCATGTGCAGTGGGTGATATTCTGATGTTTTGAAAATCAGAATGCTTCTGTGCAAATACAGAATTCTCTTTTATCAGGAAAAGAGCTATCGAGGAGTCCTGGTAAATAGGACAGACACTTCTGGGGCAGATGTGGGAGTGTGTGTGTATTAGCATGTGCATGACAGGTGGGGGTTTGGGGCACTGCCTCTGAGAGTGTTAGAATCAGATTTCCCAAAAGTGGACACCTGGAAAATCCTGTGCCATATTGGCTATTGCTTCTTAAGGATGACATAATAGAGCTGGAAGAGATCCAGGATAGGGCAGCTGAATTAATTAAAGAGTTGGAATGATTATTAAAAACACTTTTTTTCTCAGATTATAAAAGTAATACGTATTCATTATAGAAAATTTGGAAAATATTCAAGGCAAACAATAAAATGAAGTTATATGTTATCTTACCATCCAGAGATAATTTAACATTTTACTGTATTGCCTTTTAGTTTTTTTCTTAGAACACAAACATATGTATTACAAAATTGGTATCATATATATGTATGTATAGTGTATATACTTATATTCACATATGTTTATTCACACACGTATATAAAATTTTGTATCTTATTTGGTACATGTTTTATATATGATTGGGTATATGTTTTCTTGTCGTCAAATGTTTTCTAAAACATTTTAATGACTAATGTAGCAATTGCTGGGTCTACAAAAACATATTTGATGATTTTTATATTATTTAGATTTAGTTTATTTTCAGATTATATTTAATTAAGTACATGTACATATTTACTTTAATAATTAACACTGAAATGGAATGTTTTCCACCAAAATCCTCGTGGGCATTTCTGATTATTTCCCTGGGATCAATTCTTAGATGTCAAATTACAGGGCTAGATTTTGAACACTTTTAAAGTTGTAGCTAGATTTTAGTAGACACACAAAATGAATTTAGAAGATGAAGATTTGTCAGCATGAAAAGCTAACTGCTGAACGGAGACACAGATGAAGTCTATAAAAGCGCAAAAGGCTTTAATTGGTCAAGTAGAGATTTGCTAACCAAACCCAGAAATATTGCAAATACACAGCAATTTTTGGAATTCCATGAGGGTAGCTTTGGAGCCAATGCAAAGAAGGTGTGATTTGCTTGGCAGAGAGAAGATCTGTGCATCTTTTTGCCTTGAAAAGTGGCAACTGGCTAAAAATATAGACAGATTCTGTAAGATTTTAGATAATGGCTATATGAGTGGAGTTTTGTCATTATGAAGTAGTATCATCAAGTGCCCAGAACTGAATGCTATAGTCATGACACGTGGTCATGAATGTGTATTCTGACTGTGTGGCATGGGGCTGAGTGAAGGGATCACAGGGTCTCTGAAGTCCTGGTACCTGGAAACTGTGACAAAAGGGCTCTTCTAAAATTGCCAGAGGTGACTTCTGGAACTCTAAAGGTGGAAGCGGAGATTGGTCTTTGGGAAAGATTCTTCTCTTTTATTTTGGGAGGTGGCATCACTTTTGTGAGTCCTCTTAGCCATGTAGAAGGGATTTAACTATCTACTTGATTTTCTTAGGGCTAAGTGAACCAAATGTATATACAGGTATGCTGAGTATTCTGTTTATTAATATCAAATACTACTCTGGGCTGGAGGTGGTGGGAGGACACTTCAGGATTTTTTTTTCTTTTTTTCTTTTTTTAATGAGGAGATTGGTGACTTTCCCTTACGAGCTGGGAGATAGAGTTTTGGGGAAAAGGGCTATGGAGGAAAGAAGCAAGGCAAAAATTAGCTCCAAATTTATTGAAATTGTTTCAGTATTCAGTATCAGTGTCTTCATTTCTTCCTTCCTTTATTCCGTTATTTATTTTTTAACTGCAGGTGCAAGAAAAATTTTCAGTGTAGTAAACAATGTGTTCATTGATGAGCAAAACAGAATGTGCATGGAAGTGGTGTAAAAGGTGCAAAATGAACTGAGGCGTTCTTCAATATTCTCTACTGTAATTCTAAAATTTGGAAAAACCTGTTTAAAAATAAAATATTATAAAAGCTGTGTATCAAGTAATAAGTACAAATTATTAATTGAAACATGCAAATGATGAAAAATTAAATATGTTTGCTTTAAAATTTATCCTCTAAATTTTGTGTCTCGTGGGAGGGGGTGCTGGTGGCAAGACTGGGGATCTGGGAACAGAGAGTTTCTCAGGGGCCACAATATTGTAAGAGGCAAGGGAAGTGAAGGTCTTTTTTCCCAAGAAATTAGATGAAGTAATCATAGAAGGTAAAGGAAACACATACTATAAAGATAGGCTCTTTGAAGCTTCTCAGTTGGAAGGAGGCTTCTACAATTTCTGTCTGAGATTGGGCAAGAAAACAGATCCACAGGTGACTGTCAATCAGAGTTTAACCCAGTTGTGTTTGACTATAGGGTCTCCCTATGATTGATCTATGATTAATACTAACTCTTGGCTGGATGCAGTGGCTCACACCTGTAATCTCAGCATTGGGAGGCTGAGGCAGGAGCTGGACCTATGGATGCTTCTACCTAAGATCAACACCTATGGCATTGACAAGGTATGCAAGAAGGTGTGGAAGATATGTACTGTTAGGAACTTATGCTGTCTATTTAAAAATCAGTCAACCAACTTATATTTGCTGAGCACCCTTCAAGACCCCAGGTGAATGCATGGGGAGAAATCAGAACAATGTGAGAGGGGAGGGCTCTCCTCAGGCATTTACAAGACAACATCGTTGGGACTTCTAAAGAAAGGAATGTACTTGCTCATACTGTAGAATTTACTAATGTATTATGTGTATTGTCTATCTCCACCAGCTATAATGTCAGTTCAGCAGGGCAAGGATCTTTGTCTTGTTTTCCCCAGCAGGGTCTTGAGCAATGCTTGGCCCAGAGTTGATGTTCAGTATCCATTGAATATCTACTGAGTAAATGAATGCCTCGGTATGCTTCTCCAAGAATGCCCATCCATTTGTACTTACAAAAATAAGTACACCTATATTTCACTTAAAATGTGTCAGGCACTCTTCTAGCCCTAAACATATCTTAGCTCCTTTGATCAATCTTCTGATGTAACTACTGGTATTATCATTCTAATTTTATAGAAGAGGCAACTGAAGCAAAAAGGAGTAACTTACCTGGGGTAACCCAGCCAGTAGGTGCTGAAACAGAGATTCTAACCCAGGCAGCCTGGCTCTTACATCCATATCTTCACTATCACTTTGTTTTCCTTCTCCAGGACTTGGGTCCAAGGTGTCTACTCAGCACAAAGTTGCATTCTGTGGCTGTGAAATAGCAAAGTGAACTGGCCTATTCCTTTCTGGCTCTTTCTACCCAGGAGGTTGCCTTTAATGTTTCTTTCAGGCTGACTGCATAATCAGCCTTTCTCAGGGCTGAGCTCTTATTATGAGTCAGGCGTATGTATTAGCTTTCCATCTTGTTGGGAAGATAAGACACAATTGCAAGCAATTTTTTGGTAGTATGTAGAAAATGGAGTCACCATGAGAAAGGGACAGAAAGAAATGTTATGGAAATTCAGAGGAAGGTGCTATTGCTTCCCTATGCTGTGTTCAGAGACATGGAAAAATGATGTGGAAAAGCCGAGGGAACAGCCTGAGCAAAGGCACAGAGGGCCATCTCAGAGGATCCTTTGTTAGCTGCTGCTCAGAGTCCCTCACAGTCAGAACCCTTCCTCCCATGGACCAAAAGAAAGTCCATTAAGTCCTGGTGTGTCTGCCCTTTTGGCAATCTAAGAATGTGTCTAGCATATGGGTTCTGAGACCCTTACCTGTCTTGGCACCATTCCTCTCTGGTGCCAATTGTCAAACTACCTTGAGCCTCAGTTTCCTCATATGTAAAACAGAAGCTAATAGGATCTACCCTAAGGGTTTGTTGGAAGAATCCAAGCTGGTCATGTAGACGAAGCTCTTAGCATCACCTGGCACCATGAGTGCTCACTAACCTTGCTGCTCTTTTCCACCCTAGTTGTCTGAGTGCTCATAGGTGATGATGGTAATGATCCCCTGCACTTTTGTAGAGCTCAGGAATTAGAACCCTCTCATGTGTATGAACTCATTGAAACTTCACAACTGCTCACCTGCCCTGACCTGGGAAAATCATTTTGTCACTTCTTTCCCCAAGAGATATTTTTATTCTGATGAGTCAATTCAGGCTGAAGTGAACACTAAGGGCCATTTTCCATTTCTTATAACAGAGTACCTGAAACTGGGTAATATATAAAGAAAAGGAATTTATTTCTTATAAAGGTTGAGAGTCCAAGGTCAAGGGGCTGCATCTGGTGAGGGCCTTCTTGCTGGTGAGGACTCTGCAGAGTCTTAAGGCAGTGCAGGACAACACATGGCAAGGGGGCTGAGTGTCCTAGCTCAGGTCTCTCTCCCTTTCCTTATAAAGCTACCAGTCCCACTCCTATGATAATCCATTGATTCATTAACTCATTAATCCACAAATGGATTAATCTATTCCTTTAGGGCTTTGCCCTCATGACCCAATCACCTCTTAAAGGCTCCACTTCTCGATATTGCCACATTGGGGATTAAATTTGAACATGAATTTTGGAGGGGAAAAATATTCAAACCGTAGCCAGCCCTTGGCAAGAGAGGGAAAATCAGGCTGGGTGCAGTGGCTCACACCTGTAATCCCAGCACTTTGGGAGGCCGAGGTGGGCGGATCACCTAAGGTCAGGAGTTTGAGGCCAGCCTGGCCAACATGGTGAAACCCTGCCTCTACTAAAAATACAAAAATTAGTCAGGTGTGGTGGCGTATGCCTATAATTCCAGCTACTCAGGAGGCTGAGGCAGGAGAATCACTTGAACCCAGGGACAGAGGTTGCAGTGAACTGAGATCGCGCCACTGCACTCATGCCTGGGAGACAGAGTGAGACTCTGTCTCACAAAGGAAAAAAAAAAGAGAGAGAGAGAAGGAAATCTTTGGAAAGCCCAAAGAAGGGAGTGGGTGAAGGGGGCTGGTGGAAGAAGGCTGGCGGGATGTACAAGGGCGTGTCATTTTCAGACCAGCTGGAAGGGCCCATTCTTGCTACCCCCGTGCCCCCTTGCAGAATCGGGAGCTGTAGGGACTGCTTGGATCCACCGGCCTTAGACAGGGGTCTATACACTAGCACGGGCACGGGGCAGTTGAAGGGAGTGTTTGCAATCTGATATTCTCACTTCTTAGGGAGACTCAGAAGTCATTTTTTGTGATAAGTGAGACACATAGCATCTTGCAAAAATCATGCTCTGGAGTAGATTTGCATAAATGAATGCACTGTATTTTTAAAAAAATTATGAAAGCTTTAATTACCTAAACTTGAATTAAGTTGTCTCTTGCAGAACACACAAAGTATTAGCTTATTTTATACTTAGTTACCTTTTTGTTTTCATAAATTGGATGATCTTCTATGTAACTCTTGTTTCAACTCAGCGGCAACACCTCAGAGATGTTTTCAAAGTAACAAATATTGTTATGGAGCACTTGCTATGAACCAGCACGACTTATTATTTAAGAGCAGAGACCCTGAGAGCCAGGCTGTCTGGGTCTATTCATGATTCTGCCACTTACTAGCTGTGTAATCTTGGACAGTTATTTAACCATCTTCTGCCTCAGTTTACTAATCTGTAAGACAGGTACCTATGTCATAAGGTTGTTATGAGGATTAAATGGGCTAATATGAATAAAGTGTTCAGAACGGTGCCTGCTCATGGAAAATATTCAATACAGGTCAGTCTGGTTATGTGCTGGACACTGGGCCAGGAGCTGGGGATAGAACTCCAAAGATAGACGAGGTCCCTGAATTCTTTGAGCTTACAGTCTAGTGGAGAAGTGAGAGAGGTGGCAGTTAGTCAACAATGAGGGCGATGTGTGGTATAACAGGGGTGGTACAAGGTTTTCTAGGAAGAGTAATTACAGGCTTCTGTAGATGTGCTGGATATTTTCTTTTTCCTATCTTGTTAACATGGACTGATTTGTTTAACATCATAAATCCCCAGGATTGAAAAGCGTTTTCAAAGGTCACTGGTTCATTTCAGTGACCCAAGTAAAACCTGCCCCCAGGCCAGGTGTGGTGGCTCACGCCTGTAATCCCAGCACTTTGGGAGGCCGAGGCAGCAGATCACCTGAGGTCAGGAGTTCGAGACCAGCCTGGCCAACATGGTGAAACACTGTCTCTACTAAAAATACAAAAAATTAGCGGGGCGTGATAGCAGGTGCCTGTAATCCCAGCTACTTGGGAGGCTGAGGCAGGAGAATCACTTGAACCTGAGAGGTGGAGGTTGCAATGAGCTGAGATGGCACCACTGCATTCCAGCCTTGGTGACAAGAGCAAAGCTCCATCTCAAGAAAAACAAACAAAATAAAAGCCTGCCCCCAGATAACGTCATAGACATGTCTGCTTCTTTCTCTGCCTTCATCACTACACCGGAAGCTGCTAGCCCTGCAGTTTACATCCTGCCAGCTTTTCTCAGATCCCTCAGCCTGGGGTGGCCTGCTTTCAGGAACTTCTTAGATGCTTAGGAGCCTGCCTGGGGAAGAGGTTCTCAAAACTTGTCTTTAGGAATGGAGCTGCTTTCTGCATTTTTCTGTGACCCAGCATTCTTGATTCTTGGACCTGGGCACTGCACCTGGACTGTTTTTCTGTTTCTGTGCCCGTGACTCTGACTGTGGTCACCAGGGCTGCTGTGGGCACCAGCACAGGGAGGGGCAGAAAGCAGGGGCCAGGACCAGGGGCTGGGAGAGTAGTGATCACCTCCCTCCAATTTTCTCAGCCTACCATCTGTGCAGCACCTACATCGGGATCACCTGGGATTATTGTTTAAAAATCAGATTCCTTGGCTTCAGACCCAGTGAGATCCAGGAATACACATATTAAATCAGCTTTCTTGGTGATTGTTAGGCAACGACTCCTCAAAGGTGGGCCCGTGTGTCTGCTTGGAGCCCTTGTTGGAGACAAACACCTTTCCTTGCTCTTCCCTAGTGGTGCACACCTCTTGGGGCCCTGTCCTGCCAGCTTTTCTCAGATCCCTCAGCCTGGTGCACAGTCTAGCTGGCTCTGGGTCTACCTAGATGCACCAGGAAGGGTGAGAGGGGGTAAGGATGTTGGAATGACTGGCAAATTGGAGCTGGCTTCTGTGGATTGCAGAATCACGAAAGATTAGAATCGGAAAGCATCTTAGCGATGGGTCCATACAGACTTTTTATTTGGTGGGTGAAACATCAGACCTGGGGCAGTCAGGTGATGCACTGAAGGTCTGACCAGCAGGGCTCTGGGCCAGGGCTAGAGTGCAGGCCACTGGCTCTTTGTATGACCACAGTGGTCCTCTCACTAGGGCCACCCCTGGTCTGAGGTGTGGAGACCAAAGAAAGTGCCATTCACTTCATCTGTAGGGCTTGAACTTGGAATTATTTTTTCAGCATTCAGATGGGCCAAACTGAGGTTGGCTCCATTTGCGGCTGAATGCACGGTAGGGAGAAAGGTAAACCAGGTTGTGGATTCTGGCTGAGTCCAGGAACAACCTGGCTGGCTCTTGTGTGGCGGGACCCTCCTCCTGGGCTTCCACAGGGTGGTGGAGGTGGTACCGCTTGGCATGAGGCATACGAATAAGCTACCTTGTGGTCGTTCTTGATTTGCGTATGTTGAACCAGCCTTGCATCCCAGGGATGAAGCCCACTTGATCATGGTGGATAAGCTTTTTGATGTGCTGCTGGATTCGGTTTGCCAGTATTTTATTGAGGATTTTTGCATCGATGTTCATCAGGGATATTGGTCTAAACTTCTCTTTTTTTGTTGTGTCTCTGCCAGGCTTTGGTATCAGGATGATGCTGGCCTCATGAAATGAGTTAGGGAGGATTCCCTCTTTTTCTATTGATTGGAATAGTTTCAGAAGGAATGGTACCAGCTCCTCCTTGTACTGCTGGTAGAATTCGGCTGTGAATCCATCTGGTCCTGGACTTTTTTGGTTGGTAAGCTATTAATTATGGCCTCAATTTCCGAGCCTGTTTTTGGTCTATTCAGAGATTCAACTTCTTCCTGGTTTAGTCTTGGGAGGGTGTATGTGTCAAGGAATTTATCCATTTCTTCTAGATTTTCTAGTTTATTTGCATAGAGGTGTTTATAGTATTCTCTGATGGTAGTTTGTGTTTCTGTGGGATCAGTGGTGATATCCCCTTTATCATTTTTTATTGCATCTATTTGATTCTTCTCTCTTTTCTTCTTTATTAGTCTTGCTAGCAGTCTATCAATTTTGCTGACCTTTTCAAAAAACCAGCTCCTGGATTCACTGATGTGTTGAAGGGTTTTTTGTGTCTCTATCTCCTTCAGTTCTGCTCTGATCTTAGTTATTTCTTGCCTTCTGCTAGCTTTTGAATATGTTTGCTCTTGCTTCTCTAGTTCTTTACACACTGCTTTAAATGTGTCCCAGAGATTCTGGTATGTTGTGTCTTTGTTCTCGTTGGTTTCAAAGAACATCTTTATTTCTGCCTTCATTTCGTTATGTACCCAGTAGTCATTCAGGAGCAGGTTGTTCAGTTTCCATGTAGTTGAGTGGTTTCAAGTGAGTTTCTTAATCCTGAGTTCTAGTTTGATTGCACTGTGGTCTGAGAGACAGTTTGTTATAATTTCTATTCTTTTACATTTGCTGAGGAGTGCTTTACTTCCAACTATGTGGTCAATTTTGGAATAGCTGTGGTGTGATGCTGAGAAGAATGTATATTCTGTTGATTAGGGGTGGAGAGTTCTGTAGATGTCTGTTAGTTCTGCTTGGTGCAGAGCTGAATTCAATTCCTGGGTATCGTTGTGAACTTTCTGTCTTGTTGATCTGTCTAATGTTGACAGTGGGGTGTTAAAGTCTCCCATTATTAATGTGTGGGAGTCTAAGTCTCCTCGTAGGTCTCTAAGGACTTGCTTTATGAATCTGGGTGCTCCTGTACTGGGTGCATATATATTTAGGATAGTTAGCTCTTCTTGTTGAATTGATCCCTTTACCGTTATGTAATGGCCTTCTTTGTCTCTTTTGATCTTTGTTGGTTTAAAGTCTGTTTTATCAGAGACTAGGATTGCAACCCTTGCCTTTTTTTGTTTTCCATTTGCTTGGTAGATCTTCCTCCATCCCTTTATTTTGAGCCTATGTGTGTCTCTGCAGGGGAGATGGGTCTCTTGAATATAGCACACTGATGGGTCTTGACTCTTTATCCAATTTGCCAGTCTGTGTCTTCTAATTGGAGCATTTAGCCCATTTACATTTAAAGTTAATATTGTTATGTGTGAATTTGATCCTGTCATTATGATGTTAGCTGGTTATTTTGCTCGTTAGTTGATGCAGTTTCTTCCTAGCATCGATGGTCTTTACAATTTGGCAGTGTTTTTGCAGTGGCTGGTACCGGTTGTTCCTTTCCATGTTTAGTGCTTCCTTCAGGAGCTCTTTAGGGCAAGCCTGGTAGTGACAAAATCTCTCAGCATTTGCTTGTCTTTAAAGTATTTTATTTCTCCTTCACTTATGAAACTTAGTTTGGCTGGATATGAAATTCTGGGTTGAAAATTCTTTCCTTTAAGAACGTTGAATATTGGCCCCCAATCTCTTGTGGCTTGTAGAGTTTCTGCTGAGAGATCAGCTGTTAGTCTGATGGGCTTCCCTTTGTGGGTAACCCGACCTTTCTCTCTGGCTGCCCTTAACATTTTTTCCTTCATTTCAACTTTGGTGAATCTGACAATTATGTGTCTTGGAGTTGCTGTTCTCGAGGAGTATCTTTGTGGCGTTCTCTGTATTTCGTGAATTTGAATGTTGGCCTGCCTTGCTAGGTTGGGGAAGTTCTCCTGTATAATATCCCGCAGAGTGTTTTCCAACTTGGTTCCATTCTCCCCGTCACTTTCAGGTACACCAATCGGACGCAGATTTGGTCTTTTCCCATAGTCCCACATTTTTTGGAGGCTTTGTTCGTTTCTTTTTATTCTTTTTTCTCTAAACTTCTCTTCTTGCTTCATTTCATTCATTTGATCTTCCATCACAGATACCCTTTCTTCCAGTTGATTGAATCGGCTACTGAAGCTTGTGCATTTGTCACGTAGTTCTCATGCCATGGTTTTCAGCTCCATCAGGTCCTTTAAAGACTTCTCTGCATTGGTTATTCTAGTTAGCCATTAGTCTAATCTTTTTTCAAGATTTTTAACTTCTTTGCGATGGGTTCGAACTTCCTCCTTTAGCTCAGAGAAGTTTGTTCGTCTGAAGCCTTCTTCTCTCAGCTCATCAAAGTCATTCTCTGTCCAGCTTTGTTCTGTTGATGGTGAGGAGCTGCGTTCCTTTGGAGGAGGAGAAGCGCTCTGATTTTTAGAATTTTCAGTTTTTTCTGTTCTGTTTTTTCCCCATCTTTGTGGTTTTATCTACCTTTGGTCTTTGATGATGGTGATGTGCAGATGGGGTTTTGGTGTCGATGTCCTTTCTGTTTGTTAGTTTTCATTCTAACAGTCAGGACCCTCAGCTGCAGATCTGTTGGAGTTTGCTGGAGGTCTACTCCAGACCCTGTTTGCCTGGGTATCAGCAGCGGAGGCTGCAGAACAGCGAATATTGCTGAACAGCAAATGTTGCTGTCTGATCATTTCTCTGGAGGTTTCCTCTCAGAGGGCTACTCGGCTGCGTGAGGTGTCAGTCTGCCCCTACTGGGGGGTGCCTCCCAGTTAGGCTACTCAGGGGTCAGGGACCCACTTGAGGAGGCAGTCTGTCCGTTCTCAGATCTCAAACTCCATGCTGGGAGAACCACTACTCTCTTCAGAGCTGTCAGACAGGGACATTTAAGTCTGCAGAGGTTTCTGCTGCCTTTTGTTCAGCTATGCCCTGCCCCCAGAGGTGGAGTCTACAGAGGTAGGCAGGCCTCCTTGAGCTGCGGTGGGCTCCACCCAGTTGGAGCTTCCCTGCCACTTTGTTTACCTACTCAAGCCTCAGCAATGGCAGGCGCCCTCCCCCAGCCTTGCTGACGCCTTGCAGTTCGATTTCAGACTGCTGTGCTAGCAATGAGCAAGGCTCCGTGGGCGTGGGACCCTCTGAACCAGGAGCGGGATATAATCTCCTGGTGTGCTGTTTGCTAAGACCATTGGAAAAGCACAGTATTAGGGTGTGAGCGACCCGATTTTCCAGGTGCTCTCTGTCCCAGCTTTGCTTGGCTATGAAAGGGAATTCCCTGACCCCTTGCAGTTCCCAGGTGAGGCGATGCCTCGCCCTCCTTTGGCTCATGCTCAGTGCGCTGCACCCACTGTCCAACAAGCCCCAGTGAGATGAACCCGGTACCTCAATTGGAAATGCAGAAATCACCCGTCTTCTGTGTCACTCATGCTAGGAGCTGTAGACTGGAGCTGTTCCTATTCGGCCATCTTGGAACTGCCCTGCGGTCATTCTTATTGCTCACTCGGCCACATACCTAAAGATGCCCCAGTTTACAAAGACGCACTCCAGGAATGAGATCTTTTCTATGATGACAACTTGGAGAGGGCGTTTTCTTCTCTACTGCAAGCTGGCTATGGCGTCTTTGCGGCTGTTCTGTTACTCTTTTGAAACAAACAAAAAGCTGTTGTGGGTGTGGATGTGTCTGTGACAGGGCAGGCTTTGGCTGTGAAGGGTGATGGAATACCCTCTACAGTTGTCTGTGTGCACAAGTGTCTCTCTGTGTGTTTGCAACTTGCACCCAAATGACTGACAGATGGTAAATTATTTTAAAACCCTTTTTTCTCTTTTTGCATATATCCTTCACCTGCGGCTTGCTGTATTGCCAGGGTACCAGGCCTGGATCAGGGATGTCAGGTTTGAGAACTGGAACCTGTTCAAGGGGAGCTATTTGTACCGAGGGAGAGGGGCACAGCAGAGAAGAGGATGGAGTTGGGCATCCAGATGTTTGCTGAAAGTTTCCAACTGGAAATACAGTGGACTACAGTGGTGAGGGATTTATGCTATGCTTGGAAGAACATCATGGAGAGTTAAAAGAAATTTTGCACACTTTTTCTCGGCTATGTAACTCTAGAGCTGCCTAATACCTTCACATCTCCAGCTGTAAAATGGGCCCAGGCACTCTACCATATGCTAGGCAACATTCTAAGTGCTTTACCCGATTTACTCTTATATCTCATTAATTCTATGAGATAGAATTGCTCCCTTTTACAGATGAAGAAACTGAGGCACAGAGAAGTTAAGTTACCCCAGGCCACACAGCCAGATATGATAGGTCCCAGGAATTTTGGCTCAAGTCAGCACTCTTTCCTCAACTGCCATGCCATGGGCAAACACGTGGTCAGGAGACGAGTAAGAAGATTACATATATATCGTTAAGTCCTGGGGGCACAACTGGCTCATGATGGTTAATTTTATGTGTCAACTTGGCTGAGCCACAGTGTCCAGATATGTGGTCAAACATTATTCTGGATGTTTCTGTGAGGGTGTTGTTGGGTGAGATTAAAAAGGAGGGATTTTGAGTAAAGCAGATTGTCCTCCATGGAGTGGGTGGGCCTTGTCTAATCAGTTGAAGCCCTTAATAGAAGAAAAAATACTGACCTCCCCAAGCAAGAGGGAGTTCTGCAACAGACTGCCCTTGGACTTGAACTGCAACATGGGCTCTTCCTAGTTCTTCAGCCTGTTGGCCCACCCTGCAAATTTTGGACATGTCAGCCTGCATAACTGTGTGATCAACTCCTTATAATCTCTCTCTCTTTCTCTTTATCCTGTTGGTTCTGTTTCTCTGGGAAATCCTGGCTAATATATGGCTCCATAGCATCATCTGGTCATCAGAGTGTTGGGCCACATCTATCAGCAGCATCCTGCTCTAGGACTAACAATTCATTTCTTGGCCTCATCTACCCAGGGACACAAGTCTGTTTCCTCGGTGGGTCAGTTAATCTCTCTCTGACTCTTCCTCCTGCCTCTGCATCATCATTCAACTTATTAGGTTCTGACTTCACTTTCTTTATATCCCCTTGATCAGTTAGAATTCACTCCTATTGTGAGTAGCTGAAAACCTGCCAGAGTAGTTTGGTGAGCAAGAGGTTGATTTTTCTCACATCACAAGAAGTCTGGTGGTATTTAGAACATAGTCTAGTGCTGAGCACCTGCTCTAGGATGTCAACAAGGACCAGCTCCTCCCATCTTCCAACTCTGCCATCATTAGGGAAGACCTTGTCTTCATGGTTGCAAGAGGGGCTGCTGCATCTCCAGGTGTTGTATCTGTGTTCCAGGCAGAAGGGGCCTGGCAGAGAAGGGAGAAGTGAGAGAAACAAAGGGCAAAATTTCTCTATTCTTTAGCCCTTGCTCGCTCGCTTGCTTGCTTGCTTGCTTGCTTTCTTTCTTTCTTTCTTTCTTTCTTTCTTTCTTTCTTTCTTTCTTTCTTTCTTTCTTTCTTTCTTTCTTTCTTTCCTTCTTTCTTTCTTTCTTTCTTTCGTTCTTTCTTTCTCTCTTCTTTCTCTTTCTCTCTTCTTTCTTTCTTTCTTTCTTTCTTTCTTTCTTTCTTTCTTTCTTTCTTTCTTTCTTCTCTCTTTTTTTTTTTTTTCTGGTGGCGTGAGGAGATTGAGGGAGGGAAAACCTCTGCAGGGACTTCTACCTATATTTCATTGGCCAGAAGAGTTTCACATTGTTTTCTTTAGCCACAAAGGAGGCTGACGTTGAGTATTTTGCTTTCTGTCCTCTATAGCAGAGGAAATCAAGGGATAGGTGAGTCAGTATATGGCTATTTAGTGCAGGGATTGGCAAGTGTTTTCAGTAGAGGGCTAGATAGTAAATGTTTTAGGCTTTGTGGGCCATACAGTCTCTGTTATGCCTACTCAACTCTGTGGTGTAGCACAAAAGTAACTACAGAAAATACATAAACAAATGGATGTGGCTGTGTTTCAATACAACTTTATTTACAAAAACAGGCAGTGGCCTGGATTTGGACGATGGGCCATCGTTTGTCCACCCCTAATTTAGTGATTCAATCTATAATATCTGCCACTGGACTCAAATATTTCAGCCAAAAATATTTTCACAAATTGCGGTACAGCACCCCTAAAAGATGAGAGTGGGGAATGGATATGAAATAGTGGAACTGGATCTTAACTGATACAAAGTTTTCTTCTGTCATGCTAAGGAGTTGGTACTTTACCCTCTGGGCAGAGAAGAGGTCAGAGAAGACTGGGCTGTGGTTGTGGTTGTTGTTGGTGGGTTCACAACCTGTGGTGATCCCAGGGTTGACTCTGATGGCTGACAGCCTGGTAGAGAGGACCTCTCTTCTGCATTCCTCACTGCTTGTCTGTCTTTAAACCACAGATCTGGTCAAAGAGATGACCAGGGGGTGCCCAGCTAGAAAAGAGAGGGTAGAAAATGCTGTAACTAAAAGCCTAAGGCTTCAGCTAGGTGCAGTGGCTCACACCTGTAATTGCAGCATGTTGGGAGGCCTAGGCGGGCGGATCACCTGAGGTCAGGAGTTTGAGACCAGCCTGGTCAACGTGGTAAAACCGTGTCTCTACTAAAAAAAATCACAAAAATTAGTCAGGCATAGTGGCGGGCACCTGTTTTTCCAGATACTCGGGAGGCTGAGGTAGGAGAATGGCTTGAACCCAGGAGGCGGAGGTTGCAGTAAGCCGAGATCGCACCACTGCACTCCAGCCTGGGCAATGGAGTGAGACTCCATCTCAAAAAAATAAACAATAAAAATAAAAATCTCAGGGTTGAATGGGCACATAGGATTCATTGAGCACCATAAATATCTGTTTCCATATTCTTGAGCTCTTTGGTACCCAGAGAATATACCAATAACATGTTTGGATTTAGGGTTAGAGAAATCTTCTCGAATTTTCCTAGCCTCACAAAATTTCACAACACTTTACCTTTGCAAATGCAGAACCAGTATTAAGACGGTATGCATTGTGTAATCTCACATCAAACCTTTGTATTTATCATTAAAAATGTGGCAACATCATTGCAGTCATAAACAGAGTTACCAAGGAAACTAGTTTATCATAATTAGCTATTTATTCCCTCTTCTTTCTCTCTGTCTCTCCCCCTTCTACCTGAGCTTTCTTTGGGCTGAAAGGTATGACAAGCTGTTATCAGCCTGGGCTCAGTGGCTAATTAGGTCCTAATATTGATTCGTAGAATTACACTGCTCTTTTCCATAACTATGCTGTAGTGCATTGTCTGTGCTTATTAAAAATAGACACAGTGATGGAACAATTGGTTTATTATGTGTTTTAAATAGTCATAATAGCTGTTTCCCAGGGGAGTGGTATATCAAAACCCGACAGACAGAAGATAAAAACTTTTGGCCTACAAAAGACTTGTGGCTCTTTCTCTTGCATTAGGAAGTAGTTGTGAAAGGAATTTTGCTTCCTGGATGGGGCTTCCAGTCCAACAGGCTTTTTCTCATTTTTTTTGTTGTCTATTATAATAGAGAACATGAGCTAATACCCATATTCCACACCGATGTTCTAGAGCAGGGGTCTGCAAACTTTTTATGTAAAGGGACATATAGTAAGCATTTTAGGTTTGTGAGCCATATGCACTCTGTCCTAACTACTGGACTCTAACTTTTATGGCAGAAAAACAGCAATAGACAATATGTAATGAATGGGTGAGATTGTGTTCCAATAAAACTTTATGTAAACAGGTGGCAGGCCAGATTTGGCCCATGGATTGAAGTTTGCAGACATCTATCTAGAGCCTTGGTCTCAAAGGGTAGGGAATTAACTTGCAGTTTGCCCCTTAAAGTGGGAGCAATACCTGGAGAAGGCTGGATGAGCCACCAGGAGCCACTGGGAGCTCCTACTGGGCTATCTGTGAGGGTCTCTCCCTGCTTGTCCATCTCGCATTAAGAGGGGTGGTTTCTCACAGTGATCCCCCCACAGAGGGGTGGACTAGGGACCAGATAACCTGGCGTAGTTCCTGACTTGAATGCTTAACTGGATGACATTTTCTCATCTGTAATGCCCTCTACCACCTGTTCCAAAGAGCTGTGAGACGCACGGAGACAATGAATGGGAAACGACTCTGTGAACTGTAAACTGTAAACCACCAAGGCATAGAACCATAACAGCTGCGGCTACTAAGATGTTGCTTGATAAGTTGAGTATTCCCTTTCTCGGCCCCATAGCAGAGGAAATCAAAGCAAAGGTGGATCAGAGTATGGCTGTTTAGTGCAGGGATTGGCAAATGTTTTTGGTAAAGGGCCAGATAGTAAATATTTTAGGCTTTGTGGGCCACACAGTCTCCATCATTCCTGTTCAACTCTCGTTGTAGCACAAAAGTAACCACAGACAACACATGAATGAATGGGTGTAGCTGTGTTTCAATAAAACTTTATTTACAAAAGCAGACAGTGGGCTGGATTATAAAGCAATCACAGAGTTGCGGAATGGGAATGACCCCTTCGGGTGTTAGTCCACCTGGCATCTGGGTCTAGAGCCCACCCTTTACTACCCTTCTGGGAAATTGTCCACCTTGAGTTTTAATTCCTCCAGTGGCCAAGTTCATGATATTTTTGGCTGATCTATCTTCATACGGTTTTGGTTATCAGAAATTTCTTGCTGTTTCTCAGCCAAAATCTGTCTTTCTGTATCTTCCCTGCATTTGTCCTAGTTCTATGCCTCAGCATTTTCCAGAACTATTAGATTAATCTCTTCTTCATATGACAGCTCTTTGAATATTTGAAGATAGAGGTCGTAGTCTTCAAGTCTTCTCCTCACCAGGCTAAACATCAGCAGTTCCTTGAACTGTTTCTATATGACATGGTTTTGACTTTTCACCATTCAGGTTGCTCTCCTCTGCACAAGTTTCAGTTCCTCGGCATCCCTCCTAAATGGTATATCCACTGTTGGGGACAATATTTCATGCATGTTCTAACTAATATAGAGTAGGATTGTAGCCTCCTTTGTTCCAGATTCAATGCTTCTGTTAATGCAGCCTAAGGTCATATGTGCTCTTTGGGTGAATACATCACAATGCTGGATTTTACTGGGTTGATGTTGACTGAGACTTTTAAGTCCTTTTCTTGCATACTGCAAAGTCATGGCTACCCCATCCTGACTAGTGCAGAGTAAGGATAACTTGGATTTCCAGTAAAAATCCTCCGGCTGCTTTGTTTTCAAGGTCAAAGTCCTTTTGAATTGAGATTACATTTCTTTTCAATCTTTGGGTGGTCTGTGACTTAATGAGAATGGTGATTGTGACGTGAAATCAACCACGTCTTCACATAGCCTACCATGAGTTCTGCCGTGGTTGAAGATACAGCCTCTAAATCAGTGCTACTCAATTATTACTAGCCTTTAAAAAGATAAGGCGCTTACCCCAGAATGCAAATAAAAGCATTGTTTCCTTCATTGAGAAAGTCTTGGTGTGAATAAAATGTCAGCTGAACTAAACATGGTGCTTCGTGACATAGCTGATTTGCAGACAGCAGAAAAGCAGGGGTTCTCAGACCACACATTTTGACTAGTAGGGCTCTAAATGACTCTCTAAGATCTTGATTGAAACTCTAACTGGCTTAAGGAGGGTAGATAAGAAGAAGAAACATCTTCAGAAATAGTAGAAAGGATTATGGTGACTAGATGAAAATTAGCCTTGAGATTCAGTGTAAGTTAGGATCCTAATGGGAAACCTCTTCAGTTTCTTTTATCCCTAAAATTAGGGCTGGATTTCAGTGATTATTCAATGCACATCTGTTGGTCTCTTAATCTGTGAGAGGCATTGAGCTAGGAACTGAGGGGTTACAAATTTAACTGAGATATAGCCGGAGACCTGGTTGGGGAGTCTGAGATGCAAACAAGTAACAAATTGTGGCATAGGCCGCTAGTGGCCTCCTCCTACATAATTCTCTCCTTTTACCTTAGGAACAGAATGCTGATGGTATTCACAGCAGCTGTGTCCTCAGATAAAAGACCACGTATTTCAGCCTCCTTTGCAGTTAGCTTAATCATGTGATTTCCAGTAATCATCTCACAGCATGAAGGGGCTTTAATGATGGGGGTTTTATGCTGTAGGGGTTTCCGCAGAAGGGTGGAAGGAACCCAGATCTCTGATGACTGTGGAGCCTCCAGTCCTGTCTAACTCTGGGCTTCTTTTACACGAGAGGGTAGGTCCTTGTGAGTTCCGCGCCTGCTATACACAGCTGAACTTCATCCTAAAGTAATAGAGAATTTGATTCTTAGGGAGGGGGCTCCTATAAGAAACATAACTTAAAATGTGCTATTGACTTAGGGGAGGAGATGGGAAGGCAGATATTTAGAGCTCAGATTTTGCAAATTAGAAATGTGGGGACCCTTGCTGTGCATTGTTAGAGCATTTGATTGAATTGTTGCCTATTGTAACTGGGAAAGCAAACCGTAAGTTGACTGAAGCTGTAGCTTTAGGGGAAATGGCAGCAAAAATTCAGAATGACAGCAAGAGTGTTGGCTTGCTGTCTCCTTCTTGCCACTTCTAGCAAAGTCCTGCAAAAGAGAGCTGGCCAGTCTGCGGACAGATATGGAGAGAAATGCTGCTTTGCTTAGGAGGTGTTCTCAGCCTGCGGCCTGCAATCTAAGTTGATTGAGATTCCTATAATTTGAAGCTTTGTCGGTTTTTATGTGCAAGATGAAGTAGGAGTTATTAATATGTAGTATCTCCAAATCAACACCTTAGCAGGAAATAAGGCTGAGGCCCACCATAGCAAAGTCAGAATTAGGTGTGTTATCTTCCACAGTTGCGTACTGTCTGTCTCTGAACTTACTTTATGTTAGAGATTAAGTCCTTGTCTATAAGCTTCTGAGATTCGGGATTTTCTGTTTACATAGTGGAACTTGATCTTAATTGATCCAAAGTTTTCTTCTGTCATGCTGAGGAGTCAGTATGCTACAGATAAGACCTGAGAAGAGTGGGCTGGGGGAGGTATGGAGTAGGCAACTTCTAAGATGGTTGAAGTTATAGGGCATGAGTGAGATTTCTTTTCTCATACCTTCCTGCACCTTGGCTTGTTTGGATCCTGACATTCTACCATTACATTGCTATTCCTTTAATTTTCAAAGGCATTTCAGATGTTGAAAGTCTCTTCCTAATGAGTTTCAAATACCTAGAGTAGGAGATGGACACAAGAATATTCTAGCCCCTGACAGCTACCAAAGACCCCTGGCCCTATGGGGCCAAAGTCCTGGGGGTGGGAAGGGCACTGAATGGGAATGGAAAGGATGTCACAGAGAAATGCAGCCAAGCTCGCAATTCCACTAAAGGCTGGTGCAGCCTAGCATGCCGGGATACTGGGATGTGTTTCTCAGTGAAACCCATTCTTTAGGGCTGAACCTGCGTGGTGTCAGTGAAGTGGAATTTGATCCATGTAGACAGCTGATCTGGACATTTTTGGCCTGGATTATTTGTTTGGCTGTCTCCACTGATCAAATTAACTGGATAATTGCCAAATATCTTCTCAGTTGTGCTCCCCTAGGCAGCTGGTGTGGCCAGCAGGATGGGGAGGGAACCTCCAAGGACAAGTCAGATTAGAGAATTAGCACATATTTTCGACCTGGTCGACCCAGGGAACTGTCCATTTAATCAGGGTGAGAATTGAGGGCCTGGGTTCGGGGGAAGTGAGAGCTTCAGCCCTCCTGGCTTTATAGGCAGGAAGATGCCACAGTGGTCCAGCCTGCAATTTTCCTCAAGAAACCCTCTAGGCCAGCGTGTAAGATGGTGCCAAATCTGTCTAGGAGAGCTGCCCTAATTCTGCTCTCACTCACTATGGTGCCTGTGTTGAGGACATAGGATGGTCTTATCTCGAAGCAATTGCAATGTAGGAAGATGAATTTCTAACCTCCAGGGCCAAGAAAAGCTCAAAAAGATGCTGTGCAAAAGACAGGGAAAGAGCTCTTCTTTCTCTTACCTCCTTCTCAGGGGTGGTGGGACCCCAGGCTCTTGCTTGTACTAAGACAGTTTGGACCTTACCTGCTTCTCTGTTATTTTATTTTATTTATTTTATTTTATTTTATTTTATTTTATTTTATTTTTTTTGCATGTATCTTGTCTCCACAACCAGGATACATCTTTAAGAACATGATTTTTTATGGGTCTCCTCAGCACCTGGTGGAATGTCTGGCACATAATTAGTGCTCAGTAAGCTGGCTGGCCAACTGCTTGATTCAATAAGATTTGTTGGGCACTTACAGGCTTGTGCACTTCGGGATGTATGAAATAGTCAAGCCTAAACTGAGAGCCCCCAGTTTCATGGGGCAACACATGACCACACTGCAGCATGGGAAGAGAGAGAATAGCTTTCAATGGAAGAGGTATGGGGGTATTAAATGGGGTTGGAGGCCAACATGCTCTTACTGAGCCAGAGCCCTGAGAGGGCCGAGGAAACAAGGGAAGTGTTATTAGTCCCATTCAATAGATGAGCAAACTGAGGTTCGAAGAGATGAAATGACTGACTTGCTCAAGGTCTTGCTGCTAGCGCGAGTTGGAGCCAGGATGTAAACTCAAGTTTGCTGACCCTCTTTGTAGAGAGACTCTACTCTAGATGGGCCCTCTTCTAATGCATTTCATCTTGGCCTTTGGGGTGGGGGACAGGGCAGTGGCATTGAGTACCAGAATGGGGCAGAGATGTCAAACTCGTGCCCCATGACCTGAAGCAGTCTGCAGATGGGTTTGTTAGATTCATACAGTGTGGTTATTTTTAATTGTAGTAAAATACACATAACATTGATCTCTTTAACTGTTTTTAAGTGCACCGTTCAATAGAGTTAAGTACATTCACAAGGTTGTGCAGCCAATCTCCAGAACTTTCCTTCTTGCACAACTGCAACTATACCCATTAAACAACAACTCCCCCTTGCTCCTTACCCCCAGCCCCTGTCAACTGTCCTTCTACCTGCTGGCCCTGTGAATTTGACCACTCTAGGTACCTCCCGTAGAGTAGGAGCCAGAGTATTTGTCTTTTTGTGTCTGGCTTATTTCACTTACTATGATGTCCTCAAGGCTCATCCTGTTGTTGCATGTCAAAATTTCCTTCCTTTTTAAGGCTGAATAATATTCCACTGTTATGTAGACACCACATTTTGTTGATCCGTTCATTTGTCAATGGGACTTTTTGGCAGCTTCCATCTTTTGGCTGCTGTGATGAACATGGGTGTGCAAATATCTGCTCGAGTCCCTGTTTTTAATTCTTTTGGGTGTATACCCAAAAGTGGAATTGCTGAATCATCTGATAACTGTATGTTGAATATTTTGAGAAATTGCCATGCTGTTTTCCATAGTGGCTGAGCCACTTTACGTTCCCACCAACAGTGCACAAGGATTCTAATTTCTCCACATCTTCTTGTTACTTTCTGGTTGTTGTTGTTTGGTTTTTGTTTTTAATAGTGGCTATCCTAGTGGTTGGCAAATATTTAAAAATGAAGATATTTTACATAATGATTCAGATCTCTGGCTTTCACTTTACAAAATAAGAAACCCTGCCACTTCTGCATAACATAAACCTGCTGGGCCAAGGCAGTGGCCTGCACTGAAATGGGGCACAGGCTTTCCGGTTAGCTGCCGAGCACACTGACCTCCTCCACTCCTGACCTCACCTCTCCAGGCATTTGAACTTGTGAGTCTGGGGGAGGGGGACCAGAATGCCCACTCCCTGCTCGCCATCATCCTGGAGGGTCTTCATGAACATACTCCAGTAGTCACAGGACTGGACAGGAGTCAGAAATCTTGAGCTGTCTGTCATTCCACCTCTGTGAGTTTGGGCAAATCACTTCACCTCTTCCTTACTGCAAAATGGAGTCCTGCCATCTTTGCTGTGCAGCTCCCAGGAATTCTGTTGTAATGGAGACAGGCAGCGGAAGTGGAAGCTCTTCATAAACTGTTGACTGAAAATAAAGGATAGGCTGCTTGTTGTGATGAATGAATGGGTGGGACCTGTGCAGGTGGGTGCTGCTGAGAGAGGGGTGTCTGCCTGCACCACTTGGGCCGCGGCCTCCAGCCCACCTTCTAACAGGGCACCTGAAAATGGTTGTTGACAAGCATAAGCTCAGCTTCTGGGCAAATGCCCCTAATGTTTGCCTTCAGATCTATTGAGAAACCACCTATCAGGCAGGAATGCAGGTGCAGGAGGCTCCCTGAGGCCTTTGTCAACAGGCCCTTTGGTCCTGCACATAGATAGGCCTGGCCTTACGGGATTGGGCATCTGCGTGTGGCCCATCCTGTCGAGGGGGAGCAGGCTGGGTGTCTGCCCGTCTACCCTAGCTTTTTTCTGTGTGAGTTCAGCAGCAATTGCCCTCTAACCATTTCTGTTGAACTCCCTCTCTTGGGAACTTCGCTTTGTCATTTAAAATAGTTTGGGAACTTCAGATTTAGCCCAGTGTCAGAGCAGTTTATTTGGTCTGTAGGCATTTTTGTTTTTAAAATTCATGACAAGTTCCGTGCAACATGTTTTATTATATTTTCACCACCTGTTCTACCTTGGGGGTGGTATTAAAATCTGGGACCATCCATCTATCGCTCTTTTTTTTTAAGTTTCCTTATTTGCCATTTATATGTGTCTTGCAAACACACACATGCACACACAATGTGAATTTAAATATAGAAGGATAGATATACAAATACATACATATTTAATATATATAAATAAATATCTGTATTCCCCTCTCTCCTCTTGTTGCTTGATTGGCTTTAAACTGTGGTTGTAATGTTGAAGGTGTATGTTTGACAAGCTAATTGTGGAGTTTTAAATGATAAATTTGTAAAACAAATAAATACTTAGAAAATCCTTTGCCAGTGTGAAGTGCTATCTCTGTGAACATTAATAGCGAAAAAATTATCACAATATCTAATCCTCTAACGAAAAAGCATTTGAAAACTTTACAGCTTCTTTCAGCTTCCACTGAGGTCAAAAAGGAGGGGTAGCATGCCCATTTTTACAGATGGAAAAATCAAGTCTTTACACAGATATTTAAGAAGGGTAGCTGGAGGGCCAGTGTTGGAATTGGGGGCCCATCCTTAAATCCTGACATCCATACAACTATCTGTTCATTTCTCTATGTTAATTAGGACAAGGGACCAGGACATATTTAGAGCACTACGTGCTATTTCCTTTCTCTAAAAATCCAAGTACGGCACGATGCATTTGGGTTTAATGATGTTCTTATTTCAGCCCTTGGATCCAGCTGTTCCTGAAGCCTACATTTTTCAGTTATGTATGTCAATAAACTACTTTTGGGTTTCTTTTACATGAAATAAAAAATAAAAAATCAGAACAAAACAACAAAAAAAGAAAACCCATCCATAAGTAACCTATGCTGCCAGAATTAAGGTTTACAACATATTATGTATTTGACAATTTAAAAAAATGGGAGGGGGCATATTATCATCTCCATTTCTTAACAGATATAAAACCAGATATCCATACAGAATATCCTATTGCTTATAAAAGCAGGCCAACAAGTATTTAGGGCTCAAAAGCAAGCTTCTCTTAGAAGAAATAAAAAAGTAGCCTATTGCACCTTCCCATAATATCATTGGAAAATATGTATCTGGATCTTTAACACGATGCCCTATCACATCCTCTTTGCTGATAATTTCAAGAAGGATCTGTTTGTGGCATTTAGACAGTGAATTTCCCTTTATCGCCACCGAAACCAGAAGCTTCCCAAGGGCAGTGAGGGAGACCTCTGTATCCTTTGAAGGCTCCTGCTTTTCTTGTTTCATAGAGAGGTAATCTGTAGTATTCCTGACTGGTAATATAGGGAATAAGAGTGGCATGTATAAGTAGAATTTGCAGAATAACATCCTGGAGCAAACATAAAGCCAGGATCTTGTAATGGTTAAGAGCATGGGCCTTGGTGTCATGTGAACCTAACTGAAGCAAGTTATTTGACCACCTCATGTATCAATTTCTCTATTTATAAATGCTAATACTATGGTTGATAGTAAATGCTCAATAAATGATAGTTATCCTATTATTTCACAAAAGTTCAATCAAATAAATCTGGATCAGTGAGATTCACAGTGTTCATTAGTATATTTAAAGAATTGAAGACGTCCTCCACTAAAGCAAACTGATAACTTTTATTTATCCCAGTGTTTTCAAATCTCACTTAACATACAATACTTTTCTCTTAGGCTATTTTTCTGCAGAACTAAGGTCCAATGGAACACACTTTGAGAAACCCCAGGGGTTGTACCCTGTAGTAATTGAGGGGGATTCATTAGGCCACCACTAGGGGGTGCGCCAGCCAAGTTTTCTGATTCTCGGTGAGAAAAGAGGGTTTGCTCTGGGCTTCCAAAGAATAGAGGTTTTGAAAGCTTCAGTGGAGAGGGAGGGCATGCCAGGAGAGACCAAAATTCCAAAATGGCAATGACTTTGAGAAGCAAGGGAAGAAAAGAGACGTGATCACACCACGTGGAAAGGTGGTAGAAGTTTTCCTGCCCTTTCTGTTGAGATGTACAAATGGCTGACCTTCGGATAATGAATCACTAGAGATCCCAGAATGGCTGGAATGAGAAATGTGGCCTGAAGACCAGGTCAGGACTAGGCTGGGGACAGAAAGGGAAGGGCCTGCAACACACCTCCAGAGGCCTCTGGGAGGGGGGCCTTGGCCCTGGACCTCCAGGAACGTGTGTGATGGGGAGGGAAAATTTAAAAGGCGAACAGTTTCCAGGATTTTTGGTTTCTACGTCTCATATATTTACTACTACAACGACAACAACTATTACTACACACACACATATACACACATACATACACACACATACATACACATACACACACATACACATACATACACACGTACACACATACACACACATACACACATACACACATCTACGCATATATAAACACATATACTTATATATACACATACACATATATACACACATATACACATATATACACGCATACACACATACACATACACACATGTACATACACATATACACATATACATACATACATATTCACATACATACACATACACACATATATACACACATACACACATATACACATACATATATACACACATACATACACACATACACACATAGGCATATACACATATATACACACATACACACATATACACACATATTTAATAAATACATATTTTCTGATAAGGTTTTCTCTTAACCTCGTGCAAAGTGTGTATATCTGTTGTAAGTGAATTAAGGTGGTAGATTTCGAGGTGAATGCTGAATGCCAGATAATAAAAGTGTTCATAATAGAAAATTTGGGGGAAAACACAGAAAAGCAAAAAGAAATCACTTGCCATCGGATCCCCCACCCCCAAGAACATGTTGAGGGATGTAGGAGATTGTATAAGTAATTGGGCATTTGAGGGAGCACATATTGGTTAGGATTCTTTTGGTTATAAGTGACAGAAATCCAATTCAAAAGACCTAGGTAAAATGGTGGCTTGATTATAAGGATCTGGGGTTGTCTGTCTCATGCACCCCAAGGGCAGAAATGTGGCCAGGGCTCAGAAACAGCAAGACAGGGGGACCTATGTTTTGTCAGGACACTCCTTCTCTAACTGTTTCTTCCTTTCTGCATTTGCCTCCTCCCCGCTCTACTTTTATGGATTGGCTGCTGGGGGGTCTCTGGCCCAGAGGGCCAGACACATGGGCCCACAGCTGCAACTACTAGGCATGCTGTCCTATCGTTTCTGCTGCTGGAAAGAGAAAGACTCCCTCAGTTCCAATTCCAGAATTACTGGGGAAGGAGAGAATTGTCCTGGCTTGGGTCAGATGTCCACCCTGGACCAATCAGCTGTGGCCAGGGGCCAGCCATATTGTGTATAATGGCTCTTCTCGTGACAACTGTGTGTGTGTGTGTGTGTGTGTGTGTGTGTGTGTGTGTGTGTGTGTAAAGTTTCCAGAAAAGCTGGAAACAAGGACAGAGAAAGTAGATACTGGCAGACAAAACAATATCTAGTACTGTATATGTTTTCCATATTTGTATAACTGAGATTAAACTGTATGTAAATGAATCTTGTTTTTAACTAAATGTTATGTCATTAGCATTTCCCTAGTCCCTAAAATCTTTGTAAATTGCATTTTGAATTATTGCATTGTATTCAATAATTTGGATTTACTTAGCAAATTCCCAGTTGTTAGATATTTAGGTTGTTTCTATTTTTTTTAAAATTGCATACTTAATGATGTTGAGGTGTTAAAAAATTTCAGCTATCATGAGTAATGCGATGGTAGAAGACAGTTTTCCTCATTTCATGCAAGAATTAGGTACATTATTGAGAATTAAAAAAAAAAAAGATATGGTCCCACAGTTCCTCATCCTATTTCAAAATTGATGCAAACCGTTCCTCCGATTTTGCCTCCTGCTCTGCTTCTCTTTCCCTTTCTATCCTTCTCTAACTGGAAATGGCAGTAGGAGTTGATGGTTGTGCAGTGCAGAGAGTGGGCAGACAGACAATTAGGGGGTCCCCTGGGGCTCCAGGTTTGCCTTGTCTCTGCCTATTTTCTTTCTGGAAATAGATCTAGGTAGAGTGAACCATACAAGTAAACCCTGCTACTTTGTAACAATCAACACCCCCAAAGTTAGGCATCTCAGGAATGAGGCTCTCTTCAGATGAAGCTGGAGGAAGTAGTGCGAGATAATACAGGACTGGAGACAATCAGGGAGAAGAAGAATGAGGTGGAGGGCTTGTGGTCGGGGGGACCTCAGCAAAGGTTGGCTTCTCAATCTGTGTAACATTCCTGACCACCTTGCACTGGGGACCAAGTAAGAGTCGCCAAACCACTAATCTGCCACATTCTCCTCTGGGAAGGTAAGTCTGGGAAGGCCCGTCTTGGGATGTTGGTGGTTTGCAACATCCTGTGACTTTTCCCAAGTTGGAGTTAAACATTTGCTCAGGCTGAAATGTGCTTTAAAGGCTCTGAGACTTCCTGAACGTGGGGGTCATTGGATGTTTTCTAGTGGAGAGCAAATTCCTGAATGCGATAACCTTTTCTCCTTAGCTGCAGGGAGTTTAGACTTTTTGAAGGAAGTTCCGTTGAAATTCACAAGAGAGGGAAGGAAAGTAAAAATCATGACCTACTCTGTGCTGCATGCTTCCCATCGATTTGATCTTTCTGAGGTCTGAACTGGGAGTACCCTAAACAGTTCTCTCTGTGTCAGATTCACTGGTCATTTAGAGCTGCTCTATTGTTTCAGGTGTTCTGTGTTTTGAGGAGAAGGTGCAGAATGTCCTTTGTCATTGTTTTTCTGCATTTTCTAACACTTTCTATTTGTGGAATACTATGGTTTTTATTAGATATTCCAGTTCCTTCTGTCCTGGAGTGGCTCCAACTGATGTTTTATCATCCTTATTTGTTTTGAATAATAATAAGTGAATAATAATACTAAATGCCATGACTCCAGGAGGTGGAACATTTCTCAAGCTGGAGCTGTATTTAATTTTGTTTTGGAAACTGCTAAAATCATTCAATACGACAAGGCTAAGAGGTGCTACATGTCTGATTGGGGGTGGGAAAATAGGAAATAAAAATATTCCTGCTCAGTTTGGGAGGAAGAGAACTGGCAGCTGAATATGTTTCTTACCTTCATGGGGAAGCCCTACCTCTGAGCTTGACAGCATCTTGACAAACCTTGAATAAATAGGAAAATCCTACACATTGGGACTTTAGTCCTAAAACTTGGCATTTGGGGATAACAATTTATACTTTGACACGATATAGGGAAGAAGGATTTGGCAAGTAAAGAATAATGCAAATAGCAGGAGCAAGGTTTAAGCCCCTTGAGAGACCTATTTCCCCAGCTCCTGTTAGGGCAGCTCTGAGGGCCCTCCACCCAGCAACCTTGCTTAATGGAGGCATTGCCATCTGAGGAACTGAGGTACGCTGTTGTAAGCTGATAATTGCAGTACCTACCAGACAACCACAACTGTGACTTTCTCCTAATTTAACTCTCCCTCTAAGTGTGAAACTGTAGTTAGTAAAATAAAAATAGAGTTCTAGAATAACTGGCTTTGTTCAAGGAATTATGCCATGTGACTTTGCCTTTTTGTTCTGTTTCCCCATCTGTAAAGAGGGGATGATAATGGGTCCTCCTTATGGGACTGGTGGGAGGATTAATTCAACTCATTGGTTAGAAAAATGCCTGGCATGAAGTGAGTGATCAATAAATACATTTAGTTATTTGTTTTGGGATGGTCATGTACATAGCCTTTGCTTGCTAAATTGCATTCGTGTTTTTCTCGTCTTGATATAAGCTTGTGCTCCCTGAGCAGAGGGCAGGGAAAGTGGGGAGAGAAAGTTTGGAAATGTGTTGAAAAGGAAAGAGGAAACTGATGTTTACTGAACCCAAACTATGTAGCAGGTACTGCCCCACCATTATTTTATTTAATAAATAAATGATGGATACACATATCCATATTTTATATATCCATATTTATTCATTCGTGAAATGAATGCGTGAGAATAAAGGCCAGAATATTTTGTTTCCTTTAGAGCTGAGAAGAAGTGAAGAATCCTGCCAAGCAAGAGCAGTATGTGCATAAGAGAACGAGGCCCTAGCCCAACATGCCCTTCCTCCGACATCCATCCAAGGCACACCTCACAGGTCACCTGCCATGTTCATTCTGGAGAAAACACAGCTTGGTGAGTGATTTATGCTGGGATCTGACAGAGATCCTAGGCCAGGCTACCCTAGACAGGGTGGCTCATCAAGAGAAGGCTGAGGGGGAGAGAGTTCCCTGCTAGGGTCCTAGGGGAGAAGTGTGGCAGTGGCCAACCCCCAGGTTCTCGGCAAGGGTTGGGTGGTTGTTTTCAGATGGTCCTATTGTTGTCTAACTTCAGGCAAGACCCTTGACCTTTCTGAGCCCTGCTTTCATTCTCTGTGAAATGGGAATGAGAACACCTACCTTACAGGACTGTTAAAGGCCTGGTACGTGTGGATCTTCAATTGTTATAGATTGAATTCTGTCTCTCCCAAATTCATATGATGAAGTCCTAATCCCCGGTACCTTTAATGTGACCTTATTTGGAAATAGAGTCATTACAGATATAATTAGTTAAGATGAGGTCACATTGGAGGGTAGGCCCCTAATCCAATGTGATCCATATCCTTATAAAAATGGGAAAATTGGAGACAGATACACAGGGAGGGTGCCATGTGAAGATGAAAGCAGAGATTGAAGTGATGTGACTACAAGCCAAGGAATGCCAAAGATCGCCAGCAAACCAGAAGCTTGGGGAGAGGCCTGGAACAGATTCCGCCTTAGCCCCAAGAAGGAACTCATGCTGCTGACACCATGATCATGGACTTCCAGCCTCCAGAACTGTGAGATAATAAGTATCTGTTGTTTGAACCTCCCAGTTTGTGGTACTTTGTTATGGCAGCTCTAGCAAACGCATACACCATTGTCATCTTTGATAACCCTGTGACTCCTCCTCTCCCTCTCTTCCTGGTGCCTTCCTCCAAGGGTATCCTGCAGGCAACTGGAGCAGCTGCTTGGAGGGATGCACAAAAGAAATGCCAAAACCACAGTGAGGTCCCGTCTCACACCAGTTACAATATCTATTGTTACAAAGTCAAAAAATAACCATTCTGGTGAGGTTGTGGAGAAAAAGGAATGCTTTCACACTCTTGGTGGGAGTGTAGATTAGTTCAGTCATTGTGGAAGATAGTGTGGCAATTCCTCAAAGACCTAAAGACAGAAATACCATTCGATCCAGTGATCCCATGACTGAGCATACACCCAAGGAATATAAATCATTCTGTTATAAAGATACATGCATGTGTATGTTTATTGCAACACTATTCTCAATAGCCAATACATGGAATCAACCTAAATGTCCATCAGTGGTAGACTGGATAAAGAAAATGTGGTATATATACACTATGAAATACTATGCAGCCGCAAAAAGGAACAAGATCATGTCCTTTGCAGCAGCCTGGATGGAGCTGGAGGCCATTATCCTCAGCAAACTGACGCAGGAGCAGAAAACCAAACGCTGTATGTTCTCACTTATAAGTGGGAGCTAAATGATGCGAACACATGGACACAGCGAGGAGAACAACACAACAATAGGGCCTACTGGAGAATGGAGGGCGGGAGGAGGGAGAGGATCAGGAAAAATAACTAATGGATACTAGGCTTAATACCTGGGCGATGAAATAATCTGTATAACAAACCCCCATGATATACATGTTTACCTGTGTAACAAACCTGCACATCCTGCACATGTACCCCTGAACTTAAAATAAAAGTTAAAAAAAAGAAATTTGCTAAAATAGTAAATATTAAGTGCCCTCACCAGACACACAGACACACAGACACACGCACGGTAACTATGTGCGGTGATAGGTGTATTGATTAATTTGTGATAATAATTATACAATGTGTATATTTATCAAATTATTACATTGTATACCTTGAAAATATATAATTTGTATTTGTCAATCATTCCTTAATGTAGCTGGAAAAGAAAAACAAAAGGAAATGTGCTGCGGGGTGAAAGGACTGGGTGCTGAGACCAGAGCAGTGATGGTTCTTCTTCCTCGTCTCAGTATTTCCGCCATCCGCAGCTCACCCTGGGCAGAGCGTCTGTCCACCTCTCTCCCTCTCATGTCTCAGGGCTCCTGTTCTAGTCCCCTTCTGCCCACATGTTCTCTTCATGCCCATCTGTGCCGTGGGGTCTTAGGGAACACCATTTCCAGCCCCAGCAAGGCGCCTGGATCCACCAAACAAGGATGCCTGGCTTGGCGGAGGGATCACAGGAAATTGTCATGACAACTCGTAGAGCTTGGGAAGTGCTTCTGCAAACTGCTTTCTTAACGATTGGCGCTCGGAACAGTCACAACTGGGCAGAGAGATACCTGGAACAGGCTGGGTTCTTGTGGGACTGGGAAGAGGGTGTGTGGCCAAGCGACGAATAACTTTAAAGAGTGACGAGCAGGAAGCAAGATAGTGGGATTCTGATTTATTTAAAATTGTGTGTGGAGGAGTGGGAGAGCAAACACCGCATCTCCTGGTGAGGCTTGGGACGAGTCCTGGAGCACAGTATTTTTCTTTCCTCCTCGCTCCTTCTTTTCTTTGCTCCCTGTCCTCTGTGCATTGCTTTCCTCTCCTCCTTAGCCGGGTGCTTATGGGGCCAACCTTATGTTGCACCTGCCGAGTCCCCCCATTAATCTGATCTAGTTCCCAACATGTGATTTAGGGGTGTTGCGTGCCCTGAATGAGAGGAGGGGGGCAGGAGAGGAGAGAGAGAGAGGCAGCGGTGGGGAGAAACCCCGTTTGATCTGCTGAAATGCACCTTAAGAGCAAACCCATCCACTTTACTGAAGGTATCAGCTGGGTCCTGCCTACAGTTATGTCAAACAAAGTGTGCTGCGAAGTGCCAACTCTCCCTTTGTGCTGTGACACCGAGAGCTGCCAAAAGATATTAAAAAGCTTGCATGAACTAGGTGATGGCAGCTGTAACTATCTAAGTTATTGCCTGGCAGCTGCAGCACTGCCTCGCTGCTGCTGGCCGCCTTTATAGTTGGTTCTCCATTTGTTTGCCCTTTCTCTAGCAACCGATAGCACCAAGCCTGCAGTGGGCGAGTCGCCGCCCCAGCCCCCTCGCGCCTGCAGGAGGGGAGACTTGCAGCGAGCTGAGCTGCATGGAGAGACACCCTCGTGCAGCTTCTGTGAGAAGTTGTGTTTTTCTTGGCTGGGCCCCAGACTGGTTTTGCATCAGTCAGCTCGACTCCAAGGAACCTTGGACGAGGGGATGGCACAGAGGCGAGTGTGCACACCCAGGCGCACACACCAAATGCCGATTTTTTTGTGTTTGTGTGTGTGGCTTTTTTCCCTTCCGTGTTGGCTCTGATTGAGCTAGAACAATATCGCCAGCTCCAAGCCCTGCCAGTCCTACATCTGCTCCCTAAAACCTCCAGCAAATAAGAATACGGTGGGGTTGTTTAACCAACACTTACAATATACACACTTTTCAGCTTTTCTCCCCCTGGGTTGCCCAGGCTCAGAGATCTGGATGCTGGTGGCAAAGGGTTGAGAGATAAGGGGCTAATGATCCCTGTGGGCATCTGTCTCCGAAGCCTCCTTCTCTGGCATGTTGATCTGTGGCATAAAATACATTTCATTGTCATGGGCTTTGGGGAAGGTGTCTGTATGGCGAGCTGGTTTTTTGTATTCTTCTGTTGAGTTTGGTCTTTTCAGCTGTCTGTTAAATAATTCATACAGCTCATGAAAGTAATATTTCTGGGATGTAGGGGGTTCCATTTTTCCAATTCCCTTTCACTCCATCTTTTTTTTTTTTTTTTTTGAAGCGGTTGTAGGGAGAACTTGGCAGGCGTGGCCTGGGTGGTATAATAAAACCTTCTGTCTTTTCCTCTCACCTCTCCAGCTCAGACTGGGAGGGCAGGAGGGGTTCCTGACCTTCAGCAGGCCAAACCAAGGTCAAGCCTGAGGTTTGAGTTTGGTTTTCATCTCAGAGTTCAGCCATCAAAGGGTGCCAAAGGCACAGGCCATTTTCATCGCTGTGCTGGACACCCGTTCGAGCCATTTTCCTGTGGGGAGGGCCTCTCCTTTCGGTATCCCTAAGTGCTTGCCTGGTGCCTAGCATGGGGCTTTGCCCCTGGTAGATAATGATGGTCTGGCAAAATGGATTGAGTTGAGGCCATTTTGGTGGAAGGCAGGACTCGGCACTCTTAACCTCTGTTATCATGGTCAAATAAATCGAATAACGGATTGGCCAGTTTTGTTTGTCTTCACGGGTTAGATTGGCATTCAGCCTTTGCCAGTGCATAAGCGAAGCCTCTTGTGGAAGAGTGAAGTCTCCTCCTTCTTGCCCCACAGAGCCTCCAAGCTGGGTCGTGTGTCCTGCTGAGTGTCGACCCCCGGCCGTCCGCTCTGTACTGTGTTTGTCTTTTCATCTGTGACCCTCCGCTACACTGAAATCCCCCCCTGAATGGGGACCAGGTCTACCTGGTTCACTGTCGATGGAATGTGAAAGGATATTTTCAAAATTAAAACAGGCTTTCATGGAGTCATGTGCAACCTTCCTGAAAGTCTGAGGTGAGAGGGGCATTTCCTTGGAGCCCTCCCATCCCACCAGAAGCCCCCTTTACCTTGGATCTCCACAGCCCTCGAGGGGCTCTTTGGGAGTTCTGTGCCCAGGCAACATGACCTGCGTGAGGCCCTTCCCTTGAAAGTAGACCTTTGGGATGACTGCCCATTTGCTGGTTGTGTGCTCCAGGGCAAGAATTTCATATCCGCATCTGTAAACTCTACACCCACTTCAAAGAATTAATTGGGAGGTATTATGGACTAAATATTTGTGTCCCCCACCCCAAATTCATATTTTGAAGTCCAAGCCTTCAGTATGACTGTATTTGGAGACCGGGCCTCTAAGGAAGGAATTAAGGTGAAATGCAGTCTTATGGATGGGGCCCTGATCTGATGGTATTAGTGTCCCTATAAGAAGAGACACCAGAACACTCCTCCCCACCCCCACCCCTACCCTTCCCTGCATGCACACGCACACAGGGAAAGGCCACCTGAGGACACAGTGAGAAGGTGACTGTCTGCAAGCCAGAAAGACAGCCCTCTTGGGAAACTGAGTCAACTGGCACCTTGATCTTGGACTTCCCAGCCTCTAGAACTATGAGAAATAAATGTCTTTTGTTGAAGCTGCCCAGTCTATGGTATTTTGTTATGAAGACTAAGCTGAGACAGGGGAATTAATCCATATAAAAATATAAATCTTGACCAGGCGTGGTGGCTCACGCCTGTAATCCCAGCTCTTTTGGAGGCCAAGGCAGGTGGATCATGAAGTCAGGAGATTGAGACCATCCTGGCTAACACGGTGAAACCCTGTCTCTACTAAAAATACAAAAAATTAGCTGGGTGTGGTGGCGGGTGCCTGTAGTCCCAGCTACTAGGGAGGCTGAGGCAGGAGAATGGCGTGAACCCAGGAGGTGGAGCTTGCCGTGAGCTGAGACCATGCCACTGCACTCCAGCCTGAGTGACAGAGCGAGACTCCATCTCAAAAAAAAATATATATATATATATAAATCTCAGCATGGTGTTTGGCACATAGTAAAGAAAATCATGAAGGTTTGACATTTTTCTTGAGTATCTGTGGTCTGGGAGGTCAAGGGGATGTGGCCAGGAGGAAGAGGGGTGAGAGACTGAGGAGCCTCCAGGTCTGTGATGGGGAAGAGCCAAGATGTCTTTAGATGAATCTTGGCAGACTATGGAGGAGGTGCAGTGGTCGGAGGCTTGCATGATGGTTAGGAGGTCTGTGGAGGGCAGAGGTGAACTGAAGCCACCACGGGAAGGTGTCGAGGGCAGGAGGGGATGGTGATTTATCGAAGGCCGACTGTCACCAGGTCTTTGCCTAGAGCTTCACACAGATGCCCCTGCCTGGCTCTCCACTTTCCCTCCCCCAGGAGGCCACCCCATCTCCATTCTACAGACAAGGAAATGCCTTGGGTTTCAAATGAGGAGAGCTGACATTCACTTCTCACTTGCAGGTGTCCAGGTACAGGTATATTCTCACTCAGTTCGCACAACTACCCCACAAGGTACATTTTTTATATCATCCCCATTTCATAGGTGAGGACATTGAAGCAGAGTGCTTTTAAGTGACATGCTGAAAGTCACACAGTTAGTGATGCTGGTGCAGGGATTTTAAACCCAGGCAGGTGACTTTGGAGCCTGTGCTTAGGGTCATATGTTTTACTGCCTGGGGGGCTGAATAATGGGTCCAGATCCCACATTGCCAGACTGGGGTTTGAACTGGGTTCCACCTGGATTCCAAAACTTCCCATGATGTTATACTGCTCTGGAGTCAAGAATGTAATTCTTAATGGTGGGGTTTTGATGCAATGACAGCAGCAGTAACTTTAAAAATAGAAGATGACAGATGATGATAAGCGACTGAACATAGGAAAGAGGTGGTGTCCGGGCCCTTTAGGGGCAGGACTGTGCCTGTGTGGCAGCAAATTGGGCACAGAAGAACACAACAGTGTTTGCAGGAGAAGGTTGTGGGTTCATACTCACAACATCCTCAGGAGGTTGGTGCTATTATTATTCCCATTCTACAGGTGAGGAAACTGAGACACAGAGAGGTGAAGAAACTTGCCCAGGGCCACACAGCTAGTAATGGTAAAGCCAGGATTTGAACCAAGGTGGTCTGACTCCTGACTCCATTCTCCTAGCCATCATGCCATGCTGCCTTCAATGGAGATTTGATACTGTATGGTAACATTGACGTGGTGGAGGATGTTATAGGCAAAATAAAGAAGATGGTATTGCATTTCTCCTCACTAGCTGAGGACTTGACAGAGTGGGGATTTGTAGGATGCATATGTCCTGTGTGTCCAAGAAGCTGGTGGCATTATGGACCTATGTACTGACTTGGAGGATATTCCTCTTAGCTCCATGCTGACTAAATAGATTGCTACTGATGACAGTAGACCTCACCAGGACAGGTGCACTGAGTTGACAATTTGGGGAATTTTCCTGAGGCCTCTGTTCCACTTCCTTAGACACTACAGGGCTCTGTGTGGTGTGAACAAGCCCTTCAGTGCTGCTACTGTTCACAGGTGCTGAGCTCGACTGGTGGCCTTCCAGGAAGACAGTGCGGCTAAGAGTGGAGGCTGCTGGGATTTGAATCCACTCAGTTATTTACTGGCTGTCTAACTGTGGGCAGGTTACTAATCTCTGTGTGTCTCAGTGCTGTAGTTTGAATGTTTGTGCCCCTAAACCTCATGTTGAAGTTTGATCCTCAATGTTGGAGGTGGGGCCTGGTGGGAGGTGTTTGGGTCATGGGGGCGGATTCCTCATGAATGGCTTGGTGCTGTCCTCAAGGGAGGGAGGGAGTTCTCACTCCAGTCATTCCCTGGAGAGCTGGTTGTTAAAAAGCAACTGGCACCTTTCCACTCTCTCTTGCTTCCTCTGTCGCCATGGGATCTCTGCACATGCTGGCTCTCCTTCACTCTCCCTATGAGTGGAAGCAGCCTGAGGCTTCCCACCAGATGCCCAGTCTTCCAGCCAGCAGAATCATGAGCCAAAAAAAACCCCTCTTTTTCTTTATAAATTGCCCAGCCTCAGGTATTCCTTTATGGCAAACAAATGGACAAAGACATTCGGTTTCCTCATCTGTGCAAAGTGGGTTGTTACCGTACCTCCCTCTCAGGGCTGTGATGAGGATGAGATCGATGAAGTGCTTAGAGCCTTGCTTTGCACACAGTGCCCATATTACTGTTCTTGTTGCTGTTTGTATCGCAGTGGGGCTGGCTGTCCTGTGTTTACGGCTGACTCACCATTGCGGCTTGAAGACTTTGCAGGTCTTCCATCTACATCCAGGAGGGATGCCGCTAACTCACCTGTCCTCTTTCACACAGCCTCTTCATCACTGATGGCAGATGTTGGGGGACTCGGTAGGGATTTCGGATGCAGCAAAGTCAACTCCCTTACGTCTCCTCTATGGCTCTGTGGAGCTGAGATCTAACCAACTGAGGGATCAGTGGCTGGCTGCCATATGTCAGAGCTGAGGTCAGAGACCCTGCCTGGCCTGGTCCTTCAGTTCACCTCTGGCTCTTAATGACTGTGGAATTGCTTGTTTTCTCTGGTGTCAGAAGGTGTCCTTGTCATTTTTTTAAACCATCTCCATAGATGTTACAAGTAAAGTCATCAAGGCCTTTAGACACGATGAGAGGAAGGGATCTGAGGGCAGAGAGTCAGCTCTTGCATCTTTTTCTCTCAAACTACCTTAGTACCAACCAACTATTGCTAGAGCGCCTTTTGTGCAAGTCTTTGAGAACACAATATGGACAAGCTGGACACAGCACCAGCCCACAAAGAGCTTTCAGCCCAGTAGGGAAGACAGTTCAACAACCATGAAGAGGATCTAGAGAGTTAATCAGGGTATCCCAGACAAAGCTCTACTGAGACTTTATCTGTAGCAGGGTTGCTGGAGGGAGTTGTATCCAATATGCCAGACCGACTCATATTTGAGGGAATCTTAGGGCATTTTCTGTCTTAGTAGTAATAAGCACATTGCAAGGTTTTATAAAACCCATAGGTTTAAGGTTTTCATTTGCATTGTAATTGCCTGACTTCCAATTGCCTGTGGCCAATTTTTAGTCCCAGATTGACCTATCACCATCACTTCTGTTTTCTTAAGTCACCTGTGCAGGCTTCCTGGGGACTCCACTTTGCACATCCAACTTGTCCCATTCAACACACATTATTCATAATGAGCCTATTGTGTACCAGGCCTGGAAATTGAAAGCCTCAGTTCAAAGGACTTTACTCTCTTTTCCTGAAAAGTTGAGCATATGTTGGTTTTTGTAAATCTGATATCTAACGTACTAAGAGAGTTTACTTTTTAAAGGAACCTTCAAATTTAGTGTTTGACTTTCTGTACCTTGGGTGTTTTTAGAGTGGGGCATACATACACTCCTGTTAGCAGAAGCTAAAGAAAATTAGGAAGACAATGACATAGCATTCTAGAAATGGAGGGACCTAGGCAATTATCTGACTCAACTTCTGGATTTTTACAGATGAGGTGATTTAGACCTTGACACAAGACATGGATGTTTTTGGTGGCTGAGCTGGCAAGAGGCAGGGCCCAGGCTCATTGTCTGTTGCTCCTTCCTGTGTGCCCTGCTCCTAAACCAGTTGTCTAGTCTGTCTGGGTTATCTGTTGGTTTGCCTTATCTGTTCTGGGTTCCTAACCTCAGTGTGAGGAACTGACTCTATCATATTTCCATAAAACCAGCATAGGAGTTTTTAATCTCAGGCTGAGTTGTCCCCCCAACTGCTGGCCCTCCTGGGCCCCATTTTGGGCATTCTCCTTCCTCTTGGAGCTTGTGTGTGGAATTTCAATCCTGCTGCGACATTTGGCTACTTGAATTCACTGATCTCCAAGAGCATGCATGATGCTGACAGACCTCTCCCTCTTGTGCCCAGAAACCCCACTAAAGGAGCAAGGACAGATGCAGCCACCACTGCCCTTGGACGGGGGAAGTCATTGAACAGAAGGGCACGAAGACGTGGCACACAAAGCCTATTGTCCCTGCTGCGGCCATGCTGGGCACCTCAGTGCCTGTTCTCTTGGGCTGCTACCGCTTGAGGTGTGTGGAGCATGGGAGCTGGATAGGCATGTGGCCCTGGACGCTGCCCCAGCCAACAGCCACTCAGGTGGGGGCCTGGTGGGGGGCAGGAAAGAGCCTCCCACATTCTTCATGCAATTCTTCTTCTATTTTGCATAGCCAAGTATCGATTTTGGGAACCTGACTCTGGTTGCAAATGAAAACCTGAGGGCTTTGGTGAGGTGAGGGATGCACCAGGAACAAGAGTCTCTTTTCAGGGCAGCCCCATCTGGAGGGGAGACTTGGACTTTGGCCATCTCCTCATCACCCCTAAATTATCTCCCTCGCTGGGACCCTGTGCTAGTTCCAGGCAAGGTACAGTCACAGGGCAGGAGAAGGAGGAGGAGATCACCCTGGGAGTCACTTCCCAGGGACATCAGGAGATGCTGATCTTCAGCGGGGGCCTGTAAGATGATGACCGCCCTGGCGAGGGAGGGTTACAGAAACAGATAAAAGACAAGACCAAACAAAGAGAGTTCACTTTGGCTCCCCTGTCTTCTTTCAGATGAGGCCTGACTACCTGGGCAGTGAGAGCTAGAGTTAGGATGAAGGGGAAGGGGACTGGACTGCTTTATGCTGACTTTCTTTCTCCTTTTCATAGAGAGGGGGTTTGGGTAGGAATAGTGGGGTGACAAGAAACTTGTTGAAGAGAGCTGTGCAAACAATGGCTGGTGCATGCCAAAGCTGGCAGTCAGTGGTTCTTAATGTTTGAATGGAAGTGGCTGGAGCTAGCTTTTTTTTTTTTTCTTCCACAGTCAGTGTTGCCAAGAAAACAAGGAGTAGCTGTTTTAAGCATTTACAAATGGTAATGTACCAACAGCTGGTCTCAGTCCAACCGAGCTATTGTAGGGGTATTAAAAAGACAGGCCAGAGTTGGAGATGTACTGCCAACCTCCCTTGCAGAGTTGGGGAACATTTTACTTGGAAAAAAAGGTCTTATATTCCTGCAGAGATCGACAGGACGGTTCTCCTGTGGAGTCAGTGCCTTGCTTGGCAGAGGAGGCAGCGCGGGCAGGCCAGCCAAATGCTTGGGCGACAGGGAAGCGTGGAGTCTGCGGGCTTGCGGCGGATTTATCAGCGCAGCCATGCCACCTCCCTGCTCACAAGAGGCTCGCGTGCACATGCGTGTGGACATGGCTGTCTCGCGTCTGCATCCGCGTGCACACTGATGGCGGCTTGGGCATGGTGGCGGCAGCAGCAAGACCAGTGTCACCCCCGAGGCCCGGGCTCCAGGTCCCCATGTGCTCTGAGTCTCTGCTCTCTCCTGAACATCCGTGGCTCCCTTCCCTTTCTTTTTACCCAGGCCAAGAAGACGAAAGAGAAAATCTCACGGAAATGCTGCCCTCCTTTCCCTCTTTCCCGGTCCTCTGCCCCTCAATAGCATACAGAGGCACCCGAGCAAAGGGCAATCTGGGTTTATCTCCTGCTCTTCATCTCAGCCCTGAATCTGGGGTGTTCTTTAGGGTTTTTTTTCATCCCAGGAAATTGTAATACACAGAGCATGCTTCTTCGCTAAATGTAATTACCAGTGGCCCTGTGTTTATGGATGAGGCATGGTGGAAAGTAATAGAAAATGATTATTTTTCGTACTGAAGGCCTTCTTTATTAGTGGTGCGGTAGGGACGTCAGCTGCCTTCTCTGAATGGCAATGCAATGTTTTGCTTTCCCCAGCAAGATAAACGATCTTATTTGTTGATGTTTGCTGCTTGAGATGACATTTATGTGAAATAAAAGGGACCAAATTAATAATAAAAAAAATGATTAGCCAGACACAAATGAAAAATGTACATCTCTCCCCCACCCCAGTTAAGTTGTTTGTATTTACATGCTATTCACAAATAATGGCAAAATGCCCAATAGTTGGATGGCGAGGGTTTTTTCTTTTACAATCATATGGCTTGATTCCGTTTTCCAGATCTTGTCTGAGAGCTGCTATTTGAAATAAAAATGTTTGCATCCATTTCCTCATTAATCCTTCCGTTGTAATACAACCTGCTGCAGAGAAATGGCAAAACAGATGCAACAATGAAAATTAAAAGGGATGGACACTTATCTGGGGCTATAAAAGCTGCTAACCATGTAGGCACGAGAGAGGCTTTTGGACAGAAAATATGGCAAATGATAGAAACAATCATCGGACTAAGAGTTTGCTATTTGCAAAACTCTGGTGGGACATTTCTCTGCTTGTAACGGCTGGAGGATCACTTCTGAGTTTAGTGCACACCAGAGAGAGTGTGTGTCTGCTTTGCCTTGAGGCCTGTCTTCAATATTTGGTGCATCTACCCATCTGGTTTCTCATTGGGCTGAAATTTTCTCGACACAAACAAGCACTTTGCAAAGGATCTATAGACCTCGTGTTTTGAGGGCTCTATATTTTTGCCTGGAAATATTGCTTCCTGCCCTCCTGGGAATTACAGACCTAGAGCAAAGCTGGATTGACCTTGATCTTTATTTTGCAGCCAAATATATTATGTTCTGGGGAGGCAAAGGGTTTTATAGCATGTGTGGGGGTGAGGGGCCATAATTCCATACTTCTCAAACAACTGGATACAGAGGAAAAAGAAGGTCCAAGTGCACTTTTTTGGGTATATGTGATACCGATGTATATGATTCTAGTTTTTTTTCCCCCCATCTAATTGTCTGATGTTACCTCAAGCTTATACTCACCTCCTGAATTCACTGGGATTTGGGGTCATATGGAGATTCAGTAGTTTTGTGCATACTTACCGAGCATCACCTGTTTGCAGTCTAGGAGTAACAGAGGGAAACAGAGAAAGGCAGAAATGTGATCTTTGCCTTGAACAGCTTAAAAACTTCCTGGTAGAGACTGGACTGGAATAATTAAATACACAGAAAGACAAACAGCCAACGAGGGCCATGCATGTGGGAGTTGATGAGTGAGACGTGAGATGAGAGCATGGCTCTTGGGGGAGGTTGATTGTGGCTACATCTCCCCATGCAGTGCTGAGAGCAAGAGACCAGTACAACTTGCTGATGGATTGATCAGACCCTGACAAGTAAACTAAACAAGCAGAGGAGATGGAAGTCCGTGCATGTGGAACATTTGTTAAATGTGTCAGACCTTGGGTGACTAGCTTCTGGTTTGATTGACACATTGGAATAATTTTTTGGTCAGGGTGGGTGTACAGTTCAGACCTGTCTGGTAGGCCTAGTAGAGGAATACAGGTGGTAAAGAGGCTCTGGACATGGATCAAGTCTTGGCTCTGCCACTTACTGTTCAAACATCTTTGGCTTTAATCTTTTAGTGCCTCAGTTTTCAAATCTGTGAAATAGGTAGAATCATAGCACCTATTTTGTAATTTCACCCTAGGGATTAAATGACAGAATATATCACAGTGCCTAGCACCAAACCAAGTATGTGACCAAAAATGTTCATGCAAAGAATTATTTTTATTCTATATATCTTTTATCTTCATTTCTGCTTCTATTCCTGTCTGAGATGCAGGGCCAAATATGTGTTAATTGTCCTTAGGATCATCCTTGACAAGGAAGATACTTGTCTTTTCAGTAAAAGGGAGGCCCGCTTCCTATGATGTAGCTGAGGGCAGGAAGCTGGGCTGCATGACCTCTCATAGTTACTCTTAGCAATTTGGTTTTTGAATTTTTTGAATTCTTCTGCTTCAAAAGCCTTAGCAGGGCTTGGCCATAGGGGAGTTGTGCCTTTTGGTGAATTGGTAGGCAGGGAAGTGGTTAATTAGGCACAGCCCCCAGTACAGAAAAAGTCCCACCCATGATGTAGTTGGGAATCTGGTTCTGTTGAATCATTACACGTAGATTTTTAAAAATTTTATCAGCAGAACCGATGGTCTGCTTCTGGTGCTGTTGAAACTCACCACCACTATGCACGCAGCACTGCTCATGAACAGCTGCTGAAGAGTGTGAGTAGGGAAGGCAGGAGAAATAGTAACACAGCACCTACAGCCCGGTCTCAACTGGTAGAGGCTGGCAAACAGTGGCAGCAAAAGCACCAGGGTGGCACGATACAAGCAGAGATGGATTGGCAGGTGGGAGGAGGAGGGTCAGGGCTGGGGATACTGCTGTACTGCTTTTGTCAAGTAAAACTTAAGGGTAGATTACAGGAAAAGGAACAGAGTAATCCTTATTCCCAACTTAGATGTCAACATTATCTTGTCACACATGGAATTACAGCTTCCAAAATGTGGATGGGCATCAACTCATGAACTTCTCAAGAACAAAAGCCACATCTTATGCATCTTTGTATTTATTTCAATGCCACTTGCCTTCCCTGGCCCAGAGTTTGCTCCTGCTATATGTGATTAAATGCTTGACTATGTGAGTACTGCACATGTGTAGTGTGCCAAGGAAAACTGCTCCCACAAACTGACATTATCTTGCTGAGTTTGGATGCAATACCAACGCATGCATCTTCCAGAGCCTGGAGGAAAATTCAGGAATTCTGATTTAACTGATATTTATTTGGTCAGTTAAATCATTTCCAGAGCAAGTTTCTGTACCTAAAGTGCGGATGTTGGTGTATGAGAGGGCTAGCTGGCTCTTTCTTTTCATTTCTGGAAAGAGAAATATGTGTGAAATTCAACGACATCTGCTGAAATTCAAACATATTTTTATTTATTCATGGCCATGATCAGGGCAGAACCTCTAATTTCAACCAATAATTAGACTTGACAATAGATGTGGAAATAAAACATTTTTGCTGAATTCACTTGTCATTCCTCCCTGCTGTAGCTGGTGTAACCCAGATGTCAGCTGTCCCTTATTTTTCTCTTCGAGTGTCCCCTCCCTCAACCCCCTCATACTAATGCATTAGTGAGCCTCATGGCATTTACTGAGGGTCTCATGGGAGAGACACAAGAGAGGGCTGACATTGCATACTTCACAGTCACCCACTTAAATATCTCTTGGGATCCAAAAACAGTTTCTTGGAGGTATTGGTGCTGCCATTCCACCAAGAATCCCTTTTTCTTTCTCTTTTGGTCCACCCGGATCAATAGGTTTTAACCCTGTGTCTTTTCTCCCTTCACTCCGAAGTTCAAATTCCTCCCCTTGCTGTTATGGAGTTTTTAATCTCACTCTTAATGTATCACCATCCTGCATGCTGCTGCTCACAGGCAATTTAAAGACCTTCTGAGCAAAAAAGACCAACTATCTTTTTTTGACTTGACTAGCATTCCTTCTGGAAGGACTTGGATAATCGCCATTTTCCACGCTGATGATCCAAGCATTTGTTTATGCTTTTTGCTATTTGGTCCTTGAAATGACTATGAGATTGTCATATCTGCAGAAAGTCCTTGCTAGCCTTTTCCCTAAGGCTTCAGGGGAATGGTGAGGCAGGAGCCAGAAGGTAGGAAATGGGGAATGAATGGGATTGAGTAAGGGCAGACAATGGTTTCAGGAAGTTTGCTTGTGAAAGGGAGGAGAAGGAGGAGGACCTGGGAGTGGGATGGAAGGTCAAGAGAAGCTTGCTTAATAAAAATGGAAGATCTCAAGGCATGTTCAAACACTGATGGGGAGGAGTAAGGAGAGAGGGAGAGGCTGAGGATTAATCTCTGAGAAGGGCGAGGGCATGTGATTTAGAGCACCAGCGCAGGGATTAGCCACAGCCGAAGACAGATGTAATGGAAGGGAGGCCAAGGGACATGGAGCCGTGGACAGGTTGGCTGTGAGGCTGAGGAGGATGAAGGGGTGTACGGAGGAGGCTGGGTGACCTCATGGCAGCTTAGCTGAGTGCAGAGTCCGAAGTTCTGTCCTGGAAGGGGCAATACAGTTGGCTGTTGTCATTGCTGTTTACCATGTGGATTCCTGGAGCCTGCCTGAAAACCTGGTCTGCGAGCTCCCTGTGAACTAGCATCTTTTCCAGGGGTTTTCTGGATCCAGCTCATGCTCGTGCCAATGATTAAATCTTTAGAGAAATTTGCAAGCCAGGTATTAAACCATTAGTAGTTTGAAATCGGCCATGGCGAGGGAGTATTTATACTACAGAAATTGGAAATGGCAGCAAACTAGGGCCTTCCCACTGTGAATGCACCCCTCACACCCCCCTACCCCTCACCCCACCTCCACTGCCAGCCTCGGAATGCTGGTTGCTAGACCTTCAGCCACTCAGCACTGCTTTCAACTCTTGCTCCTTACCTCCCTCGGTTTGGTGCACTGCTCTACGCCTTATAGAGTGCATGTGATGGCTTTGCTCTTCTGTGCCTCAGCTTCCTCCTCTATCCCCAGGTCTTTGCAGCCTGGGAAGTCAGGTGGAAATGGGCCATGCCTGCAGCAGAGCATGGTCTCTGAGAGGTGTTGGATGAACATCACAGGGGGAATGGCTGTATTGGGGTGTTCGTGGGTGCTTTTCTGGAAGAAATTCTCCTCTGTGGATATGCTCTTACTCTCTCCACGCACTCGCAAGTCTAGGAAGCTTTAGCTTGTTTTCTTTCTGTACTTGCATATTGGAGGAAGAGGGATTTTCCCTGCCCTTCCCAGCTCCACGAACTGCACACACAGAAGGAAACAGTGCAGCTGCCCCTCATGCTGAGGCTCAGGGCACCATCAGTGCAGTGGCACTGTGGAACTTATTGACAGAGGGCTGGCGTGGGCTTCTAGAAACAGCTCTGTTCTTCCCAGTTCTCTAGCAGAGCGGCTGTGCCCTTTCCCACCCTCCTTCCCCTGCCGCAGCTTCCCACACCTGCTCTTGCCCTGGCTGCCATTGGCCAATAGCAGGTGTTGGGAACCCGGAACATGGAATGTCATGGGTCTGTAGTCCAGGGAGGATGGTGGAGGAATCCCAGCTTTAGAGCCCCACAGATCTGGGATTGAGTTTGGGCTCTGGTGGGTGATTTCCTGGTATTCTTGGGCAAGGTATTAAATATCCAGCTGCAGGGTTCTCCTCTGTGTAATGAAAGATTAGATGTGATCATGTTTGTAAAGAGTCTGGCGCACGGTAGGATCTCAAAGAGTGTTGGGTGAAGGGTCAGTGGGGAAGATTAATTATGAATTCAATATTGCATTTCTTCAGGAAACCTTCCTGGACTGCTGCTACTCTCCCCTACTCACTAGTCACTTGACACCTCTGACAGTGCCCCTTGTCCATCTGCTTCATTGCATGCTGACACTCAAGGCTTAACACTTTTTATGGTATAAGAAACTGGGCAGGCAGTGAGCTGGGAGCAAGAGTTAAAAGCAGTGATTTTCTGCTAACTGTCTAACAACCAGCATCCCAGGGGGAAAAAGGCCCCAGTTTGTAGCCATTGCCAATTTCTGTAGTGTAAATACTCTCTCACCATGTCTGATTTCAAGCTACTAATGGTTTAATACCTGGCTTACAAACTTTCTAAAGATTTAATAATTGGCACGAGCCTGAGCTGGATCCAGAAAAGCCCTGGAAAAGACACTTGTTCACAGGGAGCTCGCAGACCAGGTTTGTGGGCGGGCTGCAGGAAAACACATGGTAAATAGCAGTGACAACCAACACTCAAACATTTCAGAGTAGTTACAAGGCAGCACAAGGCAGTGCGAAGAATCCATTTACATTGGATGGTATTCCATAAAAGGAAGGCTCCGAACGGAGTCTGGGCTGGCATTTCAGATGTGAAAGGATTCGGGATTCGATAGAGGGCAGGTAGATGTTTAAGAGGAGAGAAATGGCATTGGCAAAGGCTTGAAGGTGAAATCCGAAGAGTCAGGCTTAGGGGAGGGATGGGAATAGCATGGAGAAAGACCATGCAGTGAGTTGGAGGCTTAGATCTTGGACTCTTCAGCCTGAGAAAGGCAGTTTTGAATGTTGGTTGCATCACTGATATCTAGGAAGTTTATCACCTCTCTGGGCCTCTGTTCCCTAGTGCCGTCAAGGGGAGATGCAATCTACCCTTTAGTGATGTTGCGAGGATTAAATGAGATAATGATGCCAGAATGTGGGCATGGTGGTGTCTGGAGTCAGTGAGGGCTCCGTGAAGGGTGGCTGCTACTACTGCCACCTGCCCAGTCTCTCCCTCTCTAGGCTTCAGTGTCCCTAAGACCAGAGACTGCATCTTCCATTTCTTTCTTCTTCATGCCTGGCACAGGGTGTGGCACATTTTGGGTGTCCACATACTCTGACTGAGGACCCATCTCTGGGCTGAGGCTGGACCACCGAACACGTGTGGACGGCCTCCCCTCCTTGCCCTTCCCTGTACTAGTGTCAGGGGGCAGCTTTGAAAGCTTTGGGTTCACTACCTTCTTTTGTGTGGTGGAGCCTGTTACCTCGAGAGTTCCAGAGAGGCTGCTGCCCCTTGAGCCCCTTCCTTGTCTGTACATGCTCTCCTCTGTGCAGCAGTGTTAGGGAAGGGGTTGCTGTGTGGACCTCCTTTTGTTTGTTCCATACGCGTTTGTGGCGCTCCTGCACCTGGCACTGTGCTCATCGCTGGGAAGCAAGAGGAATAAGGCACAGACATCCCTCAGGGTCTCAGCTGATAGTGGGGTGGGGCCTCAGTTATAAAGTAGTGTTTACCTGCTGTGATGGAGGTGTGCATCCATGCCATGGCCAACGTAGGCACAGGCTCCACGATGGCCAGGGTGTTGGGTGAGCTCATGGGTCTTGCCAGGGTCTCCTTCCTCTCTTTGTAGAGGCTTCCATAAAGCCCTTTCTAAATTCTCAAAACATAAGTCCTTTAAAGAAAATCCATGTGTAAAATCTATCTACATCTTTTGGGAAAGATCTACTAAAAGTGCCCAACACATCGAATAAGATATTGATGCTACTAAATGGTTGAGAATTCTTATGGTACAGCAGGTTCCCCCGTCCCACATCGTGGCTCATTCTACTGCATATAAGCACGTGGAAGCCCATTGCTCAGGCGACCCAACTCTGACATCAGTTAGCGTTTGGCAGAAGACTACCCTTACTCTTTCTTCTCCTTTCTCCTGCTTTTCTTATGTTTTGTCCCATTCTGCTTTCTTTTTTAAAAAAATTCTTCTCCCCACAAACCTTCAAAGGACTCTCTTGGCACCACTCAGCCCCCAGTGGTTCTTAGGGTTAAAGAAATTGTTCATTCCTAGTTAAAATTTTTTTTGCACTGTTTTCAGCCTGTAGAAGAAAGTGTTGGTTCCAATTTGCCAGTAGCTTGCATTCCACCAAGAAGAAGGATCTGTCAGCACCAAGGGTGGTCCTGAAAGGATGGGGAATCTGGGGTGTGAGGGGTGCTGAGGCTAGCTCAAGAGTCAGGAACACATACACACACACACACACACACACACACACACACACACACAGACACTTTGAGTTAGGGCAATCAGAATCCCGGAAGGCTAGCAGATGATCTGAAATGCTGGAGGTCAAGGCAAAATGGTAGAGAAGAAACCCAAAAGACATTTTAAAAGCAAATGGACTCAAGCTTCAAAGAGCTAGGCAGGAGAGCTACTCATGGGTAATTAGAGCCAATGGGGTCAGGTTAGGGGCAGGAGAGGACACCGTTTGGAACGTACACTCTGGGAAGCCTTTCATACCAGGCTATTCCGATCCCAACAAAGCTTCCTCTGTTTGCCGCTGGAGTGAATCTGCTCAGGCCGTGGAGACAGAAGGGCCTGGGCAGTGCTAGGCTGAAGGGGACACATGGTTGGAACACAATGACAAAATTGACAGGGGTGCAGAGAAACTTTAATCAGCTTTGACCGTCTTTTTTTCTTTCTTTTTTGAGATGGAGTCTTGCTCTGTCACCCAGGCTGGAGTGCAGTGGTGCGATCTCGGCTCACTGAAACCTCCACCTCCTGGGTTCAAGCGATTCTTCTGCCTCAGCCTCCTGAGTAGCTGGGACTACAGGCACTCACCACCACACCTGGCCTTTTTTTTTTTTTTTTTTTTTGTATTTTTAGTAGAGACAGGGTTTCACCATTTTGCCCAGGCTGGTCTTGAACTCCTGATGTCAGGCAATCTGCCTGCCTTCGGCCTCCCAAAGTGCTAGGATTACAGGTGTGAGCCACCGTGCCTGGCCTCATCAGCTTTGACTTTCATTTTGGACCCTCTTTTCAGGTCAGTGGGTGACTGAACATTTTTTATAGTAACCTGCCATGCTTCAAACAGAAATATGGCACCACCTATCTATCTCATGGTGGTGAGGACAGGCTCTTTGGCCTGTGTTTTCATTCACGGGAATGGGTTTTGCTGAGCCTGTCACACTTCCTTTTCACCTAGGTTGTGACCCCAGATGCATGTTTGCCATGCTGGACTCAAAGGACTTCCTTTATTTATTTATTTTACTTTTGACATTGCAATTTGTGTAATTATTCATGTTTTCTCTTTTTCCTTGGAAGCTCAGAACCAAATTGCAGTGCATGTCTTAAAATGCACCTATTAGGCATCATTTTATTTATAATTCACCCTTGGCTTTATCCTATTTTTTTCACCTATATTTTCTTTAATTTCCTCACTTATTTTTCCTAATCTCTCTGTGTATATAATCCTCCTCAGTTCTTTGAGACATTAGACTTAGAGTTACATAAAAGTCATCCCCATAATATTCTGCCTCTACACTGAATAAATGTCCATTTAGAGTCTATAGGATGGCTTGCAAATCAATGCATGAAATCTCAACAAACAACCTTGGGCCCTAAGGGTTATATATGGCTATACATTAAATAAAAGACAAGTGCCTGTCCTCAAGGAGATTCTAATCCCAAGACATAGACAAAACATATAGATTTAAGTTAACAGGACTGTTTAGCTACAAAATTATAGAGGCATTATCAAGGGAAAGGCTTCACTTAATTCTTCATTCATCCAAGAAATATTACTGAGTACAGACTATGCATGAAGCCCTGGTTATGCCCTATGCAGCAATGTTGAGCAAGATATAGTCCCTGCCTTCCAGGAGTTCTACTTAGCAGGGAAACAAGTAAGAAGGCAATTACAATACGTGTAATAAAGCCATTGGTCCACACAGGCAGGATGCAACTCAGTCCTGGGAGGGAGTGGACTGGAGCAGCTTTCTGGAGGAGATGACTTGTAAGACTGAGCTAGCAGACAAGTGTAGAGTTGAGTAGATCCTTGGCCTCTTCCAGAAAGATGTGAGCCTTGGCTGTTGTGCCTTGAGTGAGTCCAGCAGTCTTTCCTTACCTACCACGGATGGATTCTTGCTTTACTTAAGGAGGTGAATGTTGACTCCAAAACTGCTTAAACTCCCTGACTTCTCTGCTTGAGGGCAGTATGGCTTTCCCTAGCTACACTGAGAGCTTCTTCTTAAAAGATATCCAGACCTCGAACTGACAGCACACGGGCCAATGGGTGCATGAAGCCGCCCACCCTCTCCTCCCCCGCACCAGACCATCCTGCTCTTTCAGTCCCAGGAGCTGAGCTAACTGCCTGGTGCCCACTGCTGTAGAAGCCCGGCGATGAATGGCAGGCACTAAGATGTCCATCGCTGTGGGAAGAAGGGAGCTGGGGCGGGCCAAGATGGCAGATGGCTTGGAGTGGCATGCTGTTTTCAGGCCCTCTACCTTTGTAGCCTGTGCCATTTGAAGCTGCCGGTTACTGTTTTTAGCTTGGCTTGACAAGAGAGCTTTTGTTGTCACTCAGGAATGCAGGGTATTTTTAGCGAAGAGATTCTGCTTCAGGCATGGGCATTGTGTTCTTCCAATTACAGGCATGGCCGAGGAGGGCTGGGCGCCGAATCACTTGAAAGATCAGCAGGCTCAGCTGAGAAATTCATAGAAAAAAGAGGTGGGCGGGGCTGCATAACCAGAACCCTCGGGTCTTGTGCGATTTATTTTATTTTATTTTTATTTTAATCTTGTCTCCTTGTTCCTCCTCAGAACTGACTGCTCAGGTGACATGGAGGTAGATCCCAGGAAGGAAGGAAGGGAGAGCAGGAAAGAAATTGCCTGGGGGTTGAAGAGCTACCGAAGAGAAACTACCCAGCCACGAAACCACATTTATTGAGCTCGACCATAAGAGAACAGGTGGTAGTGAAATGAAAATTGTAACTTTTCTCTTGAACTTGAAATCAATTTGTAGTTATATATATTTATTGATTAATTCAAAGGAATGACTGAATGAACAAATGTTTTCCCATCCATTTATTCATTGATGCTATAGCAATGTACAATTTTTGGTCTGGAAGATCTGTGGATCATCCAGCTTAATCTGTTTCCCTAGTTCTCTTCCCTGCCAGACACCCCTGTCCCTGCCCCTTCCAGAGATGAGGAAACTGAAGCCCAGAGAGGTCAGGTGACTTGCGCAAGGTCCTACTAATTAGCAGCAGCTTTGGGACTGGAACCCAGGTGTCCTGACACCAAGTTCCCTGTTGTTCTATATTTACATTGTTGGAAACATCTATCTTGCCTGCCTTTTTTCTTTCTCTCTTTTTTTTTTTTTGAGACAGAGTCTCGCTCTGTCACCCAGGCTGGAGTGCAGTGGCGCGATCTCGGCTCACTGCAAGCTCCGCCTTCCAGGTTCACGCCATTCTCCTGCCTCGGCCTCCTGAGTAGCTGGGATTATAGGCACACACCACCGTGCCTGGCTAACTTTTGTATTTTTAGTAGAGATGGGGTTTCACCAAGTTGGCCAGGCTGGTCTCGAACTCCTGACCTCAAGTGATCTACCCGCCTTGGCCTCCCAAAGTGCTGGGATTACAGGTGTGAGCCACCGTGCTCGTCCCCTTTTGTTCTTATCTTAATGAACAAATCAAAATAACAACTTAACAGACAGCCTGAGATGGGGAGTGGGCTGAGGGTTGGGTCCAGGGCCATGCTTAGAGCCTTGGAACCATGAGAGTTTTTCAGACTTCCTTCTTGGCTATCTTTTTTGGTTTTCCTCTGCTTAGGTGGGTATTTATTGAGCATCCACTACACAGAAGGCACGTGCTGGGTACGTTGACATGGATTATTTTATGAATTACTCAAACAGCCTGCAAGGAAGGCATCAGACCTGTCTTTTGAGATCTGAAGGCTGAGATAGAGAGGGGCTAAGGGGGTTTGCTCAAGATCAATGACAGCCAAGTGGCTGAGCCAGAATTAAAAGCCAGGTCTGTCTGCCACAATGACCAGGGCTCTTTCCACTGACACCCAGATGTTTTCACAATACTGTTGGGGCTGAGTTGTTTGGAGTTGTGGTCACTATGGTGGGCCCCCTGGCCGGTGGAGTGTGCTGTCTATGTTCTCCTGCAACCTGAATTTTCACGGAACCTGAAGATGGAAATGTGGGAGGAGATGTCATGTGCCCCATCACACTATTAACTTACTAATAAATGAAATGTCTCCCATCCCCACCGGAACTCTCTCCAGAGTGGGCCCAGCCTGTTCTACCACCTCCTTCCTTGGGCCTTCAACTTTGCTTTACAGCTGCGATGGCATCCCTGAGCTCTTACCTTTGTATCAGAGCTCTTTTTGTGTATATTTGTTTCTTGAGTGTATTTTTTATTTTTATTTTTACTTACTTTATTTATTTATTTATTTTGAGACAGGGTCTCACTCTGCCACCCAGGCTGGAGTGCAGTGGTGTGCTCATAATTCATTGCAGCCTCTATCTCCTGGGCTCAAGTGATTCTCCAACCTCAGCCTCCCGAGTAGCTGGGATTACAGGTGTGTGCCACCATGCTTGGCTGATTTTTAAATTATTTTGTAAAGATGAGATCTCACTATACTAGCTCAGGCTGGTCTGGAATTCTGGCTTCAGCCTCCCAAAGTGCTGGGATTTCAGGTGTAGGCCACCACACCTGGCCTGAGTGTATTTTTAAAAAATTCAGGTTAGTATAATTGAATGAGTGTTTATCAAATTCCTCCCAAGGAGCCAGGAGTGGTGTCACAGACATGGCTCTTCAGATCTTATGACAGGACTGGGCCTTGAGCCACTCACTTATTCTTTTAGCAAACATGGTGCCAGGCAGCCTCAATGTGCTGACAGTCTAGTAAGGGAGGAAGACAAGGACCCAGGTGACCAGGCCTCCCAGATGCCGCCAGCTGGTGGTGCAGGAGCTGACACTGCCTTTGGCCACTTAGTGGCCGTGGTACCTCTAAGTCCCAGGAAATACTCACACACCCCCTCCTCAACCTCTTCAGATGGCACAGGCTTCCGCATTAGGCTTTGTCTAGCACCCATAACTTACCTGTTGCACACAGATTCCAACATCCCATTGAATCCTGATGATATTGAGGGTCCTAAAATGACTCTGGGAATAATGAGGAGAACTGAGATCTAACTTTTCACAGGTAGGGAGGTTCCAGGTAGAACAGGAGAAGGAAAGCTCTAAGTTCCATGGAGTTAAGAGATGTATCTGTCTTGTTCATTTTTATATCCCCAGCTCTTGCTCTGGTGTATGGCAAATACGTATGATGTTGAATGAACAGGTATGTGCCTGAGAATGGATTGATTCAATGGGTTCTTTCCAATAAACTCATAAGGAGATCTACAGGTGTCTGAAGAGTTGAATATTGACATGTTGGAAAATAATAGAATGCACTTGAGATCATTCTGAATTTGAGAACACATCACGGGGTAATTAAAAAATATACTTTTTTTGGGTGGGGGAGGCCGAGGCGGGCAGATCACAAGGTCAGGAGACAGAGACCATCCTGGCTAACACAATGAAACCCTGTCTCTACTAAAAATACAAAAAAAAAAAAAAAAAAAATTAGCCAGGCATGGTGGCAGGTGCCTGTAGTCCCAGCTACGAGGGAGGCTGAGGCAGGAGAATGGCGTGAACCCGAGAGGCAGAGCTTGCAGTGAGCCAAGATTGCACCACTGCACTCCAGCCTGGGCGACAGAGCAAGACTCCGTCTCAAAAAAAAATACACTTTTTAATTAAAAATATTTTAAAAATATAAAACATTCAAGAAGCTGGCTATCTTGTGTTTGTTCCTCTCCATCCACTTGCCACGCTTTTCAACTCTCCTCTCAGCTCAGGAGACTTTTTGGGCCTTCTGGCTTCTCACTGGGGAGTCCTGCTGGGAGACAGAGGGAAGAAAGTGGGTGAGATCTGGGTACTTTTCCTGGCTCTCTCCCCGAGGGGTGCCCTCAGGCTGTGTCGAGGACTCTCTTTTTTTCTTGTGGCTACTCCCTCTGCCTTCATCCCTTTAGGCCGAGGATAGTAACAGCTCCTCTGTTACGAGCCTTGGCTATGATACCAATGCCTTGTGACTTCCCTTTACCTTGCCCACGTCTTTAAAAAATGGTTCCTATATTAGACCTTCATCAAATTAGACTGATTTGAGTGTGCCATCTGTTTCCTATTTGCAGCCTTGATGAAATAGGTGCAGCTCCCCATAGCATGAACACTCATTGAGGGTTTCTCCTAGCTCACCCATGTTCACGTGCTCCTCCCGTTTCTTAATAGTATGTGAGCTAGTTGGTTCCACCAAATATGTCAATCAAGATGGAGGTGCCAGTTCATTTTTATAGATGCATAAACACTTATCTGGGGGAAAAGGGGTAGTTCTATCATTCTGACACACACCATCACACCCAAAATTAATTAATTTAGAAATAATCCATGTATGGGTGAGGCCTGCCATTCCTATCATGAGAAAACTGAACTGGAGGAGGGAGCTCCCTTCTGCTCTTTCCTAACTGGATCTCTGTGTCTTAGTTTGGGTTCTCGTGAGGCAGAGCTTGCCATAGGGATTGGGGTACACCTGGCTAATTGGAGGCTGTCCTAGGAGAAGGCAGATGAGGGAGGCTGGGTAGAGCTGAGAAGGCCCTAAGCGAGGATGTGGATAGTCGCGGGGGCTGGGATGATCTCAGCTGGAGACCTGCCTCAGCCTGGGCCACAGGGAGCTCCTGTGCGTAGATAACACCAGTGAGTGGGGCCCACCTTGAGGCAAGGGGGCTGCCTTTCCACCTTCATGTCAGTCAGGTATTGGCCGTGGGCTGCCTTCGGCGGGGGTTTACACTGGGGTTGAGGTGGCTGCTGTTCTGTTGAAGGAAGTTCTTTGAGCAAGGAGGCAGCTGTGGGCCAATATTCACAGCAGCTGGGGGATGGGAGCACTGGCCAGGTAGAGGGGACCTAGCGGGGAGCTCCAACAGTGTGGATGCTACAGGATTCTCCTTATCTGTGTTCAGTGAGAGATAATTACCACTATTTTCATTTGACAAATCACCAAATATTTTTTATCTTTTTCATTCTTACATTCCTCCTCCCCTCCCTTCTTTTCTTTCTTCCTTCCACAAACATTTAGTGAATCCATGCTACGTGAGGACCAATGGGACATTCAAGACACTGTCTCCTCCTAGGAGGCTCTTTCTGTCTCATTGGGATGCCATGACCTGCCACACCAGGTGGCGGGTGAAGCAATGTTTAATTGACTATTCACTTTTGTGGCTGTACCTAGAGATCAGTGAGGACTGGGATTATTTCAAGGGATTTAAAGGTAAAGCCACATTTCCAAAGCTACCTGTGAACTGACTGTTGCCAAAGATGGCACCCACGGCCTCCCATTTCCCCTTCACTGGCTTCTTTCTTTCTTCTCAAATGATACTAATGGAAAACAAATGCTGTGTTCAGTTCACACTCCTACTTAATTCAGTTCCTTTTAAGCCATGCAGAGTTTCTGTTTCAACAAAAACCTCCATAGGGGTGACTCTGCAGATCTCCTAAAACAATGGGGTGGGGACAGATTGTGGTGGAGTGAGGTGGAGGCACAAACGCCACCTTTCAATTCTGCGGCGTAACCCAATCCCTCTTTCGGCTCTATCTGTGGGATGAAACCAGGTGGAAAAGTGAGGGGGAGGAGACCATGGCAGTTTTGACCTATTCAAGGCATGTGGAAAAGGGATTCTTTCTTCACCTGGGAAATCAGAGTGCACTTTTGATGCAATCCATGTCTATCTATCCTTTTAGTGCCAGTAGGGCTACCCATTTGGGCACTAGAACCTCAGGCCCGGTTGATAGGCATTGGGATACGGAGGATAGAAATCCTTCAAGGCAACAGGATTTTCTCCAGGTTCCCTGGCTCGAATCCGCTGAACCTGTAATCAGCAACTCCAAGTCACAAAATGTCGGGTTGGAGCCGCTGCCATTGGAGAGAAGGGGAATTGGCACTTGCTTATTGTCCATGGCAGGGATCCTGAAAGGTTCCTGTTTAACATTTTATTTGCATGAAAAAAAAATTCACCAGCATCTCTGAGGACAGGAGTCAGTGCCTGTGTATGTGGTGTGCATGGGTTAGGGTGGTGTGGTGGGAGCTTCCATATTGCACTGAAATCGACTCCTCAACAGCAGCCATTTTCAACAAGATCCCTGTGTTTGCTTGGCAAAATCCTGGATTGGAAAAACAAAAGCTTTTCCTGCCAGATTCCATTAATTTCAGCAGCAGCAGTAGCAGCAGCAATCTGGTTCTCTCGGATGAATGTTTGACAAGAATGGCCAGGACTGAGGTTCGGGAGACTTGTGGGGTCTTTTTCAGTGAAAGTCTGGGCTCTTTCTGCCCATCTTTCCTCTTGTATAAGAGCGTGTATCCAGACAGAATGACAGACACATGAACCAGTGGCATGCCATAAGTAGGTGGGAGTATAGGAGGACTCTGAGAGGGGCAAAGGATGTGGAAGAAATGGGCAGTGTGGGGCCATGGCGGTGAAGCCTCCTCCGACCCGGCTAAGGGAGGAGTCAAGGGTCACTCCTCACCTGCTGGGGCTGGAGAGCATCCAGGGGGCCCGATGCTGGAAAGTGAGACCACAGGGTGAGTCCCGAGGTGTCTGCCCTCTGGGGTTGCAGCACACTGCCTGGAAAACAGGAGCTGCCCAGTCAGAAAAGCTGACGCAGATGGAGGGGCCAGTGACCCGGAGTGAGCAGGAATGGGGCTGGTGAATTTCCACTGGCTCCACTGTGGGGTCGGAGTGTATGTGACCCACCTGGAATGTTTAGGAGTCTGGTGAGCAGGCTGCAGGAGGGATGCGACCCTGAGATGCTCTCTCATGGGCATGGGCCTAAAAGCTGGACTGGAAGTTTGATGATGGTAGCAGATAAAGGGCTATTTGCTCAGTTTATTTTTCAGTTGCATTTTTTTCCTTTCCTTTTTTTTTAGAGTTTTTAGATTTTCCTTTCCTTTCTTTCAGATTGTGGTCAGATACTTTATAGAACTGGGAGGATCAATGAACATGTGACTAGCCACATGAACTAATGGCATGGCCACCAGACTTTCCCTGGAGGTCAGAGGAAAGGTGGGATGGGAGGCCCCTGGAGAGGTGGAGCTGCTCGTGTGTAAAGAGCTCCTTGTTTTATCACCCCTAGAAGAGAGGGCACTGTTGGATTAATCACTTCCCTGACTTATCTGCTTAATCACAACTCTTCTAATGGATTGCAAGTGTTGAAGGGGTCATATAAAAACAAACAGCCAGCAACAGCAACCCCTTCACTCTCTACCCCTCAAATACCTGACAGCCCTTTAACACAGCACTAAGCTATTGTGATGGGGATGACTTAGGAATGATGATGAGGCAGCCCTACTGATGGAGTCCTTGCTATGGCCCTTTGCATTGGGCTGAGTATCGTGCCACATTGTTACACTGAGTCCTCGGCTGATCCTGAGAGGGCATGATTATCGTCATTTTACAAATGAGAGCGCTGAGGCTTGACCTTAACTTCCCAAAGTCACATAGGGCTGGGACTTTTACCCAGTTCATTCACTTGCAAGGCCTGGCTGGAGCATCTCAGAGGGTGAGGGAGTCCTGGTGCTGAGGTGCCTTTGCTGGCCCAGGTGTGGGAGAAAGGAGCCTGGGCCCCAGCCCCCAAGGTCCTACCCGGAGGCCTGACATCCTACAGGTGGACTCACTCTACCAAGTGCCAGTGGTTGAATTCCAGGACTGCATCTGGGTTTCTCACTGGATTTGGGACTTCTGGGATATAGAGTGTATGTGTAATATTACATGCACGCGCGCACACACACACACACACACACACACACACGCAGAGAGAGAGAGAGTGCACAAGCGAGAGAGGGCACAAAGGGCGGCATGATTCTTTGGAGTAAATTACTTGGGAAGCCCCTATACCCCTATGGAATGGATTAAAGGGGCCCTAGATTTTGCTCATTCCCTTCTGCATAAAAGTGAAAGTGAAGGACTAAAGGAGGGAGAAGAAGGGACTGAGAGTGAGCGGAAATCATCCCTGACATCCACAACCACAATTTGGAAGGGGCTTAGCACTACCTGAAGTAGCTTGCCTGTTGTTGTCCAAGGCTTTGACAGGTATCCAAAATGAAAGCAGACCGTGGGAACTTTATTTTTTCTGAGACATTGAAGATGCCTAATAAACACCCTTTGATTATTTGACTACTTAAGATTATGGCAAACATACTGTGCATTTAACATTGCTCCTCTCATATACATTTTTGTTCTAGTGTTTTGGAGTCTTCTTTGTGAACATCTCATTTTCTAAGTAGGGCTCTTCTTGCCTTTTGTTGGTCTATGTGAGTTTGGCCCTTCTAGATGAGTAAAAGGTCCTGTGGGCTGCATGGAAGAGATATGTGTTCTGACTGGACAGTCCATATGATTGCATGTGTTTTTCAGGTGAGTGAAACCTGACCTGCTACAATATAAGCTCCATGAGGTAAGGACTTTTTTAGTTTTGCTCATGGTTGTATACGTGGCCCTTAGAGTACAGCCTGACACATAATAGATGCTTAATAAAAATTTATTGAATGAATTCCCATAGCTACAGATATGGAAGCTCCATCAGTGATCTTAATCTGAGTGTCCTCAAGGACTCACCTTTTACTGCTGGAAGCACAGGGAGACACCAGGACATTCATTCTTCTGTCCTTATAATGTCAGAATGTACCTGGCTCTCTCTTAAACTTGGGGGTCTTTCCCCAATCTAGCCACAATCAGGCTGGGTGACTTGGCTAGTGGAAAGCTCAAGGTTAAAGTCACACTCAGCAGATGGTCCATATGCCAGGAAAAATGGTGCTCTTGTGTAGCTTACCATGATGCAGGGCCTCGCACCCCTTCACTGCTGATGGGCAAGGTTGGTGGCATGTGCCTATATCCTTCTGGATGTTTCCATTGATCATCTCATCTTCCAGGGTGTGGGGGTTAGTTTTATGTATCAACTTGGTTAGGCTGCAGTACCTAGTTATTTCATCAAATACAAATCTAGGTATTGTTGTGAAAGTATTTCATAGATGTGATTAGCACCTAAAGTAAAGGGGGTTACTCTTGAAAATTTGGATGGACCTCATCTAATCAGTTGAAGACTTTAAGCCGAAACTGAGGTATCCTGGAGGAGGAATTCTACCTCAAGACTGCGGCACCAACTATCATCTGCTCTTCCAGCTTCTTGACCTTACCTACAAATTTCAGACTTACCTGCCCTATGGATTTTGAACTTGTCGGAGCCTGTAATTGCATAAGTCAGTTCATTCTCTGTTTCTCCATACACACAGATGCACACATATACACACATATTTTCATAATTTCTTAGGGAAGGATTGTATTATTATTCTTGTTCAATAACCACATTTATGGAGCACACAGTGTGATATCTAGCAAGTCATATTCTGCACTGTGCCATATACTACAGAGGCAAAGGAGGAAAAACATGGCTTTCCCTCTCAGGTCCTTACAGAACGGTAGAGAACTATCGCATCTCTTTTCTCCTGTTCTTTGGTGTATCCCCTCATAGCACTGGTAATTTCACTGGAAGGTCTTCCTCTGCTCAAGAGGTGAAGAACTTGTCCTTCAAGGCCTCTTTAGAGGCCTCCTGGAGCTGCTTGAGAAGGTGGAAAGCGGAGGAGTGATGATGTAAAGAGCACGTTGGAGTGGATTCACTGCTTTCCGTTCAACCTGGTGCCACACGATTATTACTGCCTTTCCAGGGCAGGTCCCACGCTTGTCCTCTAGAAGCCCGTGCAACCAACCAAGTGCAAAGTATTAGGTTGGTGCTAAAGTTATTGCGGTTTTTGCCATTACTTTCAATGGCCAAAACCGCAATTACTTTTGCACCAACCTAATACGTTGTGGGGATGCCGTGACAGACCAGGGGCAAAGTGCTAAGGAATGCGAGGAAGGGGAGGTGGTTCTGACTGAGGAAGGCCAGGTATGCCTTTTCAGAGGCTCTGTTTTAGTTGGTTTTGGATGAAGACTGATCTTTGGCCAGAGGGACAAGGACAGGGGTGTGGAGACTGTTTGTGAGGGAGGCACAGAGGCAGAAAAAAAACATGAGGCAGGTTCAGGCAGCTCTGAAAGTATGTTTAGTATTCAGCTTAGCTGATTTGTGGTTGAAAGAAAAGGAACACCAAGTGTATGTGGACCTGAATAAGAAAATAGTTGAACTGAAAGTTCAGATTTGGGATCACGTGCAAAGCAGAATGACAATACTTTGTGAATGGGTGCTGTTTTCCATTTCTGTTCGGTCTGCTCAATGGCTCCAATGTGTTTAGTGCATGCTCTGTGTAACAGGGCTGGATCTGTCATGTTCCAGGAACTGTTGAAATATATAAAGTTGAATTTATATAGGGTCCTACCTTCAAGGAGCTTATAAGCCAACAGGGAAAGACAGACAGGTGATTTGTTTATGATACTACAGTGTTATAATTGCTGGGCTGGGTGCAGTGGCTCACGCCTGTAATCCTAGCCACTTGGGAGGCTGAGGCAGGAGGATTGCTTAAGGCCAAGAGTTGGAGATCAGCCTGGGCAACACAGTGAGAGCCCCGTCTCTAAAAAGATTAAAAAGTACTAGCCAAGTGTGGCTGTAGTCTTAGCTACTTGGGAAGCTAAAGTGGAAGGATTGCTTGAGCCCAGGAGTTTGAGGCTGCAGTGAGCTGTGGTCATGCCACTGCACTCCAGCTGGGCAACAGAGTGAGACTGTGACTCAAACAAAACAAAACAATGGAGAGACTTGAGCATGTTTAGGATGCATACCAGTGGAAAAGAGGCAGCAGAAAGGGACCAAAGAGACAGGAGAGGGGGAAAGTGACGGATGGAATGTGGCCCCTGAGGAAATGAGAGGGGGTGAGATCCAGAGCCCAGGTGGAAGGGTCTGCCTCAGATGAGATGAGGGAAGCAGAAGGAAGGAGAAAGGCCAGGCTAAGGTGGAGGCAGGTCAGTGATGGGGAGGAAGCTTAGGGAGTGCTTGTTCCAGGGCCTCCAAAGTCTTTGTGAAGGCATTGGGGCTAAGATCCAGTGAGGGGAAAGTGGTAGGGGAGGGGTTTTAAGGAGAGAGAAAATATCAAGAAAGGTTGTTGAAGAGGATGGAGAGGGAGGACTTGGTGGAAGGATTGAATTTGGAGGCCACAGATTCATGGGGAGTCCAGCTCAAAAGATGGTGTGGGTTTCTCCAGCCTCAGCAACCTGGCTGCAGGAGCAGGGGAGTTTGATGGATCCCAGTTCAGACTTTAAGTCATGGACACAGGCCTCACAGAGAATGGTGAGGAAGTGATTGAAGGGGTGGACTGTGAGGTCTCAGAAAGGGAAGGATGTGAAGCCGGAAGGGAGCTGATCAATGGAGAGAAGTTAACTTGTCAGGGACAGAAAGTGCCAGTGATTTTTTTTTTTAAAAAAGGGAAATTGAGGAAAAGAATAAGAGACTGTGATCAGAGCAGGGGATTGACTTTTCAGACTGAAGATGTTGAAAAGATGAGATGAGGGTTGGAAGGGGTCAGAGTCGATGGAATGGAGATGGTCAAGGGATATGAGGCTGAAGCAACGAAGGGTTGTCCTTACACCTGTGAAGTCCCCCAGGATGATGGCAGGACCAGGATGGAGAGGAAGGCACAAGATAAGCAAGGAGGGGTGACAGGAGGTTAGAGCACGCAGCCTTCATCCTGATGGCTGCCATCCACTCATCTCTTTTTCCACCCTGCTCATTCACTTGTTGTTTGACTCTCTAGTCCTGTCTTTACGGAAGGCCTTCTTAATATAATGATAAGGATTTCCAGATTTTAGAGGCTGAGGAAAGTCACATGAGGAAGAAGCACAAAGCAGCTGTGAGCACAGGTGTGTGGCAGAGGTGAAGACCCACCTGGCCGAGAGGGAGGTGCTGTGGCATGAAGTTGTTTCTGAGTTGCTGCAAGCCCTTGGGAGGTGATGTCCCTCATCTCTTGTGATACAGTAGGCCATCGGGCTTTTGCTCAAAGTTGCAGAGAGAACATTAGAAGTACTGCTTTGGGCCTTTGTAGAGCTCAGACTTGCCAGGGTGGAGCGGGTGTTGTAGCTTGAATTGGATGGGAGACACTGGGATTCTCAAGGCTTTCTGACCTTGGCCAACATCATTGCTGAGTGGAGAGATGGGTACCCCTGGGCATCCAGGCTGATAGACATTGGTCTTTTTTGGCTGGGTGGGTTAGCTCATGATGCAGCAAGCCTTCAAGGTGACATGTCATTAATTGCTGAAGTGGGTGACACAGCTGGACAGTGCTGTGGGCTATCAGGCTGAAGTGGTCAAAGAGGAGTTCCTGGGGGCGCTGGGTAATTAAAAATGGGTGCATTTCTACAGCCTGGGCTTAGAGGTGGAGTAGGTTGGGCACAGCTGGGGGCAGTGCTTCAGAGAAGCCAGGGACTGCATTAGACCTAAGGGCTCCTTTCTGGCTGCTGCACCAATGGGCGTGGGGTGAGAGTGTGGCAGCCCTCCTCTGCCACAGCAAGAGGCTTGGTGAGTTGGTTATGCTGCAGATTAGCACAGTGTATCATATTGGCCTCCCTGCATATTTTGTGGGTGTTCAGAAGTCTTTTTGCTCACTTCCAATGTTCCCACTTGTTTTCATAGCAGGCACAGAATGGCTGCTACAACCAACCACCTCTGGAAGCCTGGGTGGGCAGAGGGTGGACCTGGTCTGCTCCCCATCATATTGTCAGCATCATTGATTCCTGCTGAGACCACTAAGTTCCCGTTTTATGTACTTGACAGGCCATGGTGTGGCATTCCTATCTATCAGGAAAATCTTTATTAAGTTCCATCTGAGGAAACTAATTCTAGTTTAAACCATCTGTCTTAGATCCATCCTTCTCTATTAGAGAAAGAAGGCTTCACATTTAGGGCAAGGAAGTAGAAAAGGAGAGAGGGAGAAGACACTTTTGTGCCATTTCTTTGATGAGGAAACTGAGCATGCTGGGGGCCCAGCCTGAGGAAGCAGAAGAATGGTCTAGTTCCTGACCACCTTACGTCATGCCCCAAGTGACCCTTCCCTCTCTGCAGTGGCTTCTTGACATTTCTGTATGTTTCCTGCTTAGGGGCAATTCACACATTTTGTAGCGGTCCCTGCTTTCCCTTCAGAAGCTGTAGTGGGGGCAGATGTGCCCTGCCTGTCTCTTGGTATTGATGCACAGGCAAGTGATGTAGTCTTGGCCAGTTTGATGGACTTTCAATCTGGGGAGAGCAATGAGCATCCAGTGGAGTCTGTGCATGTCCAGTGGGTGACAGGAGTGGCCAGGGGCCACTGGCCTGACTATACCCAGGGATGCAGTGGCTGCGTCCTCAGCTCCTGCCTCCTGCTCTGCAAGTTGGCTGCTTCTCTGTTATTCCCATTGCCTCTGTGAGCTTCCCATGTTCCTTCCCACAAATGTCTTTTCTCCTGAAGTCACTGTGTTCTGTTGACAGCTGAGAAACACTCCCCCCAGCCACAGTGCTCTTTCTCCATATTCTTAAATTCAGCAGGCTTTGGTCAACGTTCTTTGACTGACTTGGGTCTATAATCTTTTCCTCTTAACTATGTTTTAAGATCCTTGAGGATCTTAAACATGTTAAACATTTTTTCTCAAGAATGTCTGTCTCATTTTGTTTGCTCTGTAAATGTTCATTGAATGAATGAATGACGATGTGACGGAGTATGTGTATTAGTTATCTACTTTCGAAAATTTTTAATGGATGCATAGTTATACATATTTATGGGATATATGTGATATTTTGATAGAAGTATACATGTAATGATCAGATCAGGGTAATTGAGGTATCCATCACTTCAAGCATTTATGATTTCCTTGTATTAGGAACATTCCAATTCCACTTTTTGAGTTATCTTGAAATATATAATAAGTTATTGTTAATTGTAGTTGCCTTAGTTGTCTATTGAGGCACAACAACTACCCTAGAACTTAGTGTCTTAAAACAATAATAAACACATTATCTCACACAATTTCTAGGAGCTGGGAGGTTGGAGTGGCTTAGCTGGGTAGTTCACTTATGTGGTTGTACTCATGGTTGCCTGGGGTTGCAGTCTTATGAAGGCTGTGCTAGATTTAGAGAATCTACCACCAAAATAGTTCACTCATGTGGCTGGCAAGTGTGAGTGCTGGTTACTGGCAGGCGCCCTCAGTTTCTATCCATGCGTACATCCTCATTGGGCTACTTGAGTATCCTTATAACATGGCAGCTGACTTCCCCCAGAGCATATGAACCAAGAGAGTGCAAAGCAGAAGGTGGTATCTTTTATGATCTAGCTTCAGAAATCACACTTCTTCATTTCTGTGCTATCCTATTGTTTACACAGGTCAGCTCTATCAGTGGAAAAGACCACACAGTGCATAAAGACCAGGAACCCAGAATCACTGAGGCCATCTTGGAGGCTGTCTACCACAGCATGACTCACAAAGACAGCCAGAAATGGATTTGCAGGATCAGGGCATAGCTCAGTGAGATACTTAGGAGACCACAGGGGAAGCTAAAAATGATGTTGGCCTGGCTGACTCCGAGGATAAAAGCCAGGAGGTCTGTCTGTCCTCTGTGGTTGACCTTACCCAGGGGTCTTCACTTTCAGTTTCCTGATGTGGTGAGACCTAATGACCATCTCCCCTCACCCCTGCCATTCATACTCTGATTTTGACAGGCCTGGAGGTGGGGATGGGGGAAGGTGAGCTGAGCAGAGTTGGAAAGCTTCTGTCAGAGGGACCTTACCAACGCCTTTCACTCCCAAGAAACTTTCCTCATCATTTACTCTTCTTGTTATGATGGCACCAAGTTCATCTCTTGCTGTTTGGCTTTAAGAAGATGAGTGGATTGAATAGTGTCCTCCCTCAAAATTCATGTGCACCTGGAGATCGGCTGCACATGTGACCTTATTTGGAAAGGAAATAGGGTCTTTGTAGATATAATTAAGGTAAGGATCAAAATGAGAACATACTAGGTTGGAGTAAGCCCTAAATCCCATGAGTGTCCTCACAAGAGATAGAACAGAGAGCCATAGAGCAGGAGGTGATGTGAAGAAGGAGGCAGAGATTGGGGTGATGCCTCTACTAGTTGAGGAGCACCAAGGATTGCCAACAGCCACCAGAAAGTAGGAGAGAGGCACGGGGCATATTGTCCCACAGAGCCTCCAGGAGGGACCAGCCCCTTCTGACCACCTGCATGTCATACTTCTTGTCTTCTGAGCTGTGAGAGAATAAATTTCCATTGTTTCAGGCCACCTGGTTTGAGGTCATTTGTTATGGGAGCCCTAGGAAACTGATGGATAAATGGAGTAAAATAAAATCTTTGAAAGATCTTCTAAGACCAGCCATGATTTAGATGGGTAACTGGAAGCAGGAGGGGGTTTTAGTTGGGGGGCAGGGTGGGGGCAGAGGTGGTCTTTTCCATAACTTGGAAAACCTCAGAACAGCGTGTTCACCTGGGGCTTTAGGACCAGACCTTCCTGCCTCCCCCACACAGTGGTGCTCTACCCAATGAGACCCCTGGGATTGCTGATTCTTTGGGGTGGGTGTGGAGGCCAGAGGGCTTAGCACTGGCTTCTTCACTGGAAAAGGTAGAGTGGAAAATTGGACCTATTCTATCCAGTGACCCATTCATTGCTTAATCAGCGAGTCATCCAGTGATCAATTAACTCATTATTAACTCAAGGTTTACTATGAGCAAAGCTGTGCCATTTATTTCTTCCACTTTTTTTACTGTGTCTACTCCTATGTTTCATCCAGGGGCCAAACACTTTTCCTAAGGCTGATACTGTTCCAGTGAGGTGGAAAGAAGCTGCTATCGCAATTCATACCAACTTAATCATATTATTACCAATGATCACATGGATTTCTCAAGAGGGTATTTGCATTTTGAAAGTGGGATCTGGAAAGCTCCATAATAGCTCTCCAGTGCTGGGGCTTCAACTTTGTTGTGGTGAGGGTAAGTCTTCTTCTTTCCTACAGCTCCTCATTCTTGGAGCAAAGAGGACTCGGTTCTGCTTTGAGTCATTTGGTGACAAGCTAAAGGGGTCGGCTTCTCTGTACAATCCGAGGTGGGGCAGGACTGGGATTGGGGACAAGAGAAACTGAAGGAACCATCCCTGCCCTTGGGCAGCTTCACTTCCAGCCCCTCAAGGGCGAAGCGGTAGGGATGGGATAGCTCAGCCCAGGGCTTCCTCCTGGGGTAGAGTTGACCTTGAGAGGGGCAGCACTGTCCCCAGTCCCTTCCTGCGGGGTTCTTTAATGCCAATGTGAACAGTCTGGAAATGGAATCCCTGGGACCCCTCCCTATCACCATTATTATAAAAAACTCCAGGATTGTAGCTGTGGAGCCTCGGGCTTCAGGAATGCAGCCTGTAATTACCTCGCTTCTAAATGCTCATGGTAATGGATGATGAGGCCTCATGCTTCAGACCGGTTAAATTGCTGTGTGACTTGGTTGCAGTTTAACTCGGCAGATGACATGCTCATACTTGGCAAAGGGAGAGAATGTGAACTATTTGGGGATTGTTAACTTACAGCACAACCTGGAAATTGACGGAGAAGCTCTGGAAAGGAGAAGTCAGCAAAATCTTGTACCAAGAGCTGATTCCTCATGACCACCTCCCCTTTGCTTCAGACCTGGCCCTGTGTCACCCGGGGTGAGGGTGTTGAGGTGGGTGTGAAAGTGCCGGGGGATCTCCCAGGCTCCCACGCATGCACCCGGCACTCTGCTGGATGCTGAGGGGAAGAATGCTGAAGACAAGAGCATGCCCGTCTCTGTCCTGCAGGAATGTGCTCCCATGGGGGCAAACCCACAGGCCTCTGTTTCAGAGGTCACTGTAGGCACTCTGCAGACCTACAAATTGAAGATCTAGGGCTTCATGGTGACTGAGTCATCTTGCCATGGGGCTTGGGGGATGATGGAAGTGTAACAGAGAAAGTGATCTCTGAATTGGACATTGGAGAATGCATAGGATTTGGGCAGGCTGAAGGGCAAAGCTAGATAGAGAGTGACCAAGAGGCCTGGCTTGGCCAGTAAAGGCAGGCTGTGAGTAGTGTGGCTGGATCACGCTGTGGGAGGGCGAGTGAAAGGGTAGCGTGAAAATCAGAGGGCACTGGGGTGGTAAGCCGGGGCTGGGCTGTGAGTCCAGATTCACCCCTTTCCCAAGGAAATGCTTCCAGTGAACTCACAAATGCAAGCCTCCCCTGTCACAGTCCCACTGCCACACCCAGACCCTGGTGTCGTGCCTCCGCTGGGACTGAACATGAGCTAGTCAGGCTGGGGTCTGCTATGCTGGGCGAGGGCCTGAGAGCAGAAGGATGGTGCCAGAAACCATCTGGCCAGCTCCAGAGACCCTGGGCACTACCCTTCCACTCCCCTCTTCCTGCCATGCCCTTGAAGAGGGACTGGGGTCTGCACATGGTCATTCCTAGCCATGGTTTGAGCCTCTCCTCTCCTCCTCACTCACCTCCCCTGGCTTATGTTCTGAAAGGGTGAGCTCCAGCTCCAGAGAATTTGACCTTGGGGTGAAGACCTAGCCGCAGTGAGGTTTGCAGGTGGACTGCAGCTGGCCCTGTGCACTTTGGGGCAAAGTGCTCCCCGGGGTCTGTTCTGTCTGCCGGGAACAGATATGTGATGTGGCACTTCCCACCACCCCAGGGATGGGCTACTGTCCCTCCTCAGAGGGACCATCGGGCCCTCATCAACATCACCTCCACGGTCTTTCCTCCTCCTCCTCGCTGCCTTTCTTTCATTCGCCGGGCCCCAACCGCTTCCAGAGCTCCTTATACATTTGCTACGAATCTTTATTTCCAGATTAGTCACCATGCACACAAAATGGAGCGTCCCTGATTTGAGGAGCAAAAACAGTGATTACTAGATTGGTTCTCTCTCACAGAATGTGGAGGAACAAACAATGCCACACAATTTTAGTTTGTATAGCGTCTTTCAAACCACGCAATGCCCCGGGCACAGCGCGGAGTTGCTGTAAATAATACAATAACCGAGATAAACATACTAAAAATCTTTGCATCGAGCTTCCTTTTGTCCTGCTATACTCAGCCAGGGAGGCTGGAAGGAAAGAGATGGGGAAGGTGCAGCCCCCAGACCCTGGGGGAAAGCCAGTGGGGGCTCGGGGTGCGGCTGGAGGGAGGCAATGTGGGAAGGGAGGTGGTGGGAACTGCAGTCAGAAACAGCTGCGTTCAAATGGGGTCGGGGATGGGGGAGACTAGTGGAGAGGTAGGTTGGGGGCAGGGTGGGTCAAGTAAAGTAGGCCTGCTTTCGGGCGGGCTCCCTCATTCAGCCAGGACTAGGGAGAAGTCAGGGTAGAGGATGAACAGGAGAGGTTGCTCTTTTTCTGGACATCTTTATGCTGTCATAGAACACACACAGGTGAGTTGGGTCTTGGCTGTTTTATTAACATACTTTACAACTCAGTGTTGTTTCCCTGAACCTTAACTTTTCCATGAGGCAGGTGATACCGGTCATTAAATTCCCTTCCAGACCTGATGGTCATTGATTTTGTAGCCCCCACAAATTCCCATGGTGTGACACTGTCAGGGGTCCCGGCCACATGCTCTCTGACTGAGGGGAAAGGACAGAGCTCCCCATTCCCCCCAGCTTCCATGGGAGCAAACCCCCAGCTCCCGCTCCTGGCCTTACTCTTGGAGCACGAGGGTGATGCTGAGAAACGTGATTGTGACCTTGAGTGAATGAGCAGTCTGCATTTGAATCTTCCTGTGGGGTCTTGGGTTTTGCCAACCTTAAATAGGCATAAAGACACCTACTCACAGGGTTTTTGTGAGGATGAACTGATGTGTGTGCATGAAATAATATGTGCAAGGTGCCCAGGGTCGTGTGTAACACAGTGCTTGTACACTAAATGGGGGTAGTGATTCTTAGTATTTTAATTATTGATGATGGTGACTTGATCCACTGAGAGGGAACACAGCTTCGCCCTGAGGAGAGCATTTGGGGACCAAGGGTGAGGTTGCAGGGGTGCAAGGAGAGGCGTCTGGGTGCTCTGGCCTGCTAGACCCACCCTGAGCACTGGGCGGCAGCTGACTCTGGGATGGGCCCCTGGAACTTGCTCTCATTTTCAAGTCGTTGGAGCTTTGTTCATCAGTTCCTCCTAATTTGGGTGAAGTTCGCCATATGGAGAGCAGGGAACAGTGTTAAAAAAGCTTTCACACATAGATAGCACAGCACTTTCTCTGCTAAATGAGGACTCTCTTCCCCAGTACAGATTTCACACGCCGATCTCCAGGGTGTTGAGTTCCCTTGTCAACAGGGGTGGAGTTGTTGAGGCTCTTGGAGCCATTGTCTCTGGCTGGCCGGGTCCTGTTCCGACCCCAGGAGAAATCCCATCTTCTTTTTCCTCCCCCGGGGTGAGCGTTTTCTAGCCCTCTCAGGTGAAACAGCTTTACTTCCAAGGCCAGGCAGAGTGTACTCAGCTCCCCCCAGCTGCAGGTGGCTCGGCTGCCAGGCCCGGCTCACCGGGGTCTCCTGGGGCTCCCTCTGGATGCTGCTCTTGTGTTGCGTTTCCCGTCTGGAAGGGAGCTGGGTTGTTCTGAATTGAGCCCAAGCTCCCAGTTCCCCAACCCACGCACATTCTCTGGAACTTTCTCTCTCAGCCAAGACATCTGCCACGTGTGACTCCCTATCCTTCTTCCTCTATGTCCCCCTGGCCTGACTGCCTCAGTGCAGTTACTTTGGCTGTTAAGTAAACCTCTCAATGTGTCTTCTGGTGGCTTAAGTGTGCTGTTCTTCACCTCTGATGATGCCCCTCCTAGAGGTGCTCCAGAGTGCTCTCCCTCAGCCAGCAGCAAAAGGTCCCATCCAAGTTATCCACATTGTCCGGTTTTGTCTGCTCTCAAAGGGGCTGCCATTAGCTGGGATCAGTAAGCAATTTGTTGGGCTTCAACTCTTTTTTTGGTGACAAAAATAATGGTGGTAATTAGCCATTGATTGAGCACTTACTATGTGCTGGGTCCTACCTAGTATTATCTCATTTTCTACTCACAGTAACCAGGCATGATCTATTTAACTATCCTGACTTTAAAGAGGAGGAACCTGAGAGGCAGAGAGGTTAAGTGACTGGCACAACTAGTTAGTGGCAGAGCTGATGTTCAAACCTAGATCTACAGACTCCATATCTGTGCAATTTCCTTCAGCATACTGCCCCCGTCTGTCTCAGTGCTAACATTCAACTGCAACCAAAGATGCCCTACTCAGGGGTCAGGGGCAAAAACTATACACAAATAGAACTGAAGAATGAAACTAAAAAGGGGTATAGGAAGAGAGCTAGAATTTTTCTAGGCTGGCTGGCTTTGTGGAATGCTGTCCTGTGTTGGGAGAGAGAAGTGAGCTGCATGTGTCAGGGTCTGTGGCTTTGTTCCAGTGGAAATCTGCCACCTACATGGGTTTGGCTGTCCTTGGCACCCCTGCACAGCACAGCAGGGTCTGGCTTTGCCACCCTGTGGGAGGAAGAGGAGCTTGAAATTGTTTTTGAGATATTTTCATTGATTTTCTTTAATGCACGGAAACATTTCCATTCACACATGAGCTTAGTTGATGCGGAGAAGAGAAAAGATTTGACACAAATTTAGGGGGCTGGGTGGAGCTCAGGGAGGGAGCCTGAGTGCCTTGTCGATTGCTCTTCAATTTATCAGTATTTTCCTGGAGTTCCTTTGCAAAGCCCTCTGCTTAATCTCGCCACTGCGTGGGAGGATTGGAAGAGGAAATGTGGCTTCCCAGGTCCCTTGGCTTCCAGATCTGTTTAAGCTGGGCAGCTCGGCCCCTGCTCTGTTTAAACCCATGTGCTGAAACTATAGCACCAAAGCTGTCCTGGTTTTCTCAGAGAGTATGTAGCCTTCAGGTTAGAGTTCTAGGTTCCCAAAAGGAAAAAGTAGGGTAAAGTGGGACAGCCATGCATTGTGGGGTATGGGATATGATGTGAGGCCCAGAGCAGAGGTGCACTCCCACCTGTAATTTACAATGGAAACAACTCTACACTGTGAAACAGCTGTCAGAACGGCCCTGAAGCTCCAACAATGCTTACAGACAAGACAAAAAGGCAAAAGCAAAGCATCATGGATCTGGTTCTTAAGGAGACCTATCCTGGTGGAGGGTAGTGAGGAGTGTGAGTAGGAGTGGGTGTGGCAGGAGAGAGAAAAACTGGAATCCCAGTTGTCTGCTTCACGGCCCATTCCTGAGGGCTGCCAGAGTCCCCAAGGCCCACAGGTGAATGTCCTCAAAGCCTCACAGAAGGCTCCCCCTCAATTTCCCTTGGTTGACCCCTGTATTAGCTTGTTTGGGATGCCGAGACAAAGTACTATGAACTGGGTAGTTTACGGGTTTACTCTCACACTTCCGGAGGCTGGAAATCTGAGATCAAGGTGCTGGCAGGGCCACGCTCCCTCTGAACATGCAGGGCAGACCCCATGCACGCCTCTCTCCTGGCTTCTGGTGCTTCCTTGGCTTTATGGCAGCATCACTCCAGTCTTCACACAGCGTTATCCCTGGGTGATGTCTGTCTCTGTATGCAAATTTTCCCTTCTGATAAGGACACCAGTCATATTGGATTAGGGCCCATCCTAATGACTTTGTTTTCACTTAGTCACCTCTTTAAAGACCCAGTTTCCAAATAAGGTCACATTTTGAGGTACTAGGGGTTAGGATTCCAACATATGTTTGGTTTTTTTGTTTGTTCATTTTTTTGAGACAGAGTTTCCGTCTTGTTGGAGTGGTGTGATCTCGGCTCACACTGTAACCTCTGCCTCCAGGGTTCAAGTGATTCTCCTGCCCCAGCCTCCCGAGTAGCTGGGATTACAGGTGCGCGCCACCATGCCTGGCTAATTTTTTGTATTTTTAGTAGAGACAATGTTTCACCATGTTGACCAGGCTGGTCTCTAACTCCTGACCTCAGGTGATCCACCCACCTTGGCCTCCCAAAGTGTGGGGATTACAGGTGTGAGCCACTGCGCCCGGCCCTCCAATGTATCTTTTTTGAGAGGACACAATTAAATCCTAATAGTCTGTCTCTTCATTAGGTATGTCTTTTTCGGTTAGCCACTTGTAAAATTTGAATGAGACCAAATAGTATAGTGAGAAAAACATGGGTTTGACATCCATACAGGGCTATGTTCTAACCCTGGGGCTCCAGGTTGCCAGCTGTGTGATGGTGGAACCCACCACCCCTCAGCCTCTCTTACCCCTGCTTCCTCAGTGGAAATGACTGGTCAAATCTCTCTTTCATTGATTGAATGTGAGGTTGAATGAACTAAAGGGCCTGGTGTGGTACCTGCTACGTGGTAGGTGCTCCCAACACTTCTGTGAGGCACAGAGAAAGGTTGTTACCATCCTGGCTTGCAGATAAAGGTGCTCAGGCTTGGAGATGACCTGACCTGGAGGCAGCATCACAGCCATCTCTGGCAGACCCTGGGTCCCCGTCTCCCTCTGCCTAGTGTGGTAATAGTGCCAACCTCATGGGATTGAATTTACTATTTATGTGTTTTAACCTTGCTTCTTCCCTTGCTAGACCCCAAGTTCCTAGAGGACTGTGACTAAACTTACTCACTTTTTTTTGGTATTATTTTTTATTGTGGCAAAATATACATAAAAGTTACCATTGAAACCATTTTAAAGTGTACAGTTCAGTGGCACTAAGGACATTCACATCGCCACTGTCCAGCTCCAGAATTTTTTCATCTTCACGAATGGAAACTCTGTACCCGTTAAACACCAGCTCCCATTCCCTCCTTCCTCCAGCCCTCATCTCTATGAATTTAACTTCTCTAGGTACTGCATATAAGTGAAATCATACAGTATATGTCCTTATGTGACTAGCTTATTTCACTTAGCATAATGTCTTCAAATGGTTCATCCATGTTGTAGCATGTGTCAGAATTACATTCCTTTTTAAGACTGAATATTCTATTATAGGTATATGCCACATTTTGTTTATTCACTCATCTGTCAATGAATATCTGGTTTGTTTCCACCTTTTGGCTATTTTGAAGAATGCTGCTATGAACATTGGTGTACAAATGTCTGTTTGAGTCCCTGCTTTCAATTCTGGAAATATGCAGAAGTGGAATTGCTGGGTCTAACCTTATTTACCTTTGTATTCTAAGGGTTGATTATAGTATCTATAAAACCTTATTACTTATTAAGTGTTTGTTGAATGAATACATTAAGGAATGAGTGATTGAGTGAGTTGTTGAATAAGGAAAGAAACAATGAAGAGGAACTAGGCGAGGAGAAAGGGAGTCATCCTGACAGTGGGCATCATGCAGTCCATGGACTGTATTAGAAGGAAGGAGAAGGGAGTGGTCAGATTTTGCAAGAACTGTCCAACACATTGTTTGTATTGACACCATATTACACCTGCAAGGATTCAACCAAGGCATCTGCCTAATGCTTCCCTCAAAAAATTCTTCCAGAGGTAACAGAAGTACCAATAGGTTGATGCTCTTGCTTAATTACTACGGTGACCCAGGACACATTAGAAATTGGTCTGAAATGTTACACTTGCAGGGAACAGCCCTGAAGGCCTTTCCACCCACAGAAAAACCTGGAGTTTCACTAGCAAGGCATCCCTGTGACTTCTTCAGGCACCTACTTCCAGGAGCTCTGCAGACATGTGCCTACTTCATGTGTATCTTCTTGGCCTTGCAGAACCAGCTACAGGCACTGCCCACATGACCTGCTCCTTTTCCATCTGACACGAATGTCATGTGGCTGAATGTGACTTTATTTGTTTTTCTTTTGTTCGGAGCTGAGGACAAGCTGCCCATCTTCCTCTGAGCCCTGGATGCTGGGAGGCTGTGATTGGCAGCAGCCCAGGATGAGAGAGAAATGCGCCTCAGGTAGCAGATCTGCCAGAAAAATTCTGGCCAGTCTGGGCTCATTTCACCCCATTCTTGATGGCAGGAGTTTTGTATTTCTCTGGGCAACTCCCTCCTCTCATCCTTCAACCAGCCCCTAAGAAACTCAAGTCCCAGAGGCAGCAGCATCGGATCTGAGGCTTTCTTCTCATTTTGTCAGCTCATCGCCCAGATTTAGCCACCAGTTTGACAAGGAGAGTACCCAGGAGGGTGGCTTTGGGGGGTGAGGATGTCGACTGCAAATAGCTCAGCCAAGGCTCACTGCTGAAAACTTTATTTAAAAACTGCAGCATCACGCCGACCTTCTCTCTCTAGGTAGCTGAGAAGCCAGCAAGAGGAAAGGACTTCTTTCCTATGTCAAGCCTCTGTTAGTTCCAAGTGTTAGCAAATGCTCATCTTGAGGCACAGTTTCTTTCCTTATTTTGCCTTTAAAGTGGGAGCCTTGGAGGGGGAGCGGCAGGGGGCTGGTGGGGAAGGCAGGCCCAGAGGGGAGGCGGCGGGAGGAGGGGGCATGGGCTCGGTGAATAGCGAGCTCAAGAGCTCTTCTGCACAACGAGATTAGCGCGATGTGAGCATTTCCATGCCAAGGTGCTAACGCAATAATACACGCGAGTTTGCCAACTTTTCAAATTGAATGTATTTGATTATTTGCTTTTAATTAGTGTGAGTTTTGGAGTATGTACAGGATTGTCAGGGATACATGCAAAGCCTCCTACAGCCCATGAAGCCTCCCCTTGGTAAAGATGGTCCGGGATTGTTCTTTTTTAGCTGTGGAGAATGAGATTTAACAGCTCTGTTAAATGTTTTAGCCCATTTCCATTGTGCCTCTGTTTCAACCTATTGGCAAGACCAATTGAAGTGAGAAAATAAACCTCTTATCTGATCTGAATGCTGAGAGCTGCTCCTAAGAAGACTTTTCCAACTCAACTTCGGCTTTCTACGAACATCCCTGTTTTGTTTTTGTTTTGTGTTTTCTTTTCTTGTTCTTTCCAAAGGTGGCTGTTAAGCTGGCTTTCTCTCTTTTCCCTTCTCTATAAGTACATTTGAGGGAACATCTACACACATGAAAAAAAAGTAGATGGCAGGGAGGGAGAGGGGAAGAAATGGGTTTAGGTAACTTAGAAGCGTTTCGAGAGCTCTTTCTATCTGCCAAAGGCTTCAGAGCATTGGAGGTTTGTATCTCTCCATATGGTGCTGCTCAGGATGGCTGGTGCCCTTGTGTTACTCCAGGGGATAACAAGGCCATGGGCCTGGCCCAGGCCAGTGAGTGGTCAAGTTGGGTTTGAGCGTTAGTGCCCATGCTCCCATCTGCACCCTGATGGACAGTGCTCTCCTGGCTGGAATACCAGCTACTGCGACTTTCATTTTGTTGTTGTTTTATGCAGGATTTCACACCCTATTTCTCTTGGGCATTTTGCAGGCAATGGTCTTTTACCAAAATAAACCAAGTCCTTTTGTAGGCCCAAACTTCAAGAAGCAGGATGAGGTGTAGCAGCCCCTTCCCATCCTTCTTCCCTACCTGTTATATTTACTAAAGAGAAAAAGTATGTTGTGAGAGGCTTCCTCCGCCAGCACCGCTCTTCTTCCAGCATCCTCAGGCCTGTCCCTCAGCTTGCCTCTGTCCCAGGGCACTGTGACAAGGACAGAGGCTGAAGCCCACCCTCACATAGCCAGCCACTTTGTCCCTTCCTGCCCCAAGCTCACATCGCTGTTCCAGCAACTCACCAGGGCCACGGAGGAGCCGCCATGTAGCAGGGAAGCAAGACCCCTCATCCACATTCTGAGGATGGCCGCCCGCTCACCCATTACCTACACAATCTCTCAGTTACATTAAAAAAAAATCTTTCCCCCCCTTAACAATAGAGAGGAACAAATGGTTGACAAATAACAACAGCAGCAGCTCTCCAACAAAAGCACGCAATTATTACAATTATACTATCCTTGATTAGGCTGCCATGCATTGCATTTCAATGTAATTGATGTTGTAGGTTGACACATCGGACACCAAATATTCTCGCCTGTCCCTTCTCTCTTTTGTTTCAGAAGCTGATTTGCATTTTCTATGCTTTTAGTAATGAAGACTTAGCACTTTTCCTCCATTAGAAAAAAAAAGAGAGATACAATAATCTGCAACTCGGCACTTGTTTAAGGATTCTGACCCTCGAAAATACCACTTTGCTTCACACATTAGCTGCTTACAAAGAAGGAAGCTAATGTATCATCTAATTGGGCAAACCACTGCATCTGATTTCTCTCAATCAGACTATTAGCTTCGTAATTACCCATCTGCCTCGTGTGGAAAAACGGCAAGGCGCACACCCAGCTAATAACGTTCTCAAGAGCTCTCCACCACAATGAGAGGAGGCGACGTGGAGGGATATGGTCTCTAACCATTTCGGTGCCAAGGTGGCCACACAATGCAGGAGGGCTTTGCCAACCTTCCCCCGCCTGAATGTGTTTAATTATTTGTCTTTAATTAGTCAGAGTTTTTGAGGTCTGTTCAGGATTGCTGTCCCTGCTGCTGCTGCTGCGGTGGCGGTGGTGGTGGCCGGGGCGGATGCTGAAGGATGGTGACCAGCGGGAAGGTGGGGAGGCTTCCCGTGGCCTCTGCAGGAGACGCTTGGGTTGAGGGAGGAATGTCCCCGAGTTTGGCAGGTGTCCTCGAGAGAGAATAAAGATTCTCCCAAGATTGGAGTAGAGTGTTTTATACCTCTTTTTGTTCCTTTTCTTCTTCTTCTGTGGTTGAGCCCCCTTTTTCCCCATGTGGGTGAAGCTGCACCCTTTGCGGCAGAGCCAGAGTTAACCTGAGGACGAGGACATCAGTGGTGGCCTCCGCACTGCCAGGGTGTGAACATTCTGACTGCCAGGTGACCTCTCCAACTGGCTGTGGTTTCTCCTGGCTCCCTTGTGTCTGGTATTGTGTTCTAAACACCCTTTGGTTCAGTTTGGCTGCGGGAGGGCTTTTCTGCAGTCTGAATGAAGTTGTGAGTCCTGGGGCAGGTTGTGGAAGGCCTTCTTTTCTCCTCCTTCATAACCTGGGAGAGAAGGCTGGGCCACCTCATGCCCTCGGGGACTGGGGTGGCACGTGGATTTATTTGGGAAGGCTGGTAGGGCCGATTTTGGTGCAGACTCAAGTGAGTTTTTGCGGTCTCCTTCCCCCGTAACTAGAGTAGCTCAGCCATTATTTGTATATCCTTCTATGTCAATTTTATTTGAATAAAGGATTATGACTAAAATTTTTGAGACCAACTGGACACATATGGTTCGGCTACTAATGTCTAATGACTTAATGTCTATTTCAGGTCACTGAGCTGTGCCTGTTGGGATACCAGTATTCACTATCTAATGGTTGGTTAATTTAGCCCCATCACTGCTGCCGTTTAAATAGGCTAGCATATCAAATGGAGTCTTTTGGGGCTAACACAGTGATGAATTTTGCTTTTGTGTATTCTTTCGTAGTCAACATTTAATTGTGATATGATCTGAAAGACTCTGTGGTAGCTAATACTGAAGTATTAGATTGAGAACAGACATTTACATATTCAGTCTATCATCTAGGAAAACATAAAATAAAACCCCTACTATGTTTGTGTTATGATGACAGGCCCTCTAGCTGCTATGTATACTGGATGTAGCTCCTGTCTAATAGAACTTTGAGTTATAAATAAAAGGCAAGTTTGTTCCTTAGGCAAGTAAGAGCCCAAGTCTCAGAAGTCATCTGGTCTTGCTAAATGCTCCATCATGTTGGCCAGAGTTTTCCCATGTGGATGCATGGCACAAACTCTCCCACTTCAGCCAAATCACTGCCATCTTATAGTGCTCAGGCTTCCAGAAGTCAGTTCTTTTTATCTGTTTATAATATTGCATTGAAAGAGTTTGACTGATCTGTGATATTTTCCCTATTTTCTCTATAGGAAAACTGGGGACATTAAGAGCCATATGTATCTCTTTGTGTTTTGGAACTTTGTGGAAGATGCTGTCACTGCATCATACAGAACCTTATTTTTATAAAGACCATCTAAGAATTTTTTGTAGGTCTCTGTTTAAGGAAAGGTTCCGCTTCCCTTGAACCATATGCACACCCTGTATTTTATAACTGATGATCTTTTCCTTTTTGCTTTGGCTACTAGGAACCTCAAAGGCCAAATTTTAGCCCATATCCATAGGCTTGATAGGACTAGATGGCCTTTATTTTATGTGCTAATGTCACTAAAACTTTATTATTTTTCTGTCCATTTATAAATCATATTTTTTTGCTCTGGCTCCTATAAATATTTATTTTTCTTAAATCGTTTTGAATTATTATATGCATTTTTGTACAGTATCTAAATACTTGGTTGAAAAATGTCCTAGTGCAGAGACCAGAGAGGTTAAGTCATTTGCCTAAGTCACACAGGAATGAATGCAGTCAAGAAGTCTTTCTTGTGCCAAGAGCAGGTTTTTCCAAATGTTCTCGTGTTAGCTATGAAATCTGCTAAAATCAGCTTACCTTGTGATCGGCTCTGGCTTCTTAATTTATCTTTGGCAAGGTTCACATAATTTGTTAGCCTCCATTACAGCTTTCTTACTCTTCCCTGAAAGTCTAGGATGCTAAGCAGTAGGAATCCATCCAACAACATCCAGGGACTGAGGCAAAAGAAAAGATGCTCTCATGGCCTTCTGTGCTGTGGGGTTGACTTCCTGGTCTTCACAGTTGTGGTACCTGCCATTCCTTCTGTTATACTCTGAGAAGTCACGGTTTGCTACAGCCTCTGCATGGCCTTGAGGTCAAGGTGAGAAGTGACTTCCTCTCTCAGGGAGGAACTACAGAAGACCAGGGAACAGGTTTTCTGCCTCAGACTTTTCAGGAGCCTCACAGAGGCTGCCTCCTTTCAAACCAAGTTATATGAGAGAGTCTGGGACCTGTCAAACAGCTGCCTGGACACGCTCTCATTTTAGCTCCAAATGTGAATCATCTGTTTAGAGCAGGCCTATAGCAATCATCTTTTATTAGTTTTTACTTACTTTAAGCAGAGCCATTCTCCAGAGGCTGATATGAGAGACCTTCCCTTCCTTTCCCTTCCTCTCTTCTTTTTTACCTCCCTCTCTCTCCACCTCCCTCCCTCCCTCCCTTCCTCTCCCCTCCCTCCCTCCATCCCTCCCTCCCTTCCTTCTTTCCTCCCTCCCTCCCTCCCTTCCTTCCTTCCTTCCTTCCTTCCTTCCTTCCTTCCTCTTTCTCTCTCTCTCTCTCTCTTTCTTTCTTTCTCTCTCGCTCGCTCTTTATCTCCCTCCCTCCCTCCCTTCCTGCCTCCCTCCCTCCCTCCCTCTCTCTCTTTCTTTCTTTCGTCTTTCCTCTTTCTCTCTCCCCCTCTCTCTTTCTTGTGCTATAACTTTACTTGACAATCAGCAGCGATTAGTTCTCATATCCATTGACTGTGTAGATTTTTCAAAGTGGTGACAGATGCGTAGGTAACCAACACACAGAGCTTGTTTGCTGAACCCTCATCTTCGTTATATTTTCTGGACAACCTCACGTGGACACAGTATGAGACACTCCTCATTCCTTTGGCCCAGAGAGCTTTGTTGATTCTGGTGTCAATGTGCACATCTGGAATTCCCATCTCTTTCATGGCAAGTTTCTGGATCTCTTTGAGTGCCCAAGGGCCACACTTCTTGAGGTCCACTCGATGGCTGCCCTTGTGACTGTTGATGATGTGCTTTCTGGTCACCACTTCATTGACATCAGAATAGCCCCTTTTCTTCTCACTACCCTTTTTGTAGGAGCTATTCTGTTGCGCCCAGGTTGGAAAAAAAAATCTGGGAGTTTATTTTCAAAGACCTCCCCTGAAGTAGGATGTTCCTTTTTTCTTTTTTTCTTTCCGAGACAGGGTCTTGCTCTGTTGCCTAGGCTGGAGTGCAGTGGCACAGTCACAGCTCACTGCAACCTCTGCCTCCTGGGCTCAAGTGATCCTCCCACCTCAGCCTCCTGAGTAGTAGCTGGGACCACAGGCATATACCACCATGCCCAGCTAAGTTTTGTGCTTTTTGTAGAGATGGAGTTTTGCCATATTTCCCAGGCTGGTCTCTAATACCTGGACTCAAGTGATCCACCTGCCTCCTAAAGCCCTGGGATTACAGGTGTGAGCCACCATGCTAGGCCAACATTTCTGGAGTGGGGACATGTTAACAATTGTTTTTGAAATTGCTCTTTCCCTCGCTACCTTTTTATTGGAAAATGTTCTCTGACTTGTTGGCTTTTTCAAGAATACTTTTGAGAATTCAGTATCATCACCTCTTCCCCACTCTCATAGACCTTAGAAAAACCGGATACTTGGAGCAGATAGTATGAAACAGGCCCCCAAAGCAACTCTATGATGAATTCTAGTCTGAACACCTCTCAGGAAGTTCTTCTTCATCTCCACCCACTATCCCTCCTATTGCATTTTATCTCTGTTTCCTCTAGGTCTTTCCCCAGACGGAATGAGCATCATGCTAATACCCAGATAATTAGAAATATAGCCAACTTTCAGTGGATTGTAAGTAGATTATGTGGCAGTTTATCTCTGGCAAATCTTGCTTTCCTCTCTTAGTTAACATCTCTGTTGCTTACTTAATTTCTTTATTGCTTTTATAACCATTGCCATCTGCTACTGAAATTGGAGTTCAACAGGAACTAGAAGATTGAAACTTAAAATGAAAATAATTATTCTGAGGCCTGGGGAAAGTAGCAATCATGAAGGAAGGGTTGGCTCTGCTTAGACTGACCCTGGGCTACCTAGTGCCAGGTGAGCCTTCGCAGTCACCTAGTCGTCTTCCACTGGCTTACTGATGGGAAATCAAGGCCTTGATCAGGTAAGAGGCTTGTCAAATGTCACAGAGCTACTTGGAGGAAGTTCTAATACAAAGACCCAGTTCTGGATACCTCTCGAGTCTATCATGATTCTTACTTATCTGTCTTAAAGGTGAAACTGCCCATTTCCAGCATGGAATGTATTGAGCAGAATTGCACGGTGGGACAGAGCTGAGAAAATGAGATAGTTTTTAGTTTCACAGCTCCACAGGTAGTTTTTCTTCAGGGTGCAATTTCACGATTTTGTGTGCAATATCATGAATAACTAGGACATCAGATCTCCCCATAAGAAAAAGCAAGCAGAACCAGAGACTGTAGCACATATATACCAGGACAATTTGACATAAGGAATTATTTTGTGTTTATCTACTGTTTGGATTACCTATGTGATGACTCTCTTGCATTTCTGTGGATGATGAGGAATTGGTGTTATTTATGCCTTCATGTAGGAGTCGGAATATGTGCAACATCCTCAGCATCTGGACGAAGTCCAGTCTGTATTTTTTTTTCCCATCTGCTCCTGGTATTTTAAGTAAAAATGTTTGTATCTGCATCCCCCAAGCCCTGTTGTAAATTGTAAATCATGCCATTATATTTGGTAAAACCACAATGTCAAGCAACAATTCACAAAGCCACAAAGATTCTCTGGAGTAATTTTCCTGTTCTCATTGATCAATTTTATATTTTCCTCTTGGCCATATGCACACATTAAATGGCACTAATTCAGTGAGAAAACTCATAAGGGATAATATTTCAAGAGGCACAAATGGCAGCAATGCCTTTACAAGTATCTGTTTTATAATTGCCTCTGCACTCTACCTGAATTCGCGCTTGCCGTTGTTTCAGTTGAGTGAAATGGACACAGAAATGGGTTGGGGGTGGGGGAGTGTGGGAAGGGGGAGGAGAATGTTTTAGTTAAATTAGGTGTAAAGCCAGGAAAATCTCAAGTCAAAAACTGTGTGGCTGCAATTATTTCTTTCTTCTGGTGAGAATATTTATTATCTGCTCCTGAGAGATGACAGGTGGGGAGAATGGGCCAGCACTGCATGGGTGCTTACACTTGCAAAGCCCCCATTCAGGACTTGATGGGCAAGACTGTATCTAGGTTATTGATTTCTTATTTGACATTTTTAGATTTTTTTAATGAGATTTTTTTAAAGTAAACTTTTAGGTTCAAGAATAACAAGTATACGGAAAAGTACATAATTCCTAGTTATATGAGATTTTTTTTTCCAAAGTGAATACATCTGTGTAACCAACAGGCACATCAAGAGGCAGAAACTTAGTGGCTGCTCACAACACTCCCTCTTACCCTTTCTGGTCATTATCCACTCTCCCCTAAAGCTAACTAATATTCTGGTTTCTATTGCCATTAATTCATTATTCAGTATATATTCTTTTAGGTCTTGCTTCTTTTATTCCATGAGCATTATGTTTGTAAGATTCATTCCGTTTTTAGCGTATGGCAGTTATTTTGTTCATTTTCACTGCTCTATTGTATTCCATTGTTTGTGTGTATGTGTGTGTGTGTGTGTGTGTGTGTGTGTGTTACTATTTACCCATTCTATTACTGGTAGACATTTGAGTTGTTTTTGAGTTTTTGGCTTTTATGAATAATAGTGTTATGAACATTCTTGTACATGTGTTTTAATACACATTGTGTGTATTATGTGGGCATGCACTACGGATGAAATTGCTGATTTATAGGGACTATCTATGTTCAGATCTATTATAATGAAGATTTCCAAAGAGTGTTTCAGAGTGGTTGTACCAGTTGACAACAGCAAGGTATGAGAATTCCAGCTGCTCCACACCCTCACTAGCATTGAATATTGCCAGTTTTATTTAAAATGGCAGGGGCATACTGTATCTCATTGCAGTTTCAATTCTCATTTCCCACGTGCCTAATGACAGTGATCACCTTTTCATGTGTTTTTGAGAAGTGCCAGTATAAGTCTTTGCCCATATTTTAGAAATTGGGTTCTCTACTTTTTTGATTTGTTGTTCTTTATGTTTTCTAGATACAAGTCCTATGCACACTGGTGTGCACACACATATTTATTACTATTTACATAGCAAATATCTTTCCCCATTCCGTGACATGCCTTTTCACCCTCTTAATGCTATATTTTGGTGAGCTTTAATCCCTAGTTTTAATGAAGTACAATTTATAGTCATTTCCTTTATGGTTATTACTTTTAGTTAAAGAAACAGTTACTTATATTCAGCATTATAAATATATTCTCTTATTTTTATCTTCTAGAACTGCACTATCCAATTAAGTAACCACTAGCCTTGTGCAGTTATTTAAATTTTGTTTAACAGTTTTATTGGAGTGTAAATGACACACAATAAATGACACATTTTAAAGTGTACAGTTGGATGTTTTGACATATATACACCTGTGGAACCATTTAATCAGGATAGTAAACATAACCATCATCCCCCAAAAGCTTCCTTGTGTCTCATTGTAATGGGACAACCTTCCACCTCCCAACCTTTCATAGCCCCCCATCTTTAGGCAGCCACTGATCTGTTTTCTGTCATTGTAGATTAGTTTGTATTTTCTAGAATTTTACATAAAAGAATCATACAGCATGTAATCATTTCCCTTTTTTTTTTTTGGTCTTGCTCCTGTCAGCATAATTATTTCAGAAACTTATGTTGTTCAGTATATTGATATTTCATTTCTTTTATTGTTGAGTAATTTTCCATTGTATGAATGTACTACAATTTGTTTATTCACCTGTTGATGAACATCTGTGTTGTTTTCAGTTTTTAGCTATTGTAAATAAAGCTGCTATGAACATGTATTAATTTTCTATTTCTGTCATAACAAATTATCACAAATCTAGTGGCATGAAACAGCACAAATTTATTATCTTAAAGTTCTGTAGCTCAGAAGACTGATATGTGTCTCACTGGCCTAAGATCAAGGTGTCAGCAGGACTGAGTTCCTTTCTAGAAACCCTAGAGGAGAGTCTGTTTCCTGGCCTTTTCCAGTTTCTAGAGGTTAACCACGTTCCTAGCTCATGGACTGCTTCCTCTGTCTTCAAAGCCAGAAATATTGCATCTCTCTGACTTGTCTGATATGATCACATCTCTCTCTGACCACAGCTGGGAACAAATCTCTCTCTGCTTTTAAGAACTCTTGTGATTGGATCAAGTCTACCCTCATAATCCAGGATAATTTTCTCACATCAAAGTCAGTAACCTTAATTACAACTGCAAAGCCCCCTTTTCAGTGTAAGGTAAAATATTCACAGCTTCCAGGGATTAGAGTGTGGACATTTGGAAGATTGGTGTTGATTATTTTGCCTATTCTAAATTGTTCTTTAATTTCCTTTAGGTTAATACCTAGGCATGAAATGGCTGGATCATACGGTGTGTGTTTAACCTTTTAGAAAACTGAAAAATGGTTTTCCAAAGTGGCTGTAACATTTTACGTTGCCATTATCAATTTATGAGAGTTCCAGTTGCTGCGTATTCTCACCAACACTTGGTTTTCTGTGTTTTTGATGATAGCGATTATAGTTGGTGTATAGTGCCATCTCATTGTGACATTAATTTTAATTTCCCAAATGACTAATGATGTTGAGCATTTTTTATGTGTTTGGGTAAGTATCTATTCAAATCTTTTGCCCATTTAAAAAATTATTGTTTGGTTACTATTATTGAGTGTTGAAAGTTAAGAAAATATTATGGACTTACGTCTGTTATCAGATATATGACTTACAAATATTTTCTCCCAGTCTGTGGCTTGTTTTTTCCTTCTCTGAAGACTGTCTTTCAAAAAGCAGACAATTTAATTTTGAGAAAGTCCAATTTATAAATTTGTTCTTTTATAGAACTGCTTTTGTTGTATGTCTAAGACATTTTTCCCTAATACACATCACGAAGATTTTTTCTTACCTTTTTTTTTTTTACTGTGTATTAGTGTTTGTTTTTTCATTTAACAACATGCAGATAAGCAAAAAAAAAAAGCACTTACTCATTTGGTTAACATTTATACTGTTCTCCCATTATTTGTATAGTTGCTATTTCCATCTGGTATCACTTTCCTTCTGCCTAAAGGACGTCCTTTAACATTTCTTGGAGTACAGATATCCTGGTGATGAATTGTGTCAGCTTTTGTATTTCTGAAAAAGTCTTCATTTCACCTTGAGTTTTGAAAGATATTCTTGTTGGGTATAGAATTCTAGATTACACCTTTAAAAAAAATTCCCTTAAGTATCTTAAAGATATTCCACTATTTTCTCATCTGCATTGTTTCCAATGAGAAATCTGCTACCATTATTATCTTTGTTTCTCTTTCTTTCTTTCTTTCTTTTTTGTTGAGACAGAGTGTCGCTCTGTCACCCAGGCTGGAGTGCAGTGGCATGATCTCACCTCACTACAACCTCCGCCTCCTGGGTTCAACCAATTCTCCCACCTTGGCCTCCTGAGTAACTCAGACTACAGGTGCATGCCTCCACACCCAGCTAATTTTTGCATTTTTATTAGAGACAGCATTTTGCCATGTTGGCCAGGCTGGTCTCCAACTCCTGACCTCAAGTGATCCACCTGCCTCTGCCTCCCAGTGGGCTGGGATTACAGGCATGAGCCACTGCACCTGGCTATCTTTGTTTCTCTATATAACTGACTGTTTTTTTTTCTTCTGATTGCTTTTAAGATTTTCTCAGTCACTGGTATAGGACAATTAGATTACTATGTGCCTTGTTGTATTTTTTCTGTGTTTCTTTTTGTGGGGCTAGTAGAATGTTTTAAATTTGTGGGTTTATGGTTTTTATCAAATTTGGAAATTTTTCAACCATTATTTCTTCAAGTAATTTTTCTCTTTCTGCCTCCTCTTCTTTGATGATTCCATTTACAGCACTCCTATAATTAAGCTGCTTAGAGTGGTCCCACAGCATACTCATGCTGTCTTTATTTTTAGAAAATTCATTTTTCTGTGCTTCATTTTAAATAGTTTTTATTGTAATATTTTCAAGTTTACTAATATTTCTCCTGGAATGTCTATTCTGCTGTTAATTTCACTTAGAATATTTTCCATCTCAGACATTGTAGTTTTCTTTCTAGAAATTTATCTTTTAAAAAATATCTTCCAGTCCTCTACTTAAATTTTGTACATGTGGAATAGTGATAATAACCATTTTAATGTTCTTGTCTGCTAATTCTAACATTTGTGTCAGTTCTGGTTCTGCTTTGAATAATTTTTATTCTCATTATTGTTTGTTTTATCCTGTTTTTGCATAACTGGTAAAATTTTATTTTATGCAAGACATTGTAAATATTGCCTCATTGGGTACTAGATATTTTTATATTCCTGTAAGTATTCTTAGACTTTGTTTGGGGAAGTAGACAAGTTATTTGAAACAGTTTCATACTTTTCAATCTTGTTTGTAAGCTTTGTTAAGCAGAAACAGAGCAGTGTTTAGTTTATGTTTGCTCACTAATGAGGGAAGCCTCTGTGAGTACTCTACCTGATGCCCTGTGAATTATGAGGTTTTCCAATTTGGCTGGTGGGAACAGGTACTATTTCCAGCTTTGTGTCAATGCTGAGTACTGTTCTTTCTAATCCTTTCTTGTTGTTCTTTCCTGGGACTTGGGTAATTTCCTGACACACATGTTAATTAGTTCTTTGTTAAATACTTGATGGGAACTTGTGCAGATCTACAGAGTTTTCTATACACAGCTATCTCTCTGCCCCAGCCCCCACCCCTGTACTCTTTCCTGCCAACCCTAGCAGCCTTGATTTCCTTGGAGTCTGAATTCCATCTCCTCAAGTCAGAGAGTCCTCTGGGCTCTGCCTGAGTTCTCTCCCTGCTGCACATCCTGGAATCCTCTCAAGGCATTATGCTGAAGCAGTTGTAGGGCTCCCCTTGTTTGTTATGTCTTTCAGGGGTCGCTATTCTTTGTTGCTCAATATTGTGTTTAGAAAAACATTGCTTTGTAGTTTTGTCCTTTTTGGGAGTTTCTCAGGTAGAAGGGTAAAGCTGGCTTTCCAGTCCCTCTGGGTTGAACGCAACAGTCTTTGTGACAATTTAAATTTGAATTATTTTGTAAGTGAAATAAGGTAAAGTAAAATTAAATTAAATAAAAAGTTCAGTTCTTGAATCACAATGACTGCATTTCGAGTGTTCAATAGCTATATGTGGTTAATGTACAGCATTGTACTGTATAAATATAAAACATTTTCATCCCTATAGAAAGTTTAAGTGGAAAACTCTGTGATAGAATTATAATTTATTTATTTTACAAAAAGTACCTGGGTCTATTGTTCTGTATAGTATAACTTAAGAGTCAGGATAATATTGTTTTTTCAACATGGATGTCCAGGTGTGTTGTTTATCCTTGACTTTTGCATTTATACTAAATTTTTAGAAACATCAATTCCCAGAGGGAAAAAACATTCTGGGATATTGATTGGAATGCGTTGACTCTACATATCAAGTAGGGAGACCTGATGTCTTTAAAATTTACATTCTTCTTATTTATGAATATTGTTTATTCCTTTATTTGTTTAGACATTCTCTAACTCTTCTCAGTGATAATATTTTATAGCTCTCTTGGCAAAGGTTTTAGACACTTTTCAACAGATTTACTCCTAGGTATTTGAAATTTTGGTTGTTTTCATAAATAACATAATTTTCAAAATTTCATTTTCTAGTCTTTTGTTTCTGATACATAGAAATGCAATCCATTTTGTATATTGACCATTTGTCAGTGGCCTTGATGAACTCACTTATGTATTTTATCTGTGGATTATTTTTGGAATTTGTTTGTAACCAATTATATATCTATGGATAATGAGAGTTTTATATTTTCCTTTCAAATCTGTAGACTGTTTATATCTTTTTATTGCCGTATTACATTGACTAGGACCTCTAGGAGTATATTGTTCAACACTGTTGATGATAATAGACATCCCTATTTTGTCCCTGATCTCAGAGTAAAAACCTTCAGTATTGCACTATGAAAGTATGATGTGTGCTATAATTTTTCGAAGATCCCCTTTATCAAATTAAGGAAGTTCTTTTTAAAATTTCTAGATTGCAAAGAATATTTTTAAAAATTATAAACAGGTGTTGGATATTATTAAATGTTTTTTCTGCATCTATTGAAATGGTTATATATTTTGTTCTTCATCTTTTTGGTCAATGAGATAAATTGCATTGACTGATGTTCAAATTCTAAATTAACACTGTATTCTTTGAATAAAATTATTTGGTTGTAATGTAATTTTTTTATGTATCACAGGATTCTTTTTGCTTATATTTTTGTTAGGACTTTTGAGTTTAAAAGAGATAACCGCTTGTTTTTTTACTCTTGTGATGTGCTTGTTTGGTTTTGCTACCAAGGTTATACTGGTTTTACATTATAAGCTTCAAAAAGTTGATGTAAGATTGGGGCTTCTTTCTTAAATATTTAGAAAAATTAACAGATAAGGATATCTGGGTCTAGAATTTTCTTTGTGGGTGAGTTTTAAACTATCAATTCAATTTACTAAATAGATACACACTATTCAGATTTTTTATTTGCTATTGTGTCAGGTTTGCTATATTGTGTTTTTAAATTAATTTGTCAATTTTGCTTAATTTTTCTGCCTTTTGTTTTTTTTTGTTTATAATTCGCTGGGATTTTTTTAGCTTTTTGACTTGAATGCTTAGATAATTAATTTTCAGCCTTTACAATCTCCTAATATGTGAATTTAAAGCTTAAGTTTTCCTCTAAACACTGCTTTAGTTGCATTTTACAAGTTTTAGTAATATATTTTATATTTCATTCAAAATATTTTCTGATTTTCTTTTTTATTTCTTCTTTGATTTATGTTATTTATAAATTTATTTCAATTCATTTTTTTACTCTGTGTCTGTTTCTTCATTTTCTGTGTATCTATCTTCCAGTTGAATAACTTCTTCTGCTGTATCTAATCTGGTGTTCAACTCATCTCTTTACTTCTTAACATTTGTAATTGTATTTTTGATGTGTTAGAAGTTATATCTGATTCCTTTAAAAATAATTTTCTGGTGACATTTCCGTTTTGCCATCCATTTTCTTGAACACATTAATTATAATAGTTTCTGATCAATGTCTGATACCTCAAATATCTGGATCATTTTTGAGTCTGTTTCTATTGTCTGTTTTTTCTCCGTAGTCTCAGTCATTTGGTCTTATCTCCTTGTATGACTCATAATTTTCTATTAAGTGCTGGATATTGTATATGAAAAATCATGAGTTTCTGATGATACTATTTTCCTCTAGAGAAGATTTAATTTTCTTTTTTTGACCAGTAATTAGAAAAGGGCAAATTACTCTGAGTCAATTGTGAATTGAGATGGTTCAAGTCAGTTTCAGGTTTATATGAGTTGGTTAATTTCTAGTTTCCCTTTCTGGCATCTCAACTGAAAGTCAGGTGTCTAATTGAGGCTGCTCCTCCTTAGTGGGCTTCATAGTCTACTTTGTCTTTATACTAAAAACAGCTTACAAAATTTTTTCTTGCATTTGTAGCCATTTAATACCTATTTTCTACTTGAATTCTCAGCCTCTCATTCTAGTACAGCTTAGGATTCAGCAAATACTTCAACAACAAAAGCTATTGAAAATTTTGGTCTTATTTCTTTGAGGCTCTTGTTTCTCTGGAATCTTGGTTTCTTTTTTTTTTTTTTTTTTTGAGATGGAGTCTCGCTCTGTCACCCAGGCTGGAGTGCAGTGGTGTGATCTTGGCTCACTGCAAGCTCCGCCTCCCGGGTTCACACCATTCTCCTGCCTCAGCCTCCCGAGTAGCTGGGACTACAGGCACGTGCCACCACACCCAGCTAATTTTTTGTATTTTTTAGTAGAGACGGGGTTTCACCATGTTAGCCAGGATGGTCTCGATCTCCTGACCTCATGATCCACCCGCCTCGGCCTCCCAAAGTGCTGGGATTACAGGTGTGAGCCACTGCGCCTGGCCAGAATCTTGGTTTCTTAAGTTATAACTGCCCTGATACACCTGAATTCCAACTTTTGTATTCCCAACACCATGGGGTTTCCAAATGCTCTAGGTCATGTTGCCCCATGATGTGAATTGGCATATGCCCTTACAGGAAAAACCAGCACAGAAAGTCTAGCTCACTTCAATGTGTGTTTCTCATTTCTCCAGGATATTAATTTTCACTCTCTGATGCCCCACCCCCACCCATGTTTTATAATTCTTCTTGGCAGACACATTGGTTTGATGCAAGCAACTCATCCATAGTTAAATTGACGATTAATTTTCTTGCTAAGAGTTGCTTATTCTTATTGGTAGAACTAAGAAGTATTTATTGGTGTGAGCACTGACTCCAGGTGGTTTAAGATAGCTAGCAAAGGCCTAATGTGTTGTTGTGGTTGGGTTTTGTGGAAACAGATACTGAGAGAGGTTGAAGTGCCAGATGTTTATTAAGGAGCAGCACCTGTGAAAGGAAGGGGCAGGAAGCAGGATTGAAAAGAGGGAAAATTTGAACTCAGATGCAGGCCTCACAATGACTCAGCAAGCTTGGCAAGGAAATGAGAACATGGGTATAAAATAGTTTCATTATTATGAACCCTTCTTAAAATGGTTCTTATTATCCTGTTATCACTTTTACTGTGTAATTATGGGGTGCAGTTGGGCCAGAATTATTTGTAAGAAGGTGTTGGTGAATCAATAAAAGACCAGTGAGAGAGGCAGAGATGGAGCAAGAGTGGGAGAGAGAGAGAGAGAAGGAGAGAGAGAGAGAGAGCGAAAAGATTAATGAGGCAAGTGATGCAATAATATGCCATTAAGCTATTGGTTAATGGCATTAATTTATTGAAAGGGGCTTCTACATCAGCCTATAGAAAGCAGTACCTATCTCCTGCCAATGGTACATAGCTACGGTTTTCTGTTGGTTTGATTATGACATGCCTTGCCTTGTTCATGAGACAATTACCTTCCATTGGAATGTTTTTTATTATGTGCATAATCAGATACATTGCACAGCAAGGGGGTGTGAAAAAATCTTTACTAGTTCCATTGTGAAGTCAAACGCTTTCCATCATCCTTCCCCAACTCCCTACGAGCTCAAAAATGCCAGCCGCAGCTGGCAAAAGCACTATAAAAACAAAAGTAGTTATTGAGCATCCTATATGTCAGGCTCAGGGCTAAGTCCAGAAGACTTGAAGACAAGTCACAACCAAATGATGTAAGAAAATTCACAAAGAAAGCAAGAAAATGAGGAGGTGGATGTGAAGACTTCTTTCTCTTTTCTCCTAGTTTGAGAACTTTGTAACTCACTTCTTTCTAGGCTTAAAAAGTTTTGGGGAAGTGCTAGGTTTGAACTGCAAAATGTTAATATAAACAAGTAACTCTCTTATGAATGCTATGATTAAATGACAGAATCATAAAGCTGTTTTTGTGCTCATTCCAATGACCTAGGGAAAAACAACTTTAGGTGTACATATTAATGGAACTAAAAAAAAAAAAAAAAAAAAAAGAACTCTATTATCCCATAACACCGGGTTCTTTGCACAAACCAAGTTCAAGCAAGAGGAGAAGCCTCATGGAAAAGGTGAGATTTGAGTTGGCCCTGTCAGAATGGGTAGGATAGTCTTCTTGTAGCATTTCTCATAGATGGTGAGTGTTTGTGGGTAATACTGATAATGGCTACATTTACCTAGATCTTACTACAGGTCTGCCCCTGTGCTGAGGGCTTCCCACCCATCACCCTAGTTAAGCCTCATAGCCATTGTGTGAGGTGGGTAAAATTAGCGTCCTTATTTATAGAGGGGAAGCCTTGAGAGCTCAGACTTGGAGCAGCCAGAGCAGACTGGATGCATGTGAAAACTGCTGAGGAACTTTGAAAAAACACTCATGTCTGGGCTCTCCCCCGTTCAAGTGGAAGCTAATCTGTAGAGGTCAGCTCCGGCCATTGAGCATACACAGCTCTTCGGGGGATTCTGATAAACAGGGAGGGTTAAGGAATTATCTCATATAGAGTAAATTCAGTGCTATACTTCACATAGGCCCCTTTAAACAGAATTTTAAATGTATCAGCAGTTGTACAGGAAAGTCTACGAAATTCTCCTTAGCCTAACACCCAGTTTAAAAACATCGCTGATATCCTTGGGGTTCCTCAACTTCATCTGTCTCTCTCTCTTTCTTTCTTCCTTCACCAGGGAGTCACTACCTTAAATTTTGAGTTTTTTATGTATTTCCTTAGTCTCTTTTAAAAACTGACTTCCTCTGTAACCACCATTATATTCTCTGCTCCTATGGGTTCAATTGTTTCAGGTTCCACATATAATTGAGAACATGTCGTATTTGTCTTTCTGTGCCTGGCTTATTTCACTCAGCATAACGTTTTCTAATGTCATTCACATTGTTGTAAGTGACAGAATTTCCTTCTTTTTAAAGACTGAATAGTATTCTTTTGGGTGTATATACCACATTTGCTTCATCCGTCTGTTGATGGACACTTAATTTGATTCCATAACTTGGTTATTGTACATAGTGCTGCGACAGACCTTGGGTGCAGACATCTCTTTGACAAATGGATCTCAGCAAAGGCTAAAGAGTGTGAGGAGTGGTGAGATGATGGTCAAAGGGAACCAAATCTCACACAAGAGGAATATGCAGTTTTTTTGAGTTCTATTGGATAGTGTGGTGAATATAGTTAATATCTGTTATAGAGTATTATACATTTTGAAATTGCTGAGTAATTTTCAAATGTTCTCAACACAAAAAGTGTTAAGTATTTGAGGTGATGGTTATGTTAACTAGCTTGATTTAATTATTGCACATTGTATTTACAAATTATAGCTTTACTTTGTACCCATAAATTTATACAGTTATAAACTTTCAATTTTCAATTTAAAAAGAGGCTAACTTCCCATCACTTCTGTGGGAGGAGAGACTTTGCCATGAGTAACAGTGGCTCTTTAAGATGTAATTTTGAATGTGTGTGTGGGGAGGTAGGCATGTTCCTTAAGGGAAGACATACCAGAATCTCTTGGAAAGGAACTTTGTCTAATTTGGAAAAGAAAGCCAGGCAATTCTGACACTACCCTGATTCCTACGAGTGCCTCTCCAATTATGGTATTTGTTCCTCTGCTCATTATCTATACCCTCTGCTCCCATAACACCACATAGCCCTTTTGAAGGCAGGGACTTTGTCCTATTCATCATTCTACCCCCTGTGCCCAGAACAGTGCCCACACTCAGTAGGTGTTCAACAGACATTTTTTGATGGAATGAAAGAATCACTGAACCATGAGCTTCTTAACAGTTGGGAGCTTTTAAAATAATATAGTCTAGCAGAAAGGTCAAGAACATGAATTTTAGGGGTAGAAAACTTGGGTTGGGATCCCAAACCTGCCACTTCTGATCTGTTACGTGTCTTGGACAGAGCTACTCAACTATTCTAAACCTTAGTTTCCTCATCTGTAAAGTGGAAGCTGCTCCTGAATTGTATTGTGGAGAGGATTAACTACTACAATGTACATATGTGTTAAGTGTACTAAATGATAACAATGTATGTGAAATTTGTTTTGCCATGGTGGTTGGCAGGTACCCAGTGCTCCTATTAGCATTAGCTATGGTGGTGGACTTCCATGGGGTTGTTTCTGTACACATCTCTTTTCTCGGGAACTGCTCTCTCAATAGCCAAATGGCTCCCCTGGGGACGCTGTGTTCCTACATGGCCTTGTCCCATGGCCACATGTAGCTGTTTCCTTCCAGGCACTTGATCCATCTGGGATGAATCAAATTGCTGCCCTCTGGCCACAGTTCAGGAGTGGGCACCCAAAACCTACTGGACCACTGGACTCCTTTCTCAGGGTTTTTTTTTTTTTTAGGACTTGCAACAAGAGCATTGGGGTGTCTCTTTATCCTCCTGGTAGCTGACACTATTAGATGCAGAATTTGAGAACTGTTGGCGGCGATGTTTCTCACTAGTAAGAATTAAGCCAATATTCTGATAGAAGTGGAGGTTGGAAATGGAAGCAATTTGGCAGAGTAGGAGTCCTGTACTAGGCTTACCTGAGATCCAGCTACTTTTCTACCTTTTCTAGGCTATGACGATGGCAGAGCCAGCCCATACGGTGCCATTGTTTAAGTTGAGGAAGTCTTTATTTCTCAACATGATTCACTTTTACCTGTCAGAAAATTGTCATATCACTTGAATATTGTTGGGACAAGACACCTGTCATCTAAAAATTTGTTATAGTCCATATACAAATCTGTGATGTCCGTGATGTTCACATGCCCCTTTGTAGGGTTGTACAGTGTACAACCTGCACAACTCATCACAGTGGTGCTATCTATTGGACAAACTCCTTGGCCTTTTGGATTTCTGTACATTTTAGCCAGGGGTCCTAATTAATAGTTCAAAGACCATGTATTTTGTCTATATGGAAACGTGCTGGGCTGGGTTCTTGGGCATTCCTTTCCTGTGACTGGGAGACTGGCTGGGGGTAGCTGTCAGGTGGAGGTGAGCTGTCGGAAGTTTTGTTGTGGCCAGGTGTGGTGACTCATGCCTGTAATCATAGCACTTTGGGAGCGTGAGGTGGGCAGATTGCTTGAGCCTAGGAGTTTGCAACCAGCCTGGGCAACATGGCGAAACCCCGTCTCTACTAAAAATATAAAAAAATTAGCTAGGTGTGGTGGTGCATGCCTATAGTCCCAGCTACTGGGGAGGCTGAGGTGGGAGGATCACCTGAAAGCTGCAGTGAGATCGCGCCACTGCACTTGAGCCTGGGCAATCAGAATGAGACCCTGTCTCAAAAAAAAAGAGAAGTTTTTGGTGCTTTCCCTTTGTCTTTTGAGCTGCCATAACAAAGTATCACAAACGAGTGGCTTAAGCCACAGAAGTTTATTGTCTTTCAGTTCTGGATGCTAGAAGTCCAAGATCAAGGAGCCAGCAGGGTGGTTCCTTCTGAGGGCTGTGAGGGAGAATCTTTTCATGCCTCTCTCCTAGTTTCTGGTGGCTTGCTGGCAATCTTTAGCATTCCTTGGCTTGTGGCATCATAATTCCAATCTTTATGTGGCATTCTCTCTCTGTGCATGTCTGTTGGTGTCCAAATTTCCCCTTTTCATAAGGACACCAGTCATAGTGGATTAGAACCACCCTGATGGCTTCATCTTACTTGATTACCTCTGTCACGTTCACTCGTGCTAGGGGTTAGGATTCCAGCATGTTTGTGGCAGGTGGGGGGCGGGCACAGTTCAACTCATCACACTCTCTTTGGGATGTTCCTTCTCTGATGTGGGGTAGAGCGGCCCCAGTTAAGCTGGTTTCTATATGACTGTTCCCTGGGCTAAACTGGAGTCTCCTCCATGTGAGCTGCATTTCAGAACTGCATATGCCTCAGGTGCAAAAGCTTTAGCAATAATGTCTCTTTGTTTTCGTTATGAGTATCAATCATATGGGTGAGATTTTAAAAATGAGGTTGGTCAGGCTGGTACCCTGTCTCTACTAAAAATACAAAATTAGCTGGGCGTGGTGGTGTGCACCTGTAATTCCAGCTACTTGGGAGGCTGAGGCAGGAGAATCACCTGAACCTGGGAGCGAGCTGATATCGTGCCATTGCACTCCAGCCTGGGCAACAAGAGTGAAACTCCAACTCAAAAAAAAAAAAAAAAAAGGAAAGAAAAGAAAAAAGAACAGAAAAAAATGAAGTTGGTGGACTGTGGGCTCACTCACATACCTATTTCTTTTTAAACTGCTTTATTAAGATATAATTCACATACCATAAAATTCACCCATTTACAGGGCACAATTCAATGACTTTTCGTTTATTCACAGTTATGCATCCATCACCATAATCCATTTGAGAACATTTTCATTACCTCAAAAAGAAACCCCATGCCACTTAGCCATCATCCCCAATATCCCTATCTTCTTTTCCTGCAGCCTTTAGCAAATCACCAATCTGCTTTGACTCTATATGTTTGCCCGTTCTGGAGAATTCATATCATACAACATGTGGCTTTTTGTATCTGGCTTGTTCGACTTAGCATAATGTTTTCAGGGTTCATTCATGTTGTCTCATGCATCAGCACTTCATTCTTTTTATGGCTGAATAACGTTATATTCTATGGACATATCATGTTTTATTTCTCCGTTCATCAGTTAGTGGATGTTAAGGTTGTTTCTAATGCTTCTGCGAACATTTCATGTACAAGTCTTTATGTAGACATATATTTTCATTTCTCTTGGGTATATACCTAGGAGTGGAGTTGCTGGGTTGTATGGTGACTTTATTTTTAAGAACCAGAATCCTCATCAATACTCCCAAAGCTGATCATTCCAAATCTACCCAATACTGTGTATGTTTTTCTTTACAGAAGTGACATTCTCACCTTATTTATCTTTTCAGTGGCTGGGGAAAGCAGTCCAGGGAGAAACTGATGAAATTCAGGAAGTCTAAGCAGGAGGGAAGGGCAGGGGACTTAGAGTGCAGGAAGCACACAGCAGGGTCAAGCTGGCTGCATCTCTGGAGGGACAGATGCGAGAGAGGAGGAACAGACTAGCCTGTGCTTTACTGGGAAAACAAAACACAACAAAACAGGAATCTGAAGTAGCCGAGGAAGCCACACCCTCGTTATTGTGGCCCACACTTTCGCCTGGGAAATGGGGACTGGAGCACAACAGAAGGCAGAATTTTGCTGCAGGCTGACTGCTAAGTGGCCGGTTTCTGGCTGCAAGTACCAGGTACCCCTCGCATTCATGGTGCACAAAGCCGTCTCAAGGCTTTCCTAATGGGAGGTGTTATCTCCATTCTATAGACTGAGAAGCCCTGTGCACCGAGGAAGCTGGGCCTTCCACCCCCATGCCTCCTCCCACCCTTGGTGGGCACAGGGTGAGTCGGTGGTGGCACGAATGCAGTCCAGGTCTTCTGCTTCCAAACCCGAGCTTTATCTCCCAGACCATGCTGCCTCTTGGAGCCTTCTGGAGAGGATCGTGCTGTTGAAATGAGTATTGGTCCAAACTTTGGAGTCTGGGCTTCAAGGGCCTGCATGACTTTCCACTCCAGCTTCCAGCCACCATCATTCCTCATGTCTTCCCCACGAGGGTGTCCAGTGCTGCAAAGGGAACCTGCAAAAAATGACTTGCTTGCTTTCGTACATCCAGGCAAGCCTTTGCCCACACCCCAGATTTCTCTTTTCTATCCATTTTATTTAATTCCTCCTGGAGTTATTCAAATAAAAGTATGTGGACCCTGGATGATACATGGGATTTGACTGATTTATTTTTAAGGGATTGGCTCATGCAATGGTGGGAGCTGGCAAGACCAAAATCTACAGGGCAAGCCAGCTAGAATCTCAGGCAGGAGTTGATGCTGCAGTCTTTAAGGTAGAATTTCTTCTCTGTGATGCCTCAGTTTTTCTCTTAAGGCTTTCAAGGATTAGATGAGGCCCATCTTCATCATTGAGAGTAATCTTTACTTAAAGTCAGCTGATAGTAGATGTAAACCATAGCCACAAAACGCCTTCCCACCAATACCTAGATGAGTGTTTGATTTTCCTATAGCCTCGCCAAGTTGACACCTAAGCCTGACCGTCACACTCTGTCATAGGAGAGTTATGAGGATGAAGTCAGATACTGTGCAGTAGCTGGCACATGGTAAGCACTGATTCGTTATTACTACTGCTATGATTTTAATTTTTGTCTTGCTTTTTGGTCTGCTACTGATTCAACAAAAGCCCTGTGCTTCTTTCCTAGGTATTTGCCACTCGGATACATCACATCTAAGGGGATGTTTGTTTGCTATGAAAGCAGAATTTAAACTATGCAAACACAGTAGTAGTAGGCTCCTGGAGGGCAAGCAGTGATTTATACATAGCTCAGAATAAATGCTCAATATATATCAAGAAATGAATGCATAAGTGAAAAGAAAGTCCTTTGAAGCATGGCTTAGGTCAGTGCTGCCCAATACACATATGATGCCAGTATTTTTTTTTTTTTTGACAGAGTCTCACTCTGTTGCCCAAGCTGGAGTGCAGTAGCACAATCACAGCTCACTGCAGCCTGGAACTCCTCAGCTCAAGCGATCCTCCTACCTCAGCCTCATAAGTAGGTGGGACAACAGGCACTGCCACCACATTTGGCTAATTTTGAAATTTTTTGTAGAGATGGGGATTTTTCCTTGTTACTCAGGCTGGTCTCAAACTTCTGGCCTCAAGCGATCCTCACACCTTGGCCTCCTCATACCCCAGCCTCCCAAAGTGCTGAGATTACAGGTGTAAGCTACTGCATCTGGCCTATAATGCCAGTTTCATATGTAACTTAAAACTTTCTAGTAGCATATTAAAAAAAGAAACAGATAACAATACCCAAAATATTGTTTCAACATGTAATCAATATAAATATTTTTAAGCGGACATTTTACATGATTTTCCCAGCACATGTGTTATACTCATGGCATATCACCATTTGGACTGGCCACATTTCAAATCCTCCATAACTACATATGGCTGGTGGCTACTGTATTGGATGACATGGGTTTAGCTGAATGTTTCTTCAAGTCTATTTCTCAAAGAATTGCATCCTAATCAATGCGGCTCAGGTAGGGTGGGCCCTACTTTAGGACAATCTCTGAATGATTCCCAGACTTATGCCTTCTTGTTCCTGGGTGGTTTATAACCAATCCTCAGGAAGATAAAATAGAAATTAAAAGTTAGCATTTAGAAAGTTATATAACAATTGGCAGAGTAATTTTACATTCTTTGAATCTAACAGTTGAAAAAAATCAGGAACTATATTACGTGTTTTTTTATAATTTAATTTTTTGATAAATGCATTTGTATTGTATTTTTGAAATTATCCATGCTGGGCATGGGGGCTCATGCCTGTAATCCCAACACTTTGGGAAGCTGAGGCAGGAGGAGGATTGCTTGAGGCCAGGAGTTTGAGACCTGCCTGGGAATATAGTGAGACTCCCATCTCTACAAAAGAAAAATAAAAAAATTGGCTAGGTGTGGTGGAATGTGCGTGTAGTCCCAGCCACTTGGGAGGCTAAGGTGGGAGGATTGCTCCAGCCCAGAGGCTCAGTGAGCTATGATCACACCATTGCACTCCAGCCTGGGTGACAGAGTGAGACTGTCAAAAAAAAAAAAAAAAAAAAAAGGAAAAAGAAAAAAAAGAAACTATTTGTGGTGGAATGAAAATAAATAAAAACTGGCCTTTCATCAGAGGCAGTCTGAGCAACAGTTCTAGATGACGGATGGAAGCAGAGTCTCTGGGGTGGGTGTTGGGAATCTGTGTGTTTTTCGAAACCCCCGGATGATTCTTAGGCACATGCAAGTTTGAGCCTTCTGCAATTAGACCCAAACCCCCAAGAAATATAGACCTCATTTTATTTTCCCTCAAATTACTGTGTCCAGAAACAGAGCCTCAAGCCTGGGCGGGTCTTCGTAACAAGGGCAGCTCTGCTGACTTCAAAGACCTGGTCCCAGCGCCGGTGGGGAGCCCTGTGCCACCCGACATCCACGCAAGCCAGAGCATGAGTCTCACACAGTCCCGCTTCTTCTTGAGACCCTGTGTGAAGCCTCTAGGAGAGTGAGATTTTCAAGGTTTTCTCTGATCCCTCACACAGAGAATAAGACTTTTCAATCTCCATCTCTTGGAGCAGACAGGCAATCTGTTACAAAAAAAAAAAAAAAAGGAAAAAAATCTCTGGAGCTAAAGGAACTCTATTTTTTCTTGTCCTTGCTCAAAGCTTTTATAGAACATCTTGAGCTTTCAAAGGCAGTGCGTGTATTGATTTTCTGTCCCTGACCCCCAGGGTTCATTGCTGCTGTGTTTTGGGCTAAGGCTCCCTATAGAAATCCCAGTGGCCTCAACTCGGGAAGTCTTGGTGATTGGATGATATCGGAAGCAGTTTCCTTATATAAACCATCACAGATGTCCTTTGTAATTTGTCACCTTCTCTCTCTGTGAGGCTTTCCTCACAGGATCTTTGCTGTGTGGCTTGAAACTTTTAAATCAGCCTTCAGGCCAGAATTTCTGCAGGGAAATGGAGGCCTTTGCCTCTGCTGTGCCGTGGTGGAGTTGTTTGAGGTTCTTCCAGTGGAGTCGTTTTAGGCTCTGGGACCCGCCCCACCAAGCCCCAGTACCCACTTAGAGATTGATTTAGTCTATTTCCACAAAATTTCAATATGCTATTGTGTTAATCTGCGAGGGCTGCCACAGCGAAAGACCACAGACTGGGTGGCTTAAACAACTGACATTTATTTTCTCACAATTCTAGAGGCTAGAAGTCCAAGATCAATGTGTTGGCAGGCTTGGGTTCCCCCGAGGCCTCTCTCTGTGGCTTGCAGAGGCTCCTGTGTCCTCATGCGGCCTTCCTTTTCTCTCTCTGTGTGCTCCTAGTGTCTCTGCCTCTTCTTAGAAGGACACCAGTCCCATGGGATTAAGGTCCCACCCTTATGCCCTCATTCAACCTTAATTACCTCTTTAACGGCCATATCTCCAAATATAGTCTCTGGGGCTTAGGACTCCAACATATGAATTTTTGCAGGACACAATTCAGTCTATAACAACCACTAAGATGGTTTCTGCTTATTGCTCCACTTTCTCTGCATTCTGTGTTTCTGACGGCTCTGTCTCCTGCCTCTACCATCAATGTTTGCTTTGTGTACCGTCTCTTTCTGGAGGAGGACAGCCTTCATAGCTGTGTTCCCTTCCACCCGTGGTGACGTTGCTGGCTTTCAGAAGAGTGTTTTGTGGGCAACAATAATTCTTATTAGAGATTGCTCTTCACCTCCTATTCTTCAGAAATTATTCCAGGCTTTATGTAAAACCTGATTTTTGTGCACGCAACACCCATTTCCCCACTCTTCTCTCCTATGGAGACCTGCTTTCCCCTCCATTGCCCCAGATTCAGCAGGAGAACAGGAACTAGTTGCCTTCATGTTTGCAACTGCTTAACCTCTCTGTGACTCGGCTTCCACTTTGCAAAATGGAGATGATAGTACCTGCCTTATGAGGTGGTTGCCAGGATTAACTGAGAACCTACTTGAAGAAGGTTAGGTACATAGGACAGCACCTGGTATGTAGAAAGAACTCAATATGTGTTCATTATTACTGTGGTCAACTTTTTTTTCTTCCCCAGCAATCAACTAGTCCCTAGTAAGTGATCCCTGGCTTGCGATTGTATTTTCTCAAAGCCAGCAGGTTTCATCAAAGACTAGCAATAAGCTGAGTTTGTAGATTTTTTTTTTTTTTTTTGGATAACCATATTAAATTACTTTCCTAATTTACCCGCAAATTAGCACCATTGGGTGGAATGAAAACTCTAATTCAGGAAAATCTTTGAACTAATCCAAGTGGAATGCTCTTACTCTTAGCTGCACCAACCTCACCCTTTCTTGTGTGGGTGCCTGTGGTGGCTTGTCCTCCTCCTCTCTCCACTTGTCTAAAGCTGACCCATCTTGAGAGACCAATCAAGGTTCCTCTTAGAGTAAGTGCTGTGGAGTTTTGTCCTTTGTCTCCTGGAGTCAGGAGTTAAATTTTATCCTTATTTTGTGGAACTCATAGAACTTATCTCTGGGCTGAGCACATAGCAAGTGCTTCAGAAATATTTGTTGTCATGACTGCAATCCCAGCACTTTGGGAGGCCGAGGCAGGTGGATCACCTGAGGTCAGGAGTTCGAGACCAGCCTGGCCAACATGGTGAAACTCCGTCTCTACTAAAAATACAAAATTAGCCGGGCATGCTGGTGCGTGCCTGTAATTCCAGCTACTGGTGAGGCTGAGGCAGGAGAATTGCTTGACCCCGGGAGGCGGATGTTGCAGTGAGCTGAGTTCGTGCCATTGCACTCCAGCCTGGGTGACAGAGGAGACTCTGTTTCAAAAAAAAAAGAAAGAAATATTTGTTGGTTAACTGGCTGTTGATCACAACCATCAGATTATCTTGGGTAAGTTTATTGGAAAAAATACTTAGTTCACATCGAAAAGAGCACTCACCCGTGGGTCAAATCTAACCCCCCATTCTGATTCTTCTAATGGGATGATAGCCCACTGAATTCAGAATCCGTAAGGGAGGAGAAAACAGTTGTCACATTTCTACATTTCTCACTAATTCAGTATTATAACTAAATATAGTGTTATTTAATGTTCTGAAATAGGTCAATTTTAGAGTCATTTTAAGGAAACCTATGCATTGAAGCTTTAGTATTTTATGTGGGTCACCTGGATTCTCAGTGAATATGAGAAAATGAACCAAATAGGTTTTAAGCAAAGATTCCTGGTAGATTTTACTTCCTTGGTGTCTTCAAGCTCAACTTATTCCAGGCCTGAAGGACATGGTTTAGTTCATCCGTGCAGTTGACAGAAGATTGCATGGAACAGGGATTCCCCTTTCTCCTCTGTTTCTTTTCACAGCAGCTGACTTCAGCTGCCTTGTTGTCTCCTAGGCTCCCACACAGTGGGTGTGGGGGAGGTCGCGTGGCTCCTGAGTCTGCACTGACTTTAAGGCCTGTTTTTCTAGGGTGTTGGGAATGCATTCTACCATCTCCATGAGGCTAAGCTCCTATCGGCAACATGAAGACTAGTTGATCTCGAAAGTACTTTCCATTCCCATTAGCTTGTGATGTTGGAAGACACAAGATCAGCTTTCCTGGAGTTTCTCTCTAACGTGAACCATGTAAACCTGAGCTGGGGCAAGAACCCAGGCCTGGAACTGCCTTGAAGGCTAAAAGGTGAAGGTCAGGGGAGTCCCGGATGGAAGGCTCGCCTTCACTCACACCATCTCCAGGAATTCCCCCCTCCAGTAGCCTGGTGCTCCAGCCTGGGTGGCGTCAGCTGCTATTCCAGGAGAAGGCGAGACTTCCAGATGAACAAGTCTCTTTAAAAACACTGGGGCTGACGGTGTGATAGCCCACTCAAGAGCCAACAGAACAGCTGCAAAATATGATAAAAATCATTTGAAAAGTTCATTGATTTTTCAGTAAAACTGCAAATCCTTCACTTTATAATAATTGTTCCCTCACACTTTTGAATCTTGTTCTTGAGCTACAAGGGCGTTTAGGTCAGGCTGCATTCAGCAAACGGGCCTGGGAAGACAATGGCCCATGGCTGAAGAGACACTTTAATCATGAGCTAATTTACAAACCAAAGCAAAACAGACTCGGGCTTTGTCTAAGATTATTAGAAGATGTTAATTCTGTGCTTAAATTATTTCTCTCACTCCTCTCTCTGAGCTCATAACTAGGAAAAAAAAAAAAAAGGAACATCAACCCTATCTCGCCCTCCCCCACTTCTTATCTTCCTAATTAAATTTTGTGACTTGGCATCCACGGGTGGGTGGGTTACTTTTTTCCCTTTCTTCTTTTCTCTCTGAGGACAATGTACTTGTTATTCAAATTCTTATTGCTTCTTGGTGTGAGCTTCTAGCACCTAGATAAAATGGCTGTTAAGTCTTTCCTCCCCACATTTTCTCTAGGTCCAGAGAAATAATGAAAGAACTTGGTACAGAATTAGTTTCTCATGGACCTGCAATACAGCACATCCCAGAGACCAGCAGAGGCTGTGGCCAGCACTGTCCACTGCCCCGCCTCCGCAGCACAGAGACCTCCTCAGTAGCAGGCTCAGCCCTGTCCTGTGCTGCTGGCTCCACCCTCCTCCCAGGCTGGCGGGATCCCACAGCCAGGATATAAAAGTACACGAGCAAACAAACCCCAAACTGGACTAACTCTCAATTATCTGCATGAGTGAGGGCTAATCCAATATTCATTTCTACTTGGCTTTGGAATGCCTTGTATGATTTGTACAGGACAGATTTACCTGGCTGGTTCCGCTTTGCTTGGGTGAATAGTGTTAGCATTTCCAATCTGTCCATGGATTACTAGTGAGGATAGCACCCTGCTAACATGCTGGTGTGGAAGGGAAATCAATTTGGGAAGGAGCATCTGACAAAGGTAATCCACGTATGGTATCACTGAGCTGGCTGCCCTCCCATCATTTCATCTCGTGGCCATTTCTCCTTGTTATTCTCATCCACTGAAAGCATCTGGGTATACTTCGGTATCTTGACACATTTCTACTCCTGGACGGTAAGGAGAGGCAATTTACCAACTGATTCATTTATTCAATAAATAGTTATTGAATATCTTCTATACATCAGGCACTATGCTAGGGACTGGGGAAACAACTCTGAAGTCATCATGGAGCCGATGGAGCTTACACACATATGAGAAAGATAATCATGCCCACAGACACTTATGAGTGTGGTAGGAGTTGTGGTGGGAGAGGAGCAGGCTGTTCCAGGATCACCTTGTGGGGCCACCAAATGGAGACTTCTTGGGGGCACAGGAGAGACTTTTAAGGAGAGGAGAAATCTCACCTGAGACCTGAAAAACAGGTGAGAGTTGTTCAGGAGATTTGGAGGGAGGGTATTCTAGGCAGGGAGAGTACCTTCTGCTAAGGGCCAGGACAGGTGAGTACAAGAATAGTGAGCCAGAGACCGTGAAAAGCAATTAGTGTGGTTGGAGCTCAGTCAGAGGCCGGAGGTTCAGGAGCTCAGGAAGGGTCTTGTAGAAATGGTAAGCACTTTGGGGTAACAGTAAAAAGTTGAAAGTCGCTGAACAAGTCAGTGCCTTTGGTTTTACAGGTAAGTAACTGAAGGACTGAGAATGGGAAGAAACCATAGAAGTTTGCCTAAGCAGTTGGTGGTAAAGCTGGGACTAAATCCAAATATAGTTGGCCCTTGAACAACACAGGTCCAGGTCTGAACTGTGGCAGGTCCGCTTATACATGGATATTTTTCAAAAAATACATTGGAAAATTTTTTGGAGATTTGCAACAAGTTGAAAAACTTGCGGACAAACCATGTAGCCTAAAAATATTGAAAAAGCTTTGTCAAATAATAAAAAGGTTTGTCATGAATGCATAAAATGTATGTAGATAATAGTCTATGTGTTAATCCACTATGTTATTGGTATGGCTTCTGGACAACAGTAGGCTATGAGTAATTACGTTTTGGGGGAGTCAAAAGTTTATTAATATATGCAGATTTTTGACCACATGGGGGGGGTCAGCATTCCTAATTTCTGTGTTCAAGGGTCAACTCTATCTTAGAGTCCTTCTGCCACAGCTGCTTACAAAGACCATGCTCTTTGAACAAACAAGGACACGTGAAATTTATTAATATGAATATTCTTAATATCAATCTGACACCCCTTCAAGGGCTATTTTAAAAACATTTAATACTTATTTTTAGAGGATAAGGAGAAACTGGTTTTCTATTAATAAAATTGCACATTTTTCTTTGTGTTCAAAATAAGGGAGTTAACCTCATGCAATGTAACAATGTAACATATTTGGATTAATGTTCTTTTTCTGTCTAAACTTATACCTGGAAGGTGTTGGGCACACACAGGTGTAATTCACAAAAATGTGGCTAGACAATCTTGATAAATATATTTTTAAAATTTTTCTTTTCCCTGGCATGTCTGTAGACAAAAAGTATTCTGAATTTTCTAATTCTTTTCCTTTTTTGGTGTGTGTGTGTATGTGTGATTTTTCTGAAAGAAGCAACTTATAGGGAGGCTTAATAAAGGCCTTCAGATTTAGATAAACCCAAACCACTTGCTTCCTAATCAGAACTGCACCTGAATAACTCAGTGTCCAAATTCCAGCTGATCGAGATGGGTGCCTTTAGAGGCGTGCCCTCTGGCTGGTGTTGTCTCTTAGCCTTGCACTAAGCAAATCACACTGTGACTATTAAAAATACACGGCAGAGCTAGGTCAACTCTGGCGGGGACCCATCTGCTTTTGCCAGACTGGGACCAGTTTATCCTTTGTCAAGGAACCTGAGTTAACTGGTAACACTTGTTTGATCTACTTTAGCAGTGCCTCGGAGTGCTTTTCAACAGGTGCCTCAGGGAGCGTCCAGGCCACGAGGACCTAGTTAATCTGGTTCTGTCTGACTCCCATGTGGACATTGAGGGGAGAAAGGCAAATTTGATTCCTCCCAGAACCTTAAGAATTTTGGAGCAACTCAGAGTGATAGAGAAAAGGATGGAGGTGACAGAAAAGCTCTTTAATTAGAACTTCAAAGGAAATTGAGTGCTGGCTGTCCTACATCTGTTTCCCTGCAAGGAGGTGGAGGGAGAGTGTTGGTGATTCCAATGAGGAATGGCGGTGGATCGTAACCAGGAAATTCATAGTGGAAATAGGATAAGTCAATTTAAGAACATTAAAAAGTGGACTTGACAGAACTTGGTGACTGGATTTGAAGAAGGAAGGAAATGTCAGGACAGTGCCTACATTTCTTGTTTGAGCAACTTGGTGGATGCTGATGCTAGACCAAAGTGGGAAACAAAAGGTGGCTAGATGTAGGGGACAGGTACTGAGTTCTGTCTGGACAAAGGGAATTTCAGGTCTATCCTAAGTGAGATGTCAAATAAGCAGTTGAGTGGATGAGGTTCTAGCACGGGAGCTGTGGCCAGGTGAGAAATATAAAATTGAGATGTCCTTCTCATATAGAAGGTGAAGGAAGTCTTGGAATGAGATTATGCAGAGAGAGTATAGATTAAGTGGAATGAAGGGCCCATGACAGAACCTTGATTAATACCAGTTTTAAAGGAGGAAGCCATGGAATATAAGCTACAGAGGAGATTAAGGAGACAGAAACTGACCAACAGTAAGAAGCAATTCTGAATTTTTGTCTCATTGCCTTTTGTTTTTATTGATAATTTTATTTTTACCAAGAAATATTGCAGATATTTGAAAAGGTGTAGACCAGAAAATTATGACAGACATCCATGACACTCCACTGCTTGAACATAGCCGAAGGCCCCCAGGAGCCCCTTCCTCACCACTCTCCCCACCTTACCCGTGGGGTAACCTCTTTTATAATTCCAGTGCTTCTCTTTAGATTTTCATGGCCCCTCATGCCCTTACAACTGCTACACCTGCTTCGGTGAACCCAGCCTGTGCCATCAGAGACCCATAGCCAATGAGGAGCGAGGCTTTGTGTATCACAGATGCCTCATTCCTATCGGCACATGGGGTCAGGGATTAGTTTTGTGCTCAAAACTTGCCACGGAGTGTGCGTCCCGTGCAGCATGTCTTCTTGTTGGGCTGCTGCCTTAGTCTCCTTTGGTCTGGAGGCCTGGCTTCCTGTCTAGTTGAAGAGGTTGAACCCTAGGTCCTTGTATTAATATATATTTTTATATATTCATATATACTTTAATACAACAGACTCTTGACATACACAAAAGATAGTCTGACCAGCCCCTGGCTGTGTCCTGCTTCATGCTGGATAAACCTTCCAGGAGGCATAAGAATGCTACCTGTTTGGCAACTGGATGTTTTTGATTCTGATGTCTGTCCTGAACGTATCTTCATTTGTCGCCTTTCTTCAGGTATTCTAATTCTGACTGCTGGTCTTCCTAACTTAGGCCCACTTATACCCTACTCTTATCTGCCACATGAAGGTCCCAGTAAGGCTCATGTCCTAGCTGGGTGGATTGAGGAGTATTAAACCTATTAATTTATACCCTTTCATGATTTACAGATATACAGTGGGGCAATGGGTAATTTCTTTTAATTTGCCTATTAAAATGTTCTATAAAGCAGTTGCTATTCCATAAACAATCACTTAAATAGACCATAATAATGCACCTTAAAAATCATGCAATAATTCCATTTTTAATAACTCCCCTTTGTAACACTGAAACGTGCCTTTCCTTCTCTACCTACCCCTTGTCCCACAACTGATCTGTTCTGTTAAGTACAGAATTTTGTATGTAGTTTCTTAATGTGGCTATGAATCTCTTTTTTTAGCCCAAGGAAGCTTGTCAATATTTTTGGGGGGTTTCATATTTCATTTCTAACTCCTTTTGAAATGGCAGAAGTTTCTAAATATCCTAAGAATAATCTGGGCTAGGACTCAAGAAGGACTTCCTGACACAGAAAGGTTGTAGAATGTTTCGTTTAAAATAATATAATAGTAATAGTTTTAAAAGGGGAGGGGAGAGGTCACCCTATATCTGTGAGGGCTGGAGGGAAGAGTTAAATGACTTCTGAAGGTCTGATTCAGCCCTAAGATTCTTTGATGTGATTGTTCTGTTCTTTCCAGCTGTCTGTCTTTGATCCAAGCTTTGCCTGCTGGAGCTGAGCTCCAAGTGAGAAACTTCCAGCTCCACGCCATCCTCGGCAACCCAGGACCTTGAGCCAGCTGGCTGACCGTGCTCTCTGGGGATTCCATGCCAGGGCTGATTGGCTCCTCTGATTTGCTTTGACTGTTTGACTTCCAGGGAAGGCCTATGGCAGGTGAAGCTGATGAACCCCTTCCAGGGATCTTCTGCCTGCATTAGTTAACTCATTAGGGACTTTCCGGGCATCCTCTCACTGAGCAGGGACACTGCCTTTTACCTTGTCCCTTTCACACTCACTGGTTATGCATGGTTGACTGGGCAACCCACTTCTGCAACTGACCATCTAGTTCAACTACCAGAGCTCAGGTTGATTTCCAAGTCCTAGGTATGGTTCAAGTTAAGTAGAAGCCTGTTTAATTCCTTTTTGAGTACAAAGTGATCCAGCAAGTGGTGTATTCTAGATACAGTAATAACTTAATTGGCAACAGAATGGTTTAAATAATGTCTTTTGCAAGGAACAATTGGATCAATAACTTAATTGCTGGGTTCATACATATATAAATGCAACAGACTCTTGACATACACAAAAGACACAGTCTGAGACCCATGTGCTTCCCCAAATTCATAAATAGGAAAATACTTTTAAGATTCTTGGCTTACTCCTCAACCACATTCCTGTCTTGTGACTTTTCAACTTCTGGGAACATTTTACCTCTGATTCAATTAGATTTTTATAGCAGTAAGTGTACTTCCAAAAACTATTTTTAAAAAATACTATCAACTTTAATTTTAGATCCAGGGGATGCATTGTGGGTTTGTTACGTGGGTATATTGCGTGATGCTGAGGTTTGGGGTGTGAATGATCCCATTACCCAGGTAGTGAGCATAGTACTCAATAGGTAGTTTTTCAGCCCTTGGCCCCATCCTCCTTCCCCCTCTACAAGTCACTAGTATCTATTATTGCCATCTTTATGTCCATATGTACCCAAAGTTTAGCTCCCACTTATAAGTGAGAACATATGGTATTTGGTTTTCTGTTCCTACATTAATTCGCTTAGGATAATGGCCTCCAGCTGCATCCATGTTGCTGCAAAGGACATGATCTCATTCTTTTTTAAGGCTGCCTAGTATTCCATAGTGTAAACGTAACACTTTTTTTTTAATCCAGCCCACCGTTGATGGACACTTAGGTTGATTCTGTGTTTTTGCTATTGTGAATAGCACTGCAGAGAGCACACAAGTACATGTGTCTTTTTGGTAGAACAGTGCCTTTTCTTTTGGATATATGCCCAGTAATGGTATTGCTGGGTCAAATGGTAGTTCTGTTTTATATTCTTTAAGAAATCTCCACTCTTCCTATTTGAATACCCTTTATTTCTTTCTCCTGTCTGATTGCCCTGGCCAGAACTTCCAATACTATGTTGAATAGGAGTGGTGAGAAAGGGCATCCTTGTCTTATGCTGGTTTTCAAAGGGAGTGATTCCAGCTTTTGCCCATTCAGTATGATATTGGCCGTGGGTTTGTCATAAATAGCTCTTATTATTTTGAGATACATTCCGTCAATACCTAGTTTATTGAGGGTTTGTAGCATGAAGGGGTGTTGAATTTTATCGAAGGCCTTTTCTGCATCTATTGAGATAATCATGGTTTTTGTCATTGGTTCTGTTTATGTGATGGATTACGTTTGATTTCCATATATTGAAACATCCTTGCATCCCAGGGATGAAGCTGACTTGATTGTGGTGGGTAAGCTTTTTGATGTGCTGTTGAATTCAGTTTGCCAGTATTTTATTGAGGATTTTCACATCGATGTTCATCATGGATATTGGTCTGAAATTTTCTTTTTTTGTTGTGTCTCTGCCAGGTTTTGGTATCAGGAAGATGCTGGCCTCATAAAATGGGTTAGGGAGGAGTCTCTCTTTTTCTATTGTTTGGAATACTTTCAGAAGGAATGGTACCAGCTCCTGTTTGTACGTCTGGTAGAATTCAGCTGTGAATCCATCCGGTCCTGGGCTTTTTTTTGGTTTGTAGGCTATTAATTACTGCCTCAATTTCAGAACTTGTTATTGGTCTATTCAGGGATTCGGCTTCTTCCTGGTTTAGTCTTGGGAGGATGTATGTGTCCAGGAATTTCTAGATTTTCTAGTTTATTTGTGTAGAGGTGTTTATCATCTTCTCTGATGGTAGTTTATATTTCTGTGGGATCAGCGATGATAACCCTTTTATCACTTCTTATGGTGTCTATTTGATTATTTTTTCTTCTATATTAGTTTGGCTAGAGGTCTACTTTGTTAATCTTTTAAAAAAAACCAGCTCCTGGATTGATTGATTTTTTGGAGGGTTTTTTTCTGTCTCTATCTCCTTCAGTTCTGCCCAGATCTTAGTTATTTCTTGTCTTCTGCTAGCTTTTGAATGTGTTTGCTCTTGCTTCTCTAGTTCTCTTAATTGTGATGTTAGGGTGTCGTTTTGGATCCTTCCCCCTTTCTCCTGTGGGCAGTTAGTGCTATAAATTTCCCTCTAAACACTGCTTTAGCTATGTCCCAGAGATTCTGGCACATTGGGTCTTTGTTCTTATTGGTTTCAAAGAACATTGTTATTTCTGCCTTCATTTTGTGATTTACCAGTAGTCATTCAGGAGCAGGTTGTTCCGTTTCCATGTAGTTGTGTGGTTTTGAGTGAGTTTCTTAATCCTGAGTTCTAGTTTGATTGCACTGTGGTCTGAGAGACTGTTACAATTTTCATACTTTTGCATTTGCTAGGGAGTGTTTTACTTCCAATTATGTGGTCAATTTTAGAATAAGTGCAATGTGGTGCTGAGAAGAATGTATATTCTGTTGATTTGGGGTGGAGAGTTCTGTAGATGTCTATTAGGTGTGCTTGGTCCAGAGCTGAGTTCAAGTCTTGAATATCCTTGTTAATTTTTTGTCTTGTTGATCTAATATTGACAGTGGGGTGTTAAAATCTCCCATTATTATTGTGTGGGAGTCAGTCTCTTTGTAGGTCTCTAAGAACTTGTTTTATGAATCTGGGTGCTCCTATATTGGGTGCATATATATTTAGGATAGTTAGCTCTTCTTGTTGCATTGATCCCTTTACCATTATGTAATGCCCTTCTTTGTCTCTTTTGATGTTTGTTGGTTTAAAGTCTGTTTTATCAGAGACTGGGATTGCAACCCCTGCTTTTTTTTTTTTTTTTTTGCTTTCCATTTACTTGGTAAATATTCTTCCATCCCTTTATTTTGAGCCTATGTGTGTCTTTGCACATGAGATGTGTCTCCTGAATACAGTGCACCTATGGGTCTTGACTCTTTATCCAATTTGCCAGTCTATGTCTTTTAATTGGGGCATTTAGCCTGTTTACATTTAAGGTTAATATTGTTATGTGTGAATTTGATCCTGTCATTATGATGCTAGCTGGTTATTTTGCCCATTAGTTGATGCAGTTTCTTCATAGTGTCAATGGTCTTTACAATTTGGTATGTTTTTGCAGTGGCTGGTACCGGTTTTTCCTTTCCATATTTAGTGCTTCCTTCAGGAGCTCTTGTAAGACAGGCCTGGTGGTGACAGAAATCTCTCAGTATTTGCTTGTCTGTAAAGGATTTTATTTCTCTTTTGCTTATGAAGCTTAGTTTGGCTGGATATGAAATTCTGGGTTGAAAACTCTTTTCTTTAAGAATGTTGAATATTGGCCCCCACTCCCTTCTGGCATGTAAGGTTTCTGCTGAGAGATCCACTGTTAGTCTGATGGGCTTCCCTTTGTGGGTAACCCGACCTTTCTGTTGCAGATGACATGATTGTATATGTAGAAAACCCCATCGTCTCAGCCCAAAATCTCCTTAAGCTGATAAGCAGCTTCAGCAAAGTCTCAGATACAAAATCAATGTGTAAAAATCACAAGAATTCCTATACACCAATAATAAACAGAGAGCCAAATCATGAGTAAACTCCCATTCACAATTGCTACAAAGAGAATAAAATATCTAGGAATACAACTTAGAAGGGATGTGAAGGACCTCTTCAAGGAGAACTACAAACAACTGCTCAAGGAAATAAGAGAGGACACAAACAAATGGAAAAACATTCCATGCTTATGGATAGGAAGAATCAATATTGTGAAAATGACCATACTGCCCTAAGTAATTTATAGATTCAATGCCATCTCCATCAAGCTACCATTGGCTTTCTTCACAGAGTTAGAAAACGGTACTTTAAATTTCATATGGAACCGAAAAGCCCATATAGCCAAGAAAATCTTAAGCAAAAAGACCAAAGCTGGAGGCATCATGCTACCTGACTTTAAACTATACTACAAGGCTACAGTAATGAAAACAGCATGATACTTGTACCAAAACAGATATGTAGACCAATGGAACAGAACAGAGGCCTCAGAAATAATACCACACATCTACAACCGTCTGATCTTTGACAAACCTGACAAAAATAAGCAATGGGGAAGGGATTCCCTACTTAATGGTGTTGGGAAAACTGACTAGCTATATGCAGAAAACTGAAACTGGACCCCTTCCTTATATCTTATACAAAAATTAAGATGGATGAAAGACTTAAACGTAAGACCTGAAACAATAAAACCCTAGAAGAAAACCTAGACAATACCATTCAGGACATAGGCATGGGCAAAGACTTCATGACTAAAACACCAAAAGCAATGGCAACAAAAGCCAAAATTGACAAATGGGATCTCATTAAACTAAAGAGCTTCTGCACAGCAAAAGAAACTATCATCAGAATGAAGAGGCAACCTACAGAATGGGAGAAAAATTTTGCAATCTATCCATCTGACAAAGGGCTAATATTCAGACTCTACAAGGAACTTAAACCAATTTACAAGAAAAAACCCCATCAAAAAGTGGGCAAAGGATATGAACAGACACTTCTCAAAAGACATTTATGCTGCAGAAACATATGAAAAAAAGCTCATCATCACTTGTCATTAGAAAAATGCAGATCAAAACCACAATGAGATACCATCTCACACCAGTTAGAATGGCAATCATTAAAAAGTCAGGAAGCAACAGATGCTGGAGAGGATGTGGAGAAATAGGAATGCTTTTACACTGTTGGTGGGAGTGTAAATTAGTTCAACCATTGTGGAAGACAGTGTGGCAATTCCTCAAGGATCTAGAACCAGAAATACCGTTTGACCCAGCAATCCCATTATGGGTATATACCCAAAGGATTATAAATCATGCTATAAAGACACATGCACACGTATGTTTATTGCAGCACTATTCATAACAGCAAAGACTTGGAACCAACCCAAATGTCCATTAATGATAGACTGGATAAAGAAAATGTGGCACATATATACCATGGAATACTATGCAGCCATAAAAAAGGATGAGTTCATGTCCTTTGCAGAGACATGGATGAAGCTGGAAACCATCATTCTCAGCAAACTAACACAGGAACAGAAAACACTGCATTTTTCTCACTCATAAGTGGGAGTTGAACAATGAGAACACATGAACACAGGGAGGGGTACACCACACACTGGGGCCTGTTGGCGGGTGGTTGACTAGGGGAGGGTATAGCATTAGGAGAAATACCTAATGTAGATGACAGGTTGATGAGCGCAGCAAACCACCACGGCACGTGTATACCTGTGTAACAAACCTGCACGTTTGGCACATATATCCCAGAACTTAAAGTATAATTAAAAAAACTCCACACTGCTTCAGATACCAATTTGCAAATTGCCTTTATTTGCATGTGGATACATGTAGACATATGTTGCTGTGTAGAGGCCTTATTCTTAGGCCACCACTGAATTAAACTTCTTACTTCATTTCCAACTTTTGTTTCCTACTAAGTAAGGTTCATCACTGTCCTCCTAAACTTGAATTTTTATTTTTAAATTCCTAAACAATGTGTTTATTCTTGTTATACATTCAAACAACACAAAGCTGAAACTCCATCATACTGCCAACCTGATCCCATTTTTCCTGCTAGAGAGAGTCAATGTTGAAAATTTGGAGTGCTGCTTGTGAGCCCCAAGGGCTCATCCAGTAGAGTTCTAAGAGCACAGACTCTGGGGCCTGTCTGCTTGGGCAAGCCGTAGGCTCTGCTTCAGTTTGAATCTGAGCCCTTCACTTATCAGCTGAGTGATCTAGCTTTGGCTTGTCTGAGAACATTTCTTTTTGCCTTTGTTTTTTAAAATTAAACTTTCTATTTGAGATAATTGTAGACTCATGTACAGTTTTAAGAAACAGTACGGAGGGATCTTGTGTACCTTTTACTCAGTTTCCCCCAATAGTAAACTCTTGCAAAACCATAGTACTGAAAGCTTGAGATATTCACCAGGATCTATCTACTTTAGCTGGACCTGTATCTCAATATCTCCCTAGCGCAGTACATGTCCTCTGAGCTCTCTGCTCAGCTTTTAGCTTCCCAGAATATTCTCTGCTAGGTTTTTTGAGGTCTTGCCCTCAAGAGTTGGCCAAACACTCAAGGGCAATTTTATGCTGAGTTTTTGGGGCTCGTTTTCAGGTCCCTCCTCTCTGAAACTCTGCCCCACTTGAATTCAATCACTCTGGCAACTATTAATACTGTTCTCTGTTTCCTCTATCCAGTGATCTGGAAAAAGTTGCAGTCAGAGAGGTAATAGGCTAGCTAGATTATTTTGGGCTTTGTAGGCCATTTAAGCCACTATAGGCCATTGTAGTCATTGATATCAGAATAATCAACATTATAAATGCGTGTTGATTTGGGAGATGTCTACTGAGATACTTATATTGATTTTCCCTTTAATGTACTGATGTGGTAGATTACATCAATAGATATGTAAAAGCTCATAGAATAAAGTGATTTTGGTTCATTATTTTTTAGTATGCTGTTATTAAGTTTGCTAATATTTTCTTTAGGACTTTTGCATGTCTGCTCACATGTAGTATTGGCTGATAGTTTCATCTTCTTGTGTTGTCCTTGTCCCGTCTCAGAACTAGAATTATTATGCTAGCTTCATAAAATCAGTTTAGTAGCTTTCCACCTTTTTTTATGTCAGTATTTGATATGGATTGGATAGTTTCTGTTCTTTGAATGCTTGGTAGAATTTTTCCAAAGTTTATTGGTTTATTGTTGTTTATTTTTCACACTGTTATAATTTATACTTTCCATAAAATCATTTAAATCTAGTTCTCAAATTTGTTGGCATAACATTTTACATAGAATTCTCTTACAATTAAAAAATTGTAGCCATAGTACCTTTTTCCATTTACTTATAACTTTCATCCTTTTCTTGATCAGACTCAGTTTTATTTTCAAAGACTTAGCTCTTAGTTTACTGATCAGTGCTTTTAAAAAAATATATTATCTTTCATTAGTTTCTGAGTGTATCTTCATTAATTCTTTCTGCTTTATTTGGCATATTTATTTTTCCTTTTCTAGATTTTTAAGTAGTTTATTCACAATTTTAGTTTCTATCCCATGCAGTTAAGGCCATAAATGTTCTTAGGATTCATTTAGGGTGCATGCCATTGATTTCGGTATGTCGTATTCTGTTTGTTTTTCATTTCAAAATAGTTTGTTATTTGCAGGTTTTTTTTTTTAAATCAGAAATGCATTTACATTTCTGGCTGCATATTTTTATGGATAGAGGGTGCTACAGTGGATGGTGTGGTGTGCCACATAGTTCTCTCTTTAGGACCAAGACAGTCATTCTCCCAGGTGCAGGGAATATCGGCTGCTAATGGGTCACAGCTGAGTCCTTCTTTAGGCATTGCCCTCAGCCAAAGGGAGTTACTCACCCAAAGTCACACCCCTTTCCAGGGCAGCTTACATCTGTGACTGGTTGAGGGGTACAAAGGCCTTACCTCCATGCCTCAGTTCAGGACAACTTCAAGGGCAGTCCTAGATCCAGATTTATCTGTAGGATCATCCAAGACCTCTGTTGCTACTGCACTGTGGTTCACCTTCTCCCTCTGCCCAGTTCTGCTTCGCCTTCTTCCCCTACCCCCTCTCTTTTGCAGGTGTTGCTCTAGGGAATATGACTCAAAACCTCCTGTTCACAGATATCTATCTCACAGTTTGTTTCCTGGGGAACCTGAACTTTAACAGGGCTATCTTGTGGTTGCTGTTTCTAATGTAATTTACATTAGTGAACATTTTTTCTGCATGCACAGGTAGGAGAGTTTCTATACCTGGAAGTAGAATCACTGGGTTAAAGGGCATACACATTTTCAGTTTCACCAGGTATCACTCACTAGTTTCCTGATGTGGCTGTGCCAGTTTCCTCGCCAATCAGCTGTGTATTGACATCCTTGCTAACACTTTGTTACCATCCTTTTACTGTAGCTCTCCCAGGTCACTCTAGGTGTGTCTCTCATAAACAGCTGATAGGTGGTTTTTAAAAAACTCGTTCATTGAGTCTCTACCTTTAATAGATTAATTCTGGATGTTCACTCCCATTTTTTTAATTAAAGAAATACAATTAACTTTTTCTAGTTCAAAATATAAACTCTGTGTTAGGAAACCTGGACTCTAATCGGTATTTTTGCCTAGGATGAATTCTGTGGCCTAGATTCAATTTCATCCTCTCTGGACCTCCTATTTTCTTATCTATTAAATATGTAAGTTTGAGAGACTCTCCTAGGCCCCTTCCACTCTGACAGCTTGTGATTCCCAGGCTCAGTCCCTATCTCTCCTTCCACAACTGCCCTCATTTCCCCACTGCCCATACCGAGGTCGTGCCTTAGAGACCATCCTTGCTCTTCTTCTTAGAGAAAAATCTTTTGCTTCTCATGGTGATCAGGGGCTTGGGGTCAGGCTTTGGGGGGCAGAATGCACAGAAGTGGGGAGGAAAAGATTGGGATGAATTTCTTCATTCTCTTTGATACTGCTTCTCCCCACCTGTCCCCCACAACCTCCACCTAACTCAAATTCTTTTGGATTTCCCACTCACTGATCTAGAAACAATGTTCACCAATTCTCATTCCATTGTTTTTATTTATATAGTTATATTTTGTTTGAGATGCCATACAACCTAAGTAAAAAAGATCTGGCCTTTTAAAAGTTAAGATTTTAGAGGGGTCAATATTTATTGAAAAAAAATTGTTGATACTATTTTGTTAAGTATGGGAATACAAGCTGAATGAGACTGTCTCCCCCTCTCAGAGCACACAGTCTGATGGCAAGATTGGGCAAACATGCTCGAATGAATAAAAGCAAACACCAGGATCATGATCTAGAGAGAGTGCTTTAGGTGTGGCCAGGAATGAAATGCTTACCAGTCCTGGGGTGGCCAGAGGAGCCCTTGCTGAGGAGAATGGAGTTAAGCTGGCAACAGAATGGCAAAGAGAAGGAGGGGATGAGATGACATTATTCATTCTGCTTCTGGTTGTACATTTGTACATGTTTAATGCTTCATGCAGAGAAATGAATGGATGCTAAATACACAGCTTTTCAGGATGCTCTAAGGCCCTTGGAATCTGCTCCAGATAAGACCTAGTGTCACTCTTAATGTATCTTTATCATTAGCAATGCAGTGTCTCTGGTTCAGAGTCTTAGACTCCTCCCTCCTGAGATTTTGGGGTTGAGATAAGAATATATGCAAGCCCATAAGAATGTATGGGCTGTGGTTTTTCTGACAGGCAGGTCATTGCTTTCATATGTGAAGATGTCCAGTCAACCATGAACCTAAATGACCATGTGTCCTGTCTACTGACTACAGGAAAGCAGTTATCCAATTTAATATTCTATTAAATTGGCAGGCATAAGAGCCTTAAGGAGGCCTATGAGCCTTAAGGAAATGGGTCCAAACCTATCTACCAATCTTTTTTTTTTTTTAACTAGTTTTAGATTTTTGTTTTATTTTTACTCTTGCATCTGTGGGTGTGAAACTCCCTATTGGCAGCAGAATTGACTGCCTCTGGGCAGATGTCTGTGTTCCCAGAGCCTACTGACAAAGGGGTAAAGAAGGAAGTGGAGATACTGAGAATTGATTAAAGAACATATGGAAGGAATCAATATAAATTATACCAACTGAATTGGAATTCTAGTGACCAAGCACTGTTTAAACAAAATGGCTGGTCAGTTTTCATCTTGGATGGAAATGTCATCCAATAGTTCCCCTACTGGGAATAACGCCACAAGCAATTATAGAAAATTGACTTTATACCTGAATTCCCAAATGAAAGGGAAAATTTCCAGGCACCTGAATTCTCAAATGCACACAAAAATATTGAGATGAAATGATCCGGAACAATGTATCAGCGAACTGTGTTCTTTGAAGCAATACATTAACATGTGCAAAAGTTCTTTATGTAAATGGGAACTAAGGGCAGTGACCAATCTAGATGGGGTTAATCAGGGAAGATTTGCTAAAGATGGATTTGACACGTGGTCTTTTGGTTCTTGGTTTTTGTTTTTGGCAAATGAAGAAATAGATTGGGATTGAGGATAGGGGTAAAAATTCCATGTGGTAGGATCTGCTCCCTTCAGTGGTGGTTTCAGACCACAGAGATCCTCTTCCCTTCTCCATTTACCTGAATTCCCTGCATCCACAGCCTGTAGGTTGCAGGAAGGGAGAACATATTCCAGGCTATTATTTTCTAGGGCTCACTTCCATGTTAATTGATGAACAAGGCTTGTTGGTGCCTTCTTTAGTGTTCATTTCCCCACAGATTTGCATTTCATTTCTGGTGTGAACATATCATTGCTGTCAATATGCATACATTTTCATTAAATGGCTTTCCATTTCATTATACACCCTTGTAATGGCATTAAAGGTAAACAATTACGAAGAAAAAGAACACTCCATTTGTTCTCTCCTTTAAGATCTAAAACTAGATTACCTTGTTCTCCTAACGGGTGAAAGTCCTTTTGTTCAACAAATTAGACATAAACACATTACTTCCATTTCAGGCTATTTTGAAAGGCTTTCCCCTCTGTTGCCTTTCCCATCCATTTGTGTTTGATGTATAAAGTTAATTCTTGATCATAGGCACTAAATGAGTGGAACCTTATCCTGTGTAACAGAAAATGGCAGATAATCCAAAAGCTATTTTTATTTGGCTTTGGAATATACGTGTATACTTACCTTTGAATATGGAAATGTTTGACATTCCAAAAACTTATTTCAAACTAAGTTAGGAAGCCAAGCTGGGAAGACTTCATGCTCCTGCAGCTAAGAGGCTATGTCCAATTTCTAGTCCTGCCAACCTCAATTACTTCCACCTTGCAACTCACTTCAAGCTGTGGAAAAGCATGAAGGACTCTCAGGCTCATTCATACATTATTCTCTGTTCTGTGAAACCTGTGCTGAAGCAGGGAAAGGGTTAAATAGATCAGTTTCTATAGGTTTCCTGAAATAGAGAGAGAGACTTGAGAAATCAACAGAATTGTGGTTAATACAAACTTACGAATTAATCCATGAAGAACATCTGTCTGAGGTTCTAACAGGAACTTTCCAAATATAGTGGTTAATCCAGATCAATACATTGAGTTTATTATGCACTAGACATTCTGGTTGTTATAGTGCATATAAGATTAAAAAAGAAGCAAACAGGCAAACAAACATCTGATGCCCACGAAGACTTAAATGATCTAGTTCGTGCCTATTCAATCTCATCTGCTCCCGAGTGCCCTTCACTCACGATGTGCCAGCCCCACCTTCCCTTGTTTTCTTGAATGTACCAGGTCTTTCTTGACCCTGGGCCTTCATATGCTTGACTCCTGCTGCCTGGAGTTGCCCATCACTCCTCACATGGCCCACTCCTTCTCTTCTAGGTCTCAGCTTACTTAGCGACACCTCAGAGAAAGCTTTCCCAGCTGTCCTTCCTAAAATATACCCCTTTTGTGATTTGCTGTCTTGGTAATCCCGCTGTCCCCTTTAATGCCAGTTTGTTTCCTTTTGTCTTTGTCCTTTACTGGAGTGCAAGGTTTATGCAGGCAGGGACTTTCTTATTCCATGTTGTATCTCCAACTCCGAACACAGCCTGGCTCAGAGAGATGCAGGATGTATATTTAGAGTCAATCAAAGCTGAATAAGATCTGATATGAAAGAGCTCACAGCTGAGTGGTGGTAAACCTGAAAACAGTAATTATTGCAAGTTATTTCAAAAGTTACTGTTAGCTTAAAATTTAAAAAATGGCACTACTGATTTTAAGGATTTTTAAAAATTGTATTCTTTGATTATAGAAAGTTTTAATTTTTGTCTCATATATATGCCTATCCATCCTTTTCTCCTCACTATTGGATTGTTTTGAAGCCAATCTCAGGCATCACATGAGGGCTAGGACTAGGGGTAGGAAAGAGGTGCCCAGGGTACACATGGAAGGGAGGGAGCCCTGATTTGTGGGTGCTGAACCTGCCTTCTCATGACTTAAGGACCTAGAGTGAGGCCTCCTCCAATGTCACACCCCAGGCTCCTCGCTAGCCTTTCCCAAGCCCTGACATCATGTGAGTCCTGCATCATATCATTTCAACAGTAAGTGTCTAAGTGTGCATGTGTCTCTGAAGACAAACAAACTTTAGTTTTAAAAATCACATAACTACATTACCATTATCACACTTAAAAATAACAATTTGTCTTTGGGAGGCCAAGGCAGGAGGATTGCTTGAGACCAAGAGGTTGAGACTAGCGTGGGCAACATATCAAGACCCCATCTCTACGAAAAAGCATTTAAAAATTAGACGAGTGTGGTGACACATGCTTGTAGTCCCAGCTAGTACTCAGAAGGGTGAGGCAGGAGGACCGCTTGAGCCTACTCAGTTTGAGCTATGATCGTACCACTGTGCTCCAACCTGGGTGACAGAGAGACCTGGGTGACAACCTGGGTGACAACCTGTCTCTAAAGCAAAACAAAAGCAAAGCCCAAAAATCCCAAACAATTTCTTATTGTTATTGAATAGCCAGTCAGCATTCAAATTTCCCTAATTATTTCACAATACCTTTTTAGGTTGATTTGTTTGAAGGATCCAAGCAAGGTTCACACGTCACACTTAGTTGATATGGCTGAGTCTCTTTCAATCTGTTGCTTTCCTCATCCTTCTTTTTGTTGCTATTTTTTGTTTTGTGTTTTCCTTGCAATTTATGAGTTAAAAACAGGTGATTGGTTCTGTAAAGCTTTCCACATTCTTAATTTTTCTGCATGCAAAATTATGGAACACATTGTGTTTCTTCTACCTCTAGTTTGTCCTGTAAACTGGTAATTAGTTCTAGTGGTTTGACCGGATTGAATGTTTCACAAGGATACTTCATGGATGATGTTCTGTGCATCCAGCCAGCCTGGTTGTCTTCCTGTTTATGATGTCAGTAACTATTAAAGAGTATTGCCTGGATTCATTATTTATTAGGGCTACAAAATGGTAATATTCAAATTTTATTCTTCCTTTATTCCAGTCAGCTAGAATATTTCTTTTATTCTTAATTTTTTTTTTTTTTTTTTTTTTTTTAGAGATGGGGTCTCACTGTGCCACCCAGGCTGGAGTGCAGTGACACAATCGTAGAATGCTGCATGCTTTGACCTCCTGGGCTCAAGCAATCCGCCCACCTCAGCCTCCTGAGTAGTTGAGACTATGGGCATGTGCTACCTGCCACAACTGGCTAATTTTTAAAGTTTTTGTAGAGGCAGGGTCTTTCTATCTTGCCCAGATTGGTCTTCAACTCTTGGCCTCAAGTGATCCTCCTCCTTCAGCCTCCCAAAGTGCTGGGATTACAGGCCTGAGCCACGATGCCTGGCCTGGAATGCTTCTATAAAGAGAAACGTCCCCTCATCAACTATTGGTTCATACAGAAAAGAACAATAAATGCTTAATTCTTTCCCTTTATGTAACAGTTTTCGGAATGAGTTGATTTTCTTTTATTCTTCAAGGGTGACCAGTGAGGAGGTAGCAATGGTGATTTTTGTGTGTGTGTATATCATGAGGAAATCATAGATTCATTCTGTTTTTGGTGTGTTTCAATAAAGTTGTCCCCACTCTTTGTAGTTGGAGCCCTGTTAAGTGGGCAAGTGAGTCCATTTAAAAGACTCTAATTGTCTTTCTTTCTGGTATAACTAGAGGCTCCAGGCTCATCTTGTGTATTTCCTGCCCCAGACTTAGAATCAGTCATTCTGCCAAGGAACTCTGGGGTTTTTTTAGGGAAAAATTAGAAACCAAAATCTGAGTGTAAAAAGATTTAAATCCAGAATCCCAAATGTCTACTTCCATTATTAATATGCTTATTTATTAAAGGAATATGGTTAACAATCTTTGATAGTCTAAAGCACAGAACCAGTAGCCAGTTGGGGTTGAGGTCAGTGGAAGGAGAAGGACGACATCAAGTCCAGTTTTCCCCTCCACCTTCTCCTACCTTCCCTCACTGTCATCCTCCTATCCCAAGTTTCTGAGCATCATGAGAAGCCAAATGTTTCCCTTTTCTAAACATAATTGCTACTCATCTATCAGATATAGTTGGGGTGGGAATGAAGTTGGGTGTAGGAAATTGACTAAAGGACCACTGAGAAGAAAATTCCATTTTTCCCCATTTAAAAACAGTGTTCCTCTTTCTATTTTTCTGCCTTCATTTTTTTTTTTTTTGGATTATGGATACCATTCTTTTGTGTTCAACCCCCAAAAAGGAATGCAAAACTTTGGTTCCAAGTATAACATATCAGAAACTTATGGAGATGGTGAGGACAGGGACAAGAGTTGGGAGCCACAGCAGTCCTTCTCTATTTTGACTTGGAGCTGAAAAGAGGGTTTCCAAGAGACCCTGAACTGGCTCTGCTCTGAGTGTGTCTTCACCAACACAGCTGTAGGACTCAACAGGGTGTCATTTCCCCAGGGTCAGCAGCGGCATCTCAGATGGAGGGAAAATAGCCACCTCTTCAAGCTGCCTGGAATGATTTTTGTTGTTATTGTTTCAGGGCAAAGCCATAATAGCATTTCTGAAAGTGGAGTGGTTACTTCCTTTATTGTTACCCGATATTTCTTAGTTGATTTTTTTCTAGGATGCTTTTCCACAAAACTTACTGTTCAGAGGGAGACACAATGGAAATCAATTGCTAATTAAATTTGTGTCTAAATTAATAAAACACAACTATTCAGATCATATCTGTCTGAATAATTTCTATTATGGTGAACATAATTGTTAGATTCAGCATTTAATGAACCATATTGTTAGGTAAAATTCTTGTGACAATTGGGACTAATAGAATATATTAACCTTTATTCTTCCCAGCTTGACATTACATTGGACCATGTTAACATGAAAACACCTGGAAGAGTTTCATTGTTATGTAGCCATTGTGACTCTCCTGGCCCTCTGATAGAGCCCGTGAGGCTTTGGGAAATCAGTGATGTTTGATGTTTGTCAATGGGTGTCCTTATCTACAATAGTTTTTAGGGCCTTGGTTCTATGTGCACGTGTCTTCATGAAATGGAAACTCTACTATGCTCAGCAGCTGGAAAGCACCATCAAATGTTGACAGTTTCCTTGGAGCACCCATGTAGAGCATATTCTAGGTTTTGGGCCCCAGGAGATGAGTATGAAGTGGAATGGCTATAGAAAAAAATTAACATGAATCTTTTCCCTGGGGAGTACACAATCTAATAGAGAAAACAGAAGAGCTTTATAAGTAAGTATAAAGGACATCCATGCCAAAGAAATCTAAGTATATTCAACTAAAAGTAGTTTTATGGACCTATTCTGATGTGTGACTCTAAAGTTTGGCAATTTATTTCTCAGAATATATTCATATCAGAAGGTAAACATCCCCTTGAATGTTATCTCCTTCAAGACATCAGCATAGCAGTCCATGCTGGTGCTTTGGGGACACCTATTCCAATGAACTGTGCTTTGGGAGATGTCTTCAGAGTCTGGCATCTGCCGTTTTAAATGCCTAGTATAAAACATCTGCCTTGCCTTTGTAACAGGGAAAATGACCCTTGTTCACAGAACAAAGAAAGATTGGGCAATGTTACATTTAAGGGTGAAGGCCAGACCCCCTTTTCCACCTGTGAACCAATCAGTCTGGCAATGGCAAAAGCCAACACCAATCAAGCTTCCCTTGATGCTCATAGTCAGGCCAGTAGCTGACCTCACTGTTCTCTCATCAGTCACAACACACACACCAGCACTTTGTGCAAAATCTGCTATCCCCCAATAGTGGACAGGGATCTTTTCCATTTTGCATTAGCTATAAAACTGACCCCAATAAACCACAGTAGGCATGAAGTCACTTTCCCTCAACTTAGTTCCTGACTTCTCTTTCTTGCCAATGTGAGGGGGGTGAGATGAAGTGGGAGTATGTACCCCAGGACATCAACTGCATAGCAGTGACTCTCTGCTGAAGTCACTGCAGGTTGGCACTCACCTCTCTTTATCTGGAGATGGGTATGGGATTTACTTTTGCTTTAAGCAAATTCCTAGGAGGGAAACTAAACCCAAGTGATTTATAGGGAAGGGAGTAGGACAAATAGCCCTAAAACATCCAACCTCCCACCCGCCAAGTCCAACAATCTTGGGATATTTGCGGAAGTCCACGTTAGGTTTGTGAATACTACTTAGGACTTTCAATCCTCTACTGCATGTAACCATTTTAGATTATGGTCTAAAATAACTCAGTATCCCCAAACCACTCAGGATTCATTTCGAGAAGTTTTCATAGACAAGGTAGCAGAGGTTTGAAGAATTGGAATCTAGCAGGCAAGAGTGGGAAGTGCATTTCAGAAGAGGGGCATGGAACTAGATCTGCCTGAGTGGATAATGAAGGAGTCACTGACCTTAGACCTGTTGTCAGGTTTGGAGGCAGTTGCCCTCCAGCCCGAATCTAAGAACCAAGCACTTCCCTCTCTCTCCTTAAGGAAGAGCTAGGAGATACCCAGCTGCTTCTCCAAAGCTGGTCTTCTAGGCTGCGATTTCCTCTCCCTTTGTTATCTCTCATTTGCCTTCCCAGCAGTCTGTCCTTGGGCCTCTGACTAATTTTAGCTCAACTGTTCCTGGGTTCGGGGGTAGATGGAGCAACTGCTCCTATCGGTCTGCCTGGGGTTGCTCGGTGGATGTCAGCCATGAGCTGGGCTCTCCTTGGCCCGGATCCCAGTTCCCAAGCAGAGCTGAGCCTGGAGACAGCCAGCGGAAGGGACCTGAAGCTTGCAGCGAACTGGTGCTCTAAGTCCTGGTTTCTGAGGGTGGACACAAGGCTATTTCATGTGTTTGATTATAGGAGTGGAGAGAGGGACAGGGAAAAATCCATTCCTGAAAATAGTGCAGGTTTGAAGATGATGTTCTCCCAGCTGCTTTTTCAAAGCCATCAGAAATGGCATATGGGAGGTGGGAAAATGAGGTGCAATTTATCAAGCAGGCTGAAGGGGACCTTTCCAGGACACAGTAGGTATTTCTGTTTGGGTGCAAAAATATTTAGTTTTGAAATTATTAAACAACATCATCTTGGTGATTTCGTCTTTTTGGTAATCTGAGCAGAGCGCATATGTATCTGTGTCTGCAAATTACTTTGGAAAATGCATATTATTTACTTGTTCTGAACAGGCTCTTAGGCTCGGTTGTCTAAATAGGAAATTTGGATCTAATAAAATGAGGCTATTACAGACTCCCAGGCAAATAATAACAAAGGCTAATACCTTTAAAAATTCAAATTAAAAAAAAAGGTCACTGGTTAGCTATGAGGACAAAGTTCAATATAAAACTTCACAACTAATTTCTGTCTTTCCCCATTCTCTCCCTTTAACAACATCAAGGCAAGACCCTGGATACAAGAGAGTTCCTTCCCGACCCCCAGCTCTGAGAAACAGCTGAGGCCTCTAAGCATCATTACCAAGAATGTCTTCCATAAGTGGGGCCTCACGGAAGCTGTGAGGAGGAACAACTGGATATATTCTGAGCATTGATTCTGGAAGCATTTGTGCTGGCAAAGTGAGTGATTGCGGGGCCGTTTTATTGGACATGTACTTTGGGGAAGCACGGGGCCGTGCCATCTTGGACAGACTTCTTACCCCGGCACTGTGGGAACCTGTGAGGTACACAGTGGTGTCTGACTTGGAGAAGATTTTTGCCATGGGCCTCCTTTCCCCACTCACCAGACTTTGGTGCAATTTTCCAAATGTAGTCATCAGTCTACCTCAGGGGTCCAGAAGCTCGACTTTTCTTCATTTGTCCCCCCTTTCAAAGGCATATTTACTAAGAGGGGCTTGCATAATCTTTTTTTCTTTCTTGAAATTTCTGTTGCATTGAAACATCTATAGCTTGGGTGCGTGCTGTGCCCTGCTCTTCTCTTCTCTGGACCTGGGTTTTATCATCTGCAAACTAAGCAGAGGCAGCTTTTCTTTCTCTCAGAAGTCTCATGTGAAATTTCAATGGGTAAAAGAACATGCCGGTGGAGCTGCCTGGCTACATCCAGTGAGGAGTGCCCCTCCCACCCCACGTCCCTCCCGCTGCCTCTCCCTCAGTCTCTTCGGGGGCCCCCAATGTCCACGAGGCCATGAAAGTTCAGGGTTCCATGGGTCACTGTTTGAGCTTCCAGGACTAGATGACTGCCAAGTCTTTCAAGCTCTAGAGTTTGGAGGTTCTAGCTATTTCACCGGGAAATGGCCATCTTTGGCCTCCATATTGGCTCTGATGTGTATGGCGGAAAAGAGATGGTGGGGCCTCTTGCTTTTACCCTTTTGCTAGTTTACCCTCTTCAGACAGAAAGTTTGAAACCTTGGAGTCTCCTAAGCCAGTCTATTGAAACTGTACACTTGGGGGAATCTTCTCCCACATGGCATATTCCCCATTGCAGTGGAGTGGCCTGGGGCAACATCCACATCTTTTCCCTGGAGAGGGCCCTCAGCAGTGCCTCATCTCTGCGGCCCACAGTGGCTGGTGTGACTGGTGTGACTGGTGTGACTGGTGTGCTTTGAGGAGTGTCAGGATGCTGAGAGAGAGGCCCTCAGGAAACACCCAGCAAAGAAGCAGACCTCACTTTCTGGAAACCTCCCCGGCTGTAAACCTCAGGCATCCTCCTTGGAGGATTGAAAAGACCGGTATTCCCCAGGAGGATCTTGACTGGGCTTGGCCCCCTGCTTGGTCACATGACGTGCTGGCTGCTTTCCTCTGGAGCCCTTGTTTCCTAAATGATAGTGGATGAGAGATCAAATCTGTCCCACACAGGTAGTCGTTGCCATCTTAATATTTGTTAAGCTTTTTGATTTAGTGAGGAGTTAAAGTCATATCAGGTCACAAAACTGCACATTAGATCTGCTTCATGAAACACTCTGAGTGAATGGTTTAACTCATTTATTTCACCAGCTTTAAACCAATGTAGCTGAAGAATTGCACCTCCCCTTTATAAATCTTTCCATTTATTTCTGACTCAGGTTTATGGGGAGGGTGAAGACCTAGCCTGTTCAGCCGTTTCACCCATGCCATAGAAACCTGACATGCTCTGCTTACAATGGTGAACAAGCCCAGCTCACACATGTTTTAACTCAGCCAGAGAAATTTCACCCAGGAAGCTGGAGGAATGTGCTTTGCAGAGAGGACTTCTATGGTGTTGGAGACTCACCTGTTCCTTACCCTTTTCTCTCTTCTGACTGTTGCCCTTGTGCTATTTTCCTGTTTGCTGCTTTCACTCCACCAAGTCCAACTAATTGAAGGGAAATTTAACCATCAGAGGATTTACAGAGAATCATTGCAGTTTGCTGTAAGAGACAGGGCTTAGACTTACATAATAGGGTTTAGGACCCATGTAAATTAGGTCAAGAAGAATCCACGTTGTGGCCATTCTCAATTCAACTCCATTTCTTATTCTTCCTCAGGAAAGCAAATTTCCAAAGAGGGACACAATTACTCTCAGCATCTTTGGCAATCCCACTGGGTGGTGGTGAGACCTTCCCCCTGATGAAAGATCCCAGTGTCATTCTGAATGACTTAGTGGTGCTGAACTTGGCAAGGACAAACCCTCTGTGGCTGCCTCACCTGTTCCTAATGTGGTCTAATGTAGGGCCAGGACACAGGCTCTTCATATTTCTATTTTTTAAGATATTTAAAGTTTTATTTATGATCTAATATAACTTTTTAAAAATGTTCCAAGGATATTTGAAAAGCATAAGTATTCTGTTTTACAAAGTTCAAAATCCTTTTATTAAATCGGGCTTGCAATGGAGATCTTCAAATCTGTTATACCCTTATTTTTTTTTTTTATCTATTTCATCTATTGATTTTTTTGAAAGGCAAGTTAAAATCTCCCACTATTGTAGTCTTCTTAGCATTTTGTTATATTTCTAATAGATTTTACTTTATACATTTCTCTGAGGTTTTAGAAGTGTAAATGTTTATGATCCTATCTTTGTGAATTGTACCTTTCATCACTGTAAATATCAATCTTTGTTTTTTAAAATTTGTAGTTACTGATCTATATTTCTGATATGTTTTTCTTTAAAACATTTTATATGAAAGTGAAAAACAAAAAGCAAGCCACAAAGGTTAATATAATAAAACCCAGATACCATCCAAAGTGAAGAAATGTTAACACTTTTCGTACTTCAGATTTTTAAAAAATTAATAAGCTTTTTAAAAGCAGTTTTAGGTTCACAGCAAAATTGAGTCAGAGGTACAGGGATATCCCCTCTCCCTGCATGTATAATTCCCTCTGTCATTCACATCTTGTGTCACTGTGATACATGTTTTATAATCAATGGGTTAATATCAACACATTATTACCAACCAAAGTCTATTGTTTACATTAGGGTTCACTCTTGGTGGTGTATATTCTATGGGTTTGGACAAATGTATAACATGTATCCATCGTTATAGCATCATACAGAGTAGTTTCACAGCCCTAAAAAATCCTCTGCGCTCTGCCTATTCATCCCTTCTTCCCTCTAACCCCGATCTTTTTACCATCTCCATAGTTTTGCCTTTTCCAGAATGTCTGAATAGTTAGAATCAAACAGTATACAGCCTTTTCAGATTAGCTTCTTTTACTTAGTTATATGCATTTGTTTCCTCCATGTCTTTTTATGACTGGATAGCTCATTTCTTTTTAGTGCTGAGTAATATTCCATTGTCCGAATGTACCACACTTTATCCATTCACTGATTATAGGACATCTTGATTGCTTCCAAGTTTTGGTAGTTGTAATTAAGCTGTTATAAATAACCTTCTGCTAGTTTTTGTATGGATATAATTTTTTAACTCATTTGGATAAATATCAAGGAGTGCACTTGCCAGATTTTATGATAAAAGTGTGTTTAGTTTTGCAAAAAAAATTGTCAAACCATCTTCCAAAGTGGCTGACTGTACCATTTGCATTCCCATGAACAAATGAGTGAAAGTTCTTGTTGCTCCAAAGCCTCACCAGTATTTGGTGCTGTCAGTGGATTATGGCCATTTTAATGGATGTATAGTGGTATCTCATTGTTGTTTTAATTTCTAATTTCTTAATTATGTATGATGCTAAGCATCTGTTCATATGCTTATTTACCATTTGTGTATCTTCTTTGGCAAGGTGTCTGCTCAGATCTTTTGCCCATTAAAATAAATTTTTGTTGAGTTTTAAGAGTTCTTTGTATATTTTAGAAGACAATCTTTTATCAGATATAGCTTTTGTAAATATTTTCTTCTAGTCTGCAGCAGATTTGGTGTTTAAAGGATAAAATATCACGGATGAAGTTTAAATCCCCTATAGTTTCTTCTGTAGTCCAATTCCCTTCTATTTCTCTTCAGAGGGAACAATTCTCATGAATTTGATGAGTATTCAGTCTAGACGTTTAAATATTTACTTATTTTATATATTTTATATTTTGTAATCACTAATAGTCATTTTGTGCATGAAAAATGACTTAAAAGGTCTCATACTGCAAATTACATTTTTCAAGACTTCATTCTCTGTTTTTAAAAATTCTATGCCTGATAATACATATAGATTTACTTATTTAATATATTCTATCACCTGAATATATCACACTTCATATCCACTCCCTTATGTTGGGCATGTGAATTCTTTTTAACTTTTTGTACTTATTAACGAAGCTTCAGTGTCTCATTGTGCTTGTATGAGAGGGATTCTGTAGTATATGAAACTAGAAGTGGAATTTCTGAGTTACAAGATTTGCAGAGTATCTAGCTGCACTAGATATTACCAAATTTATCTTCAATGTGATTGTGTCAATTTACACAAGTGGTGTGTGAAATTTCTATTTTGTCATATTCTTACCAGTAATTGGTGTGGTTAGGCTTTTACATTTTGGTTAGTCTAAGGGTGGAAACTGGCATCTTGTTGTGTTTTCGTTTGTTTTTCTAAACTGCATCTCTCCGATTACTTTCGAGGCAAAATACTTGTATATATTGGTCGTTTTCTCATTTGTTAACTGCCTGTTTTCTATGGTGCTGTTTATTTTTATTGATTTATAGGAGTTATTCATGTATTTTGAATATGACTTTTTGTTGTCAGAGATGATGTTAAAAATATGAAACAAAAAGAACTGAAACATCAGTACAGCATGAGTAATCACCAATCAAAATAAATGCCATATCCAGTTAGAACAAACTGAATTCACAAAGATGTTCTTTTATTTTTTCTTCTAACATTATAGAAATTTGTTTCTTTACATTTAGATATTTAATTAAATAGAATTTTTTACATATAATGGGAGAAATAGGATCTTTAAAAAAAATAGTCTATTTTTCCAATCTCACCTAATGGTTTGTTATTTCTCTACTAATTTTTATGCCTCCTCTATTTTATACAAAGGTACCCTGTAAATTGGGTATGTTTCTGGTGTTCCTAATTTATTCCATTGATTTGTCTGTTTCTCTGCCAATAACATACTGCCTTTTATTGTTAAGCCACAATTTTATAAAGAATTTTGATTTTTCATAGAGGAATCTTCTTTGTTCTTTTTCTGAAATATCTTACTCATTTGTGGACATTCATTGTCCTGCATAAATTTTAGAATAGTGTTTAAATTTCCAGGAAACATTCTGTTGGCATTTTGATTGGAATTACATTGAATTTAAAGAATAATTTGAAGAGGAGCATTTTCTGATATTTAGTTTTCCTCTCCATGATCGTGGTCATGATCTCTCATCATTTATTCCAGTTTTATTTTTATGTTCTTTAATAATGCTTTATGTATTTCTCCCCCTAAAGTTTTACATGTGGTTTGTTAGATTCACTTTGGTAGTGACCTGTTGTTAAGATTCTGTGCATTTTTGATGCAATTGTGAATTCTGTCTTGTTTTTGGTTACATTTTCCAATTGGTTATCACTTGTGGTCAAACGCTATTGATTTTTGTGTGCTTATCATACACCTAGCAATCTTGATGTACTTATCAGTTCTAATAGTTTATCTGCAAATAATGACAATTTTGTTTCATTCTTGTCTTATTGCTTTGGCTAAGACTTAATATCAGGATACAATTATAAAGGAAGGACTAAAAGGAAATTTTCTTGATCTGATAAAGGTCATATACCAAAAATTACAGCACATATCACTTTTAATGGTAAAACTTTGTAGTAAAATTTTTGATGCTTTTCTATTAAAGTCAGGAAAAAAAGTCTCCATTCTATCTCCTACTATTCCATATTATACAGTAAGTAGCCTTTTTGGCAGATAGGTTCTTATCAGGTTAAGGGAATTCCTTTCTATTTCTAGATAGCTAAAAATCTTTTGTGAATGGTGTTTAATGTTATAAAATTCATATTCTGTATGTGTTGAGATAACTATGCATATTATTCTTCATTAAACTATTCATATGGGGTATTATATTAGAAAGGTCTGATATTGAATCAACGCATTTATGAGACAGATCCTTCTTTGACAGTGACAAAATTTTATATACTGATGGATTCAACTTGCTGAATTTTACGTTTGTTTTCTATTTCATTTGTGAGATTGGTCTATATTTTTCTTTTTTGTTCTGTTACTTCTTGTTTGCATTATCAACGCTATGTTAGTCTCATGTAATAGGATGAATGGGAAGCACTCTCCTTTATTCCGTTTTTTATTTAAACAAATTGTGTAAAATTTTCTGTCCCTGAAGATTTGGTAAAACTAGTTTATGTGATGTCAGTTCTTTGAAACTATTATCTAGAGCACAGCCAATTTTAAATGTCCCATGAAAAGACAAGAAAATCTAGGTGGAAACAAGGCTCTTTGAATTGTAATGAGATATTTACATTGAAATTTTTGTTGATGCAGGAATGTAAAATAGACATTGTGTGCCAAAGTGAAGTGTCCTTCTCAAACACAAATTTTAAAGGAGGTGGACCATGACTCGTTTCATGAGTCTTAGGCCCTTTACTCAGGAATCATGGCTGTTATATTTAATTTATGTATTGTTCTTATTTCAATATGTTGGGTGTTCTTTATTGGCCCTATTAAGGTTTTTCACCTAAAATTTTATTTCACCTGAGGGCATTAGTGCTAAGTCAGCTTGATTTTGGTATTTGTCTAGTATATCTTTATCTCCTGTTTTTTTGAAACATGTTATTTTAGTTTGGGTCTAGATCTTTTAAGTAGAATCATAGCCGATTTTGTTGCTGTTGCTAATTTTTAAAATCCAGTTTGAGATTTCTGTCTTTTAATAGACTAAGAATGTGCTATGATTATACATAAATTATAAATTATATTTACCAGTGAAATAGTTTGTCCTCAGTCAAATTTCATGTTGAATTGTAATCCGTATTGCAGGTGGGGCCTGGTGGGAGGTGGTTGGATCATGGGGGTGGATTTCTCATGAATGGTTTGGCACCATCCTTGTGGTGCTGTCCTTGTGATGGCAAGTGAGTTATCGTGAGATCTGGCTGTTTAAAAGTATGTGCACCTCCTTCCCTCTCACTCGCTCCTGTTCTCACCATGTGAGACACCTGCTCCTGCTTCACCTTCTGCCATGAGTAAAAACTCCCTGAATCCTCCCCAGAAGCGAAGTGAATGCTGGCACCATGCTTCCTGTACAGTCTGCAGAACCATGAGACAATTAAAACTCTTTTCTTTATATATTACCCAGTCTCAAGTATTTCTTCATAGCAGTGAAGAAGAGACTAATACAACCATCTTGCTTTATTTTTGTTTATCATTTATTTTTCCTCTCTTTTGATGCTCTTCTTGGTTTGGTAAAGTATAAAATTTTGTTTCATTTTGGTTTCCATCTCTTTTATCTGCCTTTACAGTCATTTTTTAATTCTCCTTTTGGCCCATGGAGATGCTTATTTGTTTTGGTGTGTAAATCTTTTTAAACTTAATTAAACTTATAACATTCTGTATTTGGAGTAAAAAGTTTAAACATTTTCTTTTTTGTCATTTTATTTTGAGTATGTATTTTGTAAGGAGCTTATATTTAGCATTGGCTTCATTTTTTTTCAACCTAACTTGAGGTTTTTTTTTTTTTTTTTTTTTTTTTTTGAGATGGAGTCTTGCTCTGTTGCCAGGCTGGAGTGCAGTGGCGTGATCTCGGCTCACTGCAGCCTCTACCTCCTGGGCTCAAGCGACTCTCCTGCCTCAGCTGTCTGAGTAGCTGGGACTACAGGCATGCACCACCACGCCCAGCTAATTTTTGTATTTTTAGTAGAAATGGGGTTTCACCATGTTGGCCAGGGTGGTCTCGATCTCTTGACATCGTGATCTGCCCGCCTCGGCCTCCCAAAGTGACCTTTGTTTTTTAATAAGGAAATGTAAACAACCACCTTGTGTTTTTTGAGATAAGTGTTATGTCTGGTGGTGTTCCTGTCTTCTATTGTTCTTCTGTTTATTATGTATTTTAGTGTCCATCTTTCCATTTTCCTAACTTTTGTTGGAATGATATCTCTTTGTTGTTGTTCTCCATACCTACACAAAGTGATTTGGAATTTTAGCATCTGAGTTGTATTCTACTAGTGAGAGTCTTTATTATATACATTTTAAGCAAAATTTTAAAAGTACCTTTTTAATTGTTAAAGTTACAATCATGGTGGAAGGGGAAGCAAACATATCCTTCTTCATAAGGCAGCAGGAGGGAGAAGTGCTGAGCAAAAGGGGAAAAAGCCCCTTATGAAACCATCAGATCTCATGAGAACTCATTATCATGAGAACAGCATGAGGGTAACCACCCCCATGATTCAATTACCACCCACTGGGTCCCTCCCATGACGTGGGGATTATGGGAACTACAATTTGAGATGAGATTTGGGTGGGGACACAGCCAAGCTGTAACACAATACGGCTGAGTATTATTCCTTTTTTATGGATATAACACAATTTGTTTATTTATTCACCACTTAATGGACATCCCCCCCAAAGTTTTGGACATAATAAAAATGCTATGAAAATTTATGTGCAAGCCATTGTGTGTACAAAGTTTTGAAATTGATGATTCATATAGCAAGTGTATATTTAACTTTGTAAGACACTGCCAAACTTTTTCAAAGGGGTTTTCAGTTTTGTATTCCCAACAGCAGTATATGAAAGCTCTATTTCTTCTTGAGTGAGCTTTGATAGTTTGTGTCTTTCAAGAGATTTCATGTAAGTTGTAGGCTATCAGAAAAGCTCCTGGCTCCTGTTAGCATCTCTGCAGCCATTGTGCCTACAGTGGATGCAGCTCCTAGCATAAAGAGTGACTCCTGATGAGAAGGCAGCAGTGGAGTTATTGGCTTCAAACAAAGTCCCATAGGGAAGCTAGGCGGTTTTGGAAACTTCTCCTTTGGAGTGAACAGTCCCTTTTTCTAAAATTGTTTGCCTGATAGAGTCTAAGGCTTTCCTCAGGTGTGGTGAGACTGTGAGCAGGGGCTCTAAAAATCTGACATAGAAGGAGGGTCCCTTCCAGGTGTAGAGGGGATAGGCCAGTGGCAAGCTTTCCTCCTTATTCTTAAAATGCTGTCTTCCTAGAATCCAAAATTTCAAACATATAGGTGAGACTCTCTCTTTATTTTTCAGTAATGTCAACAAGATTTTATTTTACACTAAATGGCCTCAGGGAGAGAATTAAGAAGGAAGACAACCCATGATATAATTTTATCACCATCTTCCTAGAATTCTGTCATTTTTACCTCTATTATCTATCACTGCATAACCAGTTACCCAAAATGTAGCAGATGAAAACACCAAAATTTATTATCTCCTTTGGGTCAGGAATCCAGGTGCTGCTCAGTATCTTTCACAAGGTTCCAATCATGGTGTTGGCTAGGCTACAGTCATCTGAAGGCTTTAATGGGGAAGGATCTTCTTCCATGCTCACCCACTTGGCTATTTGCAGGTCTCAGAAGATCTGTGTCCAGGCTCGTTTATGTGGTTGTTGGCAAGCCTCAGTTCCTTGTCACATGGACCTGTCCACAGGGTTGCTTCACAACATGACAAATGGCTTTCCCTAGAGAAGGTGAGAGAGCGAGCACCCCTGATGTAAATCACTGTCTTTTCATTGCCTCATTTTGAAAGTGATATCCACCAGATACGTTATACTCTATTCACTAGGAACAAGTTAGTCAATCAACCCACATTAAAGGAATGAGGGTTACACAAGGGTGTGAATGTCAAGAGGTGGGTGTCATGTACCTTCTAAGTTAATTCTTTGTCCTCCAGTGTCTTGGTTTAGGTTTGCTCAGAAGCAGATCCTGAAGAAAGGATTCAATTGCAAATAGCTTTTCTTGGGAGATGATCCCAGGAAACTGTGACAGCAAATGGAGAAGTGAGCTAGGAAAGATAAGGAAGCCTATTAAGGGAATATTTTCTTTTTTCTTTTGTTTTGAGACAGGATCTTATTCTGTGACCCAGGCTGGAATGCAGTGGCCCAATCTTGGCTCACTGCAACCTCCACTTCCTAGGCTTAAGTCATCTTCCTATTTCAGCCTCCCAAGTAGCTGGGACTATAGGCACACACCACCATGCCAAGCTAATTTGTTTTTTATTTTTTGTAGAGACAGGGTCCCACTAAGTTGCCCAAGCTGGTCTTGAACTCCTGGGCTCAAGCAATCCTCCCATCCTGGCCTCCCAAAGTGCTGGGCTTACAAGTGTGAGCCGCTGTGACTGGCCTAAGGGAATATTTTCAAACCAGATACTATTCTGGGCAATTATAAGCTCAATCCTGCTGGGGAACTCTGGAAAATGGCTCAGAACACACCACAGTGTTCTCCCAACCAATGAGTGAGGAAGTTGTGGGATTTATCTACCAACTCTCTATCCATCATTGATTGAGGACGGCTTTGGGGAACAGTAATTCTGTGGCACTTCTGCTTGCCCTGCATATGCTAAGAGTATACTCTCCCACCCCTAACCTGCCACCCCCAATCCTTTCTTTCTATGGAGGTAAATGCTGAAAGGATATTGATGGGACACCAAAAATGTCTGCTGTACCCAGCTAGAATGCAAGCATCACAAAGGGAAGAACCATATTTTCATCATTTCCTCTACAGTCCATCAGCATTATCTAGTGTATTACCTAAAACACATTTTTGCTCAAGTATTTGTTGAAAGAATGCAAGTTGCTGCTGATGGCACCATGAAGGAACTCAGTGCTGTGAGGAGACAGACTTGCACACCACTAACTACAAGACAGCAGGATAAGTGCTATCCTGTAGATGTTCATGGGGTGCTATCAGAGTCTAGGGCAGCAACTCTGCTAGCCGCTGGAGAAGAGGCTAAGGAAGCTTTCACACAATAGCAGATGTGTGTGCTAAGCCTTGAAAAATGAGTAGGATTTTGTGATAGGATTTTATTGGTCAGATAATACATGAAGCAGTGCAGGAAGAAAAAAATGTGTGGCAGAGTCATTTGTCATTTACAAAAAGAGAGCATAGGCACTCTGGATACTCTTGCTCTCACCCTTCTGCTTCCTCTGCTAGAGAAGTTTCATGCAGCTGAGGCCCTTGCTGCTGTTTCTGGGCCACCATCTTGTCCATGAAGTAATCATCAGCTTGATAGTCTAAACATGCATGAGTTCACTCTCCTCTCTCCTTCCCAGCAGGCACGCACACAACACAGTGGTTTCAAGTCCTTTTGGCAAAGATAATCTTTTCTTGATCTTTGAAAAGGCAGGTAAAATACATATATACACATATAACAAATATTTTCTTTATGTATTTACTGTTTGTAGGAAGTCTAACCCTAATCCAGCATTTATTAAAACAAGACAGGATTTATTAAATTGGTTCAAGTTTATCAAATATGTACAGATCTTTACATAAATTAATTTGCTTGTTAAATATTTGTAAAATTTATTAAGACTTTGGAGAAACTTAAATACCTGAGCTTCCCAGTTTAATTTGGCTTGATTTTATTTTTTTATTTTTTTTATTACCTAAGGGACCAATGAGGCTTTAAAGTACACACATAGGACTCTGGATGGTCAGGTAAGAGAGGGCCAGAGAGCAGGTGTCAGCAGCTGGGACCTGACAGGCAAAGAAAGGTGATGTTTGAGTACTTTTGGGTGAACCTCTCTGTTCATCAAGATACTATATTCAAGAACAGAAGATACTGTGTTCATTAAGCCTGGTGGTGTTGGGGACAGTGAGACATGCCCACTGTGTGATGACATCATAAGAGGCCATGTCAGGATGGAGCTGGAGCCATAGACTCCTTTCTTCCTGCTCCTTAATTAAACAATGTATTGAGCTGCTGCCATGTACCAGGCATGGGCCCGTGGGCTGGGAATACAAGGTAGTCAAGATACGGGCCCAGCTTACAAAGCGTGAGAAACATAGGCCTATATATAAAAGTTTCAGATTCTGTGTTCAAACCCTGTCTTCACCATTTACAGCTCTCTGGCCTTGAAATTGGATAATTATATAGAACTGTTGGAAGTTCTAAGGTATAATAGAACATCTAGCTGAGTGGTCATCCCTGCCTTCTAGCTACATCTGGTCAATCAGTCCTGAAATTTGCAGCACCTTGAACACCTGAACATCTTTTGGGCCCATCTACTTTGATCCATCACCACTGCTTCCACCTGGTCTGAGCCACTGTTGTCTCTCCTTAGAATAACTACAATAGGCCAGGCATGGTGGCTCATGACTGTAATCCTAGCACTTTGGGAGGCCAAGGCGGGTAGATCACTTGAGCTCAGGAATTTGAGAGCAACCTGGGCAACATGGCGAATCCCTGTCTCTACAAAAAAATTAGCTGGGTGTGGTGGCCCACGTTGGTAGTCCCAGCTACCTGGGGGGCTGAGGTAGGAAAATTGCTTGAGTCCAGGAGGTTAAGGCTGCAGTGAGCCCACATCATACTCCTGCACTCCAGCCTGGGTGACAAAGTGAGACCCTGTCTCAATAAATAAATACAAACTAACTACAATAGTTTTCTCCGTGGTCTTCCCAAACTCATTTTTGTTGCCTTCCAATCCATTCTTAAAATAGCAGCCTGAGTGATTTTTTTTTTTAAGGCCCAAGAATGATGATGCCATTTCTTAGCTCACAACTCTTCAATTCCTTCTCAATCCTCTTAGGACAAAATCCTACAAGGCCCTGCTCAGTATGAGCCCTTACAGGGGGGCATAGTGGTTAATTCATCTGGAATCAGGCTGCGTGGGTTTAAATCCTGGTTCTGCTACTTTGTGCAAGGGGGTCCTGGGTAAGAGTTGTATCCTCTCTGGGCTCCCAGTTTCTTCATGAGTCATATGGGGATGCTCAGGGTATCTAAGGTTATTGATTCCATGAAACAAGACAAGCAAAGCACCTAGAATTGTATCAGGAATGTGGTAAGAATATGATGTTATTATTATTACCTTTCCTACCTTATCTACACATGCTTGCCTTCTCTCCATTCATTCTGCTGCCCTTCTCCCTCTAGCCTCTGGCTATTGGTCTTTGATGATGCTGTCTCTAATACTGTCTCCCTCCCCATTCCTTTGATTACATTCTATTAATCCTTAGGTTTCCATTTAAGAATCATGTACTCCAGGTGGCCTTCTTGATTCCTTCCCTAGACCAGTTTCTCTCTCTGTGTATGCTCATAGCACCTATATCTTTCTTCTATAACACTCTTCACACTATGGTCACCTAAACAATCCCTATCTCCTTGGCAAAAGCCAAGCTCCCTAAGTCAGGGGTGCCATGCAGCTGTTCACCATCATTCACCATCCTTAGCTCATGCATAGTACCTGGCATGTAGCTGGCAATGGATGGCTGTATTAACAACACAATGTAGCTGAACTGTCTACAACATAGTGTATGTAACATGCTACAACAGGACCATTATAAACTGTTATGGGAACACAGGTATTTGCCTCCTAGAGGTTCAGCTATGTCCAAAAAAGCAAAAAGCATCCTGCTGGGAGTTACTGACAGATATCCAACCCTTCTCCTAGGCTTCCCACTGGCAGGAGGTGGCAGCAGGGTTTTATTTGGTAGTGTTGGTGGGCTGTCTGTCATAGCGTCTGTTTCTTCATGCCCAGCAGATTTTGGCAACTTTGAGATTAAAGAGTGGACTTTCACAAGAAAATAAAAGACCCAAATGTCCTCTAGAGTAGATTGACCCTAAACCCCAGGGAACTGAAGCAGTAAATATGCGAATTGCTAAGCACCTGGACATTGTGGTTGGAGTCTGAACTCTAAGAATATTTCATTTCCTGCAAAACTGCAACTAAAAACTAATTCTGGAATTGGGAATCCCATTTGTCCCAAACTGACATAAGATCTTTCCAAAGATTCCAATCTTTATTTGAAATGGTTGAGTTTGGCTGTGGCTGCTAACACTTTACTCGCCTTAGAGCGCTCTGCCTTGTGAACTGTCCAAATAAATTGGTAAGCAAATACTGACATACTCTAGAAAAGTGTAACACTGGAGTGTATCTTTTGGTGATTCATATAATTGTCCCCAAATTAAATCTGAAGTAAAGAGCAGATGGGTTTATGTTCTCTTTTCCCCTTAACATGATCACACCTGTTATAATGCTATTTGCAAGAAGGTATTGGAGGATGTGGAAGTTTATGCTTTTAGGGATCCTGAGCTCTAGTCGGGGAGCTGGAACATACATACATGCAAGAAAAAAAATCTCAAGAAGTCCCCTGGTAGAATAATGCAGTGGGAAATAAGCTTCCTAATTTGGCAGGACATGTCAGAGGGAGTGATCAGACCTGAGTACAGTTGCTTAAGGAGGGCTGCTGGGAAGAAGGAGAATTTTGAGCGTCTTTCTGGGTGTGAAGAGTTGGTACCCTAGGTGTGAAGGAGATTCCCAGGGAGGGCCCAGGTGGGCTGGATGGGAAGTGAATGGCAGGAAAGCCAGTAGGAGGGAGTATCCAATGGGAGTGGGGGTTGTGGGGCAGGGACATAACGCTTAGGAATCATGCAAGCTGGGTTTGTGGATGATGTCAGAGATCTAAGAATGGAAAGGGCTTATTTTCCTCTGGGCCTTTTCATTCAATAAGCATTTATTGAGCATCTACTTTATTCCAGACCATAAAAGAGATGCCAAGGATACAAAGAACATAACACACCATCCTCACTTTGGAGGAGCTCACAGTTGAATGAGAGAGATAGAGGAACAAAATATTACACCACAGTCTGCTGCAGCCTAGGATATAGGATGTGCAGTGGCAACTCAGGGAGGCAGGGACTCAGAAACAACTTCACAGACTAGGTGATGTGGCTGAAAAATGCATAGTTATCCCAGGCATAGAAAGGCATGTCGGGCAAAAAATAAAGGTATCTCAGTGGCTTAGAATTCTGAATGAGGCTAATATGTTCAATGGAAAAAGCAGGAAGTTTGGGGTTGCTGGAGTTTTCAGGGCAAAATGGAAGTTATTTGGACATAAAGGTGGAGAAGGAGTTTTGGGGCCAGATGGAGACACTCAGCCTCTATGCTGCAGGCAGAGGGGCTGGTGGGAGATCTCAACAAGGAAGCAACATGATCACGTTTATTTCCAGGATAAGAGTTCTGGAAATGCTGTGAAGGATGGAGGGAAATCAGACAAAACCCAGGACAAAGACTGCAGTTAGTCTCTTAGTTAGGGGTTTGTGACAATCCTGGCAACAGAGTAACAGTGGGCTTGGAAAGAGCTGGGCAGTGAGGATGGAGAAGGGCTTATTTCTAAAGACCCATTGGGTGTGGTTTCTGCTTTTTCCAGAAGAAGCTCTTTCACTTCTATTTCCATTAATGTCCTATTGAATGAAAACTCAGGTCCCTTTCCTTCAACCTTCACCCCTCTTTCCCCTACGGACGTTGAAAGCGGCTTAATATGGCAACACATAAAATGAATCCCACTCAGTGGTAAAGCAGAGCTGAGGTGGGCTCTCAGAGGTGCCGGCTGAAGAGTCCAAGATTGTTTCATGCACATTTGACTTGATAGGAGGGCCTCTTGGAGGCCAGTCTTTTCTGCTTCCCTCTTGACTCTGTATGAGGTGAAGCGGGCCTCTGTTTCCTCTGCTTGGACATCCATTCACTCTCAGGCCCATTGTACCTGGGTGTCGGACAATGGTTCGGCTTCCAGTGCAGCAGATGGCCCCTTCTAAAAAGGCCTGGAGTGCTCTGTGGTCATCAGAGGAAGGGGAGATGTGTTGGCTGTTGGCTACCTGGACAAAGCCGCACTTTGCCTCCCTGGCTAGGATGCGTAGTTCAAGATGGCAGGACTGTGAGTAGTGTAGAAGTGCAGTGAAAGAATGAATTGCTCTCAAGGGCATCTGAAAAGCTGCTTGCTTTAAAGAGGATCTGAAAAGGTGGCAGCAGGTTTGCCTTTGTCTTTGGGATTGAGGAGGGGAGTGTTCTCTAGAGAGGGGAAGTTCGCAGAATGGTTCAGATAATGGCTGCATGGATAGGACCTCACCTTCCGTTTCTCACCTTCACAGACTTTTCAGCTGGACTTTCTTATCACAAGCAAAGCAAAGGATCCTGGAAACATTGTCCCCACACTGCTCGTGATGGGAACTGGAGCAGGATTGGTCTTGTTCTAGGGCACAGTTTGGAGCTGTGTTTGAGGAGGAACTGAGATGCTCCCCTTGCCCACCCCAATGTTCACCTACCAGGCCTGTGGTGGTTAGGCACTGAGGGCAGTTGTTAAAACGCTACTCTTATCTGGAACAAAATGTGTCTGTTATCTGGCAAGGAGGCCCATTAATCTATCAGCAGCCATCAGTGCCTCCCCATTAAGTAAGTTATTAGGCTGGTAGAAACCAGGGGCCTGAAAGAAGGCTTTAATGGAGCGGCCAGGTGCAATGGCTCACACCTGTAATCCCAGCATTTTGGGAGGTTGAGGTGGGTGGATCCTTTGAGGCCAGGAGTTCAAGACCAGCCTGGCCAACACGGTGAAACCCCATTTCTACCTAAAATCCAAAAATTAATCGGGCGTAGTAGTGTATACCTGTGATCCCAGCTACTATGGAGGGTGAGGTGGGAGGATCACTTGAGCCCAGGAGGCAGAGATTGAAGTGAGCTGAGATTGCACCATTGCACTCCATCCTGGGCCACAGATCAAGACTGTGCCAAACAAACAAACAAACAAACAAACAGGCTTTAATGGGGCACCTGAGTCAGGAGCAAGGCGTTGCCTTTGAAGAGGGTGGTTCCAGGTGAGACTCAGAGCTGGCGAACAGGTGACTGTTAGTAGGGTAAATGCAGCTGAGAGCAATAACTTAATCATAGCCTTAGAATCACCCTGTACGGCAGACACACCTGAATGTGTGTTCTGAGTTAGGAAATTTAAGAGTGGCCAACCCAGAGATTTGTTCTTTGTCCATAAGGAATATCTGAGTCCCCAGCGCATCCAGTGGAACAGGGGCTGAACAGGGGATTGAGTCTCCACGTTTTGGGTTGAATAAAAATTGCCAGGTGGAGGTTGTCAGGGGGAAGGTGTTAAATGGAAACACTATATATAAACTGCATGCTTTTTGCAAGGGACTGTGGCTTTCCTGCCCAGCCTGCCACCGCTGAACTGTATATAAGGTGGTTCTTCTCTTCAGCCCACTGTCAGTGGGCTCCCTCCCCCGTATGTAAGCCCCCAGCAAACTCCATTTCTTGTTTGCTGGCTCAGAGCCTCTTCTTTGGCCTCTTAAAATAGGGGTTCGGCATGACACCATTGTGTGCATAGAGGAGGCACGCGGAGGAGAGCGAACAGACTCCCAAAGTAAAACTTCATCTACTCCTGAATTTTGCCTGGACCCCACTCGGGTGGCCACAGGCGTGGATTCGCAGTTGCGCTATCTGCATTGGAGCCCATCTGCTGCTTTTCCTTGGACAATGGCTGCCCGTTTAGGGTTGTGACCCAGGAGTCGCTGTGGTTATCAACTGCGAGAGCTCAAACGGACACATGAGAAGCAGCTTTGTTTAGCGTCCTTGACATAACTAACCACATATTAACAACAGAGCCTTGTGGTATAGAGGCTCCTGTTTGTTCAGAATCTTAATAGGTGGGCTTTGTGCACATGGATTTCTAATACTGCTTACCCTGTATTTTAAGTCAAAGAGGGTCTTTGTGTGAAGGATTCTCCACCTCCTTTTCCCTTTCTACGAAGGAGGTAAGTGTTTTCTCTCACCTTTCGTGACTTACAAGCAGCTGAATAGCACTTGTGGTGTTTGAATGTCATATAATAGGCATCGTCACCGATAGAGAAATGTCCTTTTCCGTGTTTCTGAGCGCTCCTGTGCTTACTCTCCCTCTTACGTGTGAGCTCTCGCTCCTTCTTTATAAACTGGCTGTGAACAATTCTGTCCCCATGTTATTTTAAAGCTTGTATGTCCTTGGAATGCTGTGTGGGAACTGCTGTTCCCCTGGGAGACCATTTTGTGTCCAGCTCCTTCAGCAGACCCCAGCCAGGCCTCCGCTGACCATGTGGCAGTTGGTTAGAGGGCTGCTCTGAGCTGGTTGATGTGATTTAAAAGTAGAGCCGCATTCTAGAAGAAGTGAACTACTGTGAATAAAAGAAGACTCAAGGAAATGCATGCTGCTGGTAGAGATCGTGGTGATGGTGCTTGTGATGTTGGAGGTCTAAAATGCAAGAGGAGACATTATTTGTAGTCAGTCACGTCCTGTATAATATATGAGAGCCTGGTTCTGTAGGAACATAGGAACATCTGACTCCCTTTTCCATAAGGTTTGTATTTAAGTAGCTTCAGAAATGAAATTAGTGGCAGTTTGCACTTAGTTATAGGAATATTCAGTTGCATGAAGCTTATGACTTTGTGTTCCTTATTAATGTCATAAAGTCAGAAATGGGATGGCTGGAAAGTTAAGTCAGGATCCCTGAGCTTTCTATATTGGCCAAGTTGTGCAAAAAGAATTTTGGTGTAAAATGGTGTCTTTGTTCAAAACAGTGCCTGGCTAATAGGCTCTGATGTAGCTCTCACCAAAGATCTACTGAAATATTTACACACATTAAAAGTAGAAAAGTAGACAACTAACGGCCAACGTTTGAAGTGAAGCGATACTGACCATAAAAAAGGACTGCACAGAAAAAGACAGACATTGTCTTGGTCACATGAAACAGACATAATCGGGAAAATGATAGGAACGTACTTAATGCTCTTCCCTTCCCCTTGCCTCTGGAGCTTAACTGTATATAAGTGCCAACCTAAAATGTAGATACTAGGGGAGTTGATATCTTCTCTTCTCCTACTGCTCCCCACACTTCATCATTTTACAACTAGTTGAAGTCAGAGCTGCCCTGCCAATAACTTCTTAGGAAACAGAATGAGAGATTGTGGAGGAGGCACATTGTATTTGAAAGACCTCATAGGGAAAGCCCTGTAGGGAAATACAGAGAGCAAGTGTGTTCTAGAGAGAAGTGTGTGCTGGAAATCATGGCATGCCATGTCCTACATTGTTTCAGAGTTTCAGAAAACTGGACAGGGATTTTATAGAGTAATGGTTCTTCAAGTGTTGTCCTGGACCAGCAGAGTCACCTTGGAACTTGTTAGAAATGCAAAAATCAGAAATCTGGGTGTAGAGGCTGTCAATCTGTAGGTAAACAAGCCTTCCAAGTGTTTCTGATGCACCCTAAATGTGATAACTCTGTAGTATATGATGCAATGATAGGGAGTAGGAATTAAATATGAAGTTATACACATTAGCCTGCCCCCGGCTACAGAAATGGTTGGGACTAGGTTGTCACACACTTGTAGAAAGGAACTAATGCAATCAATTCATCATGTCTTTTGACAGACTCTAAGGGCAGATATGGTTCACTTTGTTCAAGGACAAGTAAGTCCTATTAAACTACTGTGAAGAAAGGAAGATTCAAGAAAATGCATACTGCTAAGAATTATCAATGTCAGATCCAGATTTAAAATTCAAAAAATTCTTTGATGTTTTCAAAAAAGAACAATTCAACATGAATAAAAGCAAAGTCTGCAGGATGAGGTAAAAAGAAAAATGTAGAGAAATGGAAGGATAGAAAAAACCCTAAAATTTTAATAGCGGTACTTAGAAACAAAAGGAGGCAATGGAGAACACTAAGTGGTACATTAGAAAGTCATATTGTTTTGAGAGACAAATGTTTAAATTGGAAAGTCATATTGTTTTGAGAGACAAATGTTTCAAAGTCTCTATAAGGATGCAGAAGGAGAAAAGGATGAAAAATATGAGCAAGAAAATGATCGAAGTGGATAACAGGATAACAGAGAATGGAGACCCAGAACATTAGTAATTGGTGCCTTTGAAGTAGAGGACAGAATAAATGGAAAGTAATAAAACCCAAGTGTATAAATATGTGATAAAATTTTTTTTGAACTGAAGAACTGAAATCTACAAGAGGTATATTGTAAAGGCTGACTATTCCAGGTAAAACTAATGATAAGAGAGACACATAGACATCCTGAAAAAAAAAAGTAAATTTTAATGATAATTTTAAAATCCTTTAAAAATCACATAGATAAACTGGATTATCTACAAAGAAAAGTAATCTTGATTTAGACTTCTTAGCTACATTAAATTTCAGAAAGTAATGGAAAAGGATTTTGAAGGGGAATAGTTGTGATCAAGAATTTACAGCCCAGCCTTGTGGTCTTTGAAGTATAAAGGTAACAGTAAAACAGCTTCAAATACACAAGGTTTAGAAAATACACCACATAGGTACATTTTGAAAGATTATTTAAAGATGTTCTACTGAGGGAGTCTTTAGAGAGCAACATTAAAAGTTCAATAATAGTAAAAGGGAACACATAATGTATTTATTGTGTGCCAGGCACTGTCCTAAGACACATTAATTGATTTAAACTTCACACAACATTATGAAGTGTGCTCTTCTAATATGCACCCCCACCCCGCTTTTTTTTTTCTTTTTTAAGATGGAGTCTTGCTCTGTTGCCCAGGCTGGAATGCAGTGGCACAATCTCAGCTTACTGCACCCTCTGCCTCCCGGGTTCAAGCGATTCTCCTGCCTCAGCCTCCTGAGTAGCTGGGATTACAGGTGCATGCCACCATGGCTGGCTAATTTTTGTATTTTTAGTAGAGACGGGGTTTCACCATGTTGGCCAGGCTGGTCTCGAACTCCTGACTCAGGTGATCTGCCTGCCTTGGTCTCCCAAAGTGCTGGGATTACAGGCGTGAGCCACTGCACCTGGCCCTAATATGCCCATTTTACAGATGGGGAGCAGAAGGACAGAGAAGTTAAGTAACTTACCTAAGGTTACACAACCAGTATTTGAACTCAAGGAGTATGGCATTAGAGTCATTCTCCTAATCATTATTCTCTACTACCTTTCTTTTATAAAAGGCTGATTGTAACTCCAAAATTAAGGAATAAATTACTTTTTAAATGCATGATTGTAAAAGTGAATACAAATGTCTTATTCTTAAAAGATATAAATACAAACATAATACAAGGTAATCATAATAATCTAGAGTTTAAAACTTGGATAATATAACCAAATACCAAGACAATTATTTTTATTACCCTCTTAGAATTATTTTCAGCATTAAAAACCCTTCCTTGGGTCCTAAATTTCTGACCTTAAATTATGAGGAGCTCAAAAGATACTTTTCATCTTTGAATCTGACAGTTAGGGAAATACACACTTTAGCACACTGTTGAAAAAAACATAAAGGTAACAGATACTAGAAATAAAAACTAGAGAAGTAAATGTGAAATATATAACAAATATTAGAAAATAAAGACCAAAATAAGAAAACAAAAGAAAAAGCATAAGACAAAGCAAAAAATGTCAGACCAAATAGCACAAACAATAAATATAAATATGCTAAACCTACTTATTAAAACATAAAGTGTCTCAGAATGGGTTTTAAAACAAAATGTGCTTTGCAAGAGACATCTGTAAAAAAAATAATAACAGTATGGCTAAAAATGAGTGAATGGGCAAAGATATATTAGGTGGATGTAAACAAACACAAAAACAAATGATCTTTAGTATTAAAACAGAGTGAAAGGCAGAGATCAGAAAGCATAAGAAACTTACTTTCAGGCCAGGCATGGTGACTCACTCCCGTAATCTTAGCACTTTGGGAGGCTGAGGTGGGTGAATCATTTGAGGTCAAGGGTTTGAGACCAGCCTGGCCAACATGGTGAAACCCCGTCTCTACTAAAAATACAAAAATTAGCCAAGCATGGTGGTACGTGCCTATAATCCCAGCTACTCGTGAGGCTGAGGTAGGAGAATTGCTTGAACCCAGGAGGCGGAGGTTTCAGTGAGCCAAGATCACACCACTGCACTCCAGCCTGGGTGACAGAGTGAGACTCAGTCTCGGGGGAAAAAAAGAAAAGAAACTTACTATCAGTGGTATGTTGGAGCTTGCTCCTGAGGGCCAGTTAGTTGTATCCATCTTGCCCCAACTCTGAGTGCAATGACCTTGTATCAGTAACTTGGAAATTTGCCACAGTGGAAGCATTTACACCACAAGGGTTGCAAATGCTACAAATCAGGGCTTTTCAATTATTTTCTTCAGAGCCAGTTTATCAGCAAACCACTTGTTACTGTATAATGATGAACAATAAGATTCACAAAGGAGATATGCATTATATATTTCTATGCATCATGAACATTGTATTGAAATCTATCAAGTTGGAAATACCATAAATCAGCAGAGAAAAATAGTAATAATCAACTTTAATGTTTCTTCTTTTGACTGAATGAGTCATCAAACCATAAACATATAGAGTATTTGAATTATATAAAGAATTTGGTTGATTTAATAAATATGTTTTTACTGAACACTGTATGCTATAGCATATGTTTGTTCTTTTCCAGCATCCATGCAACCTATATGCCTCAACTGAAAACCTCAACAAACTTCGCAGAGCATGTATGGTACAGGCTGTTTTCTGTGACCATAAAGCAATAAAAAGTTAAAAGTTTAACTTAAGGAAAAAAAAAAACACTTGGAAATTTTCCCCAAACACCAAATAACAATTAAACCCCATCCAAACCCAAAATTAAGAAAATAACAACACAGTCTCCCTTAATAGCTTCTAAATCATATAAGGATATTACAATTTCGATTACATATAATTTAGAAAATAACAAGAACACTGCATATCCAAACACATTGGATGCAACCAAAGCAGTAACAGGATTAAAATTCATTGTCTTAAATGGTTTTAGTATAAAGAATTAATGAAAATAAATGAACAGTATTTTAGCTCAAGAAAGTAGAGTTAATGAAATAGTCCCAAAGAAAGCAGGTGGAGGGAATTAATTTTAAACAAATAAAAGAAATTAATAAATTCTGTAATAGTAAAAAGTAGTTAGTAAATAGTTCCAAAATCTAGGATTTTGAGAAAACCAAATATTTGTTAAGACTTGGAAAATATAATAAAGGAAAAGGCACATTAATGTAGGAATCAGGATGAGATATAACTAAATATGTAGAAAAAATTTAAAAAATTTAAGAAACTACTAGTTAAAATTCCGTGCTAATAATTACAAAATTGTGTCAAGATATAACTAAATAAACTAATGACCAAAAAAGTTGGGAAAGTTTTCAAACCGTTAAGGGAAAAAAATAATGCTGAAGATCTTTTTATGTTGATTGTTTTCAAACTGTTAAGAGATAATTCCTATGCTTTTAAATAACTTCTAACTATGAAGATATTTCAAAAGTTTGGAATTTCATTTCCTGGGTGAACATTATCTTATACCATATCTGACAAAGATAACAACCAAAATTAACAACTAATTCCTTTGACGATATACCCATTATGAATATATATGATGAATATATGCTAAAAGATGTATAAGTGATGTATTAGCAAATAAAATCCACCAGTAAGTTAAAAAATACATTATGGCCAAGAATTTTCATTCCAGTTATACAGTAGTTTTTCCATATTAGAAAATCTCTTAATATAATTAATCACAATAGTTCAGATAAAAAGATACCAAGAAATACTTTTGATAAAATTAAGCAATTTGTCCTAAGAATAGAAGTATGTTTTCTTTTCTTTTCTTTTATTTTCTTTTTGAGATGGAGTCTCGCTCTGTCGCCCAGGCTGGAGTGCAGTGGTGCGATCTTGGCTCACTGCAAGCTCTGCCTCCCAGATTCACGCCATTCTCATGCCCCAGCCTCCAGAGTAGCTGGGACTACAGGCGCCTGCCACCATGCCTGGCTAATTTTTTGTATTTTTAGTAGAGACAGGGTTTCACCATGTTGGTCAGGCTGGTCTCGATCTTCTGGCTTCATGATCTGCCCACCTCAGCCTCCCAAAGTGCTGGGATTACAGGCATGAGCCACCGTGCCCGGCCATAAGTGTGTTTTCTAAGATTTTTTTTTTTTTTTTTTTCTTTTTGAGATGGAGTCTTGCTCTGTCACCCAGGCTGGAGTGCAGTGGCGTGATCTTGGCTCACTGCAACTTCTGCCTCCTGGGTTCAAGTGATTCTCCTGCCTCAGCCTCCCAAGTAGCTGGGATTATAGGCACCCACTGCCACGCTCAGCTGATTTTTGTATTTTTAGTAGAGACAGGGTTTCTCCATGTTGTCCAGGCCGGTCTCGAACTCCTGACCTCAGGTGATCCACCTGTCTCAGCCTCCCAAAGTGCTGGGATTACAAGCATGAGTCACCGTGCCCGGCCAGATTAATTCTTTTATATCAACATTCAGCATCATAAACAGTGTTGTAACACTGGAGGAAGGCCCTTTAAAGATCATGATGCCTGTTCCCACTTGTATTTTGTAATTGTTCTCTAGTTGTAGAAAAAGCATAAAACAAGATACAGAACTAGAGGTATACAACTGGAATGGAGTTGACAAAATGATCATCATATTCATGTCACTTGACTACAGGACTACGTTTCTGAGAATGCATCACTAGGCGATTTCGTCATTATGTGAACACCATGGAGCCCCGGCCCCCAACCTTTTTGGCACCAGGGACCGTTTTCATGGTAGACAATTTTTCCGTAGTAGGTCGGAGTGGTGGGGAAGTTGGGGGATGGTTTTGGGATGAAACTATTCCACCTCAGATCATCAGGCATAGTTAGAGTCTCATAATGAGTGCAACCTAGATCCCTCACATGCACAATTCACAATAGTGTTCTGTGCTCCTATGAGACTCTCATGCCTCTGCTGATCTCACAGGCGGTGGAGCTCAGGAGGTAATGCTGGCTCGCTTGCTGCTCACCTCCTGCTGTACGGCCTGGTTCCTAACAGGACATTGACCAGTACTGGTCCATGGCCTGGGGGCTGGGGCCAGTGTGCTTACACAAACCTAGATGGTATAGTCTACTACACACCTAGGCTATGTGCTATAGCCTATTGCTCCTAGACTACAAACCTGTACGGCATGTTACTGTATTGAAAAGTGTAGGCAGTTGTAACACAATGAAAAGTATTTGCATATTTAAACATAGAAAAAGTACAGTAAAAATACCATATAAGGGATTAAAAAAATGGCACACAAAAACACACATACCATAAATGGAGCTTGCAGGATTAAAGTTTCTCTGGGTGAGTTAGTGAGTAAATGTTGAGTGAATGTGAAGGCCTAGGACATTACACTGCTATAGACTTTATAAGGACTATACACTTAGGCTAACTAGTTTATGAAAAATATTTTTCTTTCAATAAATTACTCTTACTGTAACTTTTCAAAACTTTTAAATTTTTTACCTGTTTGACTCTTGTAATAACTTAGCTTAAAACACAAACACATTATATGCTATACAATTTTTTAAAATATCCTTATTCTGTAAGCTTTTTCCTATTTATTAACTTTTTAAACTTTTTTATTAAAAACTAAGACACAAACACACACATTAGTCTGGGCCTACACAAAGTCAGGATCACCAATATCACCATCTTCATTTTGCCCCACTGGAGGGTCTTCAAGGGCAATAGCACTAACGGCGCGGCCATCTCCTAGGATCACAATGCCTTCATTTGGAATACCTTCCCAAGGACCTGCCTGAGGCTCTTTTATAGTTAACTTAAAAAAATTATATATAAGTAGAAGGAGTACACTTTAAAATAGTGATAAAAAGAATAGGACAGTAAATAAACAAGTAACATAGTTGTTTATTATTATCAAGCATTAGGTACCACACATAATTGTATATGCTAGACTTTAATATGACTGGCAGCGCAGTAGGTTTGTTTACACTGTTATCACCACAAACACATGAGTATTGGGGTTGTGCTATGACATTAGGACAGCTAAAGGTGATAGGAATTTTCCAGCTCCATCATACTCTTACAGGGCCACTGTTATATATGTGATCCTTTGTTGACTGAAATGTCTTTATGTGGTGCGTGACTGCATTTTCAGGAGATATGATTATACATCTAAACATATGAACAATAAAGTAAAAATATTTTAGAATGAATTATGGGCTTTAGAAGGGTGTCTATATGTAAAACAAACAAATTATTTGCTTCCATATCCACCGTAGAATATACTAGAAAACAGAAAAAGTCCTATCAACAATAGCAGCAAAATTGATAAAATACCTAGCAATAAACTTATTGAAAGAAAACTATAAAGTATTGCTGAAAGGCTTAACCTGAGTGAATGGGTGAAAATAATCAATATTTAAAGATATCAATAGTCTATAGATTTAATTCGATTTCAATTAAAATTTCCAAGGGATTATATTTGAAACAAAATGATTCTAAAGTTAGCTCAGTGGTTACATATGAAATAGTAGTTTAGGATTTGGGGGAAAACTGAGTAAGACTAGGTTTGCTCTCCAAGATATAAATGTATTACAACGGTTGAATAATTGAAATAATAATTGAAAGTTTGAATACATGAATGAATGACAAGTCATTTTGAGAAAAACAAAAGATTGCCTATAAATTGTGTTTTAAAAATTTGATTGCCATTTAGAGAAAAAATTATGTTCTCCCAACTCATTTCATAAACAAACTCCCAGATGGATTAATGGTTTAAAAGTAAAACATGCAAGTATTAGAAGCAAATATATATAAATGTTGACATAATCTCTGGTGTGAGGAAAGTATCACAGGTTAAAAGGCATAAACCGTTTACTTTTCTGGTACTTGTTTGGCACATAGTAGTCTTATAAAGAAAAAATGCCAGCCTGGCAAACATGGTGAAACCCCATCTCTACTAAAAATATTAAAATTAGGTATGGTGGTGAGCACACGTAATCCCAGCTATTTGGGAGGCTGAGGCATGAGAATTGCTTGAACCCAGGAGGCAGGGGCTGCAGTGAGCGAAGATTGCACCACTGCACCCCAGCCTGGGCTACAGAGTGAGAGTCCATCAAAAAAAAAAAAAAGAAAAAAAAGAAAAATAATTGTTGGATTTTAAAATAAATTTACAAAAACTGCATACATTTATTAATTAGCAATATTTATGGTTAACAGAAAACTTGATTTTTAATCTATCTTAAATAGATACTGATTTATTTGTCTCAAGCAACATGCAATCTGCAAGTTTGTAGTCAAGCTTGTAGTGTGTCTCAGGAAATGTGGACTCCCTCCATCCTTCCATTTCCTGTTCAGTGTAGAGCTCTGTCCTCCTAGAATTTACCTCATGGTTGCATAATTGTTGCTGTACCTCTAGGCTCATCTTCATTTTCCAGGCAGAAAGAAGGCAAACAGGCAAAATACCTAAGAGGCATGCTAGTTGAGTCTATCCCTTATTTTAAAAAATTCCCAGATTATTTCCCAGCAACTTTCATTAATATCTTATTGGCTGTAATGTGTTACATGAGCACTCCTAGCTGCAAAAGAGTCTGGGAAAATGGTGCCTTCCATCCTCTATCTTAGAGTAAGACTGGGATGACAGATTGAGAATGGCTTTTTGATGTCCAATCCACAATAAACAAAATTGAAAGACAAGTAAATCAGGAAAAATATTTGTGTCATATAAGACAAAGATAATATCCTTAATAAAGAGCTTCTAGAAATTGAAAACAAACCCAGTAAAAAATGATATAAATAGGACATTAATAAGATATAAAATGGACAATTACTTTATGAAATGTTTAGGATCTCTAGTAATCCACTAAATATAAATTAAAACAGATTATCACTTTTTATGTATCAAACTTAGTGACAAACTACTGTAAAAATTCAAAATGGGAGAGTTGGTTAAATAAATTATGGTCCATCTATAAATCAGGAAAACCATGTAGTCATTAAAAATACATTTTCCTAGATTACATGGCATATGTTTACAATATATTTTTAATATTAATATTTTCATGTGGCAAAATATGAAAAATCACTTTACAAAATAACATAAACCATGAGATTCCACTAAAAGTTAATAGAAGAAAGATGAAGAATATTTAGTGGTTATCTTTGGGTGACAGAATCATGGATCAGTCTTTATTTTGTTCTGTTCTACTCATTTTCATTTTTTAAATATTCTATAATAAATTTGAATTACTTTGGTAATAAAGCCAATAAAATTATTATAATAAAAAGTATGGGTTGAAACTGGAACAGAAATAGAGAGCCAGGAAAGCATATGAAATTGAGGCTGATCAGAGTAGGCTTAATTCTATTCCCGTAATCAAGCAGCTATCTAGTTATGGTGTCTGCTTTCCTTTTTGCATATGCTCTATTTTCCTCTTTCTAAAAAGTGGCTTTTTTTTTCTTTTGTATTCTGTGTGTCTTTTCTTACTTCACAACCTTTTTTTTTCTCTATGGCTGTTCCATCTCTTCTACTTTATTGTTGCAGCTCCTTTGTAATTTTGGTTTGCCATGCATGGTCCTTAACTCTACCTCTTGGCCTTATAGTTTCACTTGGCACAGTGAGCTACGTGATTCTTTTCATGTTTCCTCAATTTGAATTCCTGGGAGTGAAAAATATACTTAACCTAGTCAGTCTTTTCACAGCAAGCCATGGTAGAGATAGCCGATAACTTGTGGCTCTGTTGTCCTTAGGTCAGGTATCCACACTGGTTTAATCAACAGAATCTGGGTAGGCAGGAGTGATCATGTGGTGCCAAGCATGGTGACAAGGCATTCCCCTTCAGCAGGGGCTCTGGATAAGGTGCCTGTAGCAGTCACTGCTGTCTCTATGGTTGACATATGTAGTACACTTCACCCCTTGCCTGTTCTCGCACTTACGCTTATTCTCACATCATTGTTCTACAAAAGATGTTCCTGCCTATTAACAGTTACTTATCACACATAAAGCCAAAAACATCCTCATTCTATTTCTATATCTAGAGATTGGGGCATTGCAAAGTCTGCTTGCTAAAACTAAAACAAGAATCTTCATGCAAGAGATTGAAAAAATGAACAAACAGACAAATAAAAATTGACGACATCCAGCATTAGTAAGGATATGCAGAAACTGCCATCCTTGTATGGTGCCAGTACAAGTGTGAGCTGCTAAGACTTTCTGGAAAATAATCTCAAAGTATCTGTTAAAATTACAAAGTTTTTTTGTAATCACCCCACTACTAGACTCTATGCTGTAGAAATAAATGTATCAGTATAAAAAAATATGTTCAAGGATATTTACATAGCATTGTTTATAATAAAAATCTGGAAACAATCTGAATGTTCATCAAAAGGGGAATACATAAATACATCATGATTTATGTAGACTCTTGTGAAGTTATTAAATAGAATGAATTAGAACTATATGTATATATAGAACGGTTTTCACATAATATTATGTTAATGCCAGGTATATACAATTATGATAATTTCTTTTAATAATGTATCTTTTTGAACATAGAAAAATATAAAGGGAGGTGGGTCCAAGATTCACTGCACATAACAGAAATAATTCTATCATAGTCAAGTAGTTAACTGATTATATTTCTTTCTCAAATAGAGTTTTGTTTTTCTTTGAGTTTATAATTGCTTTTTTTGCATTGTCTGTCTTAATCTTATCCTTACAATTTTTTTTAACTTCTCAAACATGATATCAAATATATGGAATTCCTTTTTTATTGTGATTCCTCTCTTCTGGTGTTGTGTTTCCTACTGTCTTATCCAGATGTATTGTTCTCTATGTGCCATGGTTGCTATTCTGGGCTTTACTTCACTTTTGGCTCATACCCAGTGTTTTCTAAATCCCAGGCCTTTCCCTTGTGTTATTCTTTTGTTTTGCTGGAGCACATCCTCAAGTAATTGCCTAGTACAGGGTGTGGGAGATAAACTTTTAGAGTCTGCACATCTGAAAATGTAACACTTACTTAACAGTTTAACTGGGTATTAAATTCAATTTCCCTCAGAATTTTGAAAAGTATTATCTTTTCTATTATTTTGTATCATTTAGTGTTGCTTTTGGAAAATTTGATGCCAGTTTTATTCTTATTTCTTTGTGGGCAACTTGTTTTTTTCCCCTCTCTCTGGAAGCTTCTAGAATCTTCTAATAATCTTTAGAGATCTGCAAAAATGAGTATCTAACATAAAATTTCTTATTTAGGAAAGGAGGGGAGGTGCCCTTTTCCCATTGTAACTTGTCTGATATGATGCATAGCATCCATCTGCTTTGTGATGTTTACCTCATTCCTAATCCTATGAATCAGAGTTAGGGCCAAAGCCACTAAGTTCCCCACAACCCCCATCTATGGGACCCAAGATCTGGGTCACTGGAGTCTATCAATGAAAGCCCAGTGTTTGTCACTTACCTAGCCTGTGGGGCTTCGTTTCCCTTCACCCTGTCACTGTACGATATCCACTTCCACTTACCCCAAGTATCCCCTGAGATCCTATTCTATGTTCCATGAATGCACCTCACTCTCTCCAATTCAGGACTGATTCCAGCTATAGTCAGGCTCTTTCAGTTTCAGGGAGAAAAAAAGAACCACCCAGACTACCGTGGGCAGAGGGAGGTGGGTAGGTCTGAGGATTCTTGTGTGTTAGAACTGAATCTCTGGCCAAAGGACCTCTTGAATGTGTTATTTCCCTATCATAGGACACACAACCTCTCTTTGATGGTGCCTGTGCTGCCTTAGGGCCAGATTGTCTGGATTCGAATCCCAGCCCTACCACGTGCCAGCTATATGACCTTGGGCAAGCTGCTTAATCTCTCTGTGCCTCTGTTTTCTGATGTGGAAAATGGGGATAATAACAGAACTTCAGGTTTTTGTTGTGAGGATTGAGTTAACACATATAACAGATTGAGCACACTGGCTGACACATCGTAAGTGCTCAACAGCAATATCTAACATGCCAGCATGTACACAGCATTTACCATGGGCCAGATGCTGTTAGAGGTGGAGGAACCAGCCCAAGGTAACACTGCTAGGAAAAGGACAGGCTGGGGTTCAGACCTGGGCAGGGTTCAAGAGCCTGGGTTCATGCTCTTGACCACTTCACTCTACAGTTGTTTTGGTTTCTCTACCTCATATTTCCTGCCTTCTATCTAACTGTGACTTGTTTTGATCATTCGTGGTCCTTATCTACTTCATGGCTTCTCTCTTTATGCATGTTTTCTGTCTCTGGCTTCACTATCAAGTGCCTGATTTTTCTTAAAGGGAGAGAGAGTGAGAGAGAGAGACTCAGTTTCTGTTTTGTGTCAGGCCATCCTGTAGCTTATTGGCTGTCATCTGCATTTGTTTGTTGTCCTTGGATCAGGTGCCCACACTTCTATCCAGCTGGAGCCAGAGTGGGGTAGAGAGTTGCTACTTCAACAGTAACTGTGACTGGGGTAAATTCTCTCAGAAGGGGCTCTGAGGGCAAGATGGTGCCATGCTTGATGGGGACCATCTTGTACTACAGTATAGACTCTTGGCATTGCTGTCCTTTCTTCTGAAAATGAGTCTCCTACTTTTGTACCTGGTTTTGAATTGGTAAGTAACGAGATGAAGGAGATGGATTTTGTGCATGGAAGAATGCTGATAATGGTCTTTAAAATTTCAGGATGTGGTTGTGATGGAAACTAAATTTTAGGGCGACACCCATACCAGATGAGATTAGTTATTTGCAGAAGCAACACCATGTTTTAATAGATTGGAGATGCCATGATTGTCCAAACTCTCTCACTAAGTATCAGACTGTATTCTCAGAAAGACAGGTTTGACATTAAATAACAATCATTGAAAGTTCATTTAACTTTTCACTCAGTTACTCATTCAACATCTATGGGTCACCCACCAGGTCTAGCAGAGGGTGGAAGATGACCCCTATGACTTGTGCATGTGAGTCACTAAAAAAGGAGTGAGAATATAAACGCCTCTCTGTTTTTACTCAACCCAGTCAATCCAGGAGATAGAGAAAGAGACAGAGATGGAGGGAGATCTGAATATCAATGTATCAATGTCTGGTAATTATTCTTGACCATCAATATGATGATTCTTAATTAGCTAGCTAGTTATGTGGTTTTGATGCTATAACTCAACGACATTGTGGCCTTAGATCAGTCCCTTATATTTAAAAAGGAATAATAATTCCTGGGGGATTTTAAAAGAATTAGTGATAATAGATGTCTGGCTTGGTGCCTGAGTGCTATTACTTTTAGGCAGCATTTTCCCTGGAGTGGAAAGTGGCAATTCATCCCATTCCTTTTGCTCTTACTTTATGTTCATTAAGCAACTTTCTGACACATAATTTGCTCCTCTGAGGCAATTATTCCAGGAGAGAGTGTTCTGAATGACCAATGTGAATGATTCTGTAAGATGTATCTCCCCTAGTAAATTGATAAATCAATGAACGTATCAGCATTCTGGTTGGCAAATTAGGCTCCTGCTAATTTGGTTACATGAGTAACTTCCACAAGTACAACCTATTCCAAGTGAACAGGTTCAGTCACATTTTAGGATCCCCACATTTGAGGACTCGAGTGGCAGCTAACACTTGCCAGGTACTACCAACCCGCAGGGCCAACCTGAGCACGCAACCTGCCTGGCTCTGGCACTCCTACCTGAAAAGGGACCATTGTGTTGGCAGCGCAGGGTGGGGGGCTGAAATAGAGAGACCCTGGGAGCAGATGCCCAGGTTAGGCCTCTTGCAGTTGACCTGGGTAGAGGTAAAACTGGCCTGAACTCAGGTGGTAGCAAGAGGCATGGAAAGAAGGAAAAGGACAGATGCAAAGAAAGTGGCGCAAATTGGAGATAGTTTAGCAGCATAACTTTATACAGTCTGAGATGATTCAGGTCAACCCTCTCATTTTTTTTTTTTTTTTTAACCTGTGAAGCATGAAACTTATCAGGTGCCTGTGGTCCCATCCACCGCTCAGAGCCCTGGTGGACACACTGCATTGCGGGCCTCCGGAATGGTTCTATTACAGCATTGAGTGTTTTGATCAAACACATTGCACAATAGCTGTCTCAAGTATGCCCAGGCATGGCTTGAGCTATGGATACATATGCTGAGTGTATTAATCAAGTTTAATAGACCCCAGTGTCTGAAACAATGCCTTAAATTCTTTTTTCAGAAACTGCACAGAAGTGCAGCATTGTACAGCAAATAAAAGTGTTGCTACAATGCCTGTAAATCAGAGCTTTAAACTATGTTTCAATTATCCTTCTATTATCCAGCTGGTATTTAAGCATGTTTATTATTCAAATCAGCAGCGAATGTGCTGCTGTTGTGTAAACAACTGTCAATTGCTGAAACAATGATTAGGAGGCACCATCCCTTTCAGGTGTACTTAGCGGTACTTATACCCCAGCCACTTGTATTTAAATATCATGTAAACACAATGCTTGAGTGACTACTTTCACTCCTGTTCCCAATGCCTCATGCCAATTCTATTACATTAAGAGGGAAATCTATTAAATTTTTCATTGATACACATCCGTACACTGTTTTTACCCATTGTATCATTAAGGCTTGGATTAATATAATAGATATGCTGAGAGATACAGTGTGCATTGAAAAAGCCTGTTCAAAATGAAAGCCAATTTCTCTGCATTATTTGGGGGTGTTGGAAGGCTTTTGTGAAAACAATGCAAAGAAAATGATTTTCTGAATAAAAAGCATGACATGGAGAAAAGAAAAATTTGGCCCCCAGAAAGAGCATCTTGAACCTTTATTAGCTCCATTACCAATTCAGCACAGAAAAAAGTGGAGAGCCAGAAAATAGGACATTTGTAAAATGAAGCTGTGTTGCTTTTGAAAGTTCTCTGCCATCACCAGTAAGGGGTTTGTGTGTGTGTGTGTATGTGTGTGTGTTGGGACTGGAGTTTGTGGGTGATGGTTGCTGGGCAGAGCTTGAATTTGCTTCTAGGCTATGCTCCCAATAAGTTTTTCCTTTTTTTCTTAAGCCTCAATTTCCACATATAACCCAGGAAGACAATATTTTAAGTACAGTAGTTTTGTAAATAGTGAGGAATCATTATCTGGTCAAATGATTGACACCACCAGGGTTTTCATGTTAACCTGAGGTGTGTCTTTTGGGGGCTCAATAAATTGTTGTTGATTGGTCTCAGTTGCTAATCTGCAAATGGTATCTACTGTGTTTAGCAGGTGGATGCTGGAGAGAAAAGGGCAATGGCAGGATCTTGACTTGAGATTAGAACTTCTAACTCGGTGAATTCATGGATAGTGGCTTGAGTACATAGTAGAACCTCCCAGGTGGGTTGTAAAAAAGCTGTGCCTCATCCTTGGAGGTGATGTCATGATGTCCAAAATACTGCCTTCTAATTGATTTTGAAATACAACAAATTCCAGTTCTTTAGAATCTATAATATGTAGGGTGACCATGTAATTTATCACACAATTTGGGACATTTTGGTAGTAAGGTGTATTTAATAATTATGCTGGGACATCAGATGTAAACCAGCACTGTCCTGGGCAAGCCAGTACATACGATCACCCTAAAATCACATGGCTAAAGACCAAATCTGGGTATTAAGGCAAGGAAGGAGAATGAAAAACTAGCCCCTTGGGGGTTCTGTCTTTACCTGTCTTTTGAGGTTGGTCATTGCTTTATCTTTAAAGAAAGAGAGTTGATCCTTTTTTTTTTTCTTCTAAGAATTAGAATCCAGAAAGGCAAATAAATTCCACTTTTATAAAATACTATAAGCGGAAATTCATTTGTACATATTAAATTAGTAAATGGTCGTTCAATTTTCAAAATAATTATTCTGTAATGAAAAGGCTTCCCTGACTCCTAGCTGGCAACCTGTTTTTGTATGGGATTTAATTTCTTCAAGGCTTACCTAGAGGGTGTCTGTTGAACAAATGCGAAGTCTTTACACTTCACATAACTTTAATTTCTTAGCAGCGACTTGGGCTCAGTCAACAGAGTCAAATAATGACTCTTGGAATGTACACATGTAGAATTGAACCAAGAAATGCCAATTCTTAGGTATCAAAGGGTAAGCAGTACCTTCATTAATACATTTTATAATGTTCTCCCCTGCAGCAGACACAAACTTTAATGCTAGCATATGAAAATAATTTTCGTGTGTTAGATAACCAGTTTTTATACCAGTATCCTGTGATTCTTGCAGCCATTTTTATCTCTTTTATTATGTCCATAGATGTATCTCTTTTATTGAAGCACATGCTCTGAATTTCTTTTTCATTGAATGAAGATGAATGTCAGTAAGTTTATACATTTATCAAACAGCAAGATATCTGGTCTCTTTCCCATCTGGGCAGACTGATTCTCACAGCTCTGTCTCCAGTATCTTTGATTGCCTGTTTTCTAACAACTTCTTGGGTTCCTACCTACAATAGGGTGCTAATTCATTTACTGGAGGACTAATTGCTGAGGGGATGGTGGAAGAGCATCATTGTGCCTTTTCATGTAATGCACAGCAGCCAAAGTAGGGGCCTGCTTCAATTGCATGCTCTGTTGTCTCCTAAGCCCCAGGCATTACCTGTGCCTGTCCTTAAATAAGTTTTCCTCCATTATGTACTTGTAATTCCTGGTACCAATCACCAGATCCGGAGTACTTCCAGTAAGCCCTTCAGTGTCCCCAAATGCCTGACTTCTTTTATCCAAAAGTTAGATCCACTTTTATCTTTGTCATTTAAGCTCATCTGATGGAGGTTAAGTACTGTGTAGTTTGTTTTTGTTGTTGATAAAACACTGATAGAGTTTCCATGGAGGTATACTCTATACCCCCTAACTTCATATTGTGAAACTCCAGGCAGGGTTTATTGGCCAAATCATAGGCTATAACGGGCTAGTTGTAAAAATAACTCCTTGGTTTTGCAGTTACTGAGCAATATAAATTGTGGCTGCCAATTATTCTGTGCCTGTCTCTTTAATGGGGTTTAGTGGCTCTGTGAGTCTAGTTTGATCCTGCACTCACGGTCTCCAGTTCAAGTCCTGTTTTCTCTAGGAAACCATTTCACTGTTTGACTCTACCCAGATCCTCCCTGAATTCGTAGGAGCCGCAGTTTGTCATGTCCAATTCTTTTACTTAACCGTATTCTACCATTATTGATGCTGTTTTCCAGACTTTCCCTATACTATATAAGCCCTTATTTGTGTGGGGTGGGGAGGCCTTTTTACTTCTGTGACTACTTTGGTGCCTAGCCCAGGGCCGAAGTCATAGGGAATTAATAAACACTAATTGAGCCAATATTGACTGAGTACTTAACTGTGTGCAAAGATGGGTGCTTAGTACTCGGGGAAGGAAACAAATTCCCTTTCACCAGAGGGGTTTCCAAAATAGGAGAAATCCGAAAGAGAAGTGAGAACAGACACCAGATTTTAAAGTCATCTAGCAGGACTTCAAAGGAATAATTTAGAAAATGGAGCTTTGAGATGATATAACTCAAGAAAAATCTTGTATAAGATTAGTAAATCTGTTACGAATTTTAAAATGTTGAGGAATGTCTTTTTTTTTTTTTAGAAATAGGAATGGCTCACTAGCCTGACACAAAGACCAAAAACTGGGGGCACTGTTCTCCTGAAAGACTATGCAAGTGTGTGGAAGCTGTGTGCCTTTGGGAACTGGCTCTCTGAGGGCAGGGGAGATGGTGCCCCCACGGCCCTGCTCTGGCAAGCCGGGGCTGGCCATCCAGCAGCATTGTGGAGCAGCAGCCTGGGAAGGCATTGACATTTTTGCACGTGGTGTTGATGGTGGAGGTGGGGAGAGGTGTCCTGTGAAGCCAACTTGTAAGTATCACTTTGGAGTTCCCTGAAGCAAGTGGGGAGATGCTAATGTAGGGATGGGATTCCTTCACCCCTCTGCTCCGAATCCCCCAGCAGCCCTTTATTCATTTCAGAGAAATGGCCAAAGTCACAATAAGGCCGGTATAATCCAGACCTCTGGCACCCCTATGTCTTCACCTACTCTCCCTTCTCCAGCTATGCAGATCTCCTTACTTTTCCTCCAATAAACTAGAGACTGTCCTGCCCATGCCTGGATTTCCTTCTGGTTCATAGTTGTTTCTTCAAGCCTTTGTTTAAATGTCACCTTCTCCAAGGAGGTGTCCCTTCACTATTGTCCCTCCCCTGAGCATTCCTGATCCCCCTTCCCTGGCTCTATCATTTTCCAGGCACTTGTCACCTTCTAATATATTATATCATTTACTCGTTTTTATGTTCAGTCTCTCCACTAACATAAGCTCCATAAATGGTACAGAGTTTTGCCCATTTGTTCTCTGATGGATTCCTGCAGCCAGAACACCACCCGCTATGTGTTTAGTAAGACTTTATTGAATGACTAAATGAGCATGTGAGGCCTTGACGAGATAGTGATAGTGATAGCAATAGTCAGCTTTTAATGTTACTCTGACTTCATTTGCACTTTTAGATGGTTATGCTTGGGGACATTCATTCACAATTGTAATGAGGCTCTATCTTCATTCCTGATTGATTTTTGAAGAGTCTGTCTTAAGACATCACTTAAAAATGTCCCTGTTCCTTGTGTCTTTGGAAATAATTTATGGTTTGCAAATCAACATTTAAATGCCCAAAGGAAGATCCTGGCAAGGAACTTTAGAGTGAATATCTTTATTAAGAGAGAAAGCCTTCGGTAACTTGTACGATTGCCGCCTCCACACGTGGAGCCAGAGAAATCAACCTTTAGGAAAAAGCATTCTTGCCCCAATTTGGGGTCTTTTATAAACTGAGAAGACTCAGCCCTTTCTGAGTGGCTGTAATAAAAGTCACACAGCTCTCCCAGCCTGCTACTTAAGAAGCTGTTAATGGCCATCTTATTAGCCCATTAGCAACTGCTTTAGCCCATTAGTCGACAGTTAAGTGGTACAAACTGCTGGAGTTCCAGCAGGATTAGGGTTGGTGGACTTCAGTGCTGTGATTCCATGCTTTGGCAAATTATCTAAGTGGGAAAGGGCAGACTTTCTTATACAGCATTTCCTTGTTATGAGGCACACTTGTGCTTCATTTTCTATCTGGGGTGAAATTTTTATGGCAATCATTTGAGAAGAAGTAGTGTTGTCCTTGTAAACTACAGAGACTCAACTGCCAAAGACCTGACCATTTACCATCTATCTCTAGTTGCCACCCAGCTACCCTGCCAAGACATAGGAATTAGTTCAAAACACTGGTGACAGAGGAGATGTGCCCAAACCTGGAGGGGTGGCCTCTGTGTCAACTGGAAAAAGTCAGCTCACCTTGATTCTTTGATCTGTTTTTTACCTATGGTAGGAAGAATGACCCTCTTAAAGATGAGCATGTCCTAATCCCTGGAACTTGTAAATACGTTATGTTACATGGCAAAAGGGACTTTATGGGTGAGACTGGTCTGAACTATCCTGGTGTGCCCAATGCCATCACAGGTTCTTAAATATGGAAGAGGGAGGCAGAAGAGGAGGTCAGAGTGATGCAAAGTGATGAGACCTCCATGCTGTTGCTGACTTTGAAGATGAAGGAGGAGGGCCATGAGCCAAGGAATGTGGCACCTCTAGAAGTGGGGAAGAGCAAGGGAAAGAATTCGTTCATAGAGCCTCCAGAAAGGAACTCAGCCCTGCTAACACCTTGTTGTTAGCCCACTGAGATCCATCTCTGACTTCTGACCTCCAGGGCTACCAGATAATAAATATGTGTTGTTTTAAGTACCACATTTGTGCTAGTTTGTTATATAAGCAGCAAGAGAAAATTAATATAGTACCCAAGGTGGTCAGGGGACTTTGTAGTAGAACAATTGAAGAAAGAGATAGCACAGTTCCTTCTCTTAAGGGTTTAGGGTGGCAAAAAATAGGCACAAAAAGCAATGACTCTACAACAATTTTTGGAGAGCACACAAACTTTAGCTTTTACCCCAATCTAACCCCATTCTCAGGGATTGATTGCATTAGCAGGAGAGAAGAAACAAATACAAAAGCAAGCAAACAAACACAAACCCCAAACTTACCATTTGAATGCCTGCCATGCACAGCATTTTAGCAGAGGAGGATAAATACATTTATACCTGAAATAACTTGAAACACAAAGATATATGATCAAAAGCAACCATCACAAGAACAAGATAATATTGTACAAAGTGGAGAGGTGGTGCAATGACACAAAGTAATACTGATATGCAGCTTTATCAGTGAACATGCACCATTCCAGCCATCTTAATAGCCATGAATAGAATAGATTCTGTGATGGAATCTTGCGCTGGAGTGCTCACGTGCATTGCCAAGTGCTGTCTCCATGTTGCTTGTGGTTTTTTGATTGTTCTCTGCCAGCACATCCTTTTAATTAGTCCTTTGCTGTTTCAACAGTTTTCTCATTTCCAGTCATTCTTCTGATTCTTTACTGTTCTCAGAATGCCTTTGACATTTCCTGGTTTATTTTGGTCCTAGACTATTTTGACAAATTCTAAAGTGTCTCATTTTAATATCTTTGTGACTTCTCAGCATTCTTACACCTAATTCACAAACTTAAAATCAAATTTTTAGCCTTTGATTAATAAATAAATGCTGAGGAAGGGATATATTTTTTTTATTATACTTTAAGTTTTAGGGTACATGTGCACAACGTGCAGGTTTGTTACATATGTATACATGTGCCATGTTGGTGTGCTGCACCCATTAACTCATCATTTAACATTAGGTATATCGCCTAATGCTATCCCTCCCCCCTCCCCCCACCCCACAACAGGCCCCGGTGTGTGATGTTGCACTTCCTCTGTCCATGTGTTCTCATTGTTGAATTCCCACCTATGAGTGAGAACATGTGGTGTTTGTTTTTTGTCCTTGCCATAGTTTGCTGAGAATGATGGTTTCCAGCTTCATCCATGTCCCTACAAAGGACATGAACTCATCATTTTTTATGGCTGCATAGTATTCCATGGTGTATATGTGCCACATTTTCTTAATCCAGTCTATCGTTGTTGGACATTTGGCTTGGTTCCAAGTCTTTGCTATTGTGAATAGTGCCGCAATAAACATACGTGTGCATATGTCTTTATAGCAGCATGTTTTATAATCCTTTGGGTATATACCCAGTAATGGGATGGCTGGGTCAAATGGTATTTGTAATTCTAGATCCCTGAGGAATCGCCACACTGACTTCCACAATGGTTGAAGTAGTTTACAGTCCCACCAACAGTGTAAAAGTGTTCCTATTTCTCCACATCCTCTCCAGCACCTGTTGTTTCCTACTTTTTAATGATCGCCATTCTAACTGGTGTGGGATGGTATCTCACTGTGGTTTTGATTTGCATTTCTCTGATGGCCAGTGATGATGAGCATTTTTTCATGTGTCTTTTGGCTGCATAAATGTCTTCTTTTGAGAAGTATCTCTTCATATCCTTTGCCCACTTGTTGATAGAGTTGTTTGTTTTTTTCTTGTAAATTTGTTTGAGTTCATTGTAGATTCTGGATATTAGCCTTTTGTCAGATGAGTAGATTGCAAAAATTTTCTCCCATTCTGTAGGTTGCCTGTTCACTCTGATGGTAGTTTCTTTTGCTCTGCAGAAGCTCTTTAGTTTAATGAGATCCCATTTGTCAATTTTGGCTTTTGTTGCTATTGCTTTTGGTGTTTTAGACATGAAGTCCTTGCCCATGCCTATGTCCTGAATGGCATTGCCTAGGTTTTCTTCTAGGGTTTTTACGTTGTTAGGTCTAACATTTAAGTCTTTAATCCATCTTGAATTAATTTTTGTATAAGGTATAAGGAAGGGATCCAGTTTCAGCTTTCTACATATGGCTAGCCAGTTTTCCCAGCACCATTTATTAAATAGGGAATCCTTTCCCCATTTCTTGTTTTTGTCAGGTTTGTCAAAGATCAGATAGTTGTAGATATGTGGCATTATTTCTGAGGGCTCTGTTCTGTTCCATTGATCTATATCTCTGTTTTTGTACCAGTACCATGCTGTTTTGGTTACTGTAGCCTTGTAGTATAGTTTGAAGTCAGGTAGTGTGATGCCTCCAGCTTTGTTCTTTTGGCTTAGGATTGACTTGGCAATGCGGGCTCTTTTTTGATTCCATATGAACTTTAAAGTAGTTTTTTTCAATTCTGTGAAGAAAGTCACTGGTAGCTTGATGGGGATAGCATTGAATCCAAAAATTACCTTGGGCAGTGTGGCCATTTTCGCGATATTGATTCTTCCTACCCATGAGCATGGAATGTTCTTCCATTTGTTTGTATCCTCTTTTATTTCATTGAGCAGTGGTTTGTAGTTCTCCTTGAAGAGGTCCTTCACATCCCTTGTAAGTTGGATTCCTAGGTATTTTATTCTCTTTGAAGTAATTGTGAATGGGATTTCACTCATGATTTGGCTCTCTGTTTGTCTGTTATTGGTGTATAAGAATGCTTGTGATTTTTGCACATTGATTTTTTATGCTGAGACTTGCTGAAGTTGCCTATCAGCTTAAGGAGATTTTGGGCTGAGATGATGGGGTTTTCTAGATATACAATCATGTCATCTGCAAACAGGGACAATTTGACTTCCTCTTTTCCTAATTGAATACCCTTTATTTCCTTCTCCTGCCTGATTGCCCTGGCCAGTACTTCCAACACTATGTTGAATAGGAGTGGTGAGAGAGGGCATCCCTGTCTTGTGCCAGTTTTCAAAGGGAATGCTTCCAGTTTTTGCCCATTCAGTATGATATTGGCTGTGGGTTTGTCATAGATAGCTCTTATTATTTTGAGATACGTCCCATCAATACCTAATTTATTGAGAATTTTTAGCATGAAGGGTTGTTGAATTTTGTCAAAGGCCTTTTCTGCATCTATTGGGATAATCATGTGTTTTTTGTCGTTGGTTCTGTTTATATGCTGGATTACGTTTATTGATTTGCATATGTTGAACCAACCTTGCATCCCAGGGATGAAGCCTACTTGATCATGGTGGATAAAGTTTTTGATGTGCTGCTGGATTCAGTTTGCCAGTATTTTATGGAGGATTTTGGCATCGATGTTCATCAGGGATATTGGTCTAAAATTCTCTTTTGTTGTGTCTCTGCCAGGCTTTGGTGTCAGGATGATGATGGCCTCATAAAATGAGTTAGGGAGGATTCCCTCTTTTTCTATTGATTGAAAAAGTTTCAGAAGGAATGGTACCAGCTCCTCCTTATACCTCTGGTAGAATTCGGCTGTGAATCCATCTGGTCCTGGACTCTTTTTCGTTGGTAAGCTATTGATTATTGCCTTCATTTCAGAGCCTGTTATTGGGCTATTCAGAGAGTCAACTTCTTCCTGGTTTAGTCTTGGGAGGGTGTATGTGTCAAGGAATTTATCCATTTCTTCTAGATTTTCTAGTTTATTTGCATAGAGGTGTTTATAGTATTCTCTGATGGTAGTTTTTATTTCTGTGGGATCGGTGGTGATATTCCCTTTATCATTTTTTATTGCATCTATTTGATTCTTCTCTGTTTTCTTCTGTATTAGTCTTGCTAGTAGTCTATCAATTTTGCTGATCTTTTCAAAAAACCAGCTCCTGGATTCATTGATTTTTTTGAAGCATTTTTTGTGTCTCTATTTCCTTCAGTTCTGCTCTGATCTTAGTTATTTCTTGCCTTCTGCTAGCTTTTGAATGTGTTTGCTCTTGCTTCTCTAGTTCTTTTAATTGTGATGTTAGGGTGTCAATTTTAGATATTTCCTGCTTTCTCTTGTGGGCATTTAGTGCTATAAATTTCCCTCTACACACTGCTTTGAATGTGTCCCAGAGATTCTGGTATGTTGTGTATTTTTTCTTGTTGGTTTCAAAGAACATCTTTGTTTCTGCCTTCATTTCGTTATGTACCCAGTAGTCATTCAGGAGCAGGTTGTTCACTTTCCATGTAGTTGAGCAGTTTTGAGTGAGTTTCTTAATCCTGAGTTCTAGTTTGATTGCACTGTGGTCTGAGAGACAGTTTGTTATAATTTCTATTCTTTTACATTTGCTGAGGAGTGCTTTACTTCCAACTATGTGGTCAATTTTGGAATAGGTGTGGTGTGGTGCTGAAAAGAATGTATATTCTGTTGATTTGGGGTGGAAAGTTCTGTAGATGTCTATTAGGTCCGCTTGGTGCAGAGCTGAGTTCAGTTCCTGGATATCCTTGTTAACTTTCTGTCTCGTCGATCTGTCTAATGTTGACAGTGGGGTATTAAAGTCTCCCATTATTATTGTGTGGGAGTCTAAGTCTCTTCGTAGGTGTCTAAGGACTTGCTTTATGAATCTGGGTGCTCCTGTATTGGGTGCATATATATTTAGAATAGTTAGCTCTTCTTGTTGAATTGATCCCTTTACCATTATGTAATGGCCTTCTTTGTCTCTTTTGATCTTTGTTGGTTTAAAGTCTGTTTTATCAGAGACTAGGATTGCAACCCCAGAAAGGCATGTATTTATTTAAATAGTCTTTGGCATTGTAGTAAGTTCAAAACTGATCATAAGTACCTGACACTGCACATGTAAAAATTCCAGTTTTAAAAAAACCTCCAGAAAAGTCTATGTTGTCGTCATAATGGGTTTTATGATGGCCCCCTAAAATATATGTCCTTGTTCCCCAGAACGTGTGACTATGGTCTCACTTGGAAAAAGTCTTTGCAGATGTAATTAAGTTGAAGTTCTCAAGATGAGATCATCCTTGATTATCCAGTTGGTTCTAAATCCAATAACAATCATCTTCATAAGAGACAGAAGGGAAGACATAGATGGGAAGCAGTAGAGCATGTGAAGATGGATGCAGAGATTACAGTGATGCTGCCACAAGCCAAGGAACGTCTGATGCCACCAGAAGCTGGAAGAAGCAAGGAAGGATCCTCCCCTAGAGCCTTTGCAGGGAGCCCTGACCTGCTGACACCTTGATTTCAGACTTTTGGCTTCCAGACTTTAAGATAATTAATTTGTTCTTTAAAGTCGCTGATGTTATGGTGATTTCTTATGGCAGCTACTCCAAACTAAACATCGTAAAACCTTCAGTACCTACCTGTGACCTGTTAATGTTAACTTTTATAAATTACTGGGCATGGTTTTTGTGAGATCACTGGACCACACTCATCAGCTGGAATGAGCATATGAAAAACCTTGCCCAGCTGAACCTTTCAAAAATACCCTTCAGTGTTATGCATATATAGATGGTAGATATTGATAAAGGAGATAGTGTGTTTTCACATATGTGTATCCATGTGGGGCTGTAGAATGGGGATGAGTTTATTTAGGAAAAGATGATTGTAGGTGAGTTCTGAGGAAGACCTGCACATCTACATCCCAGAGGGAGAAGAAGGGAAGGGATATCTCAGACGACCCATTCATTTTGTAAGAAAATTTAATTACTGGCTCCAGAAAGCATTTTCTCTGAATTTTATATAACAACTACATTCTCAGCAGATAGAGGGAGGTAGACCTTGGGGCAAGCAAGTGGGAAAAATAACCTATAAAGTGTGTTCACAAAATATGACTGTTATTCCACCCTGGAACTTAATAGAAATCCTTTGACTGTTGTTCTGCAGTCAACAAGACTCATCTAATTGGTGACCATGGTAACAAAATCAGGTCATACGGAGGTTCATGCTGAGATCAAGCATATGTAGATCTCCTAGTTCAAATATACACAAAGATAAGAACCTGTTGGTAAGAGTCTGTAATGTTAGATTGAGGATGGGCTCTCCCACACCGAGCTTATAAAACTGAGAAAATGGTCATTTGTTTGCAGTAGCCATACGTTTTGCAGAAAAGAAAGAGGTTTTTCAGATTCACTGGGGGGAAAAGATAATTCAGAAATGTGAGACCAGAATGAGTGCGTAGATGTTGCTTCATAGATCTGTGTAATTTACTCCCTGGGGTTTGTAGTGTGTCTGACTTATATTTTAGACATAATTAAGTAATCAGCAGTGTACATTGTAAAATGAATGTTTAGGCTGCTTGAGGTTAAATTTTCACAGCCATAGCAGCTGCGTGGTACTAGAGACCACCCCTCCCCACAGCCAGATCCTCTCCCCTGCATACAGTCAGTTATTTAAAATCTGTGAATGGGACTAAAATTATTTCCACAGTCACCATTTTTCAGCAGATCTAAAGAGCAGCCACATGGTAACCACTGGATACTGGATGACTGCACTTCATGCTAGTGAGCATTGATTGTCAGCTCTGGCTCAGTAGCTGAAGTGACAATAACAATATCAATTGTAGCATAAATAATACTTTTATTTATGTGGGATCTCAAATGAACTCCAGAAAAGTCTGTGAGCTGGGAAGTTTTTCCCACACTGCAGATGAGAATACTGAGGTGGTGAGAGATTACAGTTTTGAGAGATCACACAGCTTCTGCCTTTTAAATGTGGAATAAAGGATTAACATCTTTATCTTGAGCTATGTATATAAGAGATCCAAACCAATGGTGGTTCTTATTATGTGTCTAAACTCTGTTCTATTCCATTACCTGTCTCCTTCTTGCTCTTAATGACCCTGCCTCTGTGTATTAGTCCATTTTCACGCTGCTGATAAAGACATGTCTGAGACTGGGTTTATAAAGAGAAGAGGTTTAATGGACTCACAGTTCTGGCTGGGGAGGCCTCACAATCATGGTGGAAGACAAAGGAAGAGCAAAGGGACTTCTTACATGGCAGCAGGCAAAAAGAGAGAATGAGAGCCAAGCGAAAGGGGAAACCCCTTATAAAACCATCAGATCTCATGAGACTTATTCACTACCACGAGAACAGTATGAGGAAAACCACCCCATGATTCAGTTGTCTCCCACCAGGTCCCTCCCACAACACGTGGGAATTGTGAGAGCTACAATTCAAGATGAGATTTGGGCGGGGACACAGCCAAACCATATCACTCAGTGACCCTTGGAGGGACACATGGGTAAGAAAGGGACTTAAAAGGGCTCTTTTCTTTCTTTCCTTTCTCCCTCCTTCTGTTCTTCCCTTCCCCTCCCTCGTTTCCTTCCTTTATTCTTTTTATCAGACTTGACCCATACCCACTTTCCTTCCCTACCAAACCCATGAGAAGATAAGGCAAGAAAGAGGACAGGTAGTTGGTGAGGGCTGATTTAGAATGGTTGTCTACTTGCTCAAAGGAAGCACAAACCTAGGGATTCATTTAGGTTTACTGGTGGATTTTCAAAAAGAAGGGTGTGTGCTCTCTTTCTTAAAACAAAATATAACAAACATTTATTTTTAAATTGTCAAATAAATAGTTGTTATGAAAAACATTCAAATGTGAGGGACACATAGTAAGAAAAACATAAAAGTCCTGCCTCTCCATTCCTACTCCCCAGAGTTAACCATTATTGGCCATTTGATGTGTATAGTCTATACCTAGTGCATTGTATATAATATACAGAATATATGATATGAATACACATTTTAAAAGCAAATTATCTTCATTCTATATGCTCTGTTCTACAATTTAGTTTTTTTAACTTAATGATGTATCTTTTCATATTAGTGCATGTAAGTCTACCTTATTATCCTTTAACAACTGAATACTACAGGCATACCTTGGAGATAGTGTGGGTTTGGGTCCAGACCACCACAATAAAGGAAATTACCACAATAAAGCAAGTCACATGAATTTTTTGGTTTCCCAGTGCATATAAAAGTTAATGTTTACACTATACTGTAGTCTATTAAGTATGTAATAGCATTGTCTAAAAATGCACAAACTTTAATTAAAAAATACTTAAAATTGCTAATGGTAATCTAAGCCTTCCGTGAGTCAATCTCTCTACTTGTAGAGGGTCTTGCCTTGATGCTAATGGCTGATGACTGATCAGGATGGTGATTGCTGATGGTTGGGGTGGCTGTGGCAACTTCGTAAGATAAGGTAATAAGGAAGTTTGCCACATCCATTGATTCTTCCTTTCACAAAAGATTTCTCTAGCAGGTGGTACTGTTTGATAGCATTTTACCCACAGTAGAATATCTTTCAAAATAGGAGTCAATCCTTTCAAATCCTACCACTGCTTTACCAACTAAATTTATGTAATATTTTAAATTCTTGTTGTTATTTCAACAATGTTCACACCATCTTCACCAGGAATAGATTTCATTTCAGGAAACCATTTTCTTTGCTCATCCATAAGAAGCAACTCCTCATTTATTCAAACTTTATCATAAAATTTTAGCAATTCAATCACTTCTTCAGGTTCTCTTCTAATTCTAGTTCTCTTGGTATTTCCACCACATCTGCAGTTACTTCCCCTACTGACGTTGCGAGTCCCTTAAAGTTATCCATGAATGTTGGAATCGACTTCTTCCAAACACTTGTTAACATTGATATTTTGACCTCCTCCTGTGAATCACAAATGTTCTTAATGGCTTCTAGAATGATGAATCCTTTCCAGAACGTTTTCAATTTACTTTCCCCAGATTCATCAGAGGAATCACTATCTATGGCAGCCTTACAAAATGTATTTCTCAAATAATAAGACTTGAAAGTCAAATGACTTCTTGATTCATAGGCTGCAGAACTGATATTGTGTTAGCAGACATGAAAACAACATTCATCTATTTGCACATCTCCATCAGAGCTCTTGAGTAACCAGATGTATTGCCAACAAGCAATAATATTTTGAAAAGACTCTCTTTTTTCCTGAGCAGTAGGTCTCAACAGTGGGTTTAAAATATTCAGTTAGGCCATGCTATAAACAGATGTGCTGTCATCTAGTCTTTGTTGTTCCACTGATAGAGGGCAGGCGGAGTAGATTTAGCATAATTCTTTCTTAAAGGGCCTAGGATTTTTAGAATGGTCAATGAGCATTGGCTTCCACTTAAGGTCACCAGCTGCATTAACCCCTAACAAGAGAGTCAGCCTGTGTTTTGAAGTTTTGAAGCCATGTCCTAACTTCTCTCTAGCTATGAAAGTCCTAGATAGCATCTTCTTCCAATAGAAGGCTGTCTTATATACATTGAAAATCTTTTGTTTAGTGTAGCCACCTCCATCAGTGATTTTAGCTGGATCTCTTGGATAACTTGCCACAGCTTCTAACAACAGCACTTGCTGCTTCACCTTGCACTTTTATGTTATGGAGATGGCTGCTAGCTTCCAAATTTTCTTCTAGAGCTTCCTCACCTCTGTCAGCCTTCACAGAATTGAAGGCAGCAGGACCTATTTCTGGATCAAGACTTGGCTTAAGAGAGTATTTTGGCTGGTTTGCTCTATCCGGACCATTAAAACTTTCTCCATATAAGCAAGATGGCTATTTTGCTTTCTTATCATTGGTGTGTTTACTGGAATGGCACTTTTAATTTCCTTCAAGAGTTATTCTTTTCATTCACAACTGGGGTAGCAGTTTGGTGAAAGAAACCTAGCTTTCAGTCTAGCTCAGCTTTTGACATGCCTTCCTTACTAAGCTTAATCATTTCTAGGTTTTGCTCTAAAGTGAGAGATACACAATTTTTCCTTTCACTTGAGCAATTACAGACCATTGTAGGGATATTAATTGGCCTAATTTCAATATTGTTGTGTTTAGGAAATGGAGAGTCCCAAGGAAAGGGAGAGAGATGGGGGAGCAGCTGGTCAGTGGAGTGGTCAGAACACACACAATTTTTATGGATTAAGTTCACCGTCTTACATGGGCACAGTTTGTGGTGCTGTAAAGCAATTAGACTAGTAACATCAAAGATCACTGACCACAGATCACTGTAACAGCTATAATAATAATGAAAAAAGTTTAAAATGTTAGAATTATCAAAACATGACACAGAGACATGAAATGAGCCCATGCTGCTGAGAAAATGGCACCAATAGAGTTTCTTGATGCAGGGTTGCCACAGACCTTCACTTTCTAAAAAATACAATGTCTGCAAAGTACAGTAAAATAAAATGGAGTATGCCTATAATACACAATCTACAGGGTTGTTGTAAAAATAAATCAGGTAATACACAGAAAAGCTTAGCACTGTGCCCAGAACACAGGGTCAATAAATGTTTGCTGCTAATTTTGTTATTGTTGTTGTCATTGTTATCTTTATGACCATTATTTTTTATTATTGGTTTCAAAGTTTAGTGGGGGTTACAGAAATTAATCAAATATAGGCACAGAAAGTGTAATTCAAACTGCTGTAAGTGGTAAGTAAGAAGCTGCATTAGCAGAAGTCACTTACAGTGCTTGAGAGTGAAAACCTGCACCCCGATCTAATCAGGGGATTGGAAAGGGTTTCACTGATGAAAGGGCCTTGGTTGGAGCTGAGAACTGAGAGCTGCTTCTTAGGCATTCACCAGGGAACGGGGGTAAGACTGAGCGAGGCAGACACATGTTGCAGGCAGAGGAGACGGCTTGTCTAACACCCCTGAGACAAGTACAAAGTCACGGCGGGAGGCTGATCCCCCTGAAGATTGTCGGTGACTCCCAAAGAGCATAGGACAGAAAGAGGAAGCCCCGGGAGGCAGGAAAAAGCTGCAGTATGGTCCTATTATGTCAGAATGAGGTTGAGAAAAGACTTTGGAGAACCAGCTTTTCTGCCCATAGCAGGTTGATGGCTGCCGGAGATGCCCAACATAGCTCCACCATGATCTGGAACTCACAAGGCACTTGAGTGCCAGCAGAACCCAGGCATGCTGCCAGACCTGGGAAAAAAATAGTATTGTGCATCTTCTTCCCTGCTCCTCACCATCACCCAGAAAGCAGAGGCCCTGTCTTACCCCAGCCCAGGCAGCTCAGTGGTGCTCTCTGACAAGGTCATATGGATCTCATCAGCCAGGTCTCCCACTCCCCCGAGAAGGAGCAGCCAGCCCCAGCCCCAGCCCAGGGGCCTGAGCCTCTGGCTCAGCAGATCGACTAGCTTCACTTCTGATAGAAGAACTGTGACCTGAGAAACAACACTTGAGACTTTCCTTCCAAGCTTCATCTAAAGCCCTTGGAACCCCTTCTTCTGTCATTGAGGACCTATCTCTCTGGTGTGGAAAGTATGGGCTTCAGAGTCTCAAAAACCAAAGTACAAATCCTGTCTCTGCCATTTACTGTAAAGTCTCAGAATGCTGAGACTCAGTCTTCTCATCTGTAGAATGGAGTTAATACCACCTACTCACAGGACTATCCCAAGACAATAAAAGAGATCATGTGTGCAGAGCACTTCATGCAGTGCCTACCACTTGCACCTGGTGGCTATTCCTATGAAGCATGTCTATTCCTATAAAGTTGTTTGATCTACACAGGGCAAGATCTAATCACCTTGGAAAGGTAGAGCTAACAACCCCCACTTTGAGCCTCTCACAATTACTTCTTACTAAATTATCTCCTATATTACTAGCAGTGTGGTCTTGGGTAAGTTACTTAACGACTTTTTGCCTTTTCTCATTTGCAAAATGTGGATAACAAATCCTATCCTACAGAGTCGTTAGGAAGAGTAAATGGCTTAACATAGGTAAAGTGCGTGACACCCAGTAAATGTGATGATAATAAGGATGATTTTAACCTGAGCTAAAGATTCCTCTGGCTGCTATGAGGGCAAAGTGGAAATAGAAAAACTACTTAGAAGTGTATTGTAATAAACCAGGCAAAAGCTGGTGGCTTGAATCAGGATGGGAACACTGTAGGGGGAGAGAAGCACTTGGATTCTGGGTATGTTTTGAAAGTAGAGAGACAGTATTTACTGAAATATCAGCTGTGGGGGTGTAAGAGAAAGAGAGGAATTAAGGGTGACCCCAAAGTGCAAGGCTTAGCAATCAGAAGGATGGAGTTGCCATTTACTGACTAAAGTAAAGCAGGGTTAGGGAGGAAATCAGGAGTTCTGATGTTATGTGCAATTAGATGTTCAATTAGTGATATCAAGTAGGTGGCTGTATGTAAAAGTCTGGAGTTTAAAGAGAGGTACCAGCTGGGGCTATAATACATTTGTATTTAAAGCCAGGAAACTTAGATAATCTTATCAGAGACTGGAGTGGATAAAGAGAAAAGGTCCCAAGGTAGCCTTCAGACTCTGCCATACTTAGAAGGTGAAGAGAAATCCACCAAGAAAACAAAGATGAAGTAGCCACATGGTAGGAGGAGAATAAGGAGAAAACATTGTCTCAGGTTACAAATGAAGCAAGGGTTTCATGGCAAAAGGAGTGATTATGATTGTCAGCCTTGGCAAATACAGGGCTGATGTCTGAGGATGATAAGGACTGAGGACTGATGTCGCCCTTGGACAATGCATGGGGGCATTGGTTTCTTTGAAAGGGTTTTCTTCAGTAGAGTGGTGGGGGGAAGGCTGAGTAGACTGGGTCCAAGAGAAAGTAAGAGGACAGAAAGTGGAAACAGCGAGTATAAATGACTTATTTAAAGAATTGTGCTGCTGATAGGGAAGAAAGGGTGGGGCTATTCTGAAGGGAGATGTGGGGTCCAGGGAGGGTCTTTGTTGATTTTTAAAAAATGGGAGATAATATGGCATGCTTGATTGCTGGCAAAAATAGTCCAGTAGAGTGAGAAAACTGCAGGAGAACAAAAGGATAATTCTAGGATTGATGACCTAAAATAAGGAAGAGAGGAGGGCACAGATTACTTGGGGGAAATGCAGGTAGATGTAAACGTGTGATCGATTGAATGTTTACATATTCTCTTCCATTTGCAATATTTTCTTAGTGAACCAAGTTTATCACCAGAGAGTCCAGAGGGTTGTTGGAAGGTGGACAGATTTGAGCACATGTGATATTGTTGGTTGGGAGAGAGAGAGCGTACTGGATGAAGGAAGTGTAGTAGACAGGATTGCTGGGCACACTGAGGGCCCACTTGAGCTTGGTTAATCAAGAACTTAGAGTAAGGCAGTTAGCATGGCTGATGTTTCACCCCAGCTAGGTTCAGCTGTCTGGGTGAAGCATAGGAGGGGAGGAGAGTTGAATTTAACTAGGGCTGGAATTTTGCCCAGCAAGTATAGCGGAGGGAGATTAGGTGTGAAAAATGATGGTATGTGTGCTCAAAGAATAAAATCTGTTGGAAAGAATGATAGCTTAGAAATCATTCTGACACAGCGATCCAAAATCTGGGTTTCAGTCCTGATTCTACCGCTAAAACTGTGTGAACCTAAGTCCTCTGCTCCCTGAGCCTCCATTTCCTCATCTATAAAGTGGGGATTGTAATCTACCTCATAGGACAGTTCGGGGGACAGGAAGGATGTAAAGGCAATTTAGGAAATTGAGGCAAAACCTTTATTTGGAAATACTTTTATTAGCCCAATTTGTGTTACTGTTTGTTCTTAAGAGTAATAAAAATTGCATTTATTTAAAACAATACTCCAGATTTTAAAATATTTCTTTAATTTAGACTAGCAATCCTTCCACAATTCTATGATATCCTGAGGTTTTCTGGTACTGAGCCAATTCATTGGATGGCTTAATTGACATCTATTCACAGCCTCACCCCATTTGTCAGAAAGGGATGCCTTGGGCAAGTCATTGGAGAAAGAGTGGAAGGTGCTGTAAATATGAATAAGACTTGGTCCCAAAATTTGAGCAGCTCAAAACCAAATGAATATTTGGAAAGTCTGCATTTGTAAAGCTCGTAGAGGTCCAGAATCACATCTCTTTATCTTGCTTTGCCTGATGACTACCCATGCACAATGCAGAGGAGGAGACTAGTTAGGAGATGGGTCAGGCACTGCTCCTGTGGAAATCTTACAATTTGTAGTGTTTTATGGTTTATAAATCATTTTAAATTCTGGTCTTGTTTGACCTTTGCAATTTTCTGCAAATATATAGAGCCGAGAGGTTTTTAACCTACTTTATAGAACAAGAAAACTGAGGCTTGGCTAGAACCCCAGAGTCAGTAACAGTGACAGTGACAGAGTGTTTCCCAGACCTACTGTCTTTCCATGATCTCATGGGATTTGTGATCACAGTGAGACCAGAACACAGACTTCAGTCCTACAACCATTGGGTGGGTAGCATCATACTAAGGAAGCTTATATGCTATTGGAGAATATGGAGAGTGCTCCAAAGAAACTGAACAAAATTCCCAGAACATTCCCATTCTGCAAATCTTCAGACCCTTTTGATGTGTTCTTTTTTTTTAGCATTTCTTTTTTAAAAATTTTAATTGACACGTTGTAATTGTACATACAATTGACCCTTGAACAACACAAGGGTTAGTGGTACTGACCCCTACACAGTCAAAAATCTGCATATAACTTTTAACTTCCCAAAAACTTAATTAGTAATAGCCTACTATTGACTAGAAACCTTATCAATAATAGAAATAGATGATGAACATACATTTTGTATGTTATATACCATGCTCTTATAATAAAGTAAGCTAAAGAAAAGAAAATGTTAAGAAAACCATAAGGAAAAATATATTTATTATTTATTAAGTGAAAGTGATTCATCATAAAGGCCTTCATCCTGTTGTCATCCCATTGAGTAGGCTGAGGAGGAGGAGGAAGAAGAGGGTAGGTCTTGCTGTCTCAGGGCAGAGGCAAAAGAAAATCCATGTATAAGTGGACCCACACAGTTCAAAGCTGTTGTACTAGTCCGTTCTCACACTGCTAATAAAGACATACCTGAGACTGGGTAATTTATAAAGGGAAGAGGTTTAATTGACTCACAGTTCAGCATGGCTGCAGAAGCCTCAGGAAATTTACAATCATGGCAGAAAAAAAAGCAAACACATCTTCTTTTCATATGGCAGCAGCAAGAAGTGCCGAGCAAAGGGGAGAAAAGTCCCTTATAAAACCATCAGATCTTGTGAGTACTCAGTCACTATCATGAGAACAGCATGGAGGTAACCACCCCCATGATTCAATTAACTCCCATGGCTCCCTCCCACGACACATGGGGATTATGGGAACTACAATTCAAGTGAGATTTGGGTGGGGACACAGCCAAACCATATCAGCTGTGTTGTTCAAAGGTCAACTGTATTCATGGGGGTACAATTTGATCTTTTGGTACAATGTGCTCTTGACACTGGGGAAAAAGAGTAGAAAGAACACTGGCCCCAAATTGCAAAAATGGGTCCTCATTCTGCTCCTTCCACTCTCTGTGTCCTTCTCCTCTTTTCATGCCTTAGTAGCAGCATTGGTAGTATGAGGATGTTGATTTAATGTCATCTCAGATCCTGCCAGCCCTGACTTCTGTGGTTCATCTAGGTCTGCTCCCCTATGCTTGGACAGGGTTTCACCCTGCGTCCTCCAAGCAGCCTCATGATTGAGAAGCCAGAGCGACAAATAAACCACAGTGGGTCTGGTTTACTGAAGTGTAAAGGAAAAATGTTTGGGTGCTGTTATTCATTAGCACTTCAGAAGTCTTCTGGAAAATAACCTGGTGACTTCTGAATCAGGGTAGGAATCAGGTAGGAACTTAATTAAAGCATTCATTCATTCATTCACTCATTCAAGTGATATACGGAAGAGTTTTGACTATGGGCTAGACATTAGGAACGAAACATTGGAACCTCATCCATGAGCAAAATCAGGCACAATTTTTGCCTTTCTCAAGCTTATGATCCACTGGAAGAGACCGACATGAATCAATTAACACAAAGAGTATAAAGTTACAACTGTAGTAAGTGCCATAAATGGGAAGCGCACAGTGCTTTAAGAAAAGATAATGGGGAGGGGGATTTGACTTAGTTGGGGGGATCACGGGAGAGCTAACCAGGCAAAGAAGGAAGAACAATGTTTCAAATGAGAAGTTTATGGAGCATGGAGCCTCCATGGTGGTGGGGAATGGGATGAATTCATGGTCTGTGAAAAGCCAGAGTACAGGAATTGCTGAGAGCAAGGAGAGCAGGATGCAGGATGGGACTGAGATGGAGGAGCCAGACCAAGAGTACTTTAAAAAATGTTTTTAATATGTACATTTTTTTAACCTGGCAATTTCAACTCTAAGAACTGATCCTTGTACAAGTCTTCAAAGTCATACACATACACACAGAAACACAAAGATGTTTATTGAAGCATGAAAATTTGTAACATGCTTAGATATTGTTGATTAAATCCTGGTATATCTCTTGCAATGGAATAGCACTTTTATTCCCATTTCACAGATAGGGAAATTGAGCTCGCATAACTTATTCTGGTTCACCCAGCTACTCAGTGGAGTTGCTAGGCTCTGGATGCAGGCATCTTGACTCCAGGGCTTACTTTAAGCTTCATGAGAGTCAGGACTGTGTGTGTTTTAGCTCACCATTGATCCCTGGCATGGGACTCACAGTAGGAATATACTAAATGTTTTGTGAATTGAATTGATTAGTTTCTGGTAGGCCAATTCTCCTCTGGGTCTCCTGTGGATCTCAAAGCTAGATTTTGCTTGAGATTGGGAGATTCATCCCATCTATTCTATTTTGGCACCTTTTGTACCTCTTAGAGCTTTGGGGGCCCACATTCTATTGCAAGTCCTGAGCGTTCAGGAACAGCCCCTACGAGAATTTTCCTTCACTTCTTTTATTATTATTATTATTATTATTATTATTATTATTATACGATAAGTTTTAGGGTACATGTGCACAACGTGCAGGTTTGTTACATATGTATACATGTGCCATGTTGGTGTGCTGCACCCATTAACTCGTCATTTATCCTCCACTTCTAAGACTAGCTCTTTCATTTTCATCCCTTGGCCCATCTCCTGTTTTTCCATCTCCCCTACCTTAGGAAGCAGACAGGATTTTGCCTGTGCATTTCTTTCCAATATTTTGCTGCTGCTTCTTTTCTTCTTCACCTACGTCATCCAGTACTTAGGGCAGTTACTCAGGGAAATGCCTTGGGCATCTCTGGCATACCTGAATTTTCTCTCAGGCTTTCAGCTATAGACTTAAGATCCTGTTCCTATACATGACATTCCAGCTTCCAGGTCTGTCCCCAACTATGTCACTTAACCTTCAAATTCAATGGGCCTCCACTGATGTAGCTCTAGTAGAGTCAGAGCAGCTAACCAAATAGAGTAGTTCTCATGGCTTCTCATGCTTCTGATGCAGACGAGGCTCTCACAGTTAATAAGTGCATCTGTAAGCATGGCCTCTTCCTGGAATGCATATGGTCCTACTCTCACAAGGGCCTTATAGCAGGAGGTGGACCTGACTCTTGAGGCTGGCACATGAGTGCTGGCCAAACATGAAGGGCAGAGATCCATTAACGTCATGTTTCCCCAGATCTGCTTGCTTGTGGCTTGCTTGAAGCCTCCATCTGGCCTGGCCTGTTTAATTTGAGCTCCTTTCTGCCTCCTGACCTGAGAGCCTGAAGGGCAGGACAAGGCATGCCTCATGTCACCCTCACTCTGCTCAGTCCTGCCACTGATGTTTTGCAGACACTCCAGAATAATGAACAAGAGAATGTCAAGGGCTTTGTGGAGGAATGTCTTGTGTATACAGATTGGACACTTAGATCATGAGAATTCACTATATATGTTCCTTGCTAATTGTTATTTTTTTGAAGCAGCTGTTATGGAGGAGTTAGAATGAAGGAATAGGAAGACATTGCTGAGCTGAGGTGGGGATGGAATTCAGAGCCAAGCCATTATTGGAATGAGGCATTGACATGGTAATGCAGAGATCGAAGGGTGCCTTTTAGAAAGGGAACCCCGGTTCCCTCCTCTCCTGTTTCCATCTCTTTCTTTTCCTGCCATCTGCTGCCACTCCCCGCTGCAACTGTTCTTGAAATTTCTTCTGCTATTTAGTCCCATGACCTATTCCTGGACTGATATCTATAATATAGTTTGGCTCCTGAAACACCTTTCCTATTTGGAATGGAGAAGGAAGACAGGACAGGAGAGGAAACTTTAATGTGACAAGCACCTACTCTGTGTCAGGCACCACCCTAGGCACTTCACTTATGTTGTCCAATTTCATTATTGTAACAATCCAAGGAGACAGGTGTGGTTACCCCCATTTTTAGAGATGAGGAGCCTACGGCACAGGTAAGGTCAGTAACTTTCTCAAGGTCAGTGGGTCAATAAATGGAGCTCAGTGACATAACCAGTTCTGCCTGACTGGGAGCTAATCTCTTGTCCTTGCTAGAAAACAGCAGTTCTCCAGGACAGCTGGACGAGCAAGGAAGCGGAAGCCTCCTGATGACTTAGACATATCAAAGTTTAAAACATTTTGGGCTATCAGTGGAAAGAAGTTTCCTAAACTCAGCATGGCCTTCTCTTTTCCTCTTTTCTCTGGCTTAGAGATAAGGCTGTGTATGTATTGAATTGTACCTGTGCTGCGGTTTCCCAGCTGGGCACCTTTCCTTGAGTGGGCACAGACTAACATTAGAGGACAAAGAGCCACTGAGCAATTCCAGTGCTGGACCCAGGTATGGGTCTGAAACTCGCTGACCAAATCTCCCTAAGTTCTATCTGTCCCCACAAGGAAACCCAAAGAGGCTGGTGCTTGGAGAGTGTCATCTCCCCCTACCCTCGTTCCTAGCTCGAGTATGCTTTTCTTGGCACTGGAGAGTCAACAGGTGTGAACAAGTGTACAGAGACCTGGCATGCCAGGGCTAGCAGCGCTTACGGCCTTCACTCACAAGAGATGGCAATTGCCCCCTTCTGCAGGCTGCCCATCAAAACACATTGTTGCCTGGCACCTCCATAGGCTCCAACCAACTTGGAGCGGGCACCAAGCCATCCCAGCAGATGGGCAGAAGGGGTGGGGAGCGGCCAAGGCAGCCCCATCCTGAAGGTGCATAAAGTGATGGTGGTGAGGGTTTGATTTCCAACTGCGGATGCATTAGGATAACTCTCTCCATCTTAGATTTATAGGTCAGGAGTTACAGGGGGAGGGGCTTACGGTTTAGCCCGCACCCAGCTGGCTGGGTTTGTTTTTCTGTGGAAAAAAAAGTCACTTGGAACCCATCAGAATATTGTGGCTTTGACTTTCAGGGCCTTAAAAGTAATTTGGGAAATCAGGGAACAACACTGAAGATAGTAGGAGATAAAGAAGGACAAGAAAGGATCCTAAAGAGGTTTCTGCTTACTAAGAACCGTCTTCCTCCCCGTTCTCCACTGCACCCCAGCTATGCTAACAGCAGACTAACAGAATCCTCCCTGCCACCAGGCCAGGCTAATCAAGGTTGAGAGCATGGCTGGAGCCCTTGCCATGGGTGGTTGGTAACACAAGTGAGCAGTTATCTCAGAGCTAGGAGCAGGCTCCTTGCCGGCCTTCAGAGGGGGATGTGCAGTGTCCCATTGCCCAAGCAACTGCGTCATGGATTTGGGAACTCAAGGGGGTGATTGTCAGCATGTGCCACCGTCTTGAGAGAATCACCTAGGCCTGGCCTACAGGTACTGTGGGGAACACTGTTGAGGTGGGGAACAGCCATGCAAAGTCTCCAAGAGGGGAAAGTGTGTCCCAGGAGCAACTAATAGGCTATCTGGGGAGAGCAGAGGGAGAGTGAAAGGAAGTGGGAGAAAGTGAGGCCCAAAAGGTGTTACACAGGACCCTAATGCCAGCCTAGGGAAGTTCAGGCTTCACTTGACAGGCAGTGGGAGCTGTGGAAGGTTTTTGAGTACAGAGTGCTTCGATCAGAGCTCTCCCTGAGAAATTAGGAAACGGTGGCAACATGCAGGAAGAGCCAGAACCAGGGAGTCAGGGCTCAGGGGCTGCCATGATGGTGCATGCCAGACTGAGTCCAGCGGCAGTGGGAATGGAAAGAAAAGGTGAGTGGGAAGTCCTTCACTAGGATGCACTGATGACTGACTTTGACTGACTTGGACAGAGGGAGGAGCAAAAGAAGACTTTTGAGGAACTGAGAGAAAAATGGGGCCATTAACAGAGAAACAAGAATCAGGAGGTTCTGGCTTGATGGAAGGTCTTTCATGTGGGTTGCTAGAATCAATATGGTACATATTATTTTGTGCTATTATTTGTGGGTTCTTGTGATCTAGGCCATTCCTGTCTCTCTGGAAGGAACATGGATAACTGTAACTTTCTGTAGTGGTTTATTATTCTCACAAGGAAACTAACGTTCCTGGTAAATGAGAACACACAGAACTCTCCCAGGCCTGAGCTTCAGCTGCCCCATTGTATTTCTGTCCAAAGTACATTCTTCACTTTCATACAAGGTTTTTTGGACTACCCTCACTTGAAAGCCAGCCTCTTGTTTCCCTGAAACGTTCTCTCCACTTCCACACGTTGCTATAATCTTTTGGTTATCATGTTGAATAATTTACAGTCTCTGCCAGTCTGAAATTACATGTGGGGCTGCTCTGTTTGTGGCCTACCCAGCAATTAGCTATACACCATTTTATCACTGCAATTACACTGCAAAGGGAGAAAACAGTCCAGCCATTTGTCCCAGGGGAAGCTGAGGAATAACAAAGTCTCAACACTGTGTGCCTAGAGGGGGCCAGTCGATCAAGGAAGGGACCTGGAATGGCACTGAAGGTCTCATCCAGGCAGACTCCTTCCCTGTTCTATGATTTGCCCACCTTTCTTGTATATGTTCTTTGGCAACCACAGAATCTTTATGATCTCTTTCCAGGATAGCAAATAGGTTTCATTTCTTGCATAAACTCTGAAAAACTGACAGTGGCTGCCTGGAGTATTGTCTTGGAAAAGAATTTTAAGCTTGTGACTGGACTCAGTGGAAGGCAGTGCTGTGATCAATTAGTGATGTCTGTCACAGACAGCGAATGGGAAAGGAGTGAATGCTGTGTATCTGAAGTCTCTTATCCAGGTCAAGCCTGACTTTTAAAAGATGCAAAATTTAAGGCCTGGAAAAACACAGAGACTTATTGAAGATCATAAAAGCTAACATGAATGTTTAGTATGTGCTAGGGAGTATTCTAAACACTTCCTATATAGTAACTCATTTAATCCTTACAACACCCGCTTGGTGTTCATCCTCATTTGATAGATGAGGAAATAGCCACAGAGAGGTTACCAGGCTTCCTAAAGATAGAGTAGAAAAAGGAGCAAGTTTTCAAATCCAGATAGGCTGAGGTAACCTGCATCCTTCAACCACTGCTCTTCTGCTGGTGTGCAAACCACACAGCTCCTTAGCAATGGGGCCCAGAACTCAGGTCTCCTGATTTCTAGCCCAGAGTTCCTTCCTCCCATGGAAATATGAACTGATATGCTTCCCAATGCTAAAAACTTGGGAGAAAAACAAAAAAGAGCATTAAGAGATGAACAATTTATTACTTAGGATATGCCTGGCACTGTGCTAGGAGTTGAGCAGTCAAAAATAAGTATTATTCACTGTCCTTAAGAAGCTCTTACTTCAGAATAGAAAAGGCTCTTCTCAAGTTCCACTTCATTTGTAAAGTCTTTGCCCGCTACAGCTACCCTGATTTCAGAGCCTGCTGGTAACATTCTCCTCTTCCATGCTCTCAGCGTCACTGCCACCTCCTTCTCCCCAATCATGGTTAATCCTACGATTAAGTTCGCACTGAGGACATACTATATCAACACTGAGAAGAGTTCTAAGGTACCCTACAACCTACTGACACTGCAAACTACCTAGTGGCTTGGCATCAGGGGGATTTGTGCATTTTGCATTAAGAAAGCCGATCAGCTTAGGTCAAGCAGGCTCCATATGGAGGTTCATTTTATTAATTCCTCTTTAGACATTGGGCCCATGGCTGTGTTACCAGTTCATTTATTTATACCACATCTCTTTTCAGGAAGAATCTGAAGTGGCCATATACAATAAGATGAGTGGAGCAGAATAAAACTAGAAAAATCTTGGCTGAGACAAAGAGAAGGCAAATATTGCCAACCACACAGGTTAAAACAGTTGTGATGCAGCAATACGTTTGGTGTTGAGTTTCCTAGTGGCCAGAAAAGAACGGAAAGCAGAGTAATACAGCTTTCATTCTTGGAAAGGAGAAAGCATAATAACACTGCAGGGTCCCCCACCTCATCTAAGTCTAGAGACATGTATTCATCATATCTGCCTGGGGCCCTGGGAGCCCCTCAGTCTGATTTCCTCTGTGGCTTGTCCTCAGTGCAGTATCTCTGCAGATTACCTCCCTCTGACCCTTACCCCACTGGAGTTTTCTCTTAATAAAACAGGTAATCCCCAGGGTATATAGAATTCAGGGTTGTTGATTTGTGGCTTGGCAATGTCTTTGAGGAGGCAGGTTCTTCCCATCTTTCTGCTTGGCCATTCTTAGAGCTGGCTTTCTCCTGGCCTGGTCACCAAAAGGGCTGCAACAGCTCCAGGTAACCACTCACAACATGCCCAAGGAAGCCAGAGAGACCGTCTCTTCCTGTGGCTCTCTTTTAGGCGCGAGGAGTCCCCCTCTTGTGTCGTTGGCTAGGATCAGGTCACATGCTCATTCCTGAACCAATCACTGTGGAATAGGATTGCCCTTAGACCAATCTGAGAGCTGGGGGTGGGGTGATAAGAGGCTCCTGGCTGCCTGGGTTTACTAAGCGAGAACAAAGCTGAGGTTCTTTTGGCCTGGAAGAGGAGGGAAATGGAGGCCGAGAAGGCAGCCAATAGTGTTCCCTTCACTTGTCAAATACTATAAACACTTTTTTTTTTCCAGTCTGTGTTTTAGGAGGCATCTGCTAGAGGCATATGTACGATGAAGCCAAAGAATCTGGCAGATAGTTCTGAACGTTCCTATCAAGTTCAGGGTTATAAAAAATGATACAAAGTGTTTCGGCCCTTCAGGTCTGTTTATGCTGCATAAAACGGAGTAAATGATCCAAAGCGGGTGGAGGATGCTTTTAAAGGGAAAAGCCTAAAATAACAGCTCCCCTTTTGAAGGTTTTGTTAAGTAATACCTTCTGGGGGCTCAGTGTTATTCTAGGCACTGGACTGACAGTGGAGGAAAAGATAGTGTCCCTTCTATTACGGAATTTATGCATTGGGCAGACAATCAGCAAATAAGTAAATGAGCAAAACAATTTCAAAGCATGCTAATGAATATAAACTGCATGAGGACAGAGGTGTTTAGTTTGTGGTGCATGGTTTCCAGTGCCTAGGACAACACCTGGGGTATAGTGAGCCTTCAGCAAATACTGAATAAATTAACGAACAAAGACCAAGACAGGAAAGTGGGGCAACCTCATCCTACCTTGATAAAAGGTGAGCCGTTGAGTGTGTGTGTTTATACCTTGGGCCTGGATGGCAGAGGGTTGGGTAAGAACAGATTGAAAGCATACGAGAGCTAGCTGCCATCTTCTTTCCTTCTTGACATATGCAGCCTTTGCTCCAGTGCCCCCAACTGGGAGGCTGGTGTTGTGCCAAACCCCTGTTAACCTCAATAGGGAGGCACCAGGTTCAAGAGGCTGAAGAAAAGACCCAGAGCCAGCGAAGGAGACATGGCGTTTTATTAGGGGCTTACATACAGGGGAGAGCCCAGTGGGGGGCGGGCTGAACAGGAGAACCACCTGATATACAGAATTGGTCCGGTGGTGGTGGGCTAGACATGATATCTGCGTTCCTACAATTCATTGGTTGTAGGCTGGACAACATATCCACCTTACATATGGTGCAGTGGCAGTGGACTGGACAGACAAGCTGCAACTGCTTGCAAAGAGCATGCAATTTATATAATATTTTCACTTCAAACCCTCCCTTTAATGGCCTCCACCTGGCAACTTCATATAATCCAAATCTCAGGGCCTCCATTCTCTGTAAGGCCGTGCTCCTTGCGATAGGCAGGGGCTCAGATGTTCCTCATAGACAAAGAGTGAATCTCTGGGTTGGCCACTCCTGAATTCCCTAGTTTGGAAAACATTTTCAGGTGGGAGTCTGCCATACAGGGCCAATCCATTCTAAGGCTATACTTAAGTTATTGCCACTGGGAGCGTTTACCCTGCAGCTGGTTTGCTTAATTGGAAGGGGGTTGGACTTGAGAGTTGGAACGCTGGCTGTAACCTTAATCTTGGCATACTAGCTGTGTGTTGGCCAATTCTCTGAGCCTCAGTTTACTTGTTTGCAAACAAACCTGGGATAATAACACTCATGTCACAGGTGTGTTATGAAGACTCAATGAGACACATTATGTGACAATGCCTGCTGCTTGACACAGAAGCCTTTATAAAAATGGTCCTTTTGTCCCCTCACCTACCAGGAGTCTGAGCTAGAGTCCCAAGTGAGCTTCTTTCCTCTTGATATTGTAGAAGTCATCACAGCCTGGTGGTAGTCACCCAGAATTCTAGGCCCACAGGGAATGTGGGTGTGTGAGTTTGTGGGCAAACTGGCTGCTGTGTTTGGGGGCAATTAGATATATACCTCTGGGAGCTTCCCATAACTTTCATGCTTAAAAATGTTCTGACTGCTTGAGATGTTTAGATTATTGATGACCTGCAAATGAGGTTCCAGGTGCTTTGTATATATCTATTGGCTCTTATGAACATGGTCACTTTTTGGCTTTCTTCTTTGTTAGAAGAGATTAGGTATGAAGAATAATAAGGCAGGGACCTCATTGTAGGAGGGAAGCCTGAGTCTCTGATTTGGGGTGGATCCATCTGAAGCAAGGGAGTCCAAGGGGGAAGAGAGCATGGTCCCATCAGGAGGGACTGGAACTCCCAGGAGTCTTTCCTATCAGGACATCTGACCATTAAGAGGATAGGTCAGCTCCCTCCCAGGTCCTTAGCAGGAATAACTTCCTTCCTTTGAGAAGATCCTTGGCTCCCAGGTTTGGTGGGCCAATAAATCTCAGTTTGGTGAAATAACTGAGGAGGAAAGAAATGTCAACCCTGTGGCAAATTTGCAGCGTTAAGTCCTGGGCCCAGCATCTCCTTCAATCCTGGATGTTTTAGGATTTTTGATTATGACTCTTCTAGGACATGCTCTCTTGTTCTTTGTGTGAGAAATCTCTTATTAGGTAGTACAGAATCAGAGCCTAGCTGAGCCTTACATTGGCTTGAGGAAGACAGGAAAAAAGCCTGTCACATGATCCCACCTATGCCGAGGGAGCAGTGACTGTGGCTGTGGGTGGTGTGTGTGGTGGTGAAGAATGCCTGGCAAGAGGAAGATTTTAAGGTAGAACGAGAAAATAATTTCACAGAAGTGGTAGGACTCTAGGTGCCCTTCTAGGAAGAATAGTGTTTAGATTGCTGTAAGGATGAGGGAAAGGTGTTTCTGGAGCAGAAGGTCAGGTTGGGCAGAGGGTGCAGGTAGGAATGAGTTTGTTTTGAGGAGGGGCAGGAGGAAAATGACAGTACCCATCGAGTACGAGTTTGCTCTGTGCACTAGTACTCATCCTGCCTCTGAAGAACATGCATTTTACTGGGGGAGATAGATAGACATTAAGCAAGGCAGGAATAAGTAAAATACTTATGGGCTATAATCACCCTATACTTATTTTGAAGGAAATAAACAGGGTTCTGTGATAGAGAATGCTAGGATTGTAGTTTACAGTATGGTCTTATATTGACTATTTCATCTATACCACAAGTCTTTGATGGAGCCAGGACAGATATTATTATCCCCATTTTATAGATGAAGTGACTTTGAAAGTTGAGGTGACTGACTAAAGGACACAGCCGTTGGCTCTTTTGCAATGTTGGGTAACTGAAGATGCTCGATGAATGCCTGACTACTCATCAGGCTTCCTATTCTAGCATGCAGTCTGCATGAAGGCAGGCCTGTTTCTTTTTGCTCCTTCCTTGGGAAAACTGTCAGCTCTAGAACTCTCATCTCAACTCTTGATATCCATCCAGCTTCCTGGAGATGGGCTACCCACCAGAAGTCAGCGACCAGAGAAAACCTCCACTTCACAAATGCACATTGACACTGTAAGCAGTGGAATAAATTGGCCTGTTTTCATTGCAGAAAAATAAGCATATTCTGAAATGATAGAAGCTCCCCGTCAATTAGGGAAATTAACATCCCTCTCTGTGGTTGGTGCTATTGCTGCACTTCATTTGCCTGACCCAAAGCACAGCAGTTTCTTTTTCATGAGCCGTTCCAGTTGGAAAGTAAATAGGATTTTTGGGGTCTTCTTTCTGTGGGTCCTGCTCCAGACTGGGCTCTCAATTCTGCCTGTGGTGTCCTCACAGAGTGAGATGGGAGGCAGATGCACATTGGGGAAAGTTGCGGTTGTGCTATTTGGAGCAAGTAATAATAGACATAGTAAAGCACAAATTAAGAATTGTTCTTGCACAACATGCCCAGCTGTCTCTAGTGAGGAACAGCAGGCGAGTAGATCTACTGGACTGGATCAATAAGTCCCATTGGTTAAAATGATCGGGGCAAAATGATTAAGAGATCCGAGTTTCAGTTTACTTAGTAAGAAAATACAGGCATATCTCAGAAATATTGCAGGTTCAGTTCTGGGCCACTGCAATAAAGCAAGTATCATAATAAAGCAGGTCACACACATTTTTTTGGTTCCCTAGTACGTATAAAAGTTATATTTGCACTATGCAAGTCTATTAAGTGTACAATAATATTTTGTCTAAAAAAAGATGTACATACCTGAATTAAAAAATACTTTAGTGCTAAAAAATGCTTACCATGATCTGAGCCTTCAGTGAGTCATAATATTCTTCCTGCTGGAGGGTCTTGCCTCAGTATTGATGGCTGCTGACTGATCAGGGTGGTGGTTCTGAAGGTTGGGGTGGCTGTGGCAATTTCTTCCTTTTTTTTGTGAGATGGGGTTCTTGCTTTGTCATCCTGGCTAGAGTGCAGTGGTGCAATCATAGCACCCTGTAACTTCAAATTCCTGGGCTCAAGTAATGTTCTTGCTTCAGCCTTCTGCCTCAGTTTCCCAAATAGCAAGGACTACAGGCTATTCTTGGATAACTTTTAAAAAGTTTTTTAGAAACAAGGTCTCACTATGTTGTCCAGACTATGTGAGCAATATTGATTGATTGATTGATTGAGTCAGGGTATCCCTCTGTCACCCAGGCTGGAGTGCAGTGGTGTGTTCTTGGCTTACTGCAACCTCCACCTCCTGGGCTCAAGTGATCTTCCCATCTCAGCCTCCCGAGTAGCTGGGACCACAGGTGCATACCACCATGTCTGGCTGATTTTCTTTTTTGTAATTTTTGATAGAGATGGGGTTTTGCCATGTTGCCGACGTGGGTCTTGAACTCCTGAGCTCAAGTGATCTGCCCACCTCAGCTTCCTAAAGTGTTGGGATTGCAGGCATGAGCCACCATGTCTGGTCACAGTTTTTAAAAATAAGAAAACAATGAAGTTTTCCACATCAGTGGACTATTCCTTTCCCCAAAAATTTCTGTCTAGCATGCAATACTGTTAGATAACATTTTACCCACAGTAGAACTTCTGTCAAAATTGGAGTCAATCCTCTCAAGCCCTGTCACTGCTTTATCAACTTATTTTATGGAATATTCTATATCCTTTTTTGTCATTTCAACAACATTCCTAGCATCTTAACCAGGAGTAGATTCCATCTCAAGAAATCCTTTCTTTGCTTATCCATAGGAAGCAACTCCTCATCCATTTAAGTTTTATCATGAGATTTTGCAGCAATTCAGTTAAAGCTCCAGGCTCCACCTGTAATTCTAGTTCTCTTGCAATTTCTACCACATCCGCAGGTCCTTCCTCCACTGAAGTTTCGAACCCTCAAAGTCATCCATGGGGTTTGGAATCAACTTCATTCAAGCTCCTGTTACTGTTGCTATCCTAACCTCCTTTCATGAATCATGAATGCTGGTTGAAGAAGAGGAAGAGAGACAAGGAATTGCTGGTTAGTGGAGCAGTCAGAAGGCACACAACATTTCGCGATTAAGTTTTGCTGTCTTATATGGGTGCAGTTCGTGGAGCCCCCAAACAATTACAATGGTAACATCAAAGATCATTGATCACAGATCACCATAACAGATTTAATAATAATGAAAGTGTTTGACATATTGTGAGAATTGCCAAAATGAGACACAGAGACACAAAATGAGCACGTTCTGTTGGAAAAATGGCACCAATACACTTGCCCAATGCAGGGTTGCCACAGACCTTCAATTTGTTAAAACAAACGCAAACAAACAACAAAAACCCCATGGTGTCTGCAAAGCATAAAAATGTGAAGTCCAATAAAAGAGGTATTCCTGTATCCATAATGCTTACTGATTAAAAAAAAATCCACAATGCCTGAGACTATCCTTTGAGGAAGCTTACGTTTAATAACCACAAACCATTAAAAGCCCTGGGTGAATCTTTGAGAACACAGAGCCAAATAAGATAAAGGACACATATTCAAGGAGTGCTGTGTCTAGTGGGAGAGACAGCTGTGTGGAGACTAGGAATGGTATATGACCCATTGCACAAGCTGTGTGTGAGCAACATGGGCCAGTGCTCCATGAACAGATGGCATGAAAGGGAGGGCCTGGGCAAAACTTTACTGGAAAGGTTACCTTTGAACATGTGCTGCAGGCTAAGCAAAATTTGCCAGGTGGAGCAGGGAATCTCCAGTTTTGGGGCCAAAGCTTCGTGGAGGAGTTCCTGAGCCTAGAGTAGGTTGTGTTCTTGAGATTTCTCCCTTAGCCCTCAACTTTGGGACTTTGTCTTCTTCCTTTCCACCTTGTTTGCCTCCCTCTGTGGATAGGGAGACACGATTTAATACATTTCCGTTGAGAATGTTGAAAGATCAGGAGGAATAATTGATCCACTTATAAAAGTCTCCACATGAGGACAGTGACTCTGTGGCACAGCATCTCCTTAGCAAGTCTACGGGAGGCATTGCTGATTAACTTGGTATGTTGTCTGCTGAGCCCTGACTCAGCCCCTAAATCTTTCTTACCACAGTGTTCCAGGAAGCTTCCACCAATCCAAGTCACCAGGTGAGGGAAAAGTTATTTGCTATGTCCATTCCAGTCAGTCTTCATTGATCTTGTTGGGCATACATGTCCTGCAGGGAGCAGAGTCCCCCTCCCGCTGGGGGAGAACAAGGACAGAGCCAGTGTCCCCATCTTCAGAAGGATGGGACAGGCCATTGCAGTGAGTGGTACAACACAGGTGGCATCCCCAGAAGTAGAAACTCCTATCTCCAGCTTTGGTTGTGTCCTTTCTCTCTCAGTGTATGCTGCTCTTTCTCTCTAAATTTTTGACTTTGAGTCCTCTTCATTCTCCATGTGTGAGGCATCATGAGCTACAGAGATGATGAGAGGTAAAACATGAAAAAACTAGGCATACTTTATAACTTAAGAGTCCCTTACTGTCTGAGTCTTAAGGGTTTCTTAATGTCTTGAGAGCAACAGGGCAAGCATTCAGGACATAGTTAAGAAAGTATACTATTTCAACAATGTGCATAGATTCTGTAGTAATTTTTAACACCATATAATAGCGATTATTTTGAATGCTATTTACTAGGTAATACATGATTATGTGCCAGCATGAACAGGCAGTTAAATCCCACAGGTAATTCACTGGAAAGATATAGCTTGGGTCTCCCAAATTTCAGGTGAGGAGAGGGCCACGCAAACCAGCCCTTATGCTACAGTGGGACAGGAGCTTTGCTAAAGCTCTCTGTAAAGGAGAATGAGGAGCAGGGACAACTGACCTGGGGCAATAGCTGGGTGACTAAGATTTGTATGACCTTCAGGAGAAAGGGACAGCAAATAAGCCAAAGAGGAAAGTGAGAATGGCCCATTCAGGACTGCAATTCATTCACATGGGTATAGCCACGGGAGCTGGAAAGTGGTTACGGATGAGCCTAGAGATGCTCATAAATGACGCTGAGTCTTGTTGAAAAGCTGGGTTGGGCTTGGCTGTGAGGACAGCAATGAGCTGCAGAAGTAGGGGAGCAAGGAAAGGTGTGATGGTATCACTGAGGCAGCAGCCAAGGATGGATTGGAGGCCAGCGGCACGGAGTCCTTTTAGTGACCCAGATGCTAAACAAAGGTAGAGGCAACAGGGGAGGAGGAGGAAGAATTTAAAACACAGGAAGACAGAAGACAGGGCAGGATCTGCTAACAGACTCTTTTGGGGCTATGTGGGAGGGAGAACTCACCCATGTCTTCCAGATTTCCAGCTTAGGTTGGGATTTGAACAGGGAGGAAGTATTCAGATTGAGGTGATGGCTAATAATTGGGGTTAGGAGGATCCTTAGAAGATTGAAGCCCAACTTCCTGCTTTTAGTCACCATCCATGCCAAATTTAAAGCATCCAGGATAAACGCGGATTTATTCCATTTAAAAAGTGTAGCAGAAGAGATCATCCCTTTTGTCTTCCTTGGGAAACCATCCCAGTTCAGAACAATTCACCCAATAAAGAATTGCTCTATCCTTGAGTCCACTTTACTCGGCTAGAATTTTTTGAGATTATTATGTATAAGTTACTTCAGGGTTCCAGTCTTTTTTCCTGTTCCTGTTTTCTTTGCTTCTTGCAGACATAGAGTGTAGACTTGGCTTAGGGATGGTCGTGACAGGAAACTCCAAGGACACACTTTACAAAAGATCTAACTTAGCTGCTAAACTTTCCAGCAGCACTAGAATGATTAATGAAGGGCTAAGTAACCCATTTCAGTGCATTATTTTCTGGCAGACACTAGTTCATCATCTGCAGCATATCCAACAAAACATCAATGCACACACACTCAAAGAGAAGGGCAAGGTGTGGAAAGAAAAAGAAAGAAAAGATGATAAGCAGAGGAGGAGGGGAAGAAGAGAAGGAGAAGAAGAAAGAAATGGAAAGAAACAGAGTAAAAACATATCACATAAGGTTAAGTGGAAGGATGGAAGGACTGACCTGAGAAAGAGCAGAAGGGAAGCCTGCAGAAAGTGAAGGCGAGAGAATCCTTCTGCTGCAGGAGGTAGGGAGAGGGCAGGGTGGTACTTGTGACCCAGGATGGCAGAGTGAGGTCAAGGATAGAGTAAGGACAGACTCCAGGAGACATTTGGCTCATGATTACAGCTCTAGCAATAATGTTATTCCACAGATTACTAGGGGTGACTCTTTATACACTTTTTATATACAGGAATTTAAAGATACAATGGCTAAGCAAAAATAAAACCCTAGAATGTGTCTCTGTTGCCATTGCCAGCTCAGGGCATGCTGTGGCTGTTTGCTGGAGGTCCAGGATCCAGTCATCCTTCCGTGGCCCCTCTGTGTGTTCCCTCTTGGCACCTTGGCCTATCTCCCTGCCATGGAGCTACATATAGGTTATCCTTGCACACCATGTTTTTCACAACATACTTTGTCCTGGGTTCTGAGGAGCCTTTGAGTTTAGGCTTTGCTTGCATCTCATGGTGGCCCTTTCCTCCTCTGGTGTCAGCCTCCTGACCTGCCACTTCTGCACTGTGGCTCTCAGAAAGCTTATGTGGCCCCCTTTACTATTCACCTTAGAGGGTCTTCTCTGTTTGGAAGGTGTTCTCCTTTGGCCTCCTCTCTCATTCCTTCTTGACCTAGTCTTTCTGTCTCCAAAGAGAACATTGGAAGAGCAGTGGAGCAAAGTCAGAAGAATGTGGCCAGTTCATCAGCATCACACTTGGTATCTGAGTGTTTGAGGACTTTGTGGCAAAGCACCAGAGACTGGGTGGCTTAAACAACAGAAGTGTCTTCTCTCACAGTTTTGGAGGCTGGAACTTCAAGGTCAAGGTGTCTATAGGGTTGGCTCTTTCAGGGCTATAAGAGAGAATCTGTTTCAGCTGGGCGCTCTGGCTAATGCCTGTAATCCCAGCACTTTGGGAGACTGAGGTGGGCGGATCATCTGAGGTCAGGAGTTCGACACAAGCCTGGCCATCATGGCGAAAACCCAGCTCTATGAAAAATACAAAAAAAACATTAACTGGGTGTGGTGATGGGCCCCTGTAATCCCAGCTACTCAGGAGGCTGAGGCAGGAGAATCGCTTGAACCCAGGAGGCGGAGGTTGCAGTGAGCTGAGATCGGGCCACTGCACTCCAGCCTGGGAGACAAGAGTGAAACTCTGTCTCAAATAAATAAATAAATAAATAAATAAATAAATAAATAAATAAATAAAATAAAATAAAATAAAAGAGAGAGAGAGAGAGAGAATCTATTTCAAGTCTCTCTCCTTGGCTTGTAGATGAGTCTTCTCCCTGTGCCTCTTCACATTATCTTTCCTTTGTGAGTGTCTGTCTCTGTGTCCAAATTTCTCCATTTTGTAAAGACACCAGTCACATTGGATTAAGGTCCACCTTCATGACCTCATTTTAGCTTGATTACCTCTGCAAAGACCTTATCTCCAAATAAGGTCTCATTCTGAGGTACTGGGGGGTTAGGACTTCAACACACTGGGGGGACACAATTCAACCCATATGAGTATCTTAGATTGTGTGGGCTCTGTGAAGAAGAGATCTGCTTCTAAGTTCTCCCACATTCTGCTCTTTCTCTATAATCAACACAGCTTCCCCCACCCACCAACTATTACCATGCTGTGCACATGCAGTCTCATTCCTCTTGTGTGTGTTCCCGGACAGCTCTGGGATGGGGGCTTCTTCCATGGGATCCCTGTAGCCATGTGCTTGATCCCAGTGAACCCTTCTTTTATTCAGGAGCGTTGTAAATGTCTCCCCTGTAATCAGGCCCAGGGCACTAGCTCCTTGATACTGGGCTAGGGTGACCATAGTCCTAACGAGAAGAGAGATGCTGCCTCCCCCGCTCACCTGGACCGAAGCCCAGAAATGGGTCGAATGTTCCTTTCTGGAATGAGCACATGAACTAAAGAGCAATATAGAAAATATACTGTTCTTTGGGTAGTAATTTATTAATTCAACAAAAATTTGTTGAGCACTTACTCTGCCAGGCACTATGCTGGGAACTAAGTGTATGGTGATGAGGGAAGCAGACATTACCTCTCCCTCATGGAGTTTCCTTTCCATAGGCACAAAGCTGATCATTCAGTGGAGTCCATTCTCACCATGAGAAGAACATTCTACTGTCAGCAGGCAGAGTGAGGATGGAGACATCACTGATTCACTTGGCTAGTTCCATGTGGGCATTCCATGTCCATGGATGAATGGATAAGTAACTGATCCACAAGAGGAGGGTAAGTTTGAAAAAGGCTTCTCATTGCATAGAGACCCAATGTATCTGTAGATAGATGTGGCTGTACCCAACATATATTATTACATTTTATAAGTATAACTAATGAGTCCTTGTGCAATATGAAAGTTTATCCTAACTTCTCTTAAGTGTATGAATTTAGAATTTTATATGTTAGGATTTTGGCAGTGTGCCCAGCTGAAGCTGCATTATTTTAAAAAAAAATTAATAGGCCTAATTTTTAGAATAGTTTTAGACTTACAGAACTATTGAACAGATAGTATAGAGAGTTCTCATGTCCTCCCCCACCAACCCTCACACCATTTCCCCTGTTTTTAACATTTTGCCTCAGTATGGTACATTTGTTACAACTAATGAATCAATATCGATACATTATTCTTAACTAAGGTCCATCATTTATTTCAATTTCCACTGGATCAATTATTTAGACCTTTGCCATGGCCTTGGCATGCACATGTGGGTCTAGCTAATGTTCTGTTACTGTCCAGGATCCCATCTAGGATACTCTATTACATTTATTTATCCTTAGGTTCCTCTCCACTGTGATAGGTTTGCAGACTTTCCTAGTTTTGAGAAATGATTCTCAAGTCTATTGTAGTATGTTCCTCTATTAGAATTTTTTTTAATTAGACTGAGGTTATGGGGTTTGGGAGGAAGACTGCAGGGGTGAACTACCATTTTCATCACATCATATTAAAGGTACCTGCTATCAGCATGATTTATGACTGTTGATGCTGACCTCAGCCATACTCTTTTAATAAATAAACTAGCATATCCAGATATATTTTTACATGTGAGTCTGACTTTGAAGCCTTACAGATTGATTTTCCTGGCTCTAGATTTTTTCATTATATTTAACATGTCTAAATGCTTCTACCTAGAAATGCCTGCCACAGGCAGTACCAATGCTGGTGAGAATGTGGAATAAAAGAAACTCTTATACAATGCTAGGGAGAGTCTCAAATTCTGCCACTATTTTGGAAAACCATTTGACGTTATCTAGCAAAATTGAAGATGTTCTGTCTCAATAACAAAAAGAACCGCTTCTATAGTATGCACCTGATGTAGTTTGGATATTTGTCCCTTCCAAATCTCACACTGAAATTTGATCACTAGTGTTGGAGGTGGGGCCTGATGGGAGGTATTTGGGTCATAAGAGTAGATTTGTTATGAATGGTTGTCCTCTTGGTTGAGAGTGAAATCTTACTCTGTTAGTTCCCTCAAGATCCAATTGTTGAAAGGAGACTGGCACCTGCTTCTGCCTTTTTCTTCGTCCTTCCTCTTGCCATGTGGTTCCTGCTCCCCTTTACTTTCCACCGTGAGTGGAAACGATCTAAGACTCTCACCAGAAGCAGATGCTGTTGCCATGCTTCTTGTACTGCTGGCATAACTGTGAGCCAAACAAATCTCATTTCTTTACAAGTTACTCAGCCTCAGATATTCCTTTATAGCAACACAGACTAAGACAGCACTCTAGAGAAATACTGGTATATATGCACCAGGACATGTGTACAAGGATTTTCATAGAAGTGTCGTTGGTATAGTAAGTGCCAAAAAAGTAGAATTAGTCCTCATATCCACCAGAAGTGTTAGGTTGATGCAAAAGTAACTGCAGTTTTTGCAATTAAATTTGCAATTAAATAGAATGCATAAACATATTGTGGTGTATTTACATGATACCAAGTTACAGAGCAGCAAAAGTGATTCAACTACAGCTCCTTTCAACATGGTTGAATCTTACAGATACTGTGTTGGGCAAAGAAATTTTAGAAAGCAAGTTAGAAGACATCTCATTTATAGAAAAGTATATAAATAAATGAATTTCTCATTTATAGAAAAGTAGAAAAAATAGGCAAACCCACACAATATATTTTGTAGTGATACATGTGTGTGTGGTAAAACTATAAAGAAAAGCAGGCTGGGAGTGGTGGCTCACGCCTGTAATCCCAGCACTTTGGGAGGCGAAGGCAGGCGGATCACGAGGTCAAGAGATCGAGACCATCCTGGCCAACATGGTGAAACCCCATCTCTACTAAAAGTACAAAAATTAGCTGGGCTTGGTGACGCACACCTGTAGTCCCAGATACTTAGGAGGCTGAGGTGGGAGAATCGCTTGAACCTGGGAGGCAGAGGTTGCAGTCAGCCTAGATCGTGCCACTGCACTCCAGCCTGGCAACAGAGCAAGAGTCTGTCTCAAAAAAAGAAAAAAGAAAAGCAAAGAAATGGTTAATATAAAACATGGATAATGGAGTAAGAAGTAGGATTGGGATGAGGAGGGACACACAGGTATTAGTAATATTGTATGATTTAATCTATATGGTGGGCTCATGGGAAATCATTTTATTATAATTCTTGGAACTGTACATATATGCTTTATATACTTTATTGTATTCAATATATATTTCCTAACTTTTAAAAATACAAAGCCACATAAGAATTGTAAGTTAAAGTTAACTAGAAATAAAATACTGTTAGAGCAAATCAATGTAATCCTGTTTATGGGAGGGAAACTCTCATGAACTGTGAGATCCCCTTAGCCTGCATCTGTCTTGCTTGCTCCAGCTCCTACCACAAAGGGAGGCTGAATACATGCTTCTGGTGGCTCCATTTCCCCCAGTGGGAGTCCCCCAAAGTCCCTGGGCTCAGGAGATAGAATGTGCCTCCTGAGTTTATGATTATCCCTCTTTACTTAATTTTTATGTCTGTGGTGCAGTGAATCCAAAACTGACTGGGGCATGACCTCTGGGGTGCAGAAGGCAGGGACCCCTCAAGCAATGGATCACCAGGGCCAAGAGAGTCTTAGGTGGTGGAGGAAGGCCCTCGGTGGAGAGAGAAATCACTCCAGATGGACTAACCAAGGAAGGCTCTTGGACCAGCAAGGATTTTAGCTGGATTGTAAATTATTGGTTGTTTTAGATGAACAGAGGATTGAAGGGTCAAAATCCTTTTGATATTGTTTACTTCTTTGTTTTCTCTTTTGGGTCATGTCCCTTGCTAAGGTCAGTCATTATCAGAAGGAGTATAAAGAAGGGCCAAAGAAAAATGTTCCCTGTTCTCTTCTACCTTTTAATTCATCAAAGTAGGGCAAGAAGGAGGCAGGCATTTTTCTTTTCTTTTCTTCTTCTTCTTCTTCTTCTTTTTCTTTTCCTTTTTTTTTTTTTTTTTTTTTTTTTGGTAGTCAGGGCATGTTAAGGAAGGAACAATGCCTCTAACAACATCCCCTGTCCATCTTCTTTGTTGGTTTCAGCAGCTTCAGTAGAAGTGTGACCCTGGGCCAGTTACTCCCTAAACCTCAGTTTTCTCACCTATTAGAAAGAGGATAGCAATACTATTTCTGGGGCTCATCATCAGCACCACCCAAGCCTGGTGGCTCTTTTTATTGTTATCCAAGAAAATACTAAAATAGGCCCCAAACCATTACCAGTTTCACAGAAGCAAGCACCACACCCAGGTTTGCTTCTACTTAAGCTTCTAGGGTATTCAGGCCAGAAGAGAGAGGGCAGTGGGGAGAGGGGCATCAGGGGATAAGGGGCTGAGGGGTGCACAGCAGGCACATGAGAGCCTGAATGTCATGGTTACTTTTCCATTGAAATAATCATAATTGTGTGCTGAAGTCATCATTTAAATAAACAGCTCTCATTTACTGAAGTTCTATTTTAGGACCTATGGCACCAAAGCCCTAGTGTTGTTCAGTTTACGGTCTTGGCAAGAAGCAATGGGAGGCACAAGCATAGATATTATGAAGTGAGATACATGGGTAACATTGCGGTGTCAGACCCAGGGGGAAGAAACACTGCATCTATTTTTGTTTCTTACGAAATTGACTCAGAATTCTGAGATCCTCTTTCCTCAGGCAGGTAAGCACATTTTTCTCCTAACAGGCTTTCTTTTCCCTGTTGGTAGGGAGTAGTCCATTCACTTTGGAGAGGTCCTCTTTTTTTAAAGAAAAGTACTAAAGGACATTAATTGAGATCATTTCAATATGTTAATACATCGATTCGCTTCCCCAGTGCATCTCGAGACTGCAGATTGAAGCTTGCCTCGCCACTCTGTATGCACCGGCTCTCCACACCCAAGGCTTATCATAAGCAATTATCTTACCCAAATAAAAAATGAAAATGGAAAAGTTAAATAAATAACAGGACATCTTGATGGAATCGCAGTAACGCTCATCTTGGTTAACATTAGCCCTGACTTTTGGACAGCTCGATTTGTTAATACGCTTGTCCTTTGTTTAGGCATCTATCTCTGTAAATCTCATGACTTTCCAAAATGATGGATGGTAACCATCTCTGCTCTCCCCTAAAAATACATTCTCTGGGAAACCGGAAAAAGCAAAATGGGCACTGTAACCCTGACCTGAGTGTTGCTTAGATTGGAGAAAAACCTCAAAACTGAATTCACCTCAAAACCTAAGAATTATTATGGCTTTCCCCACGACAGTTTCAGCGTTCTACTGTTCCCGGGTTTCCTGCTAGGTTAGAGAGCTCTGCCTAAGTGCACCAGTCAGGCCTCAAGGAATTTGAACTGAAAACTGAAACTTGGGGTAGCAGTCAGGTTGGGCCAGGTTGGGCTCTGGCAGCAAACAACCCTAAACCTCAGGGGCTGAACTCTGCAGAATTTTTTATTTCTTCTTCATGCAAAGCCATAGGTGCTGCTGAATAGCCACAGCAATTCCCCTCCAGGTCCCCAGCCCGACATCCAGACTGCTTTGACTTTTTAGCATCTCCATCCCAATATGCACTTGTACCATGGCCACAGGAGAGACAGAGAAGCCTGGAGATTCAGGTACTGTTGATTTAAAAGCTCTGGCAAGGACATAGGCTGTTTCCATTTACATTTCATTGCCCAGGACTGGTCACATGTTCAGCCCAGACAAAAGGGGGAAGGAAAGTGCACCAGGAAGTAAAGGAGCCCTCCACGGTGGTACCTGGGTAATGTCTAAGTGCTCGGGAACTTTTGACTACTGGTGAGTTGTTTCTCCCTACTCTCCATGAATGTTGGTATCTTGACCCAGGTGTCAGCCATCTGGGACTTCCTGTGTTCTACACTTCTTAAGTACAGTACATGTATGTATATATATGTATTTGTTAGAATAGTTTTAGGTTCACAGCAAAACTAAGCAGAACGTATAGGGAGTTCCCGTATATATTGCCCCGACACAGGCACTACCTCCCCCACTATCAACATCCAGCACCTAAGTGGTACGTTTCTTACACTTGGTGAACATACACTGACACATCACTGTCACCCAAAGTCCATCGTTTACGCCGGGGTTCTTTCTTGGTGTTGCACATTTTGTGGATTTGGACAAATGTATGACAGGTATTCACCATTGTAGCATCATACAGACTATTTTCATTGCTCAAAAATTCCTCTGTGCTCTGCCTATTCATCCCTTTCTCCCACTAACTTCTGGCAACCACTAATCTTTTTATTGTCTCCATAGTTATGCTTTGTCCAGAATGTCATATAGTTTGGAATTATATAGCATGTAGCCCTTTCAGATTGGCTTCTTTCACTTAGTAATATGCATTTAAGTTTCCTCCATCTCTGCAACTTGATAGCCCATTTCTTTTTAGCATGGAATAATATCTCACTATCTGGGTGTACCACAGGTTATTTATCCATTCACCTACTGAAGGACATCACATTCATTTCCAAGTTTTGTCAATTATGAATAAACCACCATAAACATCTGTGTGCAGGTTTCTGTGTGGACACAAGTTTTCAACTCCTTTGGGTAAATACCAAGTGATGTAATTGCTGGATGATGTAGTAAGAGTATGTTTAGTTTTCTAAGAAAACAAACAAACAAAAACCACTGACAGACTGTCTCCAAAGTGTTTGTATCATTTTGCATTTCCACCAGCAATGAAACAGAGTTCCTGTTGCTTCACATCCTTGCCAGCATTTGGTCTCGTCAGTGTTTTGGATTTTGGCCATTGTAATAGGTGTACAGTGGCATCTCATTGTTTTAATTACATTTCCCTAATAACATGATTTTGAGCATCTTCCATATCTTATTTTCCATCCGTATATCTTCTTTGGTGAGGTATCTGTTCATTTTTTAATACAGTTATTTTCTTAATATTGAGTTTGAAGAGTTGTTTGTATATTTGGGTAACCTTTATTAAGTATCTCTTTTGCAAATATTTTCTCCCAGGCCGTGGCTTGTTTTTAATATATATTTTTAAACTGACATAAAGTCTCAATCTCCATATGGCACCAATATTACCATCAATGCCTCTGAAGATTTTTGGAAGTGGAGGTGCTTTTATTTTTCTTAGTCACTTCTAGCTAGAATTTCCTGTGTCCAGTGAATCTTTGATCACTACTCGGAGGAAAGCAGTTGCAAACGTGAAATGTAGCCTGCTTTTTCTTGTAATTCCTTTCATCTCTCACCTCTCTTTCTCTCCCTTCTACCTTCAAGCACTACTGATCCACTGAGGTTTGGGCCACGGGAGAGAGGTTGCAGTATGGTACCCCATAATGGTTTAAAGTGTAATAGCAGATATTACCATTCTTTTTTTTTTTCTTTTCTTTCCAACTTTTATTTTAGGTTCAAGGGGTACATGTGCATGTTTGTTACATGGGTAAATTGTGTGTTGCAGAAGTTCAGTGTACAGATAATTTTGTCACCCAGGTAATCAGCCTAATACCTGATAGATAGTTTTGCAATCCTCATTCTCTTCTCATCCTCTCCCCTTAAGTAGGCCCTAATGTCTATTGCTCCCTTTTTTGTGTCCATGTGCACTCAATGTTTAGCTCCCACTTACAAGTAAGAGCTTATGGTATTTGGTTTTCTGTTCCTGTGTTAATCTGCTTAGGATAATAGCCTCCAGCTCCATCTATGTTGCTGCGAAGGACGTGGTTTCATTCTTTATGGCTGCATAGTATCCCATGGTGTATATTTACCATATTTTCTTTATCCAGGCCACCATTGATGGACATCTAGGTTGATTCTATGTCTTTGCTATTGTGAATAGTGCTGCAATAAACATATGCATGCACGTGTCTTTATGGTAGAATGATTTATATTCCTTTTGGTATATGCCCAGTAATGGTATTGCTGGATCAAATAGTACTTCTATTTTAAGTTCTTTGAGAAATTTCCATACTGCTTTCCGTAGTACTCAATGTACTTTCCACAGTGGCTGAGCTAATGTACAGCCCCACCTGCAGTGTATCAGCGTTTCCTTTTCTCCGCAACATTGTCAGCATCTGTTATTTTTTGATTTTTTTAATAATTGCCATTCAAACTGGTGTGAGATACTATCTCATTGTGGTTTTGATTTGCATTTACCTAATGATTAGTGATATTGATCATTTTCTATATGCTTGCTTGCTGTGTGTATAACTTCTTTTGGAAAGTGTCTGTCCAGATTCTTTGACCATTTTTTTTGTGGGGTTGTTCGTTTTTTGCTTGTTGATTTAAATTCCTTATAGATTCTGGATATTAGACCTTTATAGGATGCATAGTTTGCAAATATTTTCTTCCTATTCTTTAGGTTGTCTGATTACTTTGTTGATAATTTCTTTTGCTTTGCAAAAGCTCTTTAATTAGGCCCCACCTGTTAATGTTTGTTTTTGGTTGCAATTGCTTTTGAAGTCTTCATCATAAAGTCTTTATCAGGGCGGATGTCCAGAATAGTATTTCTTAGGTTTTCTTCTAGGGTTTTTATAGTTTTAGGTTTGACATTTAAGTCTTTAATCTATCTTGAGTTGATTTTTGTATATGGTGAAAGACAGGGATCTAGTTTCAATCTTCTGCATATGGCTAACCAGCTCTCCCAGCACCATTTATTGAATAGGGAGTCCTTTACCCATGCTTGTTATTGTCTTGTTGAAGATCACATGGTTATCAGTGTGTGGCTTTATTTCTGGTTTCTCTAACATGTTCCATTGGTCTATATATCTGCTTTTGTACCAATACCATGCTGTTTCAGTTACTATAGCCTTGTAGTATAGCCTTGAATGCAGGTAGTGTGGTGCCTCTAGCTTTGTTCTTTCTGCTTAGGATTGCACTGGCTATTTGGGCACTTTTCTTTGGTTCCAAATGAATTTTAGAATTTTTATTTTCTAATTCTGAATATCACAATTGTTTAAAATTGTTCAGCCATACCCAGAACCTGGAATTCTCAGCAACCACCTTTTTTCTATCTCCATGTTGCGTGTTGCACTTTTTGTACCTACTTCCTCTCTCCTTTACATCTTCTGAATGGTCTCCAGTCTCTGAACTTCTTGTTTAACCACCGTTCTGATTATAAGTACAGAAAAAATTTCTCTTATATCCTGATGCAGAGATATTCATTCAGTGCTTCCTTTGCTCTGGTCTCTCCTTTTAGAACATACTCTAGAGTCTATCTTTTAATACTCAAATTGTCCATTATGCATTTCATTATAACATAATACATTTTAATAAATTTTTTCCCACTCAGAATTTCTACTGCTGACTTAGGCATACCCCTCCGTCACCTTTATAGAAGAATCCTGACAAATATGATACAAGGATAGAATTTTTTAAAGCATAAAGTATAGAAAACAACAGTCATGAATGAGCCTGTGTGGCTAGCTTTGGGAGTGGGAAGTGGTATTTTATTCATGATGGCCATTCATAAGCACACCTATTCGTAGAAGAAAGCTCTCATCATAAAATCAGGTGTTCAACTTGTTTTAAGGACAGTTTACCCAGAAAGGCTTGCTAAGATCATCCAAAAGGCTACTACAAAGAACGAATGTTTGAAAATGTTGCAACTTGAAAGTGCCACTGAAGAATCAGAACAAACTAGGGCCCCATTTCCCCCATGCCCACTCCCTCCCTGGCAGCAAGGCCCTTGGCAGTTGACAGTGTTAGCAAGGGAAGCACATGGTAGAGATTTTAGGTAATGCTGCTGAAGATATCTATCTGTTGAAAATGTATTCCTGCCATTTTATGCACTTTGCAGCTCTGGGAAGTTCTGGGGATTGCTTGAATATTTCATTTTTGCTATTTTGTTTTCGCTTTTGTTTTTTTAAGACAGGGTCCCACTCTGTCACTCAGGCTGGATCTTTGCTCACTGCAGCCTCGACCCCCTGGGCTTCAAGTGATCCTCCCATCTCTGCCTTCTGAGTAGTGCTATTTCTTATTAATGTTTATATCAGTTGGTTGATTACTAGTCGTGAATAGTAATATTTCTTTCTCTTTCTCTTTCAACAGGCTGTAGTGCTGTGCTGGGTACTGTGAATTGTGGTTACTCTTAAGCATATTTAGAAATCCAAGGAGATACTATTTTGGATTTTCTATAAACTAATTTCACTTAACTCTCTCCAAGTAAAATCAACAGTTTCTTTCTACTCTACCACAGTTTGTTTCTCTTGAACTCTTTTTTCCACTTCTAACCCTTTTCCTGGCTCCTTTTCCTTCATCTTTTTCTCTAAGAATGCTTGGGAAGGTTGGCTTGGAGTTTCTTCACCTCTGTGGCCAGAATGGGGTATGAGACTCCATGTCTTCAGTCCCCTTACAACTTAATCTCCTTCTTCAAAAATCAGAGCCACTGCCTAGTATTACATGAAGTCTTCACTGTTGGTGACATAATTTAAGATGCTGTGAGAAAAGAACTAGAATATTTGACACCTTGTAGTTGAATAATCCAATAAATCATTGAGGATTTATTGAATGTTTTTACCACTAGGTAAATATTTTGTCCTTAGCCAAGTTTGAGTTGGGATTTTAAGACAAGAGTGTGCATGTTTTTCCCATTCTGCTTGCCATGCCCTGTAATATGTGGGGAGGAATTGGAAGGGGAGGCAGACTGGGATCAAAAAAGGTGGAGAAACATGTAAAGAATGGGATTTATCTGTATTTATTTATTTTTACTTTTTTAAACCTTTTAAAGAAGAATGGAAAGAAATTAGCAATAGTAACAATAGTACATTATTTAAGTGTCTAGTACGTAACAAGTACAGCATTAGTCTCTTTGCACAAACTATCACATACAGTTTGAGAAGTTAAAGAACAAAGGCTGTTAAGATTTATGCAGAGGGAGCAGGCTTACCTAGGCTGCTGCTGCAGAGAACAGAAGAACAGAATTGGTGGATGGAACTTATATTAAGAATATGAAGAAATTTTTAAGCAGTTATCCTTGCCTGATAATTGCTGGGCTTCCCTGGAGGCAAGTGATCTTTTGGCTGCAGATTTAGAGGTTTGTCCTAAGGACTGCTAACACAACAAGCCAGGCATCAGACATTATCATCATCTAAAAAGCATTATTTTAAAAGGTATTGCTTAAGTTTCATTGTCCACCTTGAGCCATGGTAGAGAATGTGCTGAGGGAAAGCCCCAAGCACACACAAAGTTCTTTGCCCTCTGGAAACTGTCAGGTCAGGAAGCTAACCCTGAGACACAGAGCATCATTCGTTACTTCTGTAATATTTCCATTACAGATTTGTGGAGCCAGTCATGGAGCTCATTTAATCCAGGTGGGGTGGGGGGTTATTCCCTCTCTCAGAATTGGGACAGTCTTCCTAGGACTAAACAGTGGAAGAGAGGAGCATTCTTTAGGAATTGATAGGCAGGTAGACGCCTGTGGATCCATTGTGTGAGGAGGCCCAGGGATGGAAGTAAGAGGATGAGATCAGCACTGTCTTAGACCCAAACTAGATGGCTCCTCACCTTATCCCTCTACTTTTAGGGGCCTGCTTCAGCCCTCTTCTGACTGTGCTTCTCTATGCAAGGTGAGGCATCCACAGGATGAAGGATGTGTGCCCACTCTGAGCTCATACCTCTCCACCCCCACTTTCTAGTGTATGCTCTGAGTTCATCAACCCAGAATTCTTGAGTTTCCAGGCCTGGCATCACCTTTTTCCTAAGTCAGGCCTCCAGAAGTCGGAAGACACACAAAGTCTCCATGCTGGCTACAGGGCAGCTGTTTGTAGAGGGCATATTGGGAGCTTGGGTGTGTGGACTGGAGCATCTGCATGTGTGGGAGGCTTGTGCTGTGCAGGACATAGCCATGCTGGAGAGGGAAGAAGAGGCAGGATGGGACCCTGGGATTAACTCCACACCTCCATGTCCAGTGCAGAGCTCTAAGGAGTATGAGAATTCTAAATGTGAAACTGGCCTTCTAGGTTGATTTGAAGGTATTTATAAGGCATGAGGATACAAAATATTTTATTTACTATGTGGGTATTTTAATATGTTAGCTTGATATATGGTAGACCTGGAGTATGTGGTCTCCATTTGTACTGTGGCTGAGGGCATGCCAGTGTTGTCTCTCCTCCTTAAGGTTATTGTTGAGGATTTTCTTTTAGATGTCATTGTTCATGGGGCAGAGGACAAAGGCAGTGGAGATCTGGCTGCCTCTTCCCACTGCATCCATCAGACTCATTCTAATCAAAATGTAATAAAAATCCTAACAAATAAGGCTAAGTAAAAGGAATTGTTTCTCAGTGGGTTGAGTTTGTCAAGAGGTGCCCGTCATATTTTGTGATATGCTGCTCATGTTCCCTAATTCCCCTAACCTTCTCTGAAAGAGAAGGAAAACTTTCTAGAAGGATGAGTTGCAAGAGAGATCTGCCTATCTACATCCTTCCATGTTACACACACAGACACACATGCACATATACATGCACACACATGTTGGTGAGCTTCCTTTTCTTCCCTTTCTTTAAACTTGGGAGGCTTTACAGAGGCTTTTCTTCCACCTGTTTGCATCAGCTACGTAAGGGGCTTGCAGTGAGAGTTGCTATGGCACATCTTTGCAGATAACAGGAGTTGGCAGATGTTTTTTAATTAAAGAAATTCAGGTTATGAAAAAGATGTCATGGGTAGAGAGAGTGGGAACTTGCCAACCACAAACCCCTGCTCACGCTCACTCAGCCCTGGCTTGCGGCACCTGCCTCTGGATTCTACAAAATGCCATTGTCAGGAGAGGAAGGGAGTAAGGAGCCGATGTAGGTATCAGGATGCTGCCAGCACCTGATTATCTACCATTTGGGGTACGGGGCCAAAACATGAATGATCTCTACATCCCTAGTGAGCACAAAGCAACACTGTAGCCAATGTTTTGACTTCCTTCTTTCACAAACTACCCATTGGAGCTTTTCAGCCCTTTGAGTCTTCTACGTGACTCTTCTTCCCTGTCTTTCTGGCCAATGACAGCAATGGAAATCACGCACTGTTAAAATAAGTTTAGACTGAAGCTGCCTTCTGACATATTTTAAGTTTGGCCTAAAAGTTTCTCCATACATAGTGGACTGTACCCTAACTGGATGTGTAAACAGACTGTAACCTATTGTTGTGCCAATCACTGAGTTTCAGCCAATCAAAGGTGGCCCACTCTTTAAGCCATGTTCAAATAAGGCAAACATGGAGCTGTAACCAATCTGGCTGTTACTGCACCTTGCTTCTGTTTTCTGTACATCACTTTCCTTGTTCTGTCCATAAATCTTTTTAGACAATGCAATAGCTCCAGAGCCTCTCTAAACATATTGTAGTTCAAGAGGCTTCCTGATTCTTGAATCTTTCTTTGATCAATTAAACTCTGCTAAATGTAATTAGTCTAGTTTTTTCTTTTAACAGTACAAAGAACAGAGAAGCACATATCTTCAAGCCCTGGACTTCTAGGAAGCTATCTCTGATTGATATAGAAAGCAAAACCATCAAATTGAAATCTTCACAGGGAAGTTGGATGCCCTCTAGCTTCATCCTTCACTTTGCCATTGAGGAAACAGAGCACACAGGAGGGAATTGACTTGCTCAAGGTCTCCCACTGAATTAGTGACCGAGCTTGGTCTAGAACCAGCTCTCCTGACTCATGGCCACCACACTGCCCAGTGGGGACCCTTTGTTCTGAAGCTTATAGAGCCCTTTGGAACCATGAAAATTAACATTTGATTGAATGCTGTCCTTTGGCAGCCCTCCTGTGTTAGTATCTTATTATATGCCCAAAAAAAGTATAAGTGTGACTGCGAGGGCCACAGCATTTAAGTGCATACAGAAGTCAGTTAGATAAAATAAATTGGCAAATGAGCCAGTTGAAAAACAATGGAGAATGATAGGACCTATAACATACTATAAGACACATGCCTCACCTGAAGGCATTTAAATGATACATGCCTCACCTGAAGGCATTTAAATAAGAACAAAATTTGGACACTATGCTGGCCAAACAAAACATCTGTAGGACAAAGCTTTTGTGCTGCAACCTTTGCCCGAGGGCCTGGGACTTTAGTATTGTCTAGGCATATAGATCAGTGCTATTGGATGGAAAAATAATGCAAGCCTCTTCTATGTGTAATTTAATTTTTTTATAGTAACCACATTAAAAAGTAAACATAATCAGGTAAAATTAATTTTAATAATATATTTTACTTAACCCATTATTCCAAAATGTTACCATTTCAATATAGAATCAATATAAAAATTATTAATGAGATGTTTTACATACTTAGGCTTTTTTTCATACTAAGTCTTTGAAATCCAACGTGTATGTCGTAGCAGGTATTTTACTTCATCCTTCTAATAAGCTACTTATAGTATTTCACGGATGCTGACAGAAGAGATGATGAAACTCTTGGTTCAGAGATAAAGGACTTTATTACTCATGACACAGCAAGCAACATGAACATCAACATGTTTACTTTAGTTCCCCTAGTCTCCTGTAATAGGCAAAATTCTAAATGGCCCCAATGACTCCCAGCCCCTGATATACACATACCTTCTTCCAATTATTTAATCAAACGCTGCTGTAAAGGAATTTGTCAGATATAATTAAGATCTCAAGTCAGGTAACCTTAAAATAGGGAGATTAAGTAGATGAGCCTGACCTATTCACCTGGCCCCTTTAAATCTGGGTTTAGAGGTCAGAGACAGAGAAGTCATAAATATTTAAAATATGGCAGAGATTTGGCAATATGAAATTCTCCATTTCTTACTGTCAAAGAAGACATGGCTTCTTTGACATGGAGGGGACCATGTGGCAAGGAATGCAGGTGGCCTCTCTGAGCTGAGTGTGGACCCTGCTGACAGCCAGTAAGGAAAACGGGGACCTCGGATATACAATCACGAGGAATTAAATTCTGCCAACAACCTGTGTAAGTGTGAAAGTAAATTTTTTCCCAGAGCCTACATATGAGAACACAGCCTGGCAATATTTTAATTTTAACCTTTGAGACCCTAAGTAGGGAACTCTGCCTGGCCTTGTGACCGACAGAACTATGACCTAATAAATGAGTATTATTTTAAGCTGCCAATTTTGTGATAATTTTTTACTCTGTGATAGAAAACAAATGTAACTCCCCCCCACCAAATCTCACGAGGATGATGTAAAGGGCCCAGATGGATGTGGCACATGAGGTGTATTTGTGTCACAGTTGGGGGAATCCTGAGCTTGGGTAACTCACCCTTTCATAGTAAGCAGTGGGCAAGCCTGCTTTTTGCCCCAGATGGAGATACTAGCTCATCCTTCCATGTTGCTACCATATTGTACAGCATAGCTGCAGAAGGTACCAAATAAATATTTGCTAAGAGGTTGATTGGAAAATAGAGAGTTGGGCTCATGGTCCCTCATTAATATGATTGATGCCTTTCCTTGAGATTTATAAGCTGGCAATGAAAGAGAGGTTAGTTGATTAGGGGCTTACATATAGGATTACCTCAGAGCAGGGTCTGGTCACCAGTCTCAAATATACGTCTACTCGGGTATTATCTGCTAAAGCAGTGTTTCTCAACATTTTTATCCTCATGACTGCCCCCTTATAGAGTCTTTGAAGACTTTCTTTTCCCTAATTGTGTCCCCTTCCCATGAAATTTTATACCACAGATATACTGTAAATCTATTTATGTGCTGTGGTTCTTTGGAAAGCCATAAACCATTGTAATAGCTAATTTTTTTTTGACCTTCCAACCACGCTGAACCAAATTTTGCCCTCTTGGGGTGATATTACCTGCTTTGAGAATGGATGTTCTAGAGGACTGAAGTCATATTTACCAAAATCACCAGAAGCAGGCTGATATTTTAGTTAAGGTGGAATTCCTTCTTATGTCATTTGTACAGCAATGCCCTCATGGTATGTCCACTGCTCAGAGCAAAGGGATGCTAGGTGTGTGCAGATGAGGGTACAGACAGCTGGGCTCCCTTACCACTGTTGCCCTGAGTCCATGCTGTGCACAATGTGCTACTCTCCTCTCTTTTCTGGGATCAGTGCCCTTTTCTTTGGGGTCAGCTTTGGAGAAACAGTGAAGCATTTTTGGTATTTGGGTCCCCCTCACTCACCCACTAATACATAACCCAGCCCCACTGAGCAGCTCCTTTTCTCTAAAATATTTTTGAGAGCAGATAGCCCAATTCAGCTTTGAGAGAGTTACTTTGTTCTTTGAAATGGCAGAAGGGAAACTCTACCTGGATGTGTCTACCCCAGGAATAATATAAGTCGAACTTTCCAGATTAAAGTACTTTTAAATTCCTGGAGGTCAGTTGTTGGGGGCACAAGCCCAGTAGGGTCAAGGTTGCACTTTCAATATCCTTTGAGGCCAGATTCCTTCCTTCTGTTGTAGAGCCACTAATTTTACCTTTGACCTTGAGCAGCATCTATAAAATGCTAGCTGTTAGCAAAATGAGGAACTGGGCTTGGCGATGTCAATTAGTTGGATGAAGACTAGTATTGTTAAAGGTCTTATGCTCTGTCTTGGGATGTGTTATGCAGTTTACTTAGAAGTATGCTTTTGAAATCATCAAAGACTTTTCATAATTAACTTTTAATTTATTTGTATAATGGTCAGGGCATTTGGTCTGTTTGATACCAAGTTTTGGTATTGAAATTTGCTTTGCAGCCCAGCATATGATCAAGTTTTATCAGTGCTTTATGTGTGCTTAAAAATAATATATTCCGTAAAATTTCCTGAAAAGTTCTGTTTTTTTTTTTTTTTTTTTTTTTTTTTTTTTTTTTTTTTTTTTTTTTTGAGACGGAGTCTTGCTCTGTCGCTCAGGCTGGAGTGCAGTGGTGCGATCTCGGCTCACTGCAAGCTCCGCCTCCCGGGTTCACGCCATTCTCCTGCCTCAGCCTCCCAAGTAGCTGGGACTACAGTTGCCGGCCACCACGCCCGGCTAACTTTTTGTATTTTTTAGTTGCCAGGATGGTCTTGATGTCCTGACCTTGTGATCTGCCTGCCTTGGCCTCCCAAAGTGCAGGGATTACAGGTGTCAGCCACTGCGCCTGGCCAAAGTTCTGTTTTACAGAGACAGTCTCACTCTGTCACCCTGGCTCAGGTGCAGTGGTGTAATGAGAGCTCATTGTAATCCTGAACTCCTGGGCACAGGCGATCCTCCCACTTCCGCTTTCCAAGTAGCTATGATCACAAGTGTGTGCCACTATCCCTAGATAAGTTTTAAATATTTTGCAGAGTCAGGGCCTCAATATGTTGCCCAGGCTGGTCTTGAACTCCTGGCCTGAAGTGGTCCTCTTGCCTTGGCCTCCCAAAGTGTTGGGATTACAGGTGTGAGCCACCATGCCTTGCCCTGAAAAGTTCTTTGTATGTCTTTAAAGTTTGTTAATGGTGTTGTTGAATCTTCTATATCTTTATTCATTTTTCTGTCTGCCTGATTTACTCTTTGAAAGAAATATATTATCTGTCACCATATTGCTGGATTTGTCAATTTCTCTTTGAAAGTCTATTAATTTTTGTTTCATATATTTCAGAGTTATGTTATGTGTATAGGCATTTGCAATTGTCTTATTTTCCTGATAAATTGTCCTTTTTACCATTGTAAAAAGCCCCTCTTTAATAATTCTTAAAATCTATTTCATCTGATATCAATGTGGTGACATCAAGTTTCTATCAGTTGATATATATCTTTTATATATCTTTTTTTCCATTCTTTTAATATTTTATGCTGCTATATTTTGGCTAGGTCTTTGTACAGATTATATATCTGATTTTTTAAAAAGCAATAAGAAAATCTCTGTCTTTTACTTTGGAATTTTAGTTCATTTATATTTGTTACAATTACTGATACATTTAGATTTATTTCTCCAAAGATTTTGTTTCCCACTTATTGTGGTTAAACTTTTTTTCTTTTACTCTTCATTCCCACTTTATTTGGAGTTGATCAAACTTTATTTTCTGTTTTCTACTGATTTTAAGGTTTTTCATTTTACCTCTGTTCTTTAGAGGTAAACTTAACATTATATCCTGTACACTTGACTTGGAAAATATCATCTAGGATTGTGTTGTACATTTCCAGGGAGTACCAATCATGTTTCTAGATTGTTAAGGAGTAAGGCCTTGAATTCTACCTGTCTTCCAAAAATGCAAGGAGCTTAAAACATTTTAATTCTGATCATTTCTTTTCATCTTCATATGGTTGGCCAGTATTTTAATTACTCTTTACTTTTATACGCTAAATTAATTATTATTTTATAATTATTCATACTGTAATTTTTCATTTATATTTACCTATAATTTTACCAATTTATTTGCTTACCATTTATTTACTCAAATGTTTACCAAGTTTTTTTGCTTACCTCTTTTTTTTTTTTTGTATTTTACTTTTTTTTTCTGGATTCAATTTTCTCTTTGAGGGAAAGTACCATAATAGTTCTTGCATTTATTACTGTTAGTAATGAATTCTCAGATTTTAATTGTCTGAAAAAGTCTTAACTTACCTATATGTTGCATATTTTCTCCTATATGTGTTGTATAAAGTATAACAAAGAGAAAATCGTTTTTAGTCATTATTATGCCTTCACTTTTAAATGATAGGTTAACTGGGTATAAAATTCTGGGTACACAGGCATATTTTTTCTCAGCACTTTGAATATATTTATGTCTGTTGTTAATTTATTGCTTCTTAGCTCTGAAACCACCCTTCTTTGCCACACTTTGTGATATTGGACCTAAACTCTGTAGATTACATTTCTCCCTTGACAGATGGCTTAGTGTTAGGTTCTGCCAATAGAGGGCACAAGAGGGACACTGAAAGCCTGGGAAAAGAAGGAAGAGGGAACTTTGTTCCTTCTGGTATTCTGTTTTATAGTTCAGCAATGAGCAGATCAGGGTATAGGGGTCATTGTTCATTTGTGGTGTCCTTCAGTCAGTTTCTTTGTTGCCACATTGGAAAGTGGCTTTCAGCTCTTGTAGCTCAGTAGTGGTCAGTTTCTTTGTCACCATATCAACAGGCACCATGTTCCTATGACAACTACCCCTTTTCCTCAAAGGTCTAAATTTCAACTTTGCAGGATCCCCTCCTCTGAGATTTTTAAGTTTCTTCTTGTTCACTTTTCTCTCAGCCCAAAGGTTAGTAATTTGTTTCTGTGGTTCCTACCTCCCTATACCTTATGGTTTGCTTTGCCCAGTTTGACAATTAACAACCTTTTATTAGTTAACAATTCACCGTAATAATTTTTGTGTGTGTAAGTTACTGATATAGCTTTAGTCTCCATACTGGACCCTGACTGATGAAATATTACTTTCTTGTTTTCTGTTTTATCGTGTTGCTGTTCAGAAGTATGTTGTCAGCAAAAGTTGTGAATAAACACTTCATAAAGCAAGACATTCAACTGGCCAATAAGTCCATTAAAAAGTGTTCAACATTACTAGTCATGAAAAACATTTAAATTAAAACCACAGTGAGTGACATACTACTAAACTTCCACCAGAAAGGTTAAATTTTGTTTTTAAAAGTGAATGTTGGCAAAGATGTATAACAACAGAAATTCATATATTAGAAATGTAAAATTGTATAACAAATTTGGAGAAAGGGATCAGTCTTTTATAAATGTACACACCTACGCCATGACTTAGCAATTCTACTCTCAGGTATTTACTAAGAGAAACAGAAAAATACATTCACAAAAAGACTTGTTCAAGAATGTTCACAGCAGCTTTATTGATAATGTCCTTAGAGTAGAAAGAGGCCAGATATCCACCAGCAGGATGGATGAATAAATTGGTATGCTCATATAATGGAAAAGTACTCAACAATAAAAAGGGATGAACTCCTGGTACGTGTAACACCATGGATGAATCTCAAAATTAGTATACTAAGTGAAAGAAGTCTTACATAAAAATGTAGAATTCCATTTATGTGCAACTCTAGCGCAATAAAACTAATCTACAGTGGAAAAACTTTAGAATAGTGATTGACTTTGAAGGGAATAGGGATGGATTTTGACTAGAAAGGGACACAAGGGAAATTTCTGTGGATGATGGTACTATTTTATATTTGATATGTGTTTGAGTTGCACACCAATGTACACTTATTATTTGTATATTTCATTGCATGCAAATTTGATATAAAAAAATCCATAAACAAATATCGAACTTCATTAATGAAATCCTTGCTGACAGATTTAAGAAAACCTGTAGGCTGGGCATGGTGGCTCATGCCTGTAATCCCAGCTATTCAGGAGGCTGAGGCAGGAGAATCATTTGAACCTGGGAAGCAGAGGTTGTGGTGAGCCGAGATCATGCCATTGCACTCCAGCCTGGGCAACAAGAGTGAAACTCCATCTCAAAAAAAAAAAAAAAAAAGTGAAAAAGTGTAGAAATGTCTGTAATTTGCTGTGAAATGCACACACACAAACACCCCAAATAAAAGAGCAACAACAAAAAGCAAATGAGAGATTGTTGGATGAATGCAGAGATGGATAGATGGATAGATATGTGATAAAGCAAATACAATGAAATGGAGTAAAATATTATTGGTAGTACCTACATAGTGTTTATACAAGTGTTCACTATGAAATTCTGTCAACTCTGCTCTGTGTTTGAAAATGTTAAAATAAAATTTAGGGGAAAATGGACTGTTGTCAGTCTAATAATTATTCCTATTTAAAAAGTAACCTGTACTTTCTTCATGGTTTTATTGAACATCTTTTCTTTGCTTTTTGTGTTCTGAACTTTCACTGACATGTATTTAGGTTGACTTTTATTGCTCTCAGGTCTCATAAAGTTACTTCTTTTTCAATTCTTGGAACTTCTCAGCCTTTAGTTTTTTTTTTTTTTTTTTTTTTTTTTTTTTTTTTTTTTTTTTTTTTTTTTTTTTGGATATTGCCTTTCCTCTCTTCTGGATTTCCTATTAATGCTGGGTGAAATTTCTCAACCTATCATTCTCATATTTTGCTCCCTTTTTTCACATTTCTTTGCCTCTCTGTTCTGCAATTTGGGTGCTCTCAATTTGTGTTACAATTCGGGTACCTTCAGATCTTTCATTCCTCAGATTTTTCAGTTTACTGACTCTCTCTTCAGCTATGTCTAGCCTGCTATAACTATGCTATAACTATGACTATGTTTTTTTTTGTTTCTAGAAATTCTCTTTAATTCCTTTCTCAATATAATTGTCATTTTGTTGTATTGTCTTTTTGATTCTTTTAAATGTTTCATCATTTTAAACATTTATTTTTAGCTTAATTCTGATAGTTTATTTTAAGTGGATGTTATCAGGAGTTAAAATTCTGCTATTTGCTGTGTCTGCTGACTCTTTTGCTCATTGTGGATTGCTTCCTTATGTGCTCTTTTATAAATTTGGATTGTAATGTATGGTTGGTGGACATTTATCTGAAGGACTCCTCTAGCTTGAGAAACATTATTTCCCTTCAGAGAAATTTTTTCATTTGTTTTTATCAGGCACATCAAGGTCATGGGTCTTAGTCACTTTTTATATTAATTTCTAGAATATGCATCTACAGTAAAGTTGAACTCAAGCCCATATGAAGTCACACCTGTGATCATGTGTTATCAGAGGAGACTATTTTTTTCCCCTCATCCAGAGCCTAGTATGAGACGGCTAAGCTTTTTGATCATCTTTCTGAGTTTGAGTGTGGATTGTGTATATTTCATCCTACATCTAAGGAGGTGCTTCAAGGCTTCTGGCTTTATACTGGGGGGAAATGGGATGTGCATTTCACTTCTTTGTATCATGTAGGCTCAAGACCTAACTCCCGACTCCATGTGGACACTTACACTTAAGTCCTTACGTGACATAATCTGGCAGCTCTCCCACAGGCAGCTGCAGTATCAGCTCTGGGGTTCCACTCTAGTTTTCAGTTCTCCCTTTGTTTGGGGTTTCTGGAAATTTCTCTCACTTTCCAATTATTGCTTTTAAAAGAATGTTCATTATAACTTATTCAGCATTTTCTAGGTGTTTAATATTTGGAGAGTCTTGAAGTAATCTGATCCCATACAATACCAGAAATGAAAGTTGTGTTAGGCATTTCACTTGGATTATTGTATTAATTCTTCACAACCCTAAAATATATGAATTATTATTGCAGGAAATACACGTGTAGAGGGATTAGCAGCTTCTCCAGGTCTTACCAGCTAGTAATTGTAATGGAGTTGAGATTCTCCCAACATTTGAATGATTCCAATGTATAGGCTTTTGTTCCCTTGTCTTGCAAGGCTAGAGAAACCCATCCCTGGCCTGGGAAAGTTACTCTGCCTGGGTCAGTAATGTCAGTAACCTTGTCCTGTAATAACTTTATTTCTGGGTATGTCTTTGAGGAGCCTTTTGGATTTTTCCAGTTGCCTGTCAGGTCCAGCTTGCAGACTGGCTGGAAGAACAGCATTTGATGTCCCATATGGGACCACTCCCAAGTGACACTTTGATATCTGACAAGAACACTCAGCAGGAACATGAGACTCCTGTATCTCATGCTGAGTTTTGACTAAGTTTTACTTAAGTCACTTGCTGTTAATAATAAATCTGAAAAATGATGAGCCTTCTATTTGACTGTAAAGATAGAGCAACCAGCTGCCCTGGTTTGCCTAGGATAAGGTATTTCCTGGGACATGGGACTTTCAGTGCTAGAACTGGGAAAATTCTGGGCAAACTAGGATGTTATTTGCTCTACAGATCGCTCTGGGATGTCATTAACCAGATTAGTGCCAGTCTTTTCCATGGGAGGCTGGACTATCCTCTGGTTTCCAGATTTCCCCAGAGATGAAAGGAAGGGGGCTTAATGGTGAGAAGAGGAGTACCGAGGACAGAAGATTCAATTCAAGGACATATGGAATAAAGTAAAACTTTATCAGATATTTCCCAGCTGCTCCTAATTATACTCCAATAGAAGATGGAGCAGCTTAGCGGGGACAAAGAGTCAGACCAACAGGTAAGGGAACTACCATTTATAGAGAATGTTCTCCAGGGCTAGGTATTTGGTTAGATTCTTAGTCTGGCTCATACCATTTAACTGTAACTCTCTGCAGTAAACAATATCATGCCCATTTTAAAGAGGAGGACGCAAAAGCCCTGCAAGATTGTCACTTGCTCAGTGTTACATGTTAGCAAATAATGATGCCTGCATTCAAACCCAGATGGGCCTCACTCCAAAGCTGGGGCTTTTTCTCCTTGACTGTGGTAAGGGAACAGGGACTAGTGCTCTATATTCAAGTGCTGATTTAGGGAATTGTGAGTCAAGGAGAAAAGATGAGAGAGAGGCAGACTCTGCAAATTGTCACGGGCCTTGCCAACAACCATGAGCGGGAAGTAGCAGCCATGGCCACTGTTGCAGCAGCACCATCAGGCCTGAGAGATCCAGGGAAGTGGGAAGGAGAGCACAGAGTGCCCTCGACCAGCACCTAACTCCCTTCCCCCCTCCCCAGTGTACTTCCCACTGTAGCATTTGGGTGGAGTGGTCAGGGACCCTGGGCTTGGGGATAAAGTTTTCACTTCCCTTTGGCTGTGCTTTTCCTAGGTACTCAGGCAGGCAGTGCCAGCCATTTGATGCCCGGGTCTTTGCTCCTTGCTGTTGGGTGCCTTGCTGACTTGTCTGAGGTTGTGAGCTAAAACCTAGTGGGTCTTAGCTCTCCCTTAGGTCTGTCATGTTTCCGCTTGCTCATTTTCAGAAAAACAGCCTTCCTATTGCCTGTCTGTTGCATTGTAAATGTTGTTTCAATATTAAGCATTATTAGGGCATCCTTGCCTAACAAACACATCCTAAGGATCCAGTGATCAAGGCTGCTTTTAAAGGCCTCTCCTAATATTTACTTACCCAGCTTCCTTCTATACTCTTAGCTGTGTTTTTCTGAAACAGCTGCATCCAGAACAGAAGGCTCTTTTGTGTAAACTCATAAGTCACCTGTACTCATTTTGTGTATCCAGGGCTGTTATGCTCGGCAGCAAGCTATTTTTTTTTTCAATAGGAGTTGGTATTTGATATAATAGATTATTACATGTTCAGCATATAAATTACTAGGTCTTAGGAACAAGAAATGAGTAATTTTACCCTGAGGTAATATAACAGCTACTGTGGAGTCACTAAAATCAAGTAAATAGATCATTTGTGGTCAGGGCAGAAGCATGGAATTACTACCTGAATAGCATTCAGCCATCATTCCCTCACTTAATCATTCAACAAACAGGTATTGAGAAACTCGAGGTGAGTTTGAGACATTTTCTAAGTGTTGGGCAGGGCTACAAAGAAATCTAAGGCCTGCTGCCTCAAGGAGATCAAAGACTTCACCCAAATCCTTTCCATAGGAAGTTAATTGAAGTCATTGTGCTCTTTGATCGATAAATGTAAGAGCAAGGGAAGTGGCTCTCTTAGAAAGCAATTGGACTTGGAGCTAGGAATGCAAGGGGTAACCTGTACAGTTTTGCTTAGGAGGGCATGGAGTAAGGAAGAGAAGGTAACACTGTTCAAACGCTGGAGACTTTACCCAAGAAGGCTAGTTATGACGCAGACCTGGGAAGCCTGGGTGTGTAGGAAACTCAGCTCTGTCACTTATTATTTGAATGATTTGGGGCAAGTTACTAAACCTCATTGAGTTCTAGTTTTCTCATTTACCAAAAGGGATACTCATAGTATTTATCTCAGGGTTATTGTAAAGATTAAGTGAGATTGTGTATGTGAAATGCCTGGCACACAGTAATCGCTCAAAAAAGGAAAGAGTTGGGTGTCACTGACCAAAGGGAGCATTCCACCCTGATAAGAAGACCAAAGCTCTGAGGGTCTAATTCTGCCCTTGTTACGGACCCACGTCCCAACTGAAAAAGAGACCCATTTCCTCATGGTTCCTGAAGAAGCATCCCCTTTTGCAGGAGAGTTGTAGCAATCATGGCATTCTGTGTCCAGGATAGAAGAACATGTGCTACCAGTTTTTTTAATGCCCCCTACGAAACACTTCATTCTTTGCCAGTGAAGAACTTTTCATTTCCTCTATAATTGAAACAGGACCTCTGGGTCATTGGGTGAGTCTCATCTGGCTTGTGAGTCACCCAGGGCAGTTGTCCACTTTTTATCAAATGAGTCAGGAATGTATTGACCCAGGTCAAATGGTGTGGAGGGTGAGAAATTATCTAATGAATCTGAGCAACCCAGCCCTACCCTTGTACCACTTGAGGGGCACAACACCCTTCCACATTGATCCCATCTACTCTTCCTTGTCACCGTGAAACCAGCCTAACCAGAAGGGGCAGACCAAATTGGACTTCTTTTATTCCAGCACTAATGAGGAAAAGATGCTATGAAATATCTCTTTATGTCAGAAACCAAAGTTAAAATAATGTCATACTCTGATAATTAATACTATCAGGCTTGACAGCAGAATACGTTAAATAAATTAGTCTTTAAATGCGTATGTGTCTTCCAATTATAGGTTTTTGGTTTAATAATTGCTTTACCGAATAGACGAATGGCCTCAATATTCTACTTGCTTTTGCCTGTACAGATGTGGCCTTTGTAGACAAATATTAAATAGAAATACCTTTTTCTTCCCTGTCTCTATCTGTAAAATGGAGGGTTTTTTGGGAAAGATATTTTAAAGGAACTTGCGAGACTTATTTGACTCAACTGATTTTTATTGAGCATCTTCTCAGCATGGAGATCAGAGCCAGCCACTGAAGGGGACACAGAAACAGCTTTGCCAGTCCCTGCCCTTAGGGAACTTACATCTGGGAAGGGAAGGGGCTATGATAGGTCTGGAGGCAATAAGAGGCGGAGAGGGCCTTGAGTTGTCAGCATTTTCAAAACACCTTGTAGATGGCTGGGTCTTGGGAAGCAGAGAGGAGATAGGGCAGAGTTTTCTGGGTCAAGCACATGGCATGGATGGGGAAGGATAGAAGGAAAGAAGGGGCCTCAGAGATGGCCATTCCCCAGGCTCTATGAGGGACCTCAGTGCATATAGTTCCCTGGATGTTTACAATCTGTGTCCCTTTTGCTCACTTCTCACCAGCTCAGTCTGGCTAATAAGTGACGAAGTCAAATTTGTAAGGTTTGTCTGCCGGACTCCAAAGCTGATGCATCTGGGCGTCACACCACAGTTCCTAGACATAGGGCAGAGCAGAATCACTGGAGGCACTTTTGAGATGGAGAATCCAAAATGTCACTTTAGGTCCTAACTAGAACCTCAGGGTTGAAGCCAGGGGCAGTGCTCCCCAAACCTTATGTGCACCCAAGCTGTGAGGATCTTGCTAAAATGCCACTTTGGATTCAGTAGGTCCGGAGGAGGGCCTGAGATTCTGTATTTCTTACAAGCTCCAGAGAATGCTGATGCTGCTGGGCCTTGAACCACTCTTAGATTCACACGGCCTTGGGATTTCTGAATTTCCCCAGAGGTTGAGCATCGCTGCACCGATTTCTGTGACGTTCTGTTTAGGCTTCCCTAGATATGGATAACACTGTCTCGAGGGGATGCAGAGAGGCAAGACAAAATCAGGATGGAGCTAGGCTGTGGAGTCCAAGCCAGAAGTGAGTTTCAAGGTGGAGGGATGGGCAGACATAGCTGCCTGCTTCAGAGAGGTCTCGGAGGCCAAGCCCCGTGGAGGGGAAGGCTGGAGCTGTGATTCCATTGCTGACAGATCCCACACACGAGACTCTCAGAAGGACTCACTGATTAAATAAATGTGTTCCCAATGCAGGAGGAAAATCCCAGGTTTAGAACTAATTTCCTTCTGAGGGGCTATTCCTCCCTTCCACAGGATAGACACACATAGACATTCTCAGAGGAAATAACCTGGTGCTTTGAAACAAACCCACATGCGGGAAGCACATTCATCTTTGATAAAAAGATGGTCCTTCTGATTTTCTCTGGTTCCCAGACTGGGGAAATATTATTATGTTCCAGTTATGTTGAAATGAAACACATTTTAAAGTTTTTTTTAATAATGGAAAGGGCAGGTTATCTAAAGTGAATATAATTTCTTTAAACAATTTTACAAATAAACAAATTTAGTTTTTTTAAAATCAGGAAATAGCTTCATTGTTTGAGTTTAGATATAATTAAACCATTGATTTGGCCTCATTAGAAAGTAAATCTTTATCAAAGAATTGGGGCCGTTGTGACAGGAGATGGATGTTAGGGAGATGAAGGCTTTATCCAAGCATATACTGTTAATTTCTTCATAAAGAGATAAAAATTGGGATTAGTGAGTGGCCGCACTAGGAAGTGTAGCAAATGTCTTCTCATTTTCCTAAGAGCCCCCATCTTGGTAATATTGTGTTGCTTAGGAACTAACAAAAACATGTCTCTCTGTGTGTGTTTCTCTCTTTCTCTCTTTCTTTTTTTTAATGGTCCCTTTGTGCCCTGATATTTTTCCAAGTTGGCAGCTGTGAGGAAAAACAATGTGATTTGGTTAGATGCAGCCTCCTGCTCTCAAGTCTGGAGCAGAATAGATAAGAACTTCTATGTCAGAATACAAAGTTTACTCAGCACCAGTCAAAAGCTTTTGATGTTGCCTGCCCAATCTGGCCTCCCATCTTTGAAGTTCTATTACACATGCTAGGGTTCCGTCAATAAGAAACAGACCTTTCTTTCCCCTGCTAGTTAAAACATCTGCCTCCTGGAAACGCCCCACATTAAAGCAGGCCACTATAGTTCCAGGGCTTATAGACACCTGGGTTTTGCCACATTAGTAATGAGAAGAGAATGGTCTAAGGAATGGAAGCCATTGAAGAAAACCCTTAAGGATGAGGGGTGATGATATTTTCCCATTCCAAGATTGTATGGAAAAAGACTCAGCTTGGTTGGGACTCTCATAAGAAGAATGACCAGGGCTGCCTTTTCCTGAGGCTGTTTATACAGTGCTGTGTATTCATGTTATAAGTCACATGTGATCTGCACTCTTTATCTGGGGCATTAGCCATTTCACAGTGAAAAGAAGCAGGGAAAAACAGCCTCATCGGTTTGTAGTGTCACTCTTTGCAATGTCATTTAAACTGCTCAGCAAATGGCTTATTTGTCAAAGAATATTGCTTTTTCCTGGAACAAAACCCAGTTACTGGTTGTTGAAACCTATGGATATCAGAAATGATATCAAGAAGTGCTTCTGTTGCTAGACGGTGGTGCCCTTTGAAGGGACAGAGAGGTGGGGGTAGGAGAGCCTTTGTTCCTGGAAATGAAAGCGTCTAAACAATAGATTGTATGAAGAACCTCAAATGCCAGGCTCTATGCCACAAACTCTAGCTTGCAATAAAAGCCTTCATCTCAGAGAGTCCAGTTATGGAAATGCCAGAAGTGAGTGAAGGTCCAAGGAGTGGTGATGATGGGCAGGTGGCCAGACAGGCAGATAGACAGCAGACCAATGGCTGATAGTCCCAGGTGGCCAGTGCAAGCCCTGACCCTGTGGCCCTAGATTTGCTGCATCAGCTGTCAGAAGGGTAAGGAGTGCAAATCAGAAGTAAAAACAACCTAAATGCTGAGTTCAATATGCAAGTGGCAGAAACAGGGCAAGTTAGTATGTCATGAAACTACAAAATCACTGGACAGATAAGTTGTTCTGGGGCAGTGCTGGCATCCCCTTTCTACGCCTCTTTCTTTCCTTGATAGTGTCTTTCATCTTCTCCAATTCCTAAGGTTGGTGCCCTCTTGCCGTTTATTTCTCCTTCTTTCTCTCCCTCCTTCCAAACTCTGATATCAGTTGGAATCTGATCAGCTTACCAATTCTAAGAATAAATAATTAGAAATGTTCAATTGGTTATTCCTCCTAAAGGCATTTTCATTTTAAAAGAAGCAAAGATACATCAAAGAAATGAATCTCTAATGGTAGAATTTTAGTCATTGATGGGCTAGAACTTCATTGTCCTGGAATTATACCCTGGAGGGTCTCTATTAGCCTTGCTGAGGAAAGATAAATATCTCTTTCCTTTAGTAAGCTTGCAATCTAATAAGGAAGAAAAAACAACAGATCCAAGAATTCTTACGTGAAACATTTATGAGATAAACCAGGACATGGTCATATAATGACACAATTAGTTGAAAGGTAAATGGTGAGGAGGGACAAGGCAGGCTTGGTCACATCTCCCTGCTCATGATGTGAGCAGTTCTGACCCAGATTGTAGGGATGTGGTAACATGGTGGGAAGTCGAAGGCCCCAGAAATGGCCCAGCTTGATTTGGTGTTAGAGTCAAACTATGGGAGGGTACTGGGTAAACTAAGGGAAACGAGGACCCTGATCCCCATGCTTGGGGTGTGGGCTGGCAAGACCGAGTCACTGTGGGCTCCTGCCTGGAGAAGAACACAATGGTGTCCATGACGGGTGAGAGCCATTGTGCACAGGCTGGATTGGAGGAGGTGGAATGAAGGGTAGAGGTGAAGAGACTGGCTAGGGAAGGGACTGGAGGGCAGTGAGGTGTGGTGGTTGGGAGCATTACTGTATAGCTTGACTGCCAGCTTAAACCTCAGCTCTGCCATCCTATAGCCATGTGAACTTGGGAAGGTTATTTAGCCTCTCAATCACAGAGCCTTCCTCTGTAAGATGTGGATGATACTAGTATCTGTCTCTTAAAGATCTTATTATGATGTCATGAGTGTATATATATATATATTTAATCATATGAAGCACATTGATGTGTGCCTGGCACATGGCACTTGCTATGTCCATGTTAGCATTCACAGCTGTTATCCAAGCATGGGGAGAGGTAGCACCTGTCCTTGGCATCCACCAGGATGATGCTGGTAAAATAGGCAATGAGACCTGTAAGAGGATCTTTCCATAGTCCCAGGTGATATGGTTTGGCTGTGTCCCCACCCAAATCTCATCTTGAATTGTAGTTCCCTGAATCATGGGGGCGGTTACCCCCGTGCTGCTGTTCTCATGATAGTGAGTGAGTTCTCTTGAGATCTGATGGTTTTATAAAGGGCTTTTCCCCATTTTGCTTAGCACTTCTCCTTGCTGCTGCCATGTGAAGAAGGATGTGTTTGCTTCCCCTTCTGCCATGATTGTAAGTTTCCTGAGGCCTCCCTAGCCATGCTGAACTGTGAGTCAATTAAACCTCTTTCCTTTATAAATTACCCAGTCTCAGGTATGTATTTATTAGCAGTATGAGAACAGAGTCATACACCGGGAAATGACATGCGGACTGGCTGAGGAGGGCAGGTCCCCCAGAAGCATGATGCAGGCTGAGCCCTTGTCAACAAATGCCTTTATTTCACTCCATTCTACAGATAACTCATGGAGGAATTTAGCACCCAGCTCAATATGAGGATGCTGATCTTCAGTTATGTCCTCAAATTCCCACTTAGGAAGAAAGAAGGGGGCACAACCTGCAGCTAGACACAAAAAGTGCAGGTTGCAGGATCTGTTTCCCAAGAGTAAAATGGGGGTTGTTTGACCCTCCCTTTCCAAGACTGAAATGGATTTCCAGAAGCTCTGGAATGGTTTAGGTGGGACCTTGCTGAAGGGTTGGGTGGAGGGGGTACAAGTTGGATAGTGGCACGCATACAGCTGGCTCTGCATACCCACGAGTTGTGCATCTGCAGATTCTGCCTCCAATGATTTAACCAACCATGGATGGAAAACAGTTTAAAAAGAACCTCCACAACAATAAAAATAATAATACAACAATAAAAATAATATAAATTTAAAAACAATATAGTATAACAATTACTTACCTAGTGCTTACATTGTATGAGGTAATATATTTAATGTAGAGATGATTTAAAATGCAGGTATACCTTGCATTATTGAGCTTTTCAGATACTGTGGGTTTTTTTTTTTTTTTTAACAAATTGAAGGTTTTTCGCAACCCTGACTTGAGCAAGTCTATTGGCACCATTTTTCCAATGGCATGTATTCACTTCCTGTCTCTGTCACATTTTGGTAATTATTATTATTATTATATCTTTTATGGTGGTCTGTGATCATCAGTTTTGATATTACTATTGTAATTGTTTGGGGACACCACAAACCAAACCCATATTAAATTTAATCAATAAATGTTGTTTGTGTTCTGACTGCTCCTCTTCAGTCTCTTTCCCTCTCCTCAGGCCACCCTATTCCTGGAGACAAAACAAAATTAAGATTAGGCCAATTAACAACCCCACAGTGGCATCTTTGTGTTCAAGTGAAAGGCAGAGTTGCACATCTCTCACTTTAAATCAAAAGCTAGAAATGATTAAGCTTAGTGAGAAAGGCCTATCAAAAGCCAAAACCAACCAAAAGCTAGGCCTCTTGAGCCAAACAGTTAGTCAAGTTACAAATGCAAAGAAGTTATTGAAGGAAATTGAAAGTGCTACTCCAGTGAACATGTCAATGATAAGAAAGTGAAACAGCCTTATTGTTAATATGGACAAAGTTTGAGTGGTCTGGGTAAAAGATCAAACCAGCCACAACATTCCCTTAAGCCAAAGCCTAATCCAGAGAAAGGCCATTGATATGGTTTGGCTGTATCCCCACCCAAATCTCATCTTGAATTGTAGATCTCATAATCCCTGCATGTCGTGGGAGGGACACTGTTGGGAGGTAATTTAATCATGGGAGTGGGTTTTCCTGTGCTGCTCTAGTGATAGTGAATAAGTCTTACAAGATCTGATGGTTTTATAAAGGGTAGTTCCCCTGCACATGCTCTCTTGCCCACTGCCATGTAAAATGTGCCTTTGCTTCTCCTTCACTTTCCACCATGATTGTGAGACCTCCCCAAGCCATGTGGAACTGAGAGTCCATTAGACCTCTTTTTCTTTATGAATTACCCAGTCTCAAGTATTTCTTCATAGCAGTATGAAAGAGGACTAATACAGTAAATTGGTACTGCAGAAAGTGGGATACTGCTAAACAATACCTGAAAATGTGGAACCAACTTTGGAACTGGGTAACAGGCAGAGGTTGGAACAGTTTGGAGGGCTCAGAAGAAGATACGAAGATGTGGGAAAGTTTGGAGCTTCCTAGAGACTTATCGAAATGTTTTGACCAAAAAGTCCAGGCTGAGGTGGTCTCAGATGGAGATGAGGAACTTATTGGGAACTGGGGCAAAGGTGACTGGTGACATTTTGCCCCTGTTCTAGAGATCTGTGGAACTTTGAACTTGAGAGAGATGATTTAGGGTATCTGGTAGAAGAAATTTCTAAGTAGCAAAGCATTCAAAAGGTGACTTGGCTGTTCTTAAAAACTTTCAGTTTTATTCATTCACAAAGATATGGTTTGGAATTGGAATTTATGTTTAAAAGGGAAGCAGAGCATGAAAGTTTGGAAAATTTGCAGCCTGATGATGTAAAAATCCATTTTCTGAGGAGAAATTCAAGTTGGCTGCATACATTTGCATAAGTAACGAGGAGCCGAATGTTATTCACCAAGACAGTGGGGAAAATGTCTCCAGGGCATGTCAGAGGCCTTCACAGCAGCCCCAAGCTGGGGGGCCTAGTGGGAAAAAAATGGCTCCCCGGGCTGGGCCCAGGGCTTTGCTGCACTGTGCAGTCTAAGGACATGGTGCCCTGTGTCCCAGCCATGGCTAAAAGGGGCCAACATACAGCTCAGGCTGTTGCTTCAGAGGGTGCAAGCCAAAAGCCTTGGCAGCTTACACATGGTGTTGGGCCTGTGGCTACACAGAAGTCAAGAATTGAGGTTTGGGAACCTCCACCTAGATTTCAGAGGATGTATGGAAACACCTGAATGTCCAGGCAGAGGTGTGCTGCAGGGGCAGAGTCCTCATAGAGAACCTCTGCTAGGGCAGTTTGGAAGGGAACTGTGAAGTTGAAGCCCGTACACAGAGTTCCCACTGGGGCACTGCCTAGTAGAGCTGTGAGAAGAGGGCCACCGTCCTCCAAACCCCAGAATGGTGGGTCCACTGACAGCTTGAACTGTGCACCTGGAAAAGTCACAGACACTCAACACCAGCCCATGACAGCAGCCAGTAGCGGGACTGTACCCTGAAAAGCCATAGGGGCAGAGCTGCCCAAGACCATGAGGTTCATCAGTGTAACCTGGATGTGAGACATGGAGTCAAAGGAGATCATTTTGGAACTTTAAGGTTTAATGACTGCCCCACTGGATTTTGGACTTGCATGGGGCCTGTAGCCCCTTCATTTTGGCCAATTTCTCCCATTTGGATTGGGTGTATTTACCCATTGCCTGTATCCTATTGTATCTAGGAAGTAACTAACTTGCTTTTGATTTTACAGGCTCACGGGCAGAAGAGATTTGCCTTGCCTCAGATGACACTTTGGACTGTGGACTTTTGAGTTAATGCTGATATGAGTTAAGACTTTGGGGGACTTAGGAAGTCCCATGTTGGGAAGGCATGATTGGTTTTGATATGAGAGGACATAATATTTGGGAGGGACCAGGGGTGGAATGATATGATTTGGCTGTGTTCCTACACAAATCTCATCTTGAATTGTAGATCCCATAATCCCCATGTGTCGTGGGAGGGACCCTGGTGGGAGGTAATTGACTTATGGGGGTGTTTTTCCTGTGCTGTTCTTATGATAGTGAATAAGGCTCACATGATCTGATGGTTTTATAAATTACACTTTCCCTGAACATAATCTCTTGCCTGCTGCCATGTAAGCTGTGCTTTTGCTCCTCCTTTGCCTTCCACCATGACTGTGAGGCCTTCCTAAGCCATGTGGAACTTTGAATCCATTAAACCTCTTTATCTTTATAAATTACCCTGTCTTAGGTATTTCTTTATAGCAGTATAAAAATGGGCTAATACAGCCATAACTCTCTTCAATTCTATGAAATCTGAGAGAGGTAAGGAAGCTTCAGAAGAAAAGTTAGAAGCTAGCAGAGGTTGATTCATGAGGTTTAAGGAAAGAAGCCACCTCTATAACAAAAAAGTACAAGGTGAAGCACCAAGTGCTGATGCAGAAGTTGTTAAGTTGTAGCAAGTTATCCAGAAGATCTAGCTGAGATAAATGATGAAGGGGGCTATAATAGACAACAGATTTTCCATGTAGACAAAACAGACTTTTATTGGAAGAAGATGCCATCTAGGACTTTCTTAGCTAGAGAGGAGAAGTCAATGCCTCGCCTCCAAATATTAAAGCACAGTTTACTCTCTTGTTGAGAGCTAATGCAGCTGGTGACTTAGAGTTGGAACTGATGCTCATTTACCATTCCAAAAATTCTAGAGCCCTTAAGAATTATGTTAAATCTACTTTGCCTCTGCTTTATTAATAGAACTACAAAGCCTGGATGACAGCACATCTATTTATAGCATGATTTACTGAATATTTTAAGTCTACGTTCGAGAATTACTGCTGAGAATAAAAGATACCTTTCAAAAGGTGACTGCTCATTGACAATACTCCTGGTCATCCAAGAGCTCTGATGGAGATGTACAAGGAGATGAATGTTGTTTTCATGACTGCTAACACAACATCCATTCTATAGCTTATGGATCAAGTAGTCATTTTGACTTTCAAGTCTTATTATTTAAAACGTACATTTTGTAAGGTTGTATCTGCCATGGGTAGCGATTCCTCTGATGGCTCTGGGCAAAATAAATTAAAAACCTCCTGGAAAGGATTCATCTTTCTAGATGATGCCATAAAGAACGTCATGATTCATGGGAGGAGGTCAAAATATCCATTTTAACAGGAGTTTGGAAAAGTTGATTCCAACACTCACGATGACTTTGAGGGAGTCAAGACTTCAGTGGAGGAAGTAGCTGCAGATATGGTAGAAATAGCAAGAGAACTAGAATTAGAAGTAGAGCCTGGAATTGCTGCAATCTTATGATAAAACTTGAATTAATGAGGAACTGCTTCTAGTGCAAAGAAAGTGATTTATTGAGATGGAATCTACTCCTGGTAAAGATGCTGTAAACATTGTTGAAATGGTAACAAAGCATTTAGAATATGCCATAAACTTACATGATAAAGCAGTGGTAGGGTTTGAGAGGATTGATTTCAATTTTTACAGAAGCTCTACTGTGGGTAAAATGCTATCAAATAACACCTCGTACCACAGAGAAATCTTTCATGAAAGGAAGAGTCGATTGATGTGGCAAATTTTATTGTCTTATTTTAAGAAATTGCCACAGCCAACCCAGCCTTCAGCAATCACCACTCTGATCAGTCAGCAGCCATCAACATAGAAGCAAGACCCTCTACCAGTGAAAAGATTACAACTTGGTAAAGGCTGAGATGATTGTTAGCATTTTTTTTTGCAATGAAGTATTGTTTAATTAAGGTGTAGACATTATTTTTTTAAGACAAAATGCTATGCTATTGCACACTTAATGGACTATAGTATAGTGTAAGGGTCACTTTCATATGGACTGGAAACCGAAAAAAATTCATGTGATTTTCTTTGTTGCAATTTGCTTTATTGTGATGGTCTGTATCTCCAAAGTATGCCTGTATACAGGAAGATGTACATAGGTAATTTGCAAATACTACATGATTTTATATAAGGGACCTGAGCGTATTTTGTAAATGTTGGTACCAACTGGAGTCTTGGAACCAATCCCACATGAATTCTGAGAGAGAACTGTGCCTGGGCTGTGTTTCCCATGGCAGGGCATAGTGACATGGCCCTGGAGAGTAGTTCTGGTACCTGAAGACTTCACTTCTGGCTCACAGCTCCAAAGCACCAGTGACTGTAGTCCAACTGACTCCCTCTGGAAGAGATGCAGCCTCGCCGGATCCACTTCTTTTCCCTGCCTGTCTCTCTCCCCCTTTTTACTCCCCATTTGTCATTAAAATGACATTTTAATGTTGTATTCTTCCTTAGTTGCTAGTAAGAGTCTGTCATTCTCTCTTTTTCACATTGTTTTGGTTCACAAGACATAGTCTCTTCTGGAGTTGAAAATTCAGAAAAATGAGACATGATGTTTCAGGAGACCTGTAGTCCCAGTCCGATCCCAGGAAGAACTCTAGAGCTGGGATCATACCACAGAGGTTGTCCTGCCCAGAGGCAAGGGGCATGGGCTCGAGAGCTGCAGTTGTTACCCATTGGCTCCAGGTCTTCTCCCTGCCATGTGGAAAAATGCCCAGGCATCTCCAGGAAAGGTGGCTCCAGCCAGCCAAGGACAGCTTCTAGAAAAGAGTGCAAGTGGGAGCTCCTCAACGCCAATATCTGCAGCAAGCATGAAGTGGAGCCCTGCGTATCAAAGGTGTCTACACCCTCATAAGAGGCCTTTCTTCTACTGCTGTCTACTTCAGTTTTAACTCTCATCATCAAGTTTTTGCATTCGCTGGTATTATGCTTTTTCAGGCTTCTGTGCCTTTCCACATGCTATTCCTTGTGCTTGAAGTGGTTTTTCCACCTTTCTCCTGATTTTGATTTCAGGTGCAGCTAAAATGTCATTTCCTCTGTGGAGCCTCCCTCACTTCCTCCAAGCAAAAGCTGATCCGTCAGACTTCCTCTGTGACCCACAGCATTTTGTACCTGCCCACATTGCAACATTGTAAAATGTTGCTTTTGCTTTTTTTCCTATGTATTTGTGTTCCTAAAAACTTTGGCTCTTAGAGATCAGGGACCTTTTTTTTTTTTTTTGATTCATTTTTGAACATCCAATGACTGTCCTGACACATATTCTAAATACTTGCTAAATGGGAATTTATTGAATACGTGAATGAAATTGCTGCAGCTGAAAGGTAAAGGAAATCTCTATTTCTCACATAGGGTGCCACCTGTCTGGGTGATTTGAGATAAGTAGTTTAAATCCTCTGTGTTATAACTCACTATCTGTAAAATGTGTGAGCACTTAGATACTGCCAGCTAACCTCTGTTCTCCAGTGGCTTCACCATCCTCCTGCCAAGCAAAAATGAAACCCAAGCAAAGATGGCCTCTGACTACTATTTGTCAAAACACCTAAAATCCTTACTGACGGCACATGGCCTCACTGCTATCCTCTGTCACCAGGATCACATTATCAGAGGTGAATATGTCCTTAAAAGACCAGGGACATTTAGAAATTGATATAAACATTTTAAGTATGACATTTACCTCTTTGTTTAAAAAGTTAACTTTATATAATCAACGGGGCTTCTCGATTTTTAAAGTAGAAAGGTTAGTTTTGGGGTGAAAGGCACAGCAGAAGATTGAAAACTACTCTGGATTGGGAAGAAGAGAAGGGAGCAGAGAAGTAATTTGGCCAAGGCCCCATAGCTAATAAATGATGGTGCTTTTTTGAACTTAAAATCAGTTTTACTGAGTTATAATTTATTTACAATAAAATACACTCATTTTAAATGCACTGTTTGATGGGTTTTGACAAATGTATGCACTTTTGTAACACCACCAAGATTAAGCTGTAGAACATTGTCATCAGCCCCAGAAGCTTCTGTAAGCCCCCTAGCAGTCAGTTCCCCTCACCCATGGCCTAGATTCCAGGGACCTGCTTTCTGCCACTGTAGATTAGTTTTGCTTTTTCTAGAATTCATTTAAAAGGAATTACACAGTATGTAGTCTTTTGTGTCTGGATTGTTTTCACTTAGCATATTGCTTTTGAGATTGGTCCTTGCCGTTGCGTGCATCACTAGTTGTTTGTTTTTATTGCTGAGTAGTATTCCGATGCGTGGACACTCACATTTGTTCATTCATTCACCTGCTGATGGACTTTGGGTCATTTCCAGTCTGGGGCTATTATGAATAAAGCTGCAATAAACATTCGTGCACAAATCTTTGCATGAACATGTTTTTATTTCTCTTGGGTAAATACCTAAATGTAGAAGTGCTGGGCTGCATAGTAAGTGTTTGTTTAGTTTTATAAGAAACTGTCAAACTACTTCTCAAAGTGGTTGAACCATTTCCTATTGCAAACAGTGTAGGAGGGTTGAAGTTGCAGAGCTTGGTTCTGAGCTCTACAGATTGGGAGTCTGCTTGACTGGGAAGCCCTGCTCTTTTCTACCATGGACACCATATAGATTTGCAAATCTGAGTGTATGTAAGAATAATTCAGACAGCTTGTTAAAAATACAGATTCCAGGCTGGGCACGATGGCTCATGACTGTAATCCCAGCAATTTGGGAGACCAAGGCTGGCAGATCACCTGAGGTCAGGAGTTCGAGACCAGCCTGGTGAACACGGTGAAACCCTGTCTATTTGAAAAATACAAAACTTAGCTGGGCATGGTGGTGTGTGCCTGTAACCCCAGCTATTCAGGAGGCTGAGGGAGGAGAATCGCTTGAACCCGGGAGGTGGAGGTTACAGTGAGCCGAGGTTGCACCATTGCACTCCAGCCTGGGTGGCAGAGCAAGATTCTGTCTCAAAAAAAAAAAAAAAAAAGAAAAAAGAAAAAAAAAGAAAAAAAAGAAAAACACAGATTCCAGGACCCCATCCCCCAGAGTATCTGATTTGTAGGTCTGGAGTGAAGCTTCGGAATTTGCATCTTGATATGGTTTGGCTGTGTCCCCACCCAAATCTCATCTTGAATTTTAGCCCCCATAATTCCCACGTGCTGTGGAAGGGACTTGGTGGGAGATAATTGAATCATGGGGTGGTTTCCCCCATACTATTCTCATGGTAGTAAATAAGTGTCATGAGTTCTGATGTTTTTTCAAGCAGTTTCCCCTTTCGCTTGGTTCTCATTCTGTCTTGCCTGCACCATGTAAGATGTGCTTTTCGCCTTCTGCCATGATTGTGAGGCTTCCCCAGCCATGTGGAACTGTGAACTGTGAGTCCTTTAAACCTCTTTTTCTTTGTAAATTACCCAGTCTCAGGTATGTCTTTATCAGCAGCATGAAAATGGACTAATACACATCATTAACAAGCACCACAGAGGCTGTGGATGCTGGCAGTCCCTAGAACACTCTTTGAGAAACTGCTATGTGGTTCACCAGATTTTCCAGAGAAAATCCCCTCAAATAGGGACATCTGGTATTCTAACAGAGAAATGGCTGCAGTTAACAAATGCCAACATCTGGCTTGTCCAGCTGTTTCTATATCACCATTATCTATGGATGCTCTGGTGCAGAGAAAAATGACACCGAATGGTAGATAATTTTCAAATCTTCCTGAAGTGACTTTGAAATGCATGTTTATCCTCATTTCTTCCCTAATATTATGCTCTAGGAATTTATGTTAGGAAAAGAGAGAGGCTACGTTTTGAGAAGAAAACTCAGGAATTGCAGGGAAACTGTTTAATTTCCTTCACTGCTTAATTTTTTCAGGACACCAACTGCATGCTTTGAGAAGATGAATGGTTCTTAGGTGTTTTATGCATAAGAATCTTCCAGGGCATGTGTTAATATGGAGCTTGGGAGGTGGGTCCCCCAGAAAACTACAAACCACACTTTGAGAAACACTGAAATAAACCACTGTTTCTGAGTCTCTCCAGGGCAAAAGGCAATGGTTGACTGGTGGGTTCCAAATCTTTATAGACAAACAGAAAGTGGGTATTTTTTTACTCATAGTTTTCTTAGTATTAGGGCATGTGAGTAAGAAACTGGGACATACATTCAGACCTGAACTTGAACTTCAGCTGCATCACTTGCTGTGTAACCTTGGGCTAATTCTGTAATACCCTAAGCCTCAGTTGCCTCATCTGTAAAATGGCAATTGTAACATCCACTTCATTTACCCTCCTTAATTTTCAAGGCTGTTGAGGTTAATTGAGAGCCTACCCAGAGCCTGGCATATAGCTAGCGCTCAGTGAATGTCAGGTGATAACAGCAGTGCTACCTGCTCTCATTCCCTAGCCCCATGTTGGTCTGTGGCTGTGGATGGTGAATCCTCATCACACAGACTTTCCCTCTGCAGAGCCCAGGGCTCCGGGGATGCATGGGGTCAGCCTTTCTCCCCCTGAGAAAGGACTGCTTGCTGAAATATTTATTCCACACCCTCCTCCCCTGCTCCCAGGAGAATGAAAAGTGTTCCACCCCCATATCCCACAAGTCCTCAGCCCATTTCTCCAGTGAGCCAGAGCTTATTGCTACTTGTCACTTCTTATCTGATCTCCAAATAACACAAAAGCAACTCCTGCCCAGTCTGAAGTCCTGATCCCAAGTGACCTTCAGCACCTGGGTGTGAATGTGTGAGAACAGCCCAGGCAGGTGCAAGGAATCTGTATTTTCCCAGCTCTGCCTCAATCCCTGGATGGAGTCCCACCTCTATGCTGCCACCTCTGGGGACCTCACACAGCTGGGTGAATGGGGTGTCTCTCCTCCTGAGGCCTCCCTACTCCAGGAGACTGTCTGCCATGGAGATGGCAGCACAATCTCCTGGTCTCTCTACCGAGACACATGGCACGGCTTAACACATGGCATGGTATGGCAAAGGGTCCCATGCAAACAAAGACTGGGTGCCCAGGATGATCTTCAGATAAGGGCCCAGGAGCTGTGTTTTCTCAGGGCTTCTCAGCTTCAAGTGGAGAGGGGATATGCTGGATTGAGAGCAAGGGGTCCCACCATCAGAATATGACTCCACCTTTCCCTATCCTGTTCCCCCCAGATACCAGCCCTCAGGTTTCTTTCTTGACAGTCACATCTGGCCTCTCCAGGAGACCAATCTTTCTTTGCGATTCTTTGCTCCCTCTCTGAAGTGCATTTCCCTCCCCTCCCCTCCCGTTTGCCATCCATGGTGACCTTGGCATGTCTGCCAACACTCAACATTGTGAGGCTTTATAAACCTCATATCTCAGAAGGGACTGACATTACATTACAAGAGGATCTGTAAACCTCCCCGGGATGACTGATGTCTTTTTTAAACAACAGACCAAGACTTCATTTAAATTAGTAACATGGAGATTAGAGGCACTCTCTCAGCCCCTGGCTCGGCCACACCGCAACGCTGGGAATATCAGTCATATGAAAGCTGTGAAGTTTGAGATGGAAATAAATCTGGGAGCCTGTAAAAACTGTCAGCAGGTCAGGGAAGTTTATGAACTCTTGCTGTATCTAATCATAAATCATCAGAATAAGCTAAAACTGAGAAGAAAAATGTCCTCTTTTGTAATCTAATGCTGTCTGTTAGGGCAATAAAACTTAAATGAAATGCATGCATTGCAATTTTTAGCTGATACTTTACATTATTAGCAAAGTGAAGAAAGAGACTCCAACTTAAAAGAGTGAGACAGATGAGGAGAAGGGCACCAATCCTTCTAAAGCTCCAGGCTCTTCATCCTCTGGCTTTGTGATCTTTCCTCCCCTCCCACCTCCTTTGGCCTCAAAACAAGGAAGTAGGTGATATGGATCCCAGGGACTTTGGTGCTAAGTGACAGGCAGTGAGTGTGTCCTGGGGGTGACCCTGAGATTGGTCACATGGTCCAGTCTCTGCTCCCAGCAGGGGTTCCCACACTGGCCTTATTGACCCACTTCACATTCCCACACTTTTGGGCTGTAGAAGAAGGAAGGTGTGTGCCAGCCAGGCTCAGGTCTCCAAGCTTTCTTGTTCTCGTTAGCCTGGTCATGTGCCCTAATCCCCCACGCAAGTCACCTTCGGGGGTGACTCACTTCCAAGTGAGGGTTTTTGGAGACTCCTCTGTATCCCTGGAAACCTTCAGCAATAACTCATCTATTCCGCACCTTTCACCCATGATCTGCAATGTTTGATGTTGAGGTTTACATTTTACCTTTATGCTTTCCAGGACCTGCCCAGGGATTGACAGAGCCCGAAGCAGGCATGGAAGTTGGGTGAGGAACAGGGTTGTTTCATCTGTGTCCACTATTTATTGAGTGCTAGATCTGCGGTGGGGGCCAGAGACCCAAAGGGAAACAAATCAATGCTCTATCAAGGGTGGGGATAGAGGGGAAGGCAGGGCAGCCCTATATTTCTGCCTTAAAAACCAATGGTGGCATCCAGCTTGCTGTAGCCTCTTGTTGGTCTTTCTAAACACTGGGAAAGTATGAAAGGCTGGAGATGGAGTGGGGCAAGAGGCACAGAGATGCCTGGGAAGATACCTTCAAGAAGATGAAGGGTTTTCATTGGGTAGATGGTGAGCTGCTATCATCCATATCTGCAGATAACTCTCCAAGAGGAATGGGCCTAACCTAATGCTTTGGATATTGTAGGCATTGGAGTGTTTGATACATAAAAAATGAAATAATTAAATGGATTTAAGGTAAAGCAGCTGAGATTTTGATTAGCTCCAGAGTAAACTTCCTAATTTTTGAGATATTCAAACATTGGAATAAGGGGACCCAGGGAGCCTGAGAATATTATCCCTGAAGATCATCCAGAAAATATTAAATGACCATTTGCACGGGATTCGACATCCTCCTGCAAGAAGGCAAAATTCTGAGCCAGCAAATCTCTAGAAATCCCACTGAGTGTTATCTCCCCACCCTCAACTCAGCCAAATTGGAGGGTAGAAAATCCTTCTCCAACCACATGGTGTCTTTGTCCAATCCTGTTGCTGTAACAAAATACTTAAGTGTGGGTTTAGAAACAATAGAAATTTATTGTTCACAGTTTTGGAGGCTGGGAAGTCCAAGATCAAGGCACTGGTGGATTTGGCATCTGCTGAGGGCCTGTTCCTCATAGATGGCCCTTTGTCTTCACGTGGTAGAAGGGGCCAATAAGCTCCCTCAGGCCTCTTTGTTTTGAGACAGGGTCTCTCTCTCTCACCCAGACTGGAGTACGGTGGCACAGTCATAGCTCACCACAGCCTCAACCTCCCGGGCTCAAGTGATCCTGCTACCTCAACCTCCTAGAGTAGCTGGGACTACAGGCCTCTTTTATCACGGCACTAATCCCACTCATGAGAGTAGAGTCCTCATGACCTAATCACCCCCTAAAACCTCTGTCTTTTTTTTTTTTTTTTGAGATGGAGTCTCACTTGTTGCCCAGGCTGGAGTGCAGTGGCGCAATCTCAGCTCACTGCACTCCAAGCTATGCCTCCTGGGTTCACACCATTTTCCTGCCTCAGCCTCCTGAGTGGCTGGGATTACAGGTGCCCACCACCACACCCAGCTAATTTTTTTGTATTTTTAGTCGAGACGGGGTTTCACTATGTTAGCCAGGATGGTCTTGATCTCCTGACCTTGTGATCTGCCCTCCTCAGCCTCCCAAAGTGGTGGGATTACAGGCGTGAGACACCATGCCCGGCCTCTGTCTCTTAATACTATTGCATTGGATCTTAGGTTACAACATATGAATTTTGGGGTACATAACATTGAGACAATAGCAAGGGGTGACATCTCCCATGCACCTGCCCCACAAAGCGTCATCCTCCTGGGCTCTAGTCACTAACGCTGTGTCTTCTCTTTCTTCCAATGGAAATAAAGGGCAGGTCCCTCTGCAGGAGGTGCATTAGCCTTGGCTTGGGGTAGGGGTCAGCATGGCAAGTGATAATCTCCACTAGCGCTCTCACTGGAATGACACACGTGAACCTTGTAAAGGCTGAACATCTCAGAGCAGGCACCCAAAAGTAAACCAAATGAGAGGGAGATTCAGAGGCAGACAGTGTTCTTACAGATCTCTCAGGAGCATGGAGAAGCAGCTCCTGGTATAGCAGCCCTATTTTGGCCTCTTAGAGCAGAGGAGAGAGGCAGTGGAAGGCCTAAGCAGGGGCTTAGTGCTCTGGACCCCCTCCCTGGTGAGTCACCTGAGGGCTCTGAGGAGGCCTGGGATCCCTGAACCACACTCCCATGCACTTGCTTAGCTCTAGATGTTTCTTTTAGGCAGCATGTGCATCAGAAGAGAAAACCCAAAGGGAAATTTGTCATTATGGCTGTGTCTCCTTCTATTAACTGCCACATGTAAGTTTTTACTTTAGCTTGTTGATGGACCTAGGAAGAAGGTTGGTCAGTCAAGGACTCTTCTCCTACTTCTATAAGTGGGGAAACAAAGACCTTGCTTAAGAATGGCTCTAGAGCTGGGCGCAGTGGCCTGTAATCCCAGCGCTTTGGGAGGCCGAGGTGGGAAGATCACCTGAGGTCAGGAGTTTGAGACCAGTCTGGCCAACATGGTGAAACCCCATTTCTATTAAAAATACAAAAATATTAGCCAGGCGTGGTGGTGGGTGCCTGTAATCCCAGCTACTCTGGAGGCTGAGGCAGGAGAATCACTTGAACCTGGGAGGTGGAGGTTGCAGTGAGCCGAGATTGCGCCATTGCACTCTAGTCTGGTTGACAAGAGTGAAACTCTGTTTCAAAAAAAAAAAAAAAAATAGAATGGCTCATCAGTGGCATAATCATGCCTGAAATCCAGGTCTCTTTGCCCTCAGATCATCATGTTTCCCATACATTGTACCACCCATTAACCTTCTAAGATCCTGTTGGTCATACAGGATCAGAGAATAACTGTGAACTGAAGAACAGGAATTGGTCCTGCTCCCCAGAGGCTGAGAGTTATCAGGCAATGGGCTGAAAGATGGGCAGTAAGATGGAATTCACATATATTTTTTGTGGGCATGTGTTTTGCCTTATTCTTGTGACAAAAGGTAGTGGTGTGTGTGTGTGTGTGTGTGTGTGTGTGTGTGTGTGTGTGTGTCTGGAGCAGCAATGAGGGGGAGAAGATAACATTACAAAATGTAAATTTTTGTGACGAATTAGAAAAACTTCTAGGACCTTCTTGATTTGCTAAGACTGTTTGCCATACATATTACTTATGTTAACCAATATTGTATTTCCTGGGGATAGAAAAGAAAAATTGGTGCTTTACGTCTAGGGAATGTAAAATATAGAAGAGCAATCTGTTTATGCAGGTGGGGGTTAAATCTTCTGCTAGCAGGTAGCATCCTGTTGTCAGAAATCCTCTCTTCCAAGGAAAGGTGACTAAAAGTAGGCCACATTTACTCTTGAGGAGTGGGAGGAAGAGAAGGAGGTCCTGGATGAAGGTGGAAGCCATCAGAGAGACTGAAGAAATTCAGCGTCTGAAAATTAAGGGGCAGGGGAATTTCAAGAAGGAAAGGTCAGCGTGTTGAAGGTTGAATTTTCTGGGAAGCAGATCTCAAAATGGAGAGATTTTTGGGATCACCACCAGTAGAAGAGACGGGACAGAAGTGGTTTTGGCTGAGGGAGACAGTAAGCTGCGAGGCAATCTCAGCTGAGGCCTCAGAGGACATGTGGGAGCTCAGAAGCTGGGATGAGCCTTCTGAGATGTCCTGAGTTGGGGTGAAGGGACTGAGCATTTATATTCCCACGCTGATCAGTCATTCAAAGTGAGCTGCTCTAGAAAGGAGGTCATGACCATGGGTGAGGTCACTCTCATCAGCGGAGGCCATTTCCAGAGAGGACTAACATCCTAGGACTGCCTGTTGGCAGTGCTCCGGCAGCCGGGTGGTGGTGGCGGCGAGTCCTTCATTCCTAAAGTGGAATCTGGGCAGTCCATTACAGTGTCCACACAGTCTACTCCTTCTGTCTTCAGAGCCACTTCTTTATATATCTCCTGGCAGTATCCTTCAGGATCCAAAGAGCTTCTCTTCCTGAGCAAAACTTGGAAGAGGAAAGTTAGTGGGATAAACTGCAGCCCCCACCACCGCAGCTAGTCTCGGGACCATAACTGATGCTTCTCCTCTCCCCTGCATCCCTTCCCCATGAGCTGGCACTTCTGCTAGTCTTGCTGGCTTACCCGATGCCATGACCAAACCCTCATCCCTGAGGTCTGGGCCACCGGGCACGATGCCTTTCTCAGGTGAGGTCTGCTGCACTGGTCCATTTACTGTGGAAACTGGGTGAGAAAGAACCGAGAGATGCCCAAGCACATCACCTGTGTGCTGAGCATATTCTTCTCTGCCCCTACTCTGCAACAGCAGCCTTACTACCTCCTGAAGGCCAGGGTCAATTCCCCATGCCAAGATGGTGACTTCTCTTCTTGATTGCTTATCTTTGCACACAAAACCCCCGAAGTTTACTCACACTCTATCTTTTGTTATCTTTTTTCAAAGCCTCCACTGAAATTCCCAACAGCCACTAAATTCCATTCTCCTTCTGTTTCCCACCATGTTTCTCGGTTACCTGATACCCTACCCCAGCTAGTGCATGCCCCTCCAGCAGCACATTATCCCACTTCACCAAGTGGAGGGTTGTAACAATGGCACTGCAGCCTTGTGCCAGGGGCGGTCTGTGCTTTGCCCCCTCACCAGGGATGGAGTCCCTGTTGCCAGCCTGATGATGGTAGATCTGGCTCCAACTTCTCACTTCTTAAACTTACAGTCACACTGGGGCCCCTGGGTAGCAGATTCTGAGATGGAGATTATAAAGAGGAAGTTTATTAGGGGGGTGCTTTTGGGAGCAATACCCAGTAAGGGAGGTTAATGAAACAGGTCTAGGGAGAGGGAGAAGTTGGACTGTTCTAGAATTACAACTGAGGCTTCAGTGGAACCTGTGGGGAACTCCAAAGCCAGTGCCCCTTCACACCTTTCCTGAGTTGGGACAAGAGGTGTTAAGGCTTCTTACCTGTGTCAATCAGTTAGTCACATCTTGGGATGTGTCTGCCCCAGGAAGGGAGCATGACCTTGGGACAGGTGGCTTTCCAAGGTGTCTTCAGCTTAGACAATTTCCAAAGGGGGTTAAGAGCTAAGGTTTGTCTGCAGGAAATATTGCCAATAGCCTGGGGAGGTAAAGACCTTCATTCCTGAGGGGGAAGCTGGGCAGTACTGCACAACTGATTCCCATGGTATGAAATAATCAAAGACAATGAAGATTGAAATAAGTTGTTGGATTTGGTATTCAAAAACCCTAATGGCTTTGAGTTACTGGGTGGAAGGAAATGATCAAAGAGGAATGTGAAAAAGAAAAAAGAGAAAATGATGAGTTTTAGCTGCTTTTTTTGTCAAAGATTTAATAGAAATTGAGGAAGAAATAAAAATTAAATGGAAAGCATTAAAAATCAGAGTTGAAAACTGGTAGGATAAATATATCCAGCAGTCTTATTTTGTCTGTACAGTTTTAATAATTTAAAAATTTTATTAAAATGTTTGAATATCTAGCTTTTCTTGAAAAATCAGGGGTTCAGATGACACTGGCCTGTAGTCTTGTGAGGCAACAATGACTGGAGCTGAGTACTTTTGCCCTTTCTAGGGGTAGCAGGTGCTCTCCAGTTGGCCACAGGACCCACCCTTCTCCGTTGTACCTTATTCATGTACCACTTGTGGAATCTCTGTAGAGACTTAAATTTGTAACCACTTTTTTAGCTATTTTGTGAATTGTGATATTAATTTAATGCCCACTTAATGTTTTGGGTTTACCAACCATGAGAGTTACATGGGATTTTATATTAATTAATGGATTTTAAATATTAATTAAGAGTTTCTGTTGTGCTAGGCCTTTAGGTCCTGAGATACAGTAGTGGACAAGAGGGGCAAGCTTTGTGCTTATATTCTAGTGGGAAGCAGACATTGACAAGCCAATCGATTAATGAACAAGATAATTTCAAACGGCTGTAAGAAAAGATAAACAAAAGATCAACAAAGTTGTAATAACAGATGAAGAAAAGAAACAAGGAGCTGTGACAGAGTGCAAGCCAGGGGTTAGGAGTGGGAGTGGATGCTAATGGAAATCAAGGAGGCCTCACATATGATAAGAAGAAACCAACCAAGCAAGGATCCAGGGTGGGGCTGAGCATTACAAACAGTGTTCAGCAATGGCACTGGTGTTGAGGTGGGCAGGGACTCGAGATGCTCAAACAGCAGAAGAAAGACTGGTGTGGTGGGGCACAGCGAGGTGGAAGGTGACAGAGTCAGAGAGGCAGGCAGGGCCCACTCAGGAGAGCTTTACAGGCCAGGCTGAGAAATTTGAATTTCAATGAAAAAAAAAAAACAACAGTAGGTTTTTAGGATTTTAGATGGGGAGATAGATGATCTGATTTGTATTTTAAATAAGGTCACTGGCTGCTTGCTGTGTTGAGGGTGGATTTTCAAAGTGGCCAGGAGTGGAAGCAGGGAGACCAATTAGGAGGCTACTGCAATAGTCCAGGCCAGGGGAAAATGGCTCATAAAGTCAAGGATATTCCCCTGGAAGGGGTTACTAATCAAGCAACACACACATACACCCACACTTAGCAAATACACATAAAAGTAGTTCAGATTGCACACAACAGAGCCCTGGGCACACAAGGTTGGAGGCAATGATAGGTCCTAAACAGTGAACTGTCAGGAAGGGCTTTAGGGAGGAGGTGAATTTGGAGTTAAAGGAAGCAATGGAAGGGACCTGAAAGAGGAGGGGAAGGCATTCGTGGTAAAGGGAAAGATACGAGCGAAGGTCTGTGGTAGGAAGGAGAGGAGGAGAGTTTGTTGTAGGTGGGGTGGGAGGCATGTGGCGAGTGGAGGAAGTCAGTAGGCAGCTGAGACCTGCATGCCCCGATACAATGGCTATTGGGCTATTGGGCACTCAGTCAGTGTGACTGAGGAACTGAATTTTACAGTTAATTTAAATTTAATTTTCTTTTTTTTGAGACAGAGCCCTGCTCTGTTGCCCAGGCTGGAGTGCAGTGGTGAGATCTTGGCTCACTGCAACCTCTGCCTCCTGGGTTCCAGCGATGCTTGTGCCTCAGCCTACCAAGTATCTGGGATTACAGGCGTGCACCACCACTCCAGGCTAATTTTTGTATCTTTAGTAAAGATGGCTTTTGCCAAGTTGGCCAGGCTGGTCTTGAACTACTGGCCTCAAGCAATCCACCTACCTCAGCCTCCCAAAGTGTTGGGACTACAGGTGTGAGCCACCATGCCCAGCCTAAAAATGGAAGCAATGGGTACTATTTCTTCCATTAAACAAAGCTTCACCATTTCAGTAGGATTACATTTGACTTTAGCCATTGAAAAATTAGCATACAAACAGAGATATGCTATGTCTGTAAAAGACATCAGATTTCAAAGATTTAGCGCAAAAAGGGGTAAAATATGCCATTTAAAATTTTATATTGATTACATGTTGAAATGATAATGTTTTGGATAGAGGGGTAAAATAAGATACATTATTAAATAAGTTTTACCCTTTTACTTTAAAAAATATGATTACAGTATGAGAAAATTTAACATTATGTATGTGGCTCCCATTTTATTTTTAGAGAGCCAAGGTGAGGGGCTCCTATAATTTCTCCTCTGACAATTTGAAACTGACTTTTAATCAAGGCCCTCAAGTAGTGATTATTTGTACCACCTCAATCTTCATAATAATAACAAAATCCATTAATTAATCACCTCCTATAATACTGTTGGTTAACATTTATATAGTACTTACCATATGCTGAATGCTGTTCTAAGTCCTCTACGTATCTACACATGTAATCTTCAAAACAAGATGCAGACCCATTAGGGCATGGAGTCTGCTGTGGTAGACTGAACTGGGTGCTCTATTCCTAGTTGGGAGGGCCAGGCAGAGCCAGGGACAAGACACTGGGAGACAGAGACAGTGCCAGCACAGGAAGTGAGTGGAGGGTGGAGAGGATGTCAAAGTGAAGCCCATCCTGCTTGGAAAAGTGGCCTGGGGCTAGATTTTGTTGAAAAAAATCTTGGCCTTCGTGGCACTGGGGGTTGGGAGAGAGGTGGGTGGAGGCATACATCAGAAACATCAAATAGGAGGAGGAAGAGTGCCGTTCCAGAACAATACTTCTTTATTTCCCATCTTAAGCTGTGAAAAGAAAAATTTCCTGTTTATTAAAATAAAACTGGACACCACTCGGGGACTGCAATGACACCCACAAACACTAGTTCCAGACTCTTCCTCTTCTTTGTGTTGACTTTCAAGGTAAACGCCACCATTATCTGTATTATTCACAATGACACCAATGTATACATGTGGCCTCACAGACCCAGACACAGGCTCATGGGTCAAATAACTTCTTTTCCTTTCCAGCTGAAATTTCCACCTCCAACCATTATACCTCAGAATGAATGACCCATGTTGGGTTAATGACAGTGATTTCCTCTTGTAGCCTCCCAAACATAGTGGATACTTGCTCTCCAGTCCCTACCAGAGCATCAGGGCAGAGGAAAAGGTGATGAAACAGCCTCTTGTCCATTTCTTCTCATTGTTGTGGTGAGAGGACATTCCAACCACGTTTCCTTTGCAAAGGGCAGGCAGGAGAAAGAAGCAGACAGGCACACAGGTGTCCCCTTCCTGACCACGGATGGCTGGGACGCAAACCATCAGTTCCCCTCCAGGTCTCCTCAGCTGCTTTTGGAAGACAGTGGTTTTGCTGGACCAGCCCAGCAATTCGTGCCTTGTTTAGGACATCATGGCAGCAGCTCTGCTAACTTTTTGCAGGATGCCTTTACCAGGGGAATCATAGTGAAGCTAGTGTTCAACAGAGTGCTTATAATTTGACATTGAACTGTGTGGCATTCTCAAAATTCAGCTAATTTTGATCTACCAAAATGATAATTTCATAGGTTTTAACTTAACAATGTCTGAAACTATGTGAGCCTTAGCCTAGTGGGGCTCCCACATTTTAGTGATCCCTGAAGAATCACTAAACGTGGCAGAATGCCCAGTTCCCAAGAATTTTGTTATATTGGGGATTTTTTTTTTGCTGTTGTGTTTTGTTTTATTTAGTTTTTAAATACCAGAACAAAAAGTAGAAGTGAAGAGAGAAAAAGACATGGAAAAATAATTGTAGAATGTAAATTAGTTTTAAATGGCAGGTAGCTTAAGATTGCCTGAGTTATGAAAATGACAGGAAGTGACAAAGGATCACTTGATTAGAGGAGGAAGGCAGTATCACAAAGTAAACCGAAAAGACTTGCCCATTAAGACAGGCTATGAAGATGGGATGAAGGGCTTAGGGATAAAGAATTTTCTGTCCCTCTTTGGTCATGCTCTGGAGTGATACCTTGGGGCTATGCCATGAGCTGATAGGAGTCAACGCGAGTGGCTTTGCTGCCTCCTGGTTCCCTGTCTCCTTCAACTCCTTTCTTCCAGTAATCCAGTAAAAGGTGGTTGTCCTCCCTCTATTATAAAGGGTTTTCTCCACCAGCCAAGTAAATGAGGTCCAGTTGAAGAAGACAAGGCAGCACAATAGAAGACAGTAAGACCAGCCACCAAAAGCACTGGTTTTACATGGATTTGACTTTGATGGAATGAAGGGTCAGCTTTTCACTATCAACATGTGTCCACTTTGTCAGGAAGGGCCCCCTTGGGTGAGAGAACCCTGCTGCGCAGTAAGTGGGCTCCTGGTTTGAGCCCACCACTCCTGGTTTGATCTTTTCAATTATTTTGGCTGTTTCTTAGCACTGATAACTGACAGCTGGTCATAAAACTTTACTTTTGAAGAATCCTAATACTTACATTATTTTCCTCTCATTTGGCTTTATAACTTTCATTTTCTTGGCTCTGTTCATTATTTACTTCTCAAATCCAGCACTATGCCAAGAGTAGAAATACATTTTTTGCCCTTGTGAAGTCAAATACTGAGATACATATCGAGTAAAACAACAGAGAATTATTAATTGCTTTACGTATTCAGAGTCTGTTTGTACCCTACCTCTGTGAGCCAGGGTGGCCATGTGGACGGAGTCACTGTGACTGTGGCTGGACAGAGACATTTCTCGAAGGGCAGCCAAAGCCACTGTCAGCATAGACAGTTCAAAACCAAGCGACTGATTCTGAGGCTAGACTGTGCGCCAAGGAGGATGGCATACATACCCGAACAAGAGAATGGAAGTATGTTGGTTATTTTTTTCCTTACTATGTGGATGTTCAAATTTTTATAATTAGATCTGTTGTTCCTTTGTGGTTTCTTTCATTGCTTTTAGGTTTAAAGGGTTCTTTCCCATTCATATATTTAGAAAACAGGTACATATCCACCTATACTTTATTCTGGTTAAGAAAATGTTAAGCTGATATTTGCATGTTTAAGGGATATCCTTGCACAACCATGGAGAAATGCAGGTTGGTGTGCAGGGGCGAGGCGAGCGCAGGGTCATGGGTTTGGGCCATGTCCGCCAGTCTAGGAGTGAGTGAAGTGGGGCCATGGGCTACATCCCAGAGCGAGACTCTTTCAGGGAATACAGAGAAGGTGATGTGAAGAAGGAAACAGAGTGTAGCCAGGCAAGAGGACCTGGGAAGAACATCCTAGAAACAGGGAAGGGTGGATTTGACAAGAGAGGAATAAATCTCCATGCTTAGGTTCAGCAGGACGATCCATGGCAGATATTCCTTGGGAAAGGAAGGGGAAACCGAAGATCAGAGAGGCTTCATGACTAAGTCACTCAGAGCCTCAGTGGCAATTTAGGTCCACTTCTCAGTGACAGAGGCGGCTCTGGCTTCTAAACGCTTTAGGAGTCCACGGGTCTGTGTCACCTGGCCTTGCAGAATACCAAGAAACCCAGAGCTGCTCTGAATGAAGGACCCACTTATTTTGTTGTTGTTAGGAAAGATACTCATAGAACAATGTAGTAAATAAGCAATGTAAAAAGTCAAGGGCAGAGCAGGACTAGGGTCAGGCAAATGTGGTACCCAGGGTAGAGTGTTTAAAGAGGCACTTGCCTGACTCAGAGTGAGCGGCTCCTGGAGAAGTCTCCTTTCAATCTCAGGGTTGTTTGAAAAAAAGAAACAAAAAACAAAACAGAGTGATGACTTGTCTCGAGGTATTAGGTTGACGCAAAAGTAATTGTGGGTTTTGCCATTGCAAGTAATGTAAATACATAAAAGGAAAAAGCCCCACAACTTGTAGAAACACAATCTCACCAGCCCCAGGAGAATAACCATGTGAGAAAGCATATCTTTGTCCTTCAGAGCTGCAGATATTGCCATGACTCCTCTTTTGTATTTTCTAGAAGTGGTAAGAGAAGCTGTTGAAGAAGTCACACTCTCCAACAGCACATAAGTAGGAAATCACTAGCTAGTTAAAAGAGTACACAACCTTGCATGTACAAATAGAATTTCTTTCTGTGCAAAGTCGCTCAGCCCATCCAAAAATTGAACCTGTTTTTAACTCATCTATCCAGGATGTTAAACAATCTAGAGTTATATCTGAGTTCCAATCCCAGCTCTGCTTATCTATGTGACCTGGGAAAAGTTACTTCCTCTCTTTGGGGCCTCAGTTTTCCTGTCTATACAATGGGTCCATTGGACTGAATGATCTTCAGAATCCCACAATCTGCTTTTTAGGTAAATAAAAAAAAATGAGGACAAAATCAGAAACTCTCCCGGAAAAATATGAATCTGGGGACTCAGTATTTTAATGTATAAAATACATTATTTTAGGCCGGGTGTGGTGGCTCACACCTGTAATCTCAGCACTTTGGGAGGCCGAGGCAGGCAGATCACTTGAGGTCAGGAGTTCAAGACTAGCCTGGCCAACATGATGAAACCCCGTCTCTACTAAAAATACAAAAATTAGCCAGGCATGATGGTGGCACATGCCTGTAATCCCAACTACTCTGGAGACTGAGGCAGAAGAATCGCTTGAACCTGGGAAGCGGAGGTTGAGGTGAGCCGAGATTGTGCCACTGGACTCCAGCCGGGCGACAGAGACTATGTCTCAAACAAAACAAAACAAAACAAAACCAAAAAAACTGCATTATTTTATACAGACATTTACATTTCATGCCAAAACAGATATCTGGCATAAAATGTAAAAATGTAAGACTACGTCTTACATTTAGAATCTAGTGACGTCTTAGATTATTGTGATTTCCCAAATTTCACGCAATCAAAATGTATAGTGTTTCATTTTCCCTGTGTGGTATTTATCAGTGGGTATGAAGCTAGAAGATGAGTGTTGTGTGTTCTTGTTTTTGGACGTTTACAATTGCTGGTTGCATTTGTTATAAACAGCTCTATTCTATTTAGGGAGCTGGTGATCAATAAGGCAGATAATATTTTCATAATATTCAAAAAGACTAATGTTGTAAAGACAGCCTGTTGAGGGGGTCTCTGTTTTCTTAGCAGCTTCACAATTTCCTGCAGGCTGTCTCCCATCCAGGCTCTTTTCTTTGCTGGGTCTGTCCTCTGTTCCAAGCACCAGAAGAATCATACCCAGTCATTTGCTAACACTGGAGAAAAAAAAAAAAAGAGTGTCACTTCTGGTAGAACGAGGGGGGGAAAAACATTCATGGCAAGATTTTCTTTTTCCATATTTCCAAACAGTGGGGGGAAAATAATGGAATGTTTGCCTTGAATTTTGTGTTGCTTTGGCTGCAATGAAGAGATAGTTTCTTGAAGGCAAAAATCTGTCTTTTGTCTTATTATTGCCATCTTCAATCACGGGAAAATCTGTTCTAGCTGGCGGTTTTGCATTATTACTTTTTTGCCCTCAAATCTGTCGCTTGTACCAATTGTGGCGTTTCTTGATTCAAATGTGGATTCGAAGGGCATGGTGAAGAAAGTGGCTGTGACTTATGAAATGGATCAGAATGACCTGCCTCCTCTTCCCTCATTGTCTCCTCTTCACAGAGAGGTCTGGGAAGCCCTGACCTGGCTCAGGTGCTCAGGATCCCAGCTATGGGGTGAAGCATGCGGACATGGTTTGGCTCTGTGTCCCCAATCAAATCTCACCTCGAATTGTAATCCCCACATGTCCAGGGAGGGACCTGTAATCCCCATGTGTAGAGGGAGGGAGGTGACTGGATCATGGGGTTGGTTTCCCTCTTGCTATTCTCATGATAGTGAGTGAGTTCTCATTAGATCTGATGGTTTTATAAGCGTCTGGCATTTTTCTTGGCTCGCGCTTCCCTCTCTTGCTGCCATGTGAAGGTTTTTGCTTCCCCTTTGCCTTCCACCATGAGTGTAAGTTTCCTGAGGCCTCCCCAGCCATGTGGAACTGTGAGTCAATTAAAACTCTTCTTTATAAGTTACCCAGTCTCAGCTATGTCTTTATAGCAATCTGAAAACGGACGAATACAGATTCCCAGGCCTCATCTCAGAAGCTCCCTCTTAATAGACAGAAAGTTCAAAACAGTCCACACACCACAGAGCTTGGAGGAGTCCCCTCTCTACCCTTTTGCCTTCATCAAAATCACTTTTTAAATGAACAGAGAGGCATGAGATATTGTCATTTTGGTAATTCCATTCTGGGAACATAACTTGTTTTTCTAATCGGGCCTATAGGGGGAATCAGAGATAGATGCACTTGAACTCCTTCCCTGAGCCCATTTCCCTGAAACCCTCAGGCCTTCCCTTAGCCTTTTCTTTCTTCTCTACAAAGCCCATGGTGACAAGATAGGTGTCTGTTTAGGGAGGGAGCAAAGCTGGAGCTCTCTCCTGTCTATCCCCACCTTAAGATTACTGGGAATCATTTCTAACTCCCCACCAGCTCCACTTCTCCCCACTAGCAAGAGATTCACCAGAACTTTGACTTGAATTTCTCATACTTTAAAAATAAACAACCATAGGGTGCATGTTTTTGAGAAGATTACTTTCCTTGATGCAATAGTCTCAAATGTAATAGTTGGTTCACACTAGCCACTCAGTGGTATTTGTTATGTGAATGAACAAATAAATAAGTGGTAGGGCACAAAAGGCCCCTAAGTATTGGCTGACTTTGTGAGAAGCCTGAGAAAGATTTGTGGCATCCCAGGCTGGGAAGGAGGATGAGACAGTGGGGCTTGCCTGTGAAGCACTCTGGGTGAAGCCATGCTTTGCAAGATGGAAAGAAGTTACTAGGCAAGAACAAATAAATGATCCTCATTCCTGCCACCCTGGCATGGTGCCAGATTCAGGGTTTTCAGAAGCAGGTGAAAAAATTTGATAAAACAGGTTGATTTTCTCTTTCCAAAACAAAGATCTGATTCAATCAAAATGAATTAAATTTGAGGCAGTGGTTCATATTTACCTGTATTTGATTTAAATGTTTGTGTGTGGGTGTGAATATATATAGTTCATGTGTCTTAAAGAGTAAATATATATATATTTCTTATTAAGAATAATATATATTTACTCCTATTATACATTTATGTATTTATAAAACATATGTAAATATATATAAATTTATAAACATATTTAAATATATTATATATTTATATTTGTATATATTATATATTGCATATATTTATATATTCATAAATATATATATGTTTACTATATGTAAATATATATTTATATATTAAACTATAGAAAATATATATTTATATACTTATGGACCATGCTGCTCCGACACTTGGCCTGGAGTTGGAAGGTCAGGACTAGATTCTGTGCTGGGAGCACAGGATGGAGGCTGTGGGTCTGTTGGCTGGCCTGTTGGGTCAGTGACAGCTTCATTCAGTGCCTCACGTGGCTTCCTGAGGATGAAGCTCCTTAGATGACAAACTTAATGGTGTCTGAAGATTCTCAGAACTTCATGCCTCCACAATGGATTCTGTCCTCTCTCTATGATTCTTTGGTTGTTTAAATGGTCATCTCCATTTAATGCTATATTGAGTTTCTAAGAGGCTGGAGAAAAATTCTCATTCCTCCAAATAAAACTTCCAGTCTTTATTATTCTTTTTTTCCTTCATTTCTTTTCTTCCTTCCTTTTTTCCTTCCTTCCCTCTTTCCCTTCCCTTCCCTCCCTCCCTCCCTTCCTTCCTTCTTTTCTTTTCTCTTTTCCCCTCCCTCCCTCCCTTCCTTCCTCTCTCTCTTTCTTTCTTTTCTTTTCTTTTCTTTTCTTTCTTTCTTTCTCTTTCTCTTTCTTTCTTTCTTTCTTTCTCTTTCTTTCTTTCTTTCTTTCTCTTTCTTTCTTTCTTTCTTTCTTTCTTTCTTTCTTTCTTTCTCTTTCTTTCTTTCTTTCTTTCTTTCTTTCTTTCTTTCTTTCTTTCTTTCTTTCTTTCTTTCTTTCTTTTTCCCTCCCTCCCTCCCTCCCTCCATTCCTTCTTCCTTCCTTCCTTCCTCTCTTTCTCTCTCTCTTTTTTTTTCTTTTTTTTTTTTCCAGAGTCTCGCTCTGTCACCCAGGCTGGCTCACTGCAACCTCTGCCTCCTGGGTTCAAGTGATTCTCCTGTCTCAGCCTCCCGAGTAGCTGGGATTACAGGCACCTGCCACTGCACCCAGCTAGTTTCTCTTTTTTAGTAGAGAGGGGGTTTTGCCACATTGCCCAGGCTGGTTTCAAACTTCTGAGCTGAGGCGTTCTGCCTGCCTCGGCCTCCCAAAGTGCTGGGATTACAGGCGTGAGCCATTGCGCCCGGCCTGGTGTTTCTAACATAAAAATCTCTAAATTCAATGAAAGAATAACATTTTATAGTCTTCTTTGGGGCTCTTCAGGATCCCCAAGAGAAGAGGTTTTCTTAGAGTTGATGTTTCAATTTTCTGGGGTTTTCTATTTCCCAGGTCATGACCTGAGGCTCAGATCAAAGTTAAGGTCTTTGGGAAGCAAAGATATACCCATTTCTTAGCCAGAGGTAGTAGATGCCAAGCAAAAATTGCAAAGGACTTTTCTCATTAGTTTTCTCTAGCTCCCTCGCAGCCTTAGAGTTTGGGGGCTTTATTTCATAGAATTTTCCTAATGGAGAGAGCAAGAGGTACCCTTTATATTTTCCCCATGGAGATCAGAGCCACATGGTCTGTTGGTATGAGAGTTCTTGCAAATACAGAGGCTTAACTGCAGTGAGTAAAGATGATGTGGTTTGTGGAGTCTGAGAGATCTCTGACACTCTCCAGAACTGTGTCCTGTTGTGTTAGTGGAACCTCCAACTATCCGATAATAACATTAACTTACACATGCTATAGCTTACAAAGCACAGCAGGCAGATTTACCTCACACAAACCCAGTAGGGCAGATATTATTATTTTTTCCTACTTTGTAAATGAAGAAATCTCAGACATAGCTTGTCCAAAGCCACACAGCTGGCTGAAGACAGAGTCAGGGTTCAGAGCAGGGCTGCTGGCCCCAGACCCTGTGCTCTGTCACTAGTTCAGAGGTTGCTGTCCTGATGCTGCTACTGCAACTGCACCATGTGACCTCACCTCCTGGGTAACCCTCATCAGACACCCAAAGCTTCAGAGGTACTTTGAGCAGTTACTGCTCCTGGGGAGAGGGTAAACACCTGGCCATGGGCAGAAGTTAGGACCAGGAACCATGAGAAGGGGTGGCAGCAGAGGTGAAGTCAGGTTGCTGGTCTTTTATTTTTTATCCTTCCTAATTCCAAGCTGGCCTTGATGTTATACCTAACATCCAAGCGGCTTCATCTCCTATCTTCGAATGATTGATTTTTTTTGAGAATTTTTTTTTTTCTGGCCAGGTGTAGTAGCTCACGCCTGTAATCCTCTCACTTTGGGAGTCTGAGGCAGGTGGATCACTTGAGGTCAGGAGTTCGAGACCAGCCTGGCCAACTGGAGAAACCCTGTCTGTACTAAAAAATACAAAAATTAGCCGGGCATCATGGTGCATGCCTGTAATCTCAGCTACTTGGGAGGCTAAGGCAGGAGAATCGCTTGAACCCAGGAGGCGCAGGTTGCAGTGAACTGAGATTGCCCCACTGTACTCCAGCCCGGGCGACAGAGGGAGACTCTGTCTCAAAAAAAGAAAAACAAAAAAAAGAGAAAAAAGAAAAAAAAATTTTTTCTGTTTCCCCACTCCACCCATAATTGTTGACTTTCCATGTTTGTAGAGAGAACCAAACTAATTGGGGAGATCAATTTCTCCTATGACTTTGGTCTGTACTGGGAAAGGTTATTACTATAAGTGGCTTTTATTTTTGCTTCTTTTCATTAAGGAAATCAAGGCAATACTGTTCTTTTTTAACTTTAGAAAATACAGAAAAGTAGAAAAAAGAAAAATGACAATCAGCTAGACTCTGCCCAGTGCGATAATATTTGGTTATATATCCTTCCAGGCATTTATCAATTTTTTCTTCCTTGTCTGCCATTTCTAACTATCTACACCAAACAGGAATTTCATTTTACAAATTAGGTTGCAACTTGCTGTTCCAGCTTAGTGCACGTGATTCAAGAAACTTTCCCATACTATCACATGGGCTTACAGAACATGGGTTTTTCATGCTGCACAGTATTCCTCAGTGCAGTTTTGCCATCACGTATTAATCCCCTATTTGTGGACATTCAAGTTGTTTCTGATTTTCCCCTGTTATCAATAAACTGCACCCTCTCAGCAAGTCCCTTGTGGTTTGGTGCCTGTTCTTGTAACTGGGCTCCTGACTTGTTCTGTGTCATTGAACCCCCGCCCTGTGCCCCATTTCTGGGAATTGTGTCCCTGCTTGGTTTCCTGCTCAGAGCCTCAGTTCCTTCCAGGGACTGGAGTCCTGTCCCTGAAATCCAGTATCTCTCTGTTGCCAGACCTGCAAGGCTGCCAGACCTGCCATGTGGGCTGCCGACACCCTGACTCTCGCCTGCTACCCTGCAGCCCTGGGGCGACCATCTGCCTGGCTCCATTCCTGTAGACTCACCAAATCCTTAGATCTTGATGTTCTGTGCTCAGGCCTGATCCCAGCCATTGGAGACCTGGGAAAAGGAAGAGAGATAGTGGGGCAGGACTGTGGGTCTGGGGAAGGGTGGGCAAGTGTGTGAGTCAGTGGGTGAGGGTGGGGGCAGTAGGAGATGGGAAGGGTGGCTTGCATTGGGGAACTAGCACCTTTTGGACAGTTTCTAGTTCTCCAACTCATCCTGTTCTCTCATATCTTGTTTTTGGCTATCCTGTTGCTTGGTCTGGAACATTCTTTCCCTTCCTCTAGGCCCAATTAACAAATCCTTCTCATCCTTCAGGTCTTTGCTTTGATCAGAAGTTCTCAAACTTTCTCTGTCATGGTGCCCTTAGCTTCTTGGTAGTTTTTTTAATTGCACTTCGAGGCCAAAAGAAATCCTGAAAGTTACTCTGATTATGCAGTTAGGGCTGAACAATATACTCGGTATTTATCCCCTCATCACTTAGTAGCCATTTGAAAAACAACTCTTACAAAATGGACGGAAATAGAGTTCTAAAAATTCATTCTTAAAAAGTCACAGTTTCTTACTCATGGAATGGACAGAGCTATTGGGCACTGCACACTTTCTCAAGTTTTGGAATCAGGACACTGCACTGACTTTCACACAGTGCTTCTTTTTATCCTAGCAACTGCTGAAAATTCAGCTTTGTGGATGTAACATTGTTGAACAGAATGTTCTGTGATTTAATGTCAAAATGTACACTATTGCTGAGTGGCCCTCAAAGACTTAAACGACCCCACTGAGCCCCTGTGAGGTGATTGTACTGATCTGGGCTCTTTGGGCTCACCATTATGCACTATCTGTTTACATGTCTCTTTTGTATTAATTGTAACCCCATGAGGGCAGGGACCATGTCTGTCTTGTTCTTCTAGAACCATATTTGGCACATAGTAGGTGCTCAATGAATAAACACTCATGGAAAGGCAATTTCCCCAGCCTGGCCTTTAGAAGGCAAGGTTGGAGGAGCTGGAAGCAAAATAGCTGAAGTGCTGGGTTTGGTGAGAGCAAGGACGACACTCCCAATTTCAGAGGCTCTGGTGGGTAAGGAGGGGAAACGACCAAGGTTACGCCAGAGGACATGTGCAAGGGAGACAACGCCAGGTGCTGAGAAGGATGCCGCCGATTACAGAATGAGGTTGAGGGAGTGCAAACCATGATAAGAAAAGCCCAAGGAGAGCTTGAAAAGAAGATTGCACAAGAGGTCAAGAAGATAATGAGAAACGCTTCCTGTACATAAGGAATGTCTGCTCAGGGAGGACGGTGGCAGCGCCCCTTCTGAGACAGAGCAAAGGCAATTTATTGACAGACATAGTTTCTGAAAATTAAATGGATCTTTGTCTTGGTATATTCACAAAAGAAGGGCAGAGGACAGATCTCACAAAGACACAAATTTCCCAAGGGATGGAGAAGAAATATCATGGAAGCCATGGAGGGTGGGTGAAAAAGAGAGGAAAAAAACCCTCTTATTTTTGTAGTGTGGCTTCTGACCTTCTGGGGCTGGCAAACAGGGTCCAAATGGGACATCAAATGAGGGAACCAATCTCTTATCACTGGCCCTGCTGGCCCCAAAGCTGCCAACTGTTCGGTGCCCACATCAGTCCACAGGGACTTATTTTGTCACATTCTGTTCCTGGGTCTGAAGCAAACTGCTCCAAACAGGCTTCCTTGCCAAGTCAGGGCAGCGAGAAAGCCATGTGTTTGAAGTTGCTATTAGTGTCTTCCTCAGCTGATTTCTATAAGGGATTGTTTTCCGGTAAAGGAGGAATAAGGGAAATACTTCAACAATAACTGCTCTGAGGGAGTGTGTCCAGGGAAATCATTATCTCTTATTGTGCCAATAAGTTTCAAGGCAACGAGCCAAGCTGTTCTCAAGCTGGAGCCTGAGCTACAGCTCTGAGGTCAAAACCTGCACCAAAAGGGAGTTCGTGTGAGATGCCCCCTGGAGATGCCCAAACTGTCAGAGGCATGTTTGAGACCAACTGTTTTCCTCATTGTGGGGATCAAGGTTTTAAATTCTGTACTTCCAGGAGAGAGCAGATATTATTGTAATAATGATAAAGGATAAGAACTGATATTACTGAGTCCTTGTTCTGTACCAGGCATTGTAATAGACACCTTGTGTATAATCTCATTTAAAACTCAGTAAGCAACAATGAGAGTATGATCATCTCCATTTACAGATGAGGAAACTAAGGGCAGGATCCACCTGGGTTTGCCTGTTTACAGAGCTTAGTTTTCGCCCATGCTGTGATGGCAAGACATCCACTCAGCCCAGCTAGTATTCCCATTTCCTGAGTATGTCTTACGTGCTCAGCAATGTTTTCAGGAAGAATGAGGCATGCTCTCCCCTGCAACTTCTCTCAAGGAATTTATTGGAAAGACAAAACTAACTCGGAAGAAACAAGCATCATATTAGGTGCTGAACTGGCCAAACTGGAAATAAGCACAATTTCAGTAAGAGTGTTAGGGTGTGGCAATATTATTACAAATTGGAAAATCATCCACAGATTTTAGAAAGAAAAGAAATGGGATATAAGCCCACAGAACAATATAGTCTTAGAGTAATAAAGGATTTGGATATCTTGTGTAATTTTCCCTCTTTTACAGAGGAGGAAATGAAGGCTCAGAATGGTTAAGTCACATGGTTTTACTGGAAGAGAGGTGTCTCTAGTAGTCTGTATTCCAGCATTTACTATTAACTCCCAAACTATCTCATGACTCCCATCCTTCCTCCTTAAAGGTGGAGAATATGGGGACCAATAAAGGCCTTCCCTACCACTCTACACCAAGTCTCTGTGTATTATATGGGAGAAAGAAGGCCAGAGGGAGCACATGGCAGGGGAAAACATTTAAGATGCTAGCCTGTTACCTGGCAGTGTTTTTAAAACAGTGACAGTTGCAATTACACACACACACACACACACACACACACACACACACACAAAATAAATAAAAAAGAGGTAGCTTTCTTTCCTTATCTCAACTTTCAGAAGTGTTGAGTGCGTGTTGGGGATTGGGCACTCACAGGGGTTCTCGCCTGAATTTGCAGATTTTATTTCTAGTTAGAATAGGGTATCTGGCTGGACCTGCCTGACTTTTCTTCTAGTTTTAGTTTTCTAATGCTTAGAGGGGCTCTTCTCAGTTCTCCCATCCATGGATCGTGGTGGGCTTTGCTGACAGGAGAACGCTGTGGCTGTTAACATGATTTGATTTGCATCCTGATTCGGTTCCCCAAATGTCTTCCGGATTCAGAAGTCACATGCAGGACATGTTGCCTTTGGAGAGTCCTTCCCTGGGCTAAGTTTGTCAACTCTCTGTTAAAAATGAAGACTCTTGGAGGGTAGGTGTTTGGGTGAAGTAATTGATCAGAGCCTCTCCCAGGAAGCAAGAGATAAAGCACCTGCCTGGTGGAGCCTGGGAAGGGAGGTGGGGAGGGAGGTGGTGACGGTGCCCCGGGGTTCCACAACTCACAGAGGGCCATATTTGCACCTGATGTGCCCAGGTCCCAGCAGGGGGAAGGCAGGTGGGTCTGTTTGGCTCTTTTAAAAGCACCCGTGTTGCTCCCCTGTGGAAGCCACTCTCCTGGTGGCCCCCTAAAGAGGCAGCTTCGCAGTTAGGATGAGGCCTCCGGGGCTGCACTAGGGAACTCAAGTGTCAGAAGGTTCTAAGGGAAATAGCGCTTGGAAAGCAGGATTCCACGGTGGCAAAAGTCTGGAGGGTCGTGTGGGGATGACGTCAAAGGTCACCAGGCTATCGCTTCCTCGTGGAAACATAAACCTGGACAAACGACAGACATATTTAGATTTTTAAGCAAGTTCCTGATTATAAAAGTAATTCCTGATCACTGTAGGAAAAAAAAAGGAAAAAAAATTCTTATCCAAAATTTCACCAGACATAAATCACCAGTTACTACTTTTGTGATTTTCCATCTTTTTAATATGTGCATTTGTATATGTATTATATTTTTATAGAATAGTCATACTATATTATTTTGTAACTTGCTGTCTAATTAATATTGTATTTGTTTCACTAAATTTCTTCATTAATGTAAAATGGATTCATTAATAGAATTTAAATATGTTTATCCACATATGACATAGATGTACCATTCATTTGACTATTTCTTGGTTGTTTAGCATTTAGGCTATTTTCATTTTTAGGTGTACAAATATTTGTCGACATTTATAATTTTTTTACACTAAATTAATGAATGTGGGATTACTAAAATAAAGAATGTCAATTTGTTAGTATATAGTAGAAAAATAAGAACACAGAGAAAAAATTGAAATGGAGGAGGAGAATTAAAATCATCCTTAATTCTACTATCCAAAGCAGGTCCATTCCTAACATTGTCATGATCTGAGGCGGGAGTATAAGTAAAAGTCCATATACCACGTATAAATGTCTAGGAGTTCTAAATCCTGCAAACAAATTGTTAAATGAAATACTTTCTATTCTTACCTTTGTAACAATCTAGAATTTCAGGTTCAAATGAAGCACTCAGACTCCTTGTAGGTCCTTGATAGAACGCAGTGGGATGCAGAGACCTGACCTCTGGCCTTGGCCACCTCCTTTCTCACTTCTGGTCTCCTAAGTCTTTGTCCTCACGCCCACCATGAGAGGTTTGTGTTGCATGTGTTGGCACTCAGTCCCATGTACCAGCTTTGTCCACACCCGTGCAAACAGCCCCTTCTTGGCTACCTGTTGAGTCGGGGCGTGCAAACCAACAGCACAATCACCCTCACAAAGAGATGGCTGGAAAGAGGCTTGTGCATCCCCGGAAATGGTTTAACAGTGCTTTGAATTCCAGGGAATTCCAGGTGCTGGGGGCTAGAGTGTGCACTAGGAGGAAAATGGGCTAGGGCATCAGGTGGGTTTATCTCTTTGGCCTTGCAAAGTCTTTGCCCTGTGGAGAGAAGCAGGTTGGACCAGGGCCAGAATGAAGCCATCTATAGGTTGGTGCAAAAGTAATGGCGGGTTTTTGCCATTACTTTCAATGGCAAAACCCGCCATTACTTTTGCACCAACCTAATAAATTACAAGGATGGATCCATGTCTAGGGGTGATATAATCCAAATAAAACCCAAAATAAAATTTGAGAGTATAACCTTTCAGATGCTTTTCTACCCTTTCCATGAGATTGCTCTGTATGTTATTTTATAATCTTCTGTAAAAACCAGCGATATTGTAAACATATTTCTAAGTTGAGGAATATACATACATGAACTTTTTCAGTCAGATTTTGTAAAGTATCTTCGAGTACGGTTTTACATTCTCATCAGCCATACCTTGTCTTAAACCACGCCTTTGTTTACACTGAGCATTTTAATGTTGTTTCATTGTTCACATGATAAGCAAAAAATGGCATTTTACTGTGGAGTCGCAGTGAGGTTGCACCTGGTTCTGTACGTTCCTGAGCCAGTTTGTTTTCTATTTCATGCACCAGCTCTTCACATCCTTTGTCTACTTATTGGAAGCCATTCCAAATGTGCTTTCGAAGGCCTGAAGAAAGGAGAAGTGATGGCAGACTAATGGTGGAAACTGATAAACGACAGATGAGGAGCTGAGGATGCCCCATCCCTGTTTGGTCAAGAACTATTGCTTTGCCTGAGAGCACTGAGACGTGGAAGAGTCCCCAGAGGGAAACCAGGGAAACGAGTCGTCTGTTTGCAAGAGCGAGGAGGAGATTTGGCGGAAACCTCGACCATCAGGGACACGAGATCTGCCTCCACAGAGGAAGCACAGGCGACTCGTTTCCTGACCCCTGGCCATCTTAGGGCTTCCTATATAATGATTCAGCCTTTCTCCCTCAGGAAAATATAATTTGGCTTGTGACCTTGAAGTTTATTCCTATCCTGGAAGGTGATTATAGTCTGGAACACACTCCCCAGGGCAGTAATTGTTTAAGGGGCTTCCCTCATCCTGGATGGCAGGAAAACAATACATTACATATGTCGGCTGACCACACATGTGAGCAATTCAGGTAGGAAAACATCATTCTCTGAGGGTCAGTTTGCTCCGGTGGGACATATTTGTTTTTGCAAGGATTCAGCCAATCAAGTCAATTGGAGTCAACTGCATTTGCTCGCAGGAACAATGAAGACCCTTTCCTGTTCTTGAGTCCATTTGCTGGATACATAGACTCAAGTGACATCCAAATGTGTGAAACATTTCCTATTTCTGATAATTTTTTTGGGGGGTTGCATATATGGGGTTACACCATAAATGCTTGTATAATATCTTATCCTCACTGCATCATGTGTGAATCTAAGCCATGCTTCCCAACAATATTGCAAGCTTTTTTGGGACTGGTCTTCTGTCTCTTTTATTCTTCCTCAGTTTTGTTGGTAGTGGGGCCAGAGGGAATACTTCTTTCCCACTTTATTTTCTTTTATGTGGAGGGAACAACATTTTGTAATGTTCTGGCCTCTCTGTCTCTTCTCTAGAGACTGGAATTCTTTTCTAGGAGAGCAGAAATAACCCATCTGCTTGGAAATTTGAGATAAATTTCTTCTGTCTTCTTCTTGGGACCGAGCTGCCCCCATGAAGCACATGTTTTTCTCGGCTCACCCATGCTGCAGTTTTTACAGGGTAGGCTCCACATGTGTGTTTGTTGGGGAGGGGTGGATAAGGAGTAAACCTGAAATTGAGGAATTATCCAGCCCACTCCCTAGGACTTGCCAACTCACTCTGCAATGGAGTATTTCCTAACGTGTGCTTCTCCTAATGCTCTTATTCCATGAAATGACAATAGGTGTTATCCAGGAAAGAGGAGGGATCTTACGTAGTCATGTAAAGTTGGGAAGAGCTATGTCAAACAAAGTTAAACTTGGTACACACCACAGGACTTCTCAGAGCCTTGGGTGTGCTAATGTGCGTTTTGCATCTTGTATTTAGCTCTTGAAGCTCCTTGGCGGAGTTGCTCCTGTGACTAAAGCTTATAGTCCTCATTTCTGTCCTCAAGTCTTGGATGATTCTCAGAATACACTGCGAAAGCCAAGAATTTATACTTGGAGCCATCAAACTGAATCTCACTGAAATGGTGAAATGTTATCACTATTATAAGGTGTGAAATAGGTGGGAGGGAAGGTGGCCAATGGCATTTATAGTAGAGCCTCCTTCCTGGAGAAACCTCAGCAACAGAGGGGCTGAGAGATGAGGTAGTAAGCCTGTGATGAATTTGTGCAGAAACCAGATGGATAGACCAGGCCAGATACAAAGGAGGAGGGAAGACACAGCTTCTGTCCTTAAGGTGCTCTCAGCTGAGTGAGAACATCCCTAGGTCAGCAGCTCTCAGATGTGGCCCCTCAGCCAGAAGCATCAGCAGCACTGGGAACTTGTTGGAAATCCAGATTCTTGGGCTCCACCCCAGACCTACTGAATCTGAATCTCTGGGTGGTGGAGCCCAGCAATGTGTGTTTAACAAGCCTTTCAAGGAATTCTGATGCACACTCAGGCTTGAGAACCACTTGTGCTACATAATCTCCAAGTCTGCAGGGTTCAATTAGAACTCCTGCATCATACCTTTCTATGATTAATTACTTTACTTTCAAAATTCATAATTTACTTTCAACATGAATTTTGTGAATTAAAGGACTTTAGAAATTTTGAGACCATATGACATGGGGTAAGAGCCGAGGGCCTGAAATAGAAGGCCCAAGTATAGTCTCAGTGGCTGGGGGTCCTTCAACAATTCATTTCAGTTTCCTCTTCAGTAGAGAGATTAATGGCTACCTTCCATGGTTTATGAGATTACATAAAAGGTAATTGAGAAAATGTACATAAAGTTGCTGCAAAAACTGTCAAGTGTCTCACATGTGTAGAGATAGATTTTGAGTCAATACTGTTTGAATCTTATTTTGGCAAAATGTAGTCCATTTCTCTCCAATTAATTATAGTCTCAGTATAAATCCAAAGTTCTTTTGGATTCAGGCATAGCTTTTACCCTGAGACTTCATATTAAAATAACCACTTGGGTTTTAATGAGAACTCCGGGGGCTCCTTTCTTTCTAACATACATCATGAAGTATATTTGCCTCGGCAAGAGAAGGTGTACATATCTTTATCAACTTGCTCTTCCTGTAACCTTTACCTTCTCCTTCAGAGAATAAAAAGAAAATGTATTTTCTGCCTTTTTATACCATTTTCCAAACAAAGCCCAGTGTGATGAGAATTGAGGAAATCAACACTTCTTTCCCTTGGGATGGTGACTCTCATCGCTTTTATGTCTGCGGGCATTGCATTGATTGCCCATGTCATCAGCAGCTGTAACTGACTCTCTCCCAACTCCCTCTCCCCAACCATCCAAGAAAGCATTTGCTGGGTAGAATTCATTAAGATGTCAGCACATTTTCACTGGACCGTTATTATGAATGAAGGAAATGAACAAAGTTGGCCTTGTGAGTTAGAGGAATTGGTGGCCCCTGAGTGGAATAACTTTTGAGATAATTTTCTCTGTCCCAAAATTGCACCAGCATCACTTGTGCCGGACTCTCCACCACCAGATCACTCCTCCTATAGGTTGATCTTTGTCATTTCTGCTATTTACTATGAAAAGAAAGCACCAGTCACGATCTACCTCCTTGTGTCGATGAGATTTGGACTAGAGTCATGTTTCCTGGAGCAGTGTGCAAGCTCCAGTTAACACTTAAGACACATTGAGGCAAAATATTAAAGAAATCTTTTTAAGGCCCAGAAAGGGACTGTGGTGGACATCAGACTCTAGCCTCTTGTCTACTTTATAAAACACTATCACTGGCATTAGAACTGATACCATAATTGGCAGTGTCCAGTCTTGCAGTAAAAATGTATCTATTATCCTCTCCTTTCTTAAGCTTCTCTAATGGTGAACTTAAAGGCAGAGGACCTCTACTTGCAAACAAAGGCTTGAAGAGTAACTATGAGCTTGCTGCACGTGACCACAGTGCTTCAGTGTCCCTGTGCTAAAGTCACACAGTCTGGGCAAAGCAGGGCAAAGGGCAAGTTGGCTGGGCCCAGACAGGAGACTCCCACCTCAATTGCCCAGGTGGGACTATTCTTACATGTACCAGGAAAACCACCCTAAGGCTAGTGCATCTGGTTCGCTCATTTAAGTTCACTGTGCTCCATAAGCCTTCACCAGATGACAACAGGCATTTTTCACAGCTGCAAGGAATAAATGTCCAAGACAGCAGAGCATGGGCTTTTACTGCGGCTGGGTGGAGGAAAGATCTTCCCCTCTGATGTGAAAGACGACCAGTGAGGTTCTGTTTGATCCTCATTATTTCTGGACGTGTGTCTGTCACCAGCCAAGTTCACCAAGTCACAAAGCCATTGACTGAGTACAGCTGCTTTATCCGCAGCTACAATAGTAGCTGAGGATCCTGCCTCCCAGAGAGGTGAAGTGGCTCACCCAAAGTCACACAGCAAAATAACAACAGTCCTAGAGGTAACATCTAGTCCTTGGGATCCCCATTCTAGTTTCTTTAGGAATTACATGGATGTGAGGAGACCTAGACCAGGAAAGGTGCCCCCAGGGCAAGAAGTTTTGAGAGTCCTGTGTACCACTACGGTTTCTACAGAGAGTGAATCCAGATGACCAATAACCCAGCTTAAGAGAATAAGTTAATAGCCCACTCCTAATTCTGAGAGCCACACCTTTGATAGCAGTGCCTGAGTCTGTTGCAAAGCACCTTTACTGTTTTTGCTCAAAACCAGAACTCTGAGGGTCTCTTTGGCAGTAGAAATTAACATCCCCCTCCACCATCTTATCTGATGTTTTGTAAATCTTGTTCCAGTCGGCCTGCCTCATCTCAGCATTATTCCCAATTCCCAAACTCCTGGAGGGCAGAAATCACTTCTTTATTTCTTGGTTTCCTATGTCCTTGTCCTTGTGCCTTGCTCTTAGCAGCTGTTTCCTTTTGAATGATGGCAATGGGAGAGAGCTGGTCAGCTTGGAAGAAGTGTCCCACACTGCCCTAGAAGTTTGCCATGGCAGAACCTGAGTCAGGGACAAGACTGGGCTCTTTCAGCCTGTGGAAGAGGAGCTTGCAAACCTTCAGGATTGTGATCCACAGGAGGAGATGCATTTTATTTTATTTTTTACTTATTTATTTTATTTTAGTTAATTGAGACACAGGTCTTATGATGTTGCCTGGGCTGGTCTTGATCTCCTGGCCTCAAAAAATTCTCCTGCTTCGACCTCCCAAAGTGTTGGGATTACAGTCATAAGTCACCATGCCCAGCTGGAAATAGATTTTATATCATTGTGTGTGTGTCCCCAAAACCTGATGACACCATACTATTCCTATGTGTGATGTGCTGACACTTCTATTCCATTCTATTTTGTTAAAACAATTGCTATTTGTGACCTGGTAAGTTGATTTTACATTCTGTTGACAGGTCACAGCCACACAATTTGAGAAACACTGCCACAGAGAACACACCTTCAGCTCCCCCAATGGGGTATGGGGAAGTGTGGGAGGCTGTCAAGGGGAGAGGCTGCAGTTTCAGACAGCCCAGGCAGGCTGCTTCAGGGGCTCTGGAGCCAGCAGCACATGGAAGGAACAGTACAGGGGCTTTTGCATTGGCCAATGTCCTTGTTATGTGGATAAACAGAAGACACCAGCCTTCAGTGCCTGCAATCTGCTACCTTTCAAGAGCTTTCCAACTCAGCCTGAGAGAGGAAGGAAGGAAGGCTTGATGAGAAAGAAGAGTGCCACCTCCTCTGCCCGACATGCCTTCAGCACTGCAGGCTGGTTGTGGCTGAGGCTTTCTTTCACCATCAGGAAGCCTGTTAAGAGCAAGACATCTTGCAGAAGGGCCAGGATGGAGGATGAATGATTTGGTGGCACTTGGCCCCCAGGCAGCCCTCCTCCCTAGCTGGTGCCTCCCTCCATCACCGTGTGTTCCACAGAACGCGCCATCTGGGGGCCTTGCTGCAGGAGGTGGCTGGAACTTTGCAAGCCAGCTGAGCTGCTGCTAAGACAGAATGTGTCCCTGTGAGAATGTACACCAAGTCCAGGGGGAGGCATCCAGCCTGCTTCCCTTTGAGAAGGCTCTGCCAGTCTCCATGGGGACTTGAGAGACCAATTCCCTACAAGGGGTGGCTGGCAGAGGTTGGGGGAAAGCATGCCACCTTAGTGACTGTTCTGGGGGAGGGGTAGGTAGGGAAAATGATTTCTAAAAGGAAGGCCAGCCAGTTGACTAACTTTAGTTCTTCACCCAAAGTGGGCAAAACCCCTCATGGGGCAAGTGCTTGAATGAATCCTTTTGTACTGTGTGTCCCTTCTCCTCCCTCACAGCAATAGGCTGGAGTTTGGGAAAGGGCATGATTGGGAAGGTGCTGTAAGCAAAGTGCAAGGCATGGCCCCAGCTTCTAAGGAGCTTACACTCAAATCAGAAAAAGGATATTAAAAACAGGAAGCTATTAGTGCACAGTACATGAGAGAATGTAAGCAAATGCTGCGCTAAGTGGGACAGAATGTAAATGCTGCAGATCAGGAAGGGGAGGTCTGTGGGGGCTGAGCTGGTCAGGCGCCTCTTGCAGAGGCACTGGTGGGAAGAAGAAAGGCCATCTAAGGGCAGGGCGGGGCAGGACAGCAGGAGCCTGGAGCTGGAGCCCAGAGGATGAGAAGACCACTGCGGTGGGCACCGCTGATGCATGGCAGGGAGTAAGGAGGTGTTGGGCTGGAGGTCGAAGAAGTTGCTGGAGACCCTTGATGCCCAGCTGATAAATGTCCTTAAGGAATTTAAAATCCAGAGCCTAGCTGAGCATGGTGGTACATTCCTGTAATCCTAGCTATTAGGGAGGCTAAGGTAGGAGGATCGCTTGAGCCCAGGAGTTTGAAGCCCACCTGGCAACATAGTGAGACCCTGTCTCTAAAAAATAATAAAATCCAGAGGCTTAATAGCTACGTAACATAGTGGCATATATGGCACACACAACAGGTATACATACTATAGCATGAGGTGGGCACCCAGGGTGGGCAGGGGATACCTGTGGCAGGAAAACTACTGTAAGAAATCTCCTGGGATTGGGATAAACTTCCAGAGGCTGAGGGCATTGAGAGCCCCTGACCCAGAAGGGCAGTTCTGTGAGCAGAAGCAGGGCATGATAAAGGGACCATGGGTTCTGGAGGCACAAAGGCCTGCATTCATATCTCTGCTCTGCCAGTTTTGAGCTGTGGGATGTTGTTAACCTCTGTGGACCTCAGTGTCCTCATTGGTAAGAAGGGACACAGCACAATAACTCATGTGAATCACCTATCACATGTCAATATGATAGGTCTGACACGTTCTTAGGATAACTTTTGTTATTTTACTACTTCATTTCTGTTTCTTTAGCCTGGCCCCTATCTCCTAAGACAAAATTACAGGCTGCTGTAAAGTTCACTGTTTCTGGGAGTCACCCAGGGCTATGTCACATGGGATCACTACATGGTGGCTACTTGGCATAATTTCCCTTCTGTGCTGGCAGGTGGGGGGTGTCACCACATCTAATGACAACCATATTCTGCCAGGTCCCACTGCCAGGCACCAGAAATGGGCCCCACTAAAGTCAACTGTGTTTGCTTTAGCCAAATGTATGTAACTGACACCAGGGATAGGAGAGGCCAAGTGAGGCATTGACCTGGTTGTGGAGATGGAAGGAGGGGCATCAACCTGGCCTTATTCTGTTAATTTGAAATGTACTGAGGGCCTTCTCCAGCTTAGAATTATGCTACCTATGTGCTGCTGTATTGGGGACACAAGCCATTTACCCATCAGATAGTTAAATATTGGAAGCTTATTATGAGTGGGTTATGAAAGCATAAATGCTTTAGATAATCCATGAAAGGAGGATTTTATTTTTAAGGGGAATGTTGAGTAGAAAATGCACATGCTCTTGTGAGAGATGAAAGTATGTCCCTACTGACTCCCTTTCCCATAGGCATTGTTGGTACCTGCTCTGTCCTCACTTCTGAGGGACCTGTTGAGTGGCTGTTGATTAGTGCCGACCAGTTGGTTCATGAGAACAAAGACATTTCACTATCCTAAAGCCTAGGATGGAAGGAAAGAGATGCTCTAAAGAATGAGATTTTTCTTATTGCTCTAGCTCTATGTCTCCATCGAGGAGATTTAGACAGAGGGGTCTTCTCAGAATGAAAAATGTGAGAGGGGCTAGAAATCAGGGAATTGCTATCTGCAGCCTTGTTTCTTTGTGGAATTGGTTCTTCCTTGTGATTTATTTTTCCACTTTGATATATTTCATTCATTCATCCCACAATTCATTTATGGCATTTCATCAACATGCCACTGTGAAAAACTGGGCCAACTTAATTTTTTTTCCTTTAGCACTTAAAAAATTTCCCCAAGTTGTTACATTAGGTTATTTTCCCTTCCAAAAGGTGTTTCTTTATTTGAAATGGATTATAAAAAGCAATAAACTAGAGGATAGGAAAAAAAATGAACTCTACAATGATCCCAGTGTAACTTACATTTAGTTAGCAGCATGAATAATATCAAAACAATGTGTCTGATCATACCCACAACTCCTTTGAGAACACTGAATGAGATCACGTGCATAAAAGCACTTTGGCAAGTATGGAGTGCTCAGGAGGGGATTTTCAGGAGCAAAATGGGAAGCTCTCAGGCTCAGGGGTCAGACACCTGGGTTGAAATCCTGACTTCATTACTTACTGACCCTGTGACTTTTAGGAAGTTATATATTCCTATAAGTTGGGGATTATGCATGTAGAGAGGTGTTTAGGATACTGTGGGTGCAGTGAATGGTAACCATTATTATGCAAAGGCAAGGCATTACTATAATCACTAGAATGAGTATTATTTTTATTCAGCCTTGGAATGAGTCATGTGGCCTTTCCGCAACCTTCTGAATGATATTTCATTTGGGTTAATATCAGAATGAGATGGTATTCCAGGACTACTGATGTTAGTGGGTGGTAAGGTCATGGAGTGCAAAGTATCAAGAGGAAGTTCTTCAAGGTTAAACCTTGGCAGGGGAAAATGCATGAAGTGGCTAAAATTTAATTTTTCCATAATTGAAAACCCTTATGGTGAGTTGACTTTAGTTCATAAAAGTTTGTGTCACTTGCTATATACCAGGTTGGAGGGATACAAAAAATAAACCTCAAGAGGTACCTGACCAGAGGAGGTAGATGTGAAATCACAGAATAATGTGGGGAGTGCAGTGATGGCGACACACACGTGGCTTATGAGTAGAAGAGAGCAAGGACATATAAATCCACAATAGTATATTCTTGGTCACTAGTCACAGAAAGCTTGAGTAAAGATGGCTTAAACAATAAAGAGATGTATTATCTTCCATAGAAAGAAGCTCTAATTTAGGAAAGCTCAGAGTTGATTAGTGACTCAACAAAGACCCAGGTTCTTTTTATCTTCACTCTGCCATCCTCACTCAGAATGTTATCTAGATCTTCTCATGATCACAAGACAGCTGCAGTAGCTCCAGGGATCACATAACAACAGATTAACATTCCAAGGACAGATAAAGGCCTGTATCTCTCATGTGCATCTCTTTTTAAGAGTGAAGAAAACTTTCCTAGAAGTACCTACTCTACACAGCAGACTTCTCCTTACATTTCCGAACCAGGTTACCTGGCTGCTTATAAAAAATAACAGCAAAGGGAAGGACAACACCAAGGATTGCATTTACATCTATTAAAATCCACACACACCACTGGGGGCAAGAGGAGACCTTAAAATAAAATTGGAGCTTTGTGAGCACTAAAGAAAATAAATGTGGGTTTTTAGATAGGTAGCCAAGAGAGTCTGCAACAGCATCTCACTAATTCAGCCTTGGAGAGAGTGGGGATTAGGAAGGTCTCAGGAGGAGGTAATACCTAAGGTGAGACTAAAGCCTTGCTACTCAAGGTATGGCCTATAGACCAATAACAACAGCATCACCTTGGAGCTTGCTAGGAATGCATATTTTAGATCTGTCCCAGACCTATTGACCTAGCATCTGCTTTTTTGCAAAATGTCCAGGTGAACCATATATGCAATTGACATTTGAGAAAATGATATAAAGCATGAATAGAAGGCAACCAGGTAAAAGAATCTGAAAAATAGAATGGAGGTAGGAAATAGAAGAGAGAACTACATGAATAGAAGTAGTAGAGGGAAAAGTTAATATAGTACTTGGAGTTAACCACAATGAGCTTAGGGTCATTAATTTTTAGATGTAGTTTCCAATTTTTTAAATATTCAGAAAATTTAATCCATCTAATATTACCAATGCAAGTATAGCCGTACGTAAGTAGAAGAACTAACATTGACTGCCTACTGTGTTCCAGTCACTGTCCTGATGTTCTGTTAGGTTGTCATCTATAGTGCTGTACAGGTTGTTCCATTTGTGTATGGCTGCTTAACAAACTACTTTAAAACTCTGTACATTAAAACAACCACCACTTTATTATATTTCCCCGATATTATGGGTCAGAAATTTGGGCAGGGCTCTGCTGGGCATTTCTTCAGCTTCACACTGGGTCACTCAATGTTATCCAGCTGGTAGATGGGCTGGTTTCTGGGGTCCAAAGTGGCTTGACTCACATATCTTGGTACCTTGGTGGAGGGGCTGGAAGCCTGTGTTCAGTTGTGTCCCACTTCTCTTGTGTTCTCACTGCCTCTCCATGTGGCTTCTCTAATGAGGAAATCAACCTTCTTGGCTTAGGGCTCCAAGAGACTAAGATAGAAACTTCTAGTTCTCTTCAAGGGTAGGCCCAGAACTAGCAAATTTCACTTCTGCCCCACTCTACTAGCCAAAGTTGTAACAGGCCAGCCCAGAATTAAGAGGAGGAGAGAATAAAATCCCACCTCTCAATGGAAGGAATGTCAATGAATTTGGAGCCATCTTCAATTCACCACATAGACACTAATTAATTTATTCCCTCAATAACCCTGACATAGTTGTTACATTTTTAGTTTGCATGTAAAGAAATGGAGACACAGTATGGTTAAGTAATTTCCCCAAGGTCAATGCTTAGTAAGGGAAAAAGTCAAGGTTGGAATCCAGCTGGTTTGACTCCACCATACCTAACCACTGTACCATTACTGCCTCTCCCTAGGGAGGCCGTACTTACTAAAGAATTAGAGTATATTTCTATAGTTTTAAACCACAGGGAAGAGCCTCTTCCCAGCCTCCCATTGGCTAACTCATTGTCCACAACACATGTGTTGAATAGCACACTTACACTCTTAATACCCTGGTTTGAGCCTCACATTTTTAAAGAGCTTTTGACCTCTTCTTTCTGTGTCCAGTAAGTAACCCTAGCCCAGGTGCAGAGGATCCAGCAGCAGATTAAATGCATTTCAGATAACTAGAAGACACAACCCTGCCTTCTCTGCCCCCACTACTCTCCTGGATTGTTGAAGGATTATTTACTGTGTTTGCCTTGACTTGAGCTATTTAATGTTTCCAAAACAGATGCAGCCGATTGATTAATGGCATTCCCCACTAAAAGTCAGAAATGTCAGAAACACGCGTAGAAGCCAGTGTCATTCTGGACTAGAACAATAGATACGGCTGAGAAACAGGGACCCACGCCAAGTATTCTTGAGGCTAGGAGTTCATGTGTCACTCTTCTGCTAAGAGACAGGTATATATAAGGGCAGGGAAAGCAGGAGTTTGTGGGTGGGGGGTGGGTTGGGGATGGCTAGGCATGTGCTAATAATAGGATGGGTCACATGACGCCTAAGTCACCTCAAAAGAAGCTTAGTTGGTGAAGGTGAATTAAAGTGCTCGGAATTAAGGACATTTCTTCAAATATTCCCTGACGTGTAAAAATAGACTGAAGGAACTAACATGTGTGATGAAGAGAGAATTGTGAGTTTAGACTGACCTCTGTTCAGAGGGCTTTTGTGATTTGCTAGGGGATAGTTAAGAGCAGGACCAGCTATATAATTTGTAGGGCCTAATGCAAAGTGAAAATGTGGGGCCCTTTATTCCAAAAATATAAGGTATTTTAAGATGGCAACTGCAGAGCATTAAAGTGTGGGCCCTTCTGAACACAAGCCCTAGGTGACTGTGCAGGTACCATACCCTGAAGTCGGTGCTGGTTAGGAGAACGTGATGCCCTATTTCTTTTAAGGATGGTGCAGCAACGAATGAATCTGGCAAGGATCTGAAGGGCTGGCCGACCCTGGGCAAAACTGTGGAAAGGACAGCCTGTTTGGGATCACTGTGTTAGCCCTGTATGCCCCTTCCTCTGCCCCTCCAAGCCTCTTCCTTCTTGTTACTTGGAGTTCCCCAACTCTCTCACCTCCTCATCTCCTCCCCTCAGAAAACCTGCCCACAGGACAGGATCTAAAAGAGTTCCAGACACTGAGGTGTACCTGACGAAATACTTGAAATGTTCCCCCTGCATATTTGTACTTCCACCAATGTTTAAGCCTTGGGAAAAAGCAATAATGGAATTTTAGGCATTACCCTGCTCGGGGACAAGTAATGTCTTTTTTTTTTTTTTTAAGCTCTGAAGTTTGTGCAGCACCCTTGAGATCACACTGTTACAGGCATGTACTTATTTTGCCAGTCGTGGAGGCCAGTGGCTTTCTGCTATCAGGGGCATTTATCCCTGAGAATGCAAGTTGCAGCCTCCTCTTTTGTGAATTGGAACTGGAAAGACCCTTTCTCCCATGTCAGTGGGCCGGACAGTAGGGCATGCTTAATTCCACAGGAAGTATCTACAGACTAAATTCCATTCGGTTGCACGTTTGTAGTCTCAGTGTCTCCCTCCATCCCTGCCCCTCCCGCTCCAGTGCCCACTCAGCTGTTTCACAGTGCACAGCTCACGACTCCTGAGCTGCCCTTTCCTTGACACTCTCTCTGAATACCAGCGGCACCCCTGCAGTCGGCTGCACGTATGTCTCTGGGCATTCCCTCCCCCTGACCCCCATAGGCACTTGATCCTGTGGGGGTCTTGCTGCTAGAAGGGACGGGGCTGGGAAATCACCTCTGGTCACCCCAAACCAGGCTTTGCTCCCTTTCTCTTGAACCTGCTGTGGCTTGCTTGTCCTTTCCCGGGCTTAATGTCAAAGGAAACGCCTTCTAAAACCACAAACCACTAGGGCCTCCCTTATTTCTCAGATTGACTTGGCTTCTAGGCAGTGGTTGTGGCCTACAAAGCCACGGCGTGAGTCCAGGAGAAAATCATTTCAGTCGCGCGAGGCCAGACAGCAGCTCAGCCTCACAGAGGAGGTTAATAATAGGGCCCGTCCTAGAGGCAGTCCAGGAAAGCCTTTGGAACTTTCTATCTTCAGATATGCCTCGATCGATCCATTCAGAAGCATTTTGTTCTCTAGGCCCCATCTCTGTGGCAACCTGGCTGTAGAAGGAAGGCGATTGCAGTTCTGGTTTTGAAACATCGGGCATGACTGTTGTAGGGTTTGAAGCCAAAACACATGGAGTAAATGAAAACCTCTGACTCACCAGGAATCACTCTTCGTTTTCAGACACATCAATCAGTCTGTCAACAGCATTGACTGAAGGTCTATTCTGTGAAGAACCATGGATGGGCACTGTGGGGAGATTTGCGGAACCGTGTATTAATAGTTTCATTCATCCATCCATTTATCTCGCCATTTAACTCAATTTAGTGAATTGAGTCAATCAGAAATACCCACTGAGCCTTACTAGCCACAAAACCCTGCCCTCGAGGGATGCCGGAAATATAAAGAGAGATAGCAATGTGTAAAAAGTCACCCATAAGCGCTTACAGTCTAATGAGGGACTGGTGGCAAAGGCAAATACATAAATAGATAAGACCAGGCAAACTATGACAAACATCACAAGAGAAGTTGACCAGGGGTGTTTCAGAGATTCAGAAAAGGGAACTGTCATACTGAGTTGGAAGAATTACAGAATGCAGTTCCTTATTAGGAACTCATTATTAGGCATATTAGCTATTCAGTGAGTATATGTTGAAAATTGTCATATAAAATAGGCTTGGATATAGGTTTTAGAGGTCTACCAGGAAATTAATAGGCAGAGGCAAGGGCAAGGCAGAGGTACAGTAGGTGGCAAAGACTGCTAGCAACACATCCGCTGAGGTCTGTGGAGGGCAGCAAGGTGCTGTGTGTATTCACCTGTCATCTTACCTTCCATCCACCTGCCCGAGATGTCGCACTGGGCAGTGAGGGGCAAAACCAGGGTTACCGCTGGACACTGAAGAAGCAGTGAGGTTCTAGAAAATATTTGCAAGCTAAAAAGCAGCATTGTGTGTGGAGGGGCAACAGAATTGAGGTGTGATGGTTCACTGGAGACTTCATTACAGATGGGGAAGTGGTCAGAGGTAGAACAAAAACCGCAGGGCAGAGCCAGAGCCTGGGTAAGCAGACAAGGAGGCTGGATATAGATGCTGAGAGGTGACCACTGAGGCTCTGTGACCTAACCTCCAGACAGGCACTTGGGCATGGCACTAACTTTAAAGGGCTGGCATATGATACTACCTACATATTAAGCACTTGCTGTGTACTCAGCATTGTGCCAGGTGAGAAAAAGGTCATTTCGTGTTTGGAGTAAATGCAATGTATGAAATGTATGTATGCAATGATCTTTGTCCTGACAGAGCTTAGAATCCAGTTGAGCAAGCTAGGATGGGTAGAAAGGAAACAAGAAGAGGAGACTATGAAAGCGATTGCCAGAGTGTACATGGAAGGGCTGAATAGTTGCAGGACTTGAAAGGATTAACTGCAGTCCAAACTGACTTCATAAATATTGAAGGGCTTCCTGGTTGCAAAAGCAGTCATGGAGAGCTTGTTGGAGGAGGTGAGATTTGAACCAGCCTTTCAGTAGTGGCTAGTCAGGGATGTCCAGGCTGGATGGTCAGGCCTGGGCTGGGGAACTCTGCCTCAGCCTACAGCACTGCCCATAGGCCCAGCCACCCACTACGCTTAATAGCCAGGAGGCTGAGCAGGTCTGAGGAGGCTTCTGGACCTGTGGTGCTCAGGATCCCTCTTTTTGCCGTGTTCTCACTTGGTGGAAGGGGCGAAGGAGCTCTCTGGGGTCTCTTTTATAAGGGCACTAATCTCCTTCATGAAGTCTCTGACTTCAAGACCTAATTGCCTTCCAAAGCCTCACCTCCAAATACCATTACATTGGGGATTAGGTTTCAAGATATCAATTTGAGGGGCGACATAAACATTCAGTCTATAGCATAGATTAAGCATGTTCCCTCTTAAAAGTTATTTATTTATTTATTTTGTTTTGTTTCTTTTCCAAGACAGAGCCTCACTCTGTCGCCCAGGCTGGAGTGCAGTGGTGTGATCTCCATCACTGCAAATTTCCACCACCCGGGTTCAAGCGATTCTCCTACCTCAGCCTCCCGAGTAGCCCGCCTTGGCCTCCCAAAGTGCTAGGACCACGCCTGGCCAAAAGTTATTTATTTTTAAAACACAAGTAATATAGTAATAACATTTCAGTGTAAAAAAAGAAAAAGAAAAAAAAGCAGTTTCTTTAGATGCTTCCTATTCCACCTATTCTCACAGAAAGTCCTGTTCCTGATTTATTGTATGTCTTAGAGACTTTGTACTATATTTTTATATGTGTGTACTTATGCAATATTCTTTTTAATATATAAATGGTAACATGCAGTATGGAAAGATTTGAAATTTGCTTTTGTTTCCCCATTTACAAATATGTCTTGGGGCTCTTTTTTTTTATTATACTTTAAGTTTTAGGGTACATGTGCACAACGTGCAGGTTTGTTACATATGTATACATGTGCCATGCTGGTGTGCTGCACCCAGTAACTTGTCATTTAACATTAGGTATATCTCCAAATGCTATCCCTCCTCCCTCCTCCGACCCCACAACAGTCCCCGGTGTGTGATGTTCCCCTTCCTGTGTCCATGTGTTCTCATTGTTCAATTCCCACCTATGAGTGAGAACATGCGGTGTTTGGTTTTTTGTCCTTGCGATAGTTTGCTGAGAATGATGGTTTCCAGCTTCAACCATGTCCCTACAAAGGATATGAACTCATCATTTTTTATGGCTGCATAGTATTCCATGGTGTATATGTGCCACATTTTCTTAATCCAGTCTATCGTTGTTGGACATTTGGCTTGGTTCCAAGTCTTTGCTATTGTGAATAGTGCCGCAATAAACATACGTGTGCATGTGTCTTTATAGCAGCATGTTTTATAATCCTTTGGGTATATATCCAGTAATGGGATGGCTGGGTCAAATGGTATTTCTAGTTCTAGATCCCTAAGGAATCGCCACACTGACTTCCACAATGGTTGAAGTAGTTCACAGTCCCACCAACAGTGTAAAAGTGTTCCTATTTCTCCACATCCTCTCCAGCATCTGTTGTTTCCTGACTTTTTAATGATCGCCATTCTAACTGGTGTGAGGTGGTATCTCATTGTGTTTTTGATTTGCATTTCTCTGATGGCCAGTGATGAAGAGCATTTTTTCATGTGTCTTTTGGCCTTATAAATGTCTTCTTTGGAGAAGTATCTCTTCATATCCTTTGCCCACTTTTTGATGGGGTTGTTTTTTTCTTGTAAATTTGTTTGAGTTCATTGTAGATTCTGGATATTAGCCCTTTGTCAGATGAGTAGATTGCAAACATTTTCTCCCATTCTGTAGGTTGCCTGTTCACTTTGATGGTAGTTTCTTTTGCTGTGCAGAAGCTCTTTAGTTTAATTAGATCCCATTTGTCAATTTTGGCTTTTGTTGTCATTGCTTTTGGTGTTTTAGACATGAAGTCCTTGCCCATGCCTATGTCCTGAATGGTATTGCCTAGGTTTTCTTCTAGGGTTTTTATGGTTTTAGGTCTAACATTTAAGTTTTTAATCCATCTTGAATTAATTTTTGTATAAGGTGTGAGGAAGGGATCCAGTTTCAGCTTTCTACATATGGCTAGCCAGTTTTGCCAGCATCATTTATTAAATAGGGAATCCTTTCCCCGTTTCTTGTTTTTGTCAGATTTGTCAAAGATCAGATAGTTGTAGATATGTGGCATTATTTCTGAGGGCTCTGTTCTGTTCCATTGGCCTATATCTCTGTTTTGGTACCAGTACCATGCTGTTTTGGTTACTATAGCTTTGTAGTATGGTTGAAGCCAGGTAGCGTGATGCCTCCAGCTTTGTTCTTTTGGCTTAGGATTGATTGGGCGATGCGGGCTCTTTTTTGGTTCCATATGAACTTTAAAGTAGTTTTTTCCAATTCTGTGAAGAAAGTCGTAGGTAGCTTGATAGGGATAGCATTGAATCTGTAAATTACCTTGGGCAGTATGGCCATTTTCACGATACTGATTCTTCCTACCCATGAGCATGGAATGTTCTTCCATTTGTTTGTATCCTCTTTTATTTCATTGAGCAATGGTTTGTGGTTCTCCTTGAAGAGGTCCTTCACGTCCCTTGTAAGTTGGATTCCTAGGTATTTTATTCTCTTTGAAGCAGTTGTGAATGGGAGTTCAGTCATGATTTCGCTCTCTGTCTGTTATTGGTGTATAAGAATACTTGTGATTTTTGCACATTGATTTTGTATCCTGAGATTTTGCTGAAGTTGCCTGTCAGCTTAAGGAGATTTTGGGCTGAGAAAATGGGGTTTTCTAGATATACAATCATGTCATCTGCAAACAGGGACAATTTGACTTCCTCTTTTCCTAATTGAATACCCTTTATTTCCTTCTCCTGCCTGATTGCCCTGGCCAGAACTTCCAACACTATGTTGAATAGGAGTGGTGAGAGAGGGCATCCCTGTCTTGTGCCAGTTTTCAAAGGGAATGCTTCCAGTTTTTGCCCATTCAGTATGATATTGGCTGTGGGTTTGTCATAGATAGCTCTTATTATTTTGTGATATGTCCCATCAATACCTAATTTATTGAGAGTTTTTAGCATGAAGGGCTGTTGAATTTTGACAAAGGCCTTTTCTGCATCTATTGAGATAATCATATGGTTTTTGTCATTGGTTCTGTTTATATGCTGGATTATGTTTATTGATTTGCATATGTTGAACCAACCTTGCATCCCAGGCATGAAGCCCACTTGATCATGATGGATAAGGTTTTTGATGTGCTGCTGGATTCAGTTTGCCAGTATTTTATTGAGGATTTTGGAATCGATGTTCATCAGGGATATTGCTCTAAAATTCTCTTTTTTTGTTGCATCTCTGCCAGGCTTTGTTATCAGGATAATGTTGGCCTCATAAAATGAGTTAGGGAGGATTCCCTCTTTTTCTACTGATTGGAATAGTTTCAGAAGGAATGGTACCAGCTCCTCCTTGTACCTCTGGTAGAATTCGGCTGTGAATCCATCTGGTCCTGGACTTTTTTTGGTTGGTAAGCTATTAATTATTGCCTCCATTTCAGAGCCTGTTTGGTCTATTCAGAGGTTCAAGTTCTTCCTGGTTTAGTCTTGGGAGGGTGTATGTGTCGAGGAATTTATCCATTTGTTCTAGATTTTCTAGTTTATTTGCGTAGAGGTGTTTATAGTATTCTCTGATGGTAGTTTGTATTTCTGTGGGATCGGAGGTGATGTCCCCTTTATCATTTTTTATTGCATCTATTTAATTCTTCTCTCTTTTATTCTTTATTAGTCTTGCTAGCGGTCTATCAATTTTGTTGATCTTTTCAAAAAACCAGCTCCTGGATTTATGGATTTTTTGAAGGGTTTTTTGTGTCTCTATTTCCTTCAGTTCTGCTCTGATCTGTTACTTCTTGCCTTCTGCTAGCTTTTGTCTTTTTTTTCTTTCTTTTTAAATTATACTTTAAGTTTTAGGGTACATATGCACAGCATGCAGGTTAGTTACATATGTATACATGTGCCATGTTGTTGTGCTGCCCCTATTAACTTGTCATTTAACATTAGGTATATCTCCTAATGCCTTCTGCTGGCTTTTGAATGTGTTTGCTCTTGCTTCTCTAGTTCTTTTAATTGTGATGTTATGGTGTCAGTTTTAGATCTTTCCTGCTTTCTCTTGTGGGCATTTAGTGCTATAAATTTCCCTCTACACTCTGCTTTGAATGTGTCCCAGAGATTCTGGTATGTTGTGTGTTTGTTCTCGTTGGTTTCAAAGAACGTCTTTATATCTGCCTTCATTTCGTTATGTACCCAGCAGTCATTCAGGAGCAGGTTGCTCAGTTTCCATGGAGTTGAGCAGTTTTGAGTGAGTTTCTTAACCCTGAGTTCTGGTTTGATTGCACTGTGGTCTAAGAGACAGTTTGTTGTGATTTCTGTTCCTTTACATTTGCTGAGGAGAGCTTTACTTCCAACTGTGTGGTCAGTTTTGGAATAGGTGTGGTGTAGTGCTAAGAAGAATGTAGATTCTGTTGATTTGGGGTGGAGAGTTCTGTAGATGTCTATTAGGTCTGCTTGGTGCAGAGCTGAGTTCAATTCCTGGGTATCCTTGTTAACCTTCTGTCTCATTGATCTGTCTAATGTTGACAGTGGGGTGTTAAAGTCTCCCATTATTAATGTGTGGGAGTCTAAGTCTCTTTGTAGGTCTCTAAGGACTTGCTTTATGAATCTGGGTGCTCCTGTATTGGGTGCATATATATTTAGGATAGTTAGCTCTTCTTGTTGAATTGATCCCTTTACCATTATGTAATGGCCTTCTTTGTCTCTTTTGATCTTTGTTGGTTTAAAGTCTGTTTTATCAGAGACTAGGATTGCAACCCCTGCCTTTTTTTGTTTTCCATTTGCTTGGTAGATCTTCCTCCATCCCTTTATTTTGAGCCTATGTGTGTTTCCGCATGTGAGATGGGTTTCCTGAATACAGCACACTGATGGATCTTGAATCTTTATCCAATTTGCCAGTCTGTGTCTTTTAATTGGAGCATTTAGCCCATTTACATTTAAGGTTAATATTGTTATGTGTGAATTTGATCCTGTCATTATGATGTTAGCTGGTTATTTTGCTCGTTAGTTGATGCAGTTTCTTCCTAGCCTCGACGGTCTTTACAATTTGGCATGTTTTTGCAGTGGCTGGTACCGGTTATTCCTTTTCATGTTTAGTGCTTCCTTCAGGAGCTCTTTTAGGGCAGGCCTGGTGGTGACAAAATCTCTCAGCATTTGCTTGTCTGTAAAGGATTTTATTTCTCCTTCACTTATGAAGCTTAGTTTGGCTGGATATGAAATTCTGGGTTGAAAATGCTTTTCTTTAAGAATGTTGAATATTGGCCTCCACTCTCTTGTGGCTTGTACAGTTTCTGCCGAGAGATCAGCGCTTAGTCTGATGGGCTTGCCTTTGTGGGTAACGTGACCTTTCTCTCTGGCTGTCCTTAACATTTTTTCCTTCATTTCAACTTTGGTGAATCTGACAATTATGTGTCTTGGAGTTGCTCTTCTCAAGGAGTATCTTTGTGGCATTCTCTTTATTTCCTGAATTTGAATATTGGTCTGCCTTGCTAGATTGGGGAAGTTCTCGTGGATAATATCCTGCAGAGTGTTTTCAACTTGGTTCCATTCTCCCCGTCACTTTCAGGTACACCAATCAGACGTAGATTTGGTCTTTTCACATAGTCCCATATTTCTTGGAGGCTTTGTTTCTTTTTATTCTTTTTTCTCTAAACTTCTCTTCTCACTTCGTTTCATTCATTTGATCTTCCATCACTGACACCCTTTTTTCCAGTTGATCAAATCGGCTACTGAGGCTTCTGCATTCGTCATGTAGTTCTTGTGCCTTGGTTTTCAGCTCCATCAGGTCCTTTAAGGACTTCTCTGCATTGGTTATTCTAGTTAGCCATTCATCTAATTTTTTTTCAAGGTTTTTAACTTCTTTGCCATGGGTTCGAACTTCCTCCTTTAGCTCGGAGTAGTTTGATCATCTGAAGCCTTCTTCTCTCAACTCGTCAAAGTCATTCTCCATCCAGCTTTGTTCCATCGCTGGTGAGGAGCTGTGTTCCTTTGGAGGAGGAGAGGTGCTCTGATTTTTAGAGTTTTGTTTTTCTGCTCTGTTTTTTCCCCATCTTTGTGGTTTTATCTACCTTTGGCTTTGATGATGGTGATGTACAGATGGGGTTTTGGTGTGGATGTCCTTTCTGTTTGTTAGTTTTCCTTCTAACAGTAAGGACCCTCAGCTGCAGGTCTATTGGAGTTTGCCGGAGGTCCACTCCAGACCCTGTTTTCCTGGGTATAAGCAGCGGAGGCTGCAGAACAGCAGATATTGGTGAACAGCAAATGTTGCTGTCTGATTGTTCCTCTGGAAGTTTTGTCTCAGAGGAGTACCTGGCCGTGTGAGGTGTCAGTCTTCCCCTACTGGGGCATAGGACCCTCTGAGCCAGGTGTGGGATATAATCTCCTGGTGTGCCGTTTGCTAAGACAGTTGGAAAAGCGCAATATTAGGGTGGGAGTGACCCGATTTTCCAGGTGCCATCTGTCACCCCTTTCTTTGACTAGGAAAGGGAATTCCCTGACCTCTTGCACTTCCCTGGTGAGGCGATGCCTCACCCTGCTTTGGCTCATGCTCTGTGTGCTGCATCCACTGTCCTGCACCCACTGTCTGTCACTCCTCAGTGAGATGAACCCAGTACCTCAGCTGGAAATGCAGAAATCACCCATCTTCTGTGTCGTTCACGCTGGGAGCTGTAGACTGGAGCTGTTCCTATTCGGCCATCTTGGCTCCACCAATCTGGGGCTCTTTCTATGCCAAAAAAAAAAAAAAATAGATTTACTCTATTCCTCTTACAGGGTGTATTGTATTCTAGTGAGTAGGTATATTTTCTTGGCTGTTCCTTTACTGATGAACTTTAGGATGTTTACAATTTTTTGTGATTACAAACAATGTCAGAATGAAGATACCTGTAAAAACCTCATTGAATATGTATATGAATGTTTTTCTATACAAAAATTATAATCACTGGGCCATTAAGTATATTTAATATTCTAATAGTTAAATTTTCTTTTTAAATGGCTTACCAATTTAATCTTCCACCAGTAGCCTTCTAGTGTATTGATTTTCCCCAAAATCTTGTCTTGATAAGTGTGTTGATTTTTGCTAATCTAATGGGTATAAAAATGGGGCTTCTCTCTTTATGTTTTAAGTTAAAATATAACATTATTTTTAAAAATATGGGTTTTTTGCCCTACAAAACTATATTTTAAAAGTATTACACAGTAAAATTAGCTGTTTTCTTTTTGATGTAGAGTTCTAGAAACTTTAACACATGCACAGTTGGGACTCTCTCTCCCCTTTTCCTACCCCTGGCAAACACTGATCTCTTCTCCATCATTGTAGTGTTGTCCTTTTGAGAATGTCACATAAATGGAATCATACAGTATGTAACATTTTAAGGTTTGCTTCTTTTATTCAGCATAATGCTTTTGAGATTCATGAGACTTGTTCCATAATATCAAGAGGTTTTTCCTTTTAATTGCCTAGTAATATTCCACCATACACTTTTATCAGCGTTTGTTTATTCACTCACCCAATGAAGGACATTTGGGGTGTTTCAGTTTTTTGAAATTGTGGATACAGCTGCTGCAAACATTTGTGTCAGGTTTTTATGTGAACATACGTTTTCATTTCCCTAGAGAAAATACCAAGGGGTATCCCCATTCCAAGATAGCCAAATAGGAACAGCTCCAGTCTGCAGCTCCCAGCATGATTGATGCAGAAGACAGGTGATTTCTGCATTTCCAACTGAGCCTCCACTGGTGATACCCAGGCAAACGGGGTCTGGAGTGGACATCCAGCAAACTCCAACAGACCTGCAGCTGAGGCACCTGACTGTTAGAAGGAAAACTAACAAACAAAAAGGAATAGCATCAACATCAACAAAAAGGACATCCACACCAAAACCCCATCTGTAGGTCATCAACATCAAAGACCAAAGGTAGATAAAACCACAAAAACCAGGAGAATCTAGAGCAGAAAAGCTGAAAATTCTAAAAACCAGAGCGCCTCTTCTCCTCCAAAGGATCGCAGCTCCTCGCCAGCAATGGAACAAAGCTGGATGGAGAATGACTTTGATAAGTCGACAGAAGCAGGCTTCAGAAGGTTGGTAATAATGAACTTCTCCGAGCTAAAGGAGGATGTTCAAACCCATCGCAAGGAATCTAAAAACCTTGAAAAAAGACTAGATGAATGGCTAAGTAGAATAAACAGTGTAGAGAAGACCTTAAATGACCTGATGGAGCTGAAAACCATGGCATGAGAACTACGTGACGCATGCACAAGCTTCAACAGCTGATTTGAACAAGTGGAAGAAAGGGTATCAGTGATTGAAGATCAAATTAATTAAATAAAGTGAGGAGAGAAATTTAGAGAAAAAAGAGTAAAAAGAAACGAACAAAGCCTCCAAGAAATATGGGACTATGTGAAAAGACAAAATCTACGTTTGATTGGTGTACCTGAAAGTGACGGGGAGAATGAAACCAAGTTGGAAAACACTCTTGAGGATATAATCCAGAAGAACTTCCCCAACCTAGGAAGGCAGGCCAACATTCAAATTCAGGAAATACAGAGAACACCACAAAGATACTCCTTGAGAAGAGCAACCCAAAGACACAAAATTGTCAGATTCACCAAGGTTGAAATGAAGGAAAAAATGTTAAGGACAGCCAGAGAGAAAGGTCAGGTTACCCACAAAGGCAAGCCCATCAGACTAACAGCAGATTTCTCAGCAGAAACTCTACAAGCCAGAAGAGAATCAGGGCCAATACTCAACATTCTTAAAGAAAAGAATTTTCAACCCAGAATTTCATATCCAGCCAAACTAAGCTTCATAAGTGAAGGAGAAATAAAATCCTTTACAGACAAGCAAATGCTGAGAGATTTTGTCACCACCAGGCCTGCCTTACAAGAGCTGCTGAAGTAAGCACTAAACATGGAAAGGAACAACCGGTACCAGCCACTGCAAAAGCATGCCAAAATGTAAAACCATCGATGCTAGGAAGAAACCACACCAACTAATGGGCAAAATAACCACCTAATATCATAATGACAGGATCAAATTCACACATAACAATATTAATCTTAAATGTAAGTGGGCTAAATGGCCCAATTAAAAGACACATACTGGCAAATTGGATAAAGCGTCAAGACCCATCAGTGTGCTGTATTCAGAAGACCCATCTCAAGTGCAGAGACACACAGAGGCTCAAAATAAAGGGATGGAGGAAGATCTGCCAAGCAAATGGAAAGCAAAAAAAAAAAAAAAAAAAAAAAAAAAAAAAAAAAAAAAGCAGGGGTTGCAATCCTAGTCTGTGATAAAACAGACTTTAAACCAACAAAGATCAAAAGAGACAAAGAAGGCCATTACATAATGGTAAAGGGATCAATTCAACAAGAAGAGCTAACTATCCTAAATATATATGCACCCAATAAAGGAGCATCCAGATTCATAAAGCAAGTCCTTAGAGAACTACAAAGAGACTTAGACTCCCACACAATAATAGTGGGAGACTTTAACACCCCACTGTCAATATTAGACAGATCAATGAGACAGAAGGTTAACAAGGATATCCAGGACTTGAACTCAGCTCTGCATCACATGGACCTAATAGCCATCTACAGAACTCTCCACCCCAAATCAACAGAACATACATTCTTCTCAGCACCACATTGCATTTATTCCAAAATTGACCACATAGTTGGAAGTAAAGCACTCCTTAGCAAATGTAAAAGAACAGAAATCACAACAAACTGTCTCTCAGACCACAGTGCAATCAAATTAGAATTCAGGATTAAGAAACTCACTGAAAACCACACAACTACATGGAAACTGAACAATCTGCTCCTGAATGACTATTGGGTAAATAATGAAATGAAGGCAGAAATAAAGATGTTCTTTGAAACCAATGAGAATGAAGACACAACATACCAGAATCTCTGGGACACATTTAAAGCAGTGTGTAGAGGGAAATTTATAGCTCTAAATGCCCATAAGAGAAAGCAGGAAAGATCTAAAATCAACACCCTAACATCACAATTAAAAGAACCAGAGAAGCAGGAGCAAACAAATTCAAAAGCTAGAAGAAGGCAAGAAATAACTAAGATCAGATCAGAACTGAAAGAGATAGAGACACTAAAAATATGAGAGGGGAAATAAAAAATCCATAAAGTTAAAAAAAAAAACCCTTCAAAAAATCAATGAATCCGGGAGCTGGTTTTTTGAAAAGATCAACAAAATTGATAGGCCCCTTGCAAGACTAATAAAGAAGAAAAGAGAGAAGAATCAAATAGACACAATAAAAATGATAAAGGGGATATCACCACCGATCCCACAGAAATACAAACTACCATCAGAGAATACTATAAAGACCTCTATGCAAATAAACTAGAAAATCTAGAACAAATGGATAAATTCCCGGACACATACACCCTCCCAAAACTAACCCAGGAAGAAATTGAATCTCTGAATAGACCAATAACAGGCTCTGAAATGGAGGCAATAATTAAGAGCCTACCAACCAAAAAAAGTCCAGGACCAGATGGATTCACAGCCGAATTCTACCAGAGGTACAAGGAGGAGCTGGTACCATTCCTTCTGAAACTATTCCAATCAATAGAAAAAGAGGGAATCCTCCCTAACTCATTTTACGACGCCAGCATTATCCTGTCACCAAAGCCTGGCAGAGACACAACAAAAAAAGAGAATTTTAGACCAATATCCCTAATGAACATCGATGTGAAAATCCTCAATAAAATACTGGCAAACCGAATCCTGCAGCACATCAAAAAGCTTATCCACCACGATCAAGTTGGCTTCCTGGGATGCAAGGCTGGTTCAACATATGCAAATCAATAAACATAATCCATCACATAAACAGAACCAATGACAAAAAACATATGATTATCTCAATAGATGCAGAAAAGGCCTTTGTCAAAATTCAACAGCCCTTCATGCTAAAAACTCTCAATAAACTAGCTATCGATGGAATGTATCTCAAAATAATAAGAGCTCTTTATGGCAAACCCACAGCAAATATCATACTGAATGGGCAAAAACTGGAAGCATTCCCTTTGAAAACTGGCACAAGACAGGGATGCCCTCTCTCACCACTCCTATTCAACATAGTGTTGGAAGTTCTGGCCAGGGCAATCAGGCAAGAGAAAGAAATCAGGGGTATTCAAATAGGAAAAGAGGAAGTCAAATTGTCCCTGTTTGCAGATGAAATGATTGTATATTTAGAAAACCCCATTGTCTCAGCCCAAATCTCCTAAAGCTGATAAGCAACTTCAGCAAAGTCTCAGGATACAAAATCAATGTGCAAAAATCACAAGCATTCCTATACACCAATAACAGACAAACAAAGAGCCAAATCATGAGTGAACTTCCATTCACAATTGCTACAAAGAGAATAAAATACCTAGGAATACAATTTACAAGGGGTGTGAAGTACCTCTTCAAGGAGAACTACAAACCACTGCTCAAGGAAATAAAAGAGGACACAAAGAAATGGAAGAACGTTCCATGCTTATGGATAGGAAGAATCAATATTGTGAAAATGGCCATACTGCCCAAGGTAATTCATAGATTCAGTGCCATCCCTATCAAGCTATCAATGACTTTCTTCACAGAATTGGAAAAAACTACTTTAAAGTTCATATGGAACCAAAAAAGAGCCCTCATTGCCAAGAGAAACCTAAGCAAAAAGAACAAAGCTGGAGGCATCATGCTGACTTCAAACTATACTACAAGGCTACAGTAACCAAAACAGCATGGTACTGGTACCAAAACAGTATATATAGACCAATGGATCAGAACAGAGCCCTCAGAAATAACACCACACATCTACAACTCTCTGATCTTTGACAATCTGACAAAAACAAGAAATGGGGAAAGGATTCCCTATTTAATAAATGGTGCTGGGAGAACTGGCTAGCCATATGTAGAAAGCTGAAACTGGATCCCTTCCTTACACCTTATACAAAAATTAATTCAAGATGGATTAAAGACTTAAATGTTAGACCTAAAACCATAAAAACCCTAGAAGAAAACCTAGGCAATACCACTCAGGACATAGGCATGGGCAAGAACTTCATGACTAAAACACCAAAAGCAATGGCAACAAAAGCCAAAATTGACAAATGGGATCTAATTAAACTAAAGAGCTTCTGCACAGCAAAAGAAACTACCATCAGAGTGCACAGGCAACCTACAGAATGGGAGAAAAATTTTTGCAATCTACTCATCTGACAAAGGGCTAATATCCAGAATCTACAAAGAACTTAAATAAATTTAGAAGAAAAAAAACAACCCCATCAAAAAATGGGCAAAGGATATGAACAGGCACTTCTCAAAAGAAGACATTTATGCAGTCAACAGACACATGAAAGAATGCTCATCATCACTGGCCATCAGGGAAATGCAAATCAAAACCACAATGAGATACCATCTCACACCAGTTAGAAAGGTGATCATTAAAAAGTCAGGAAACAACAGATGCTGGAGGATGTGGAGAAATAGGAATGATTTTACACTGTTGGTGGGAGTGTAAACTAGTTCAACCATTGTGGAAGACAGTGTGGCAATTCCTCAAGGATCTAGAACTAGAAATACCATTTGACCCAGCAATCCCATTACTGGGTGTATACCCAAAGGATTATAAATCATGCTACTATAAAGACAATGCACACGTATGTTTATTGTGGCACTATTCACAATAGCAACCAACTATGACTTGGAACCAACCCAAATGTCCATCAATGATAGACTGGATTAAGAAAATGTGGCAGTGGGTGGGGGTGGGAGGCAGGGGGAGGGATCGCATTGGGAGAAATACCTAATGTTGGTGACGAGTTGATGGGTGCAGCAAACCAACATGGCACATGTATACCTATGTAACAGGCCTGCACGTTGTGCTTATATACCCTAGAACTTAAAGTATAATAATTAAAAAAATTAGCAAATACCAAGGGGTAGAGCAGGATTACTGGTTGAAATGATAAGTTTATATTTAACTGTACGAAACCGTGAAACTATTTTCCAGAGTAGCTGTGTCATTTTGCATTCCCACCAACAATGTAGGAGACTTTCAGTTGCTCTGTATCCTCACCACCTAGCCCTTGGTAATGCCAGTACTTTTTATTTTAGCCATTCTAATAAGCATGTAGTGGTATCTCATTATGGCTTTTTGTTTTGTTTTGTTTTTGTTTTTGTTTTTTTAGGTAGTGTCTCACTCGTTTGCCTAGGCTGGAGTGCAGTGTCATTGGCTCACTAAAGCTTTGACCTCCTGGACTCAAGTGATCCTCTCTCTTCAGCCTCCCAAGTAGCTGGGACTATAGCTGTGCACCATCACACCTGGCTAATGTTAAAATTTTTTTTGTAGAGATGGAGTCTTGCTGTATTGCCCAGGCTGGTCTACAACTTGTGGGTTCAAGCAATCCTCCTACCTCAGCCTCCCAAAGTGCTAGAATTACAGGTGTGAGCCACTGTTCCTGGCCTTATTGTGGCTTTAATTTACATTCCCCCAATAGGTAATGATGTTAAGCATCTTTTATTTGCCCTATAGGTATCTTTTTTGATGATATATTCAAATTTTTGCCGAATTTTTAGCTGGATTGTTTCTTTTCTTATTGTTGAGTTTTGAAAATTCTTTAAATGTTTTGTTTGAATTGTGATTTGCAAATATTTTCTCCCAGTCTGTAGTTTGTCATTTCATTCTCAGAGCAAAAGTTCTAAATTTTGATAAACTCTAATCTTTCAGTTTTTCTTTTATGGATTATCCTTTAGTTTTCATGTCTAGGAGGTCTTCACATAATTCAGGTCGTGAAGATTTTCTCCTATGTCTTCTTCTAAAAGTTATACATTTTAAATTTAAATCTATGATTCACTTTTAGTTACATTTTATATAAGGTTTGAGGTATAGGACAAGATTTGTTTTGGGTTTTTTTTGCATATAAGTGACTAATTGGTTTAAAACCATTTGTTGGAAATACTATTTTTACTTTATTAAGTTGCTTTTGCACTTTTGTCACATATTAGATGGGTAAATTTGTATGGGCCTGTTTTTGGTCTTTATTATGTTCCATTGATCTATTTGTCTAATCCTTTACCAATACCATGTGTTTTGAATACTGTAACTTTATAGTAAGTATTGATATCATGTAGTTAGATTTCTTCAACTTTATTCTTTTCCCAAGTTGCTTTGCCCATTCTGGGTCCTTTTCATTTCTGTGTGTGTTTTAGAATCTGCCTACCAATTTCTGCAAAAAAGGCATGCTGGAATTTGGTTGGTACTTGATTAAATCTATATCTCAATTTAGGGAAAGCCAATATCTTTAGTATGCTGAGTCTTCTATGCCATGGATATTTTGTCTCTCCATTTATTTATGTCCTCTTTGATTTCTTTCATCAGCATACAGTTTTCAGCATATATACTCTGTATATGTTTTGTAAGGCTTATTCCTAAGTATTTCATTTTGTTTGAGCTATTGTAAATGGTATGGTTTAATTTCAGTTTCCAATTGTATGTTGTTACTATATAGAAATACAATAGACATTTTTGTATTGACATTGTATCCTATAACCTTGCTGAACTCACTTTTCTCTAGGAGGTTTTTGGTAGAGCCCTGAGATTTTCTATGCAGGTGATCATGTCATCTGTGCATAGAAACGGCTTTATTGTCTTCCTTTAAAATCGATCTGCCTTTTATTCCTTTTACTTGCATTATTGCACTGGATAAGACTTCCAGTATGATGTTGAATGAGAGTATTGAGAATGGATCTCCTAGATGGACATCCTAGTTTACTTTTCAACCTAGAGAGAAAGCCTTTTGGTGGCAAGGGCTGGGGTGGAGCAGGGAGGGAGGAGAATCTTTTACCCTTAAGTATGAAGTTAGCTGAAGAGTTTTTTGGGATTTTTTGGTAGATGTTCCTCATCATGTTAAGGAAGTTCCCTTCTCTTGTTACTTTACTGAGGGTGTCTATTATAAATAGATGTTGTACATTGTCAAGTGCTTTCCCGCATCTATGGATAAGATCACATGGTTTTTCTTCTTTAGATGGTTAACATGGTAATTATAATGACATATTTATGAATATTGAATCAGCTTTGCATTCCTGGAATAAACCCTACTTAATTGTGGTGATTTTTAAAAAAAGATATTTCTCTATTCCATTTGCTAATATTTTGTTGAGTGTTTTTTCATCTCTGTTCATGAGGAATATTGGTCTATAGTTTTTTTTTTCATGTACTGTCTTTTTGTGGTTTGGTATTAGTATAATATTGGCCTTGTAAAATTAGTTGGAAAGTATTCCTCTTCTATTTTCTTCAAAAGAGAGTAGAATTGGTGTTATTTTTTCTTTAGTATGTTGTAAAATTTTCCAGTAAATTACATATGGATCTGGAGTTTCTGTTCTGAAAGACTTTTAACTACAAATTCAATTTCTTTGATAGTTGCAGGATTTTTTGGGTTATCTACTGTTATCTACTTCATCTTGAGTGAGTTTTAGTAGTTTGTGGTTTGTAAAGAATTGGCTCATTTAATCTACATTGTCAGATTATCATGCATATAGTATTCTGTATTTCGTTATTTCCTTTTAATGCCTGTGAGGTCTGCAGTGATATCCCCTATTTCATTCCTGATATTGGTAATTTGTGTCTTCTCTCTCTCTCTCTTTTTTGTCAGTCTTCCTAGATGCTTATCCATTTTAGTGATTTTTTTCTAACAGTATGCTTTTAGTTTGATTGATTTTTCTCTATTATATTTCTGTTTTCAGTTTCATTGATTTATTCCCTTACCTTTGTTATTTACTTTCTTCTGCTTGATTTGTGTTCATTTTTTTTTTGCTAGTTTCCTCAAGTGGAAGCTTAGATGATTTATTTGATATTTTTTTCTCTTTCTAATACCATATAGGCATTGTAGTGCTATACATTTCCCTCTAAACACGGCTTTAGGTTAGTCCCATAGATTTTCATGTGTTGTGTTTGCCTTTTCATGCAGTCCCATTGAGACTTCCTTTTTGATCTATGGATTATTTTTAAGGGTTTTACCTTTCCACATGTTTGAAGATTTTCCTGCTACCTTTCTTTTATTGATTTCTAGTATAATTTCATCATGGTCAAAAAATAGACTTTGTATAATTTCAATTCTTTTAAACATGTTAATGTTTATTATATGATCCTAGATATGGTTTCTCTTGGTGAATTGTTCATGTTCACTTAAAAAAATGTATATTCTACTGGTTTTTATTAATAATTTTATCCAGTTAGTTGATGGTGTCAATCAGCTCTTCATTATCCTTGCTGTTTTTGAAGTTGCAACTATGATTACTAATTTGCTTATTTCTTCTTTGATTTCTGTCTGTTTTTGCTTCATTATTTTGGAGCTCTGTTGTTAGGTATATACACATTTAGAATTGTTATGTCTTTTTGGTGAATTGACACTTTTAGAAATATGTAATGTCTCTCTTTACTTTTCAGATTTTTTTTTAAACCTGACATCCACTTTGATATTAATATAACCACTGATTCTTACTCTTTTACCATTTTTTTTCTAGAGTGTTTTTATTGCTCTTTCAAGCACTTTTATAATTGCTTTCAGCTCTTTGTTAGATGATCTAATATCTGCATCATCTCCTTGGTGTCTATTGTCTTTTTCTATATGAGTTAAAAATTTTATGGTTTGTCATATACTGAGTAATTTTGGATTGTATTTGTAGTATTTTGAATATTAAGTTATGAGACACTGAGCTTTGTTTGAATTGTATTAATGTTGTTAATATTTTTGTTTTAGTGGGTAAATTGGTTATTAGATTTAGACCCGAAGTTTCGATCTGCCTTCTGTAGATTGTGGTTACAATGTCAGTTCCACTTTTAGTCTTGCAATGCTACTCAGATCTGTCCCATGTGTGTAGTACCAAGTGGTCATTCTGGGACCTGGGTAAAGGTCTACTGGTTAGCTCAGTTTTCAAAGTCTTCAATATATTTTCTTAGGATTAAATCCAAGCATGTGTGGGTTAAAGCTTAAAAGTTTATCAGATCACTGTCCTGAGTTCCTCACTCTCTGTGATCTACTCAGTACAACCCAGTTCTCTAGGGTGTCCATTTTGGTCTCCTATTCAGAAACCATTCACTTCTACAGTCACAGTGTGTCTGAGGCAAAGTGATAGAAGGACATCACCACTGCCCCACCCACCCCCACCCCCTGCAAAAATAAATAAATAAATAAATAAAGCAATGAAATTTGTCCTTATCTTCATGGAACTTCTGCTCCACTAAATAAAGAAGAAAGTTATCCTCCCTTCAAGTTTTGGCTCCTGAAGGCTAACCATTGCTTCTATGACTGGGGGCCAGGGCCACCACCATAGGATTGCCTGGTGGGTGTGCAAGAGAATGAAGCAAAAGGAAAGAGAAATATAAGAATTTACCCCACTCTCTCTGAGCTTTAGAACTTCCCTGACTCCTTGGGTGAAGACTAGAGGGTTTCTCCTGAAGCTCTTCCTACCCAGCACAGTGCTCATTTCAGATTTTCCAGCTGAGTTAGGCCAGGTGGACACAGAGGACAAAAATTGATGAACTTATTGCTAGTTTGATAGTACTTTCGTTTTTGGCACCCATCCCTGGTCCACCTACTGCTGTTTATTTTACAGAGTCCTCTAGTGGGCCAGACATTCTGTCCAGGTTTTAGAGTTGCATTCAATTGAAGGAAAAGCATGGTGTGTATTTGCTTTATCTTACCTGGGACCAGTTTTCTTACTTTGTTTTAAAAAGTGATTTCTGATTACCAGTGAGACTGAGCATCTTTTGTTATTTAATATCACACGTTCTTTTCTGTAAATTATATTTTTGCCTATTTTATTATCATTATTATTTCCAGGAAAGTACTAAGAAGAAAGTGCCTATTTTAATGCTTGCATTGTTTGCTTTTTTTCTTATTAATCGTAGGAGGTTTTTAATCCTGAATATCAAGCCTTTGATTATTATCTATGTGACAAATAGTTTTTATCATTATTTGTTTCTTTGTTTTGGACTTAAATTATTATTTGTTAGTGTACTTTATTGTAATGAAGAATGTAAGTTTGATAAATTAATCAAATTTGTCAAGTTTTTTGGCTTCTGCTTTTGTAACTTTATTAGAACAGACTTTTTAACTCCAAGTTCACAATCATATTCATCTATTATTTGTAATACTCTTAAGTTTATTTTCTTACATTTAGAAATTTTCTTCATTAGAATTTATTTTTGTGAATAATGTATGGTAGGGAGGTAGCGTATTTTTTCCCCAAAATATTTTATCATTTTTCTAACACCATTTATTGTACATTCTTTCATCTGCTGATTTTATCAAACACTAAATTCCCATATATATATAGTGCTTAGTTTTAGAGCTATATTTTATTTCATTGGTGTTTTCATCTATTCTTTCAAAAATATATTATTTTAATAAATACGGTTTTCTAACCTAATTTAATAACTAATGGGTCAAGGACTTCTTTGACAATTTTTCTTTCTCAAAATTATCCTTACTATTGTTGGCATTTAATATTCTTTCATACGAATTTTAAAGTCAATTTGTCAAGCTGCATAAACAAATCTTTGGGAATTTGACTAGAACTGTATTAAATTTACAAATTAATTTGAATCTTCTCATCCATGAACACCTTTATTTATTCAAGTTTCTTTTTATGTTCTTCAGGAAAGAAAGCTTTATAGTCCTTTTTTTAATGAAGGTTTTGCATACACCTTATAAGGTATCTACCTAGATATCTTATAGTTTCATTGATATTTTGAAGGGTATTATTTCTGTCTTGTTTTATGTTTGGTTATTGTAAATATATGGGAATGCTGTTGATTTTTTTTCATGCTTATCTGGTATCCAGAATATTACTAAATGTACTTAGGAGTTTCAGCAATTTTCAGTTAAATCTTTTAGATTGTTTTGATATTTGATTATATTTTCATAAGTAATGACTGTTTTTATTTCTTTTAGTATTCCCCTCCCTCCCTCAACCCCCTTTTCTTATTTTGTTGTATTGACTAGAATATCAGTATAGTGTTAAATGAAGTTAGGAGGGAAAAGGTCTTTGTTTTATTCTAATTTTATTGGAAGTTCTTCTAATGTTTTACCAGTAAGTATGATGCTTGCTATAGATTTCTAGTAGATAGCATTAATCAAGTTCAGTAAGGTCTTTTGTATTTATGTTAGCTAATAATTATTAAAATATCACAAATAGATATTAAATATAATAGAATGATTGTTCAGGATTTATTCAGATAGTTGCAATTTTTAAACCCATTAATTATTTTCTAGTCATGAACCATCCTTGCTTTCCTAGGATAAACCATACCGCGTCATGATGAATTTCTTTTATACAAAGCAAGATTCAATTTGTTAGTCATTTATTTAGAAGTTTTGCTTTATATTCATAAATAAGACTGGTTTATAAATGTTTCTTATAAGGCTTTTATCTGGTATTGATGTGGGATTTTCCCTCACTACAGGGCATAAATATTTTCAGTTTTATATTTATCCATCTAAAAATATTTTAAGTATATACAAGCAAACCCATATATAGATATTTTTAAATATACTTTATATTTTAGAGCAGTTTTATACTCACAGAAAAACTGAGCAAAAGGCACAGATTTCCAATATTCCCCCTATTCTCACATATACATGGTCTTCTCCATTATCAACATCCCCCACCAGAGAGGTACATTTGTTATAATCAATGAACCTACATTGATACATCATCATCACCCAAAGTCCATAGTTTACATTAGGGTTCCATCTTGATATTGCACTTTCTATGGGTTTGGAAAAATGTATCATGACACATATCCACGAGTACAGTATCATACAGGGTAGTTTCACTGCCCTAAAAATCCTCTGTGTTTTGTCTATTCATCCCTCCCACCCCCCATACCCTGGCAACTACTAATCTTTTTACTGTCTCCATAGTTTGCCTTTTCCAGAATCTCATATAGTTGGAATTATAAAGAATGTAGCCTTTTTAGTTTGGCTCCTTTCATTTTAGTAATATGCATTGAAGTTTCCTCCATGTCTTTTCATGACTTGACAGCAAATGTCCTAGGAGTGGAATTGCTCAGTCAAAGGGCATATACACTTGGGATTTGGATAGATTTTGCTAAATTGCTCTCATAGAAGTTGTACAAATGTACACTCCCACAGGAGTTTTTAAGATCTTTTTACTCATACCCTTTCCAACTCAGAGTTATCAAACCTTTTGATTTTTGGCAATCTGATCAGTACAGAAAGGAGGTACTTCAGTGTAATTTTAATTTGCATTCCTTTTATTGAAGGGCATTGTTACTAGCTAAAATTAGACATTTTGCAGAATCCCTTTTAGACAGAGGGTGACAATGTGGTATTTTTCTGCCAACGAAGGTAAGAAAAAGTGATTGGGTATAGCTTCCAAGAAAGTAATTTAAGAGGAAGGGAGGTTGTAGACTCATCCTAGCAACTGCCTTTTTTGGCTTTCCTTTCTTCCCTCCTTCCTGTCTGGGATGTAGTAAACACAGTGCTGATGGTGATGAGCACAGACTGAAGATGACGGAGCAGAAAGAGGTGGGTTGCTGAGTGTGCCAAAAAGAACGTTTTTGGGTTTTTTTTGTTTTTGATCTTGTGTTTTTGCCATACCAATTCTATGCCCAGTGCTCTGAGAGCCAAGGTGTATTTTGGGCAAGTAGAAGGTGACAAGGTAAACAAAAGCCATTACGGGTGAGAAATTCATTGGCAAGTATTTCATAAAATCATCCTGCCCCACAGGGATAACAACACTAGTTACCTGTTAGGGCTGTTGCAAGAATTAAACAAGAATGCGTATGTAAAGGTGTCCGAGCCAAACAGAGGATCCTTAAAATTTAGCCACTATTACCATCATTAGCTGTTGTCTCTGGGGTTGTAATCCCCCTACCCCATGTCACCTACTTGTCCTGGGTAGGGTCTGTACCTCTCCTGGATTATATATGAATAGTGATGATGAAGTGTTAGAGACAGAGGGAGGTGCAGGGAGTCTCAGGTTCATGGCAATAGCTCCGTTTTCTTAAAGGCTTTGATGCAAAGCCTCTGATACAATTTGTTAGTCCACCCAACCCTGCAAATCGGAAATTGGGTTTGTATTTGATCAGTTTGGCTGGGCCACTGAAGCTTCATGTGTCAACAGCAGCACTGACTTATCATCATAAAGCTCTCAGATGCCTGACCCGCTGCTCCAGCTTCTGGTTCACACCTCCCATGATCTTGAACTGGAAAGAAATCAGGCCACACTTCTAGGGGTTGTTTCTGGGTCTGAAATTGTCATAGACAACCTGGTCATTCTTTGGAAACAGTAGCCCTGGTAACTTGAGAGAGAGAGAGACAAATATAGCAGCATTTGCAGCTGAAGTTTTTTAAAAATCACTTTGTTTTCATACATTTTCTGTTAGCGTGTAAAGCATAACATAAAATGTTGTGTATATTTTAAAGCAAACCTGAAGTTTTATAACTTGTGGTAAACATTAAGAAGGGGCAGTTCCCCCTGAAAGGGTTATGGACACCTTGGTTAGTTTGGAGAGGTCTATTTGGTTTTGATAAGCCAGGCTTTGGGGCTAGTGTAGTGTGTTGTAACAAAAAGGAATAATATTATCTAATTATCAAAGTGAGAGCAATTTGGAAATTTCTGCCTGGGGTTAGGAGTTGGACTTTGGAAGAAGAGACGGAAGAAATAGTCTAGAGACAGGAGTGTGGCCTGTAGAAGATGATAGAAAGTAGAGCCTGGAGGCCAGTGGCCAATGAGAAGTATCTTGTGGGGAGAAATGCCTGGTGAAATTTTCAGACAGGGATTCCTGGTGTTTAAATTTAAGTTGACTCCTGTTCTGTGCAGTACCATCAGCCCCTTACTATTAGTCTAGGTCAGATACAGCTGTTGTCTTGGGGAATTAACTTAGAGAAATTGCACTCTACACTTGGGACCACCTGGAACAGACAGAGACAAGAAAGAAACACTGTGGGAGGCAAGATGCAGAGAATGACCAGTAATTAATTGACCCATGCAGGGCAGGATGAAGGAACAAGAGGGAGGAAACGGAACACCCCCTACCCCATTGCCTCCCTGAGCTCTCCTGAGGTCATCATGGGGGCTGGGGAAGGCATTGAATCCCCCTCAGCACATGGGATAGACTCTGGAGTTAGTTCACCTGGTTATAAAAAGTGACTCCAGAATAATGTGTTTGCATCCTATTATATATATATGTGTGTATGCATATATATATATATATTTTTGTTTGTTTGTTTTTAGACAGAATCTTGCTCTGTTGCCCAGGCTGGAGTGCAGTAGCATGATCTGAGCTCATTGCAACCTCCACCTCCCAGGTTCAAGTGATTCTTCTGCCTCTGCCTCCCGAGTAGCTGGGATTACAGGCATTCATCACTACCGCCCGTAATACACACCAGCTAATTTTTGTATTTTTAGTAGAGACAAAGGTTCGCCACGTTGGCCAGGATGGTCTCGAACTCCTGACCTCAGGTGATCTACCTGCCTCTGCCTCCCATAGTGCTGTGATTACAGGTATGAGCCACCACACCCGACTAGCATCCATAATATTTTTGAATCATGATTTGAAGGAGGTTGACTTTACTTACTTATGGGGTCCTTGCAGTGTGACAAGTGAAGATGTATCATGGTTAGATAGCCAAATACCAATAGTGGCTCACACCAACAGGGAATGGCTAGAATTTGTTTTTCACTCCTATAAATAAGGTTTTTGGGAGAAAATAAATTAATCCTTAGATTACTATTATTCCAGAAATAATATGAGTGAATTAGGCTACTTGTTTTCAGCAGAAGGGACCCTTAGACAGAAAGTGTTGAGACCTGGGTACCGATTCTTGTTCTACCAACAACTGATGACCTTAGACAAGTCCCCATAACCTGGCTTAGCTGTGTCCTCTGTAAAATGACAGCAGTTATTCTAAATAATCCTGAGGTTCCTTTCAGCTCTCACTTTCTAGGATTTAAAAAAATTATAACAGAAACCCAAGTGTGGGTAATCTATTAATCCAAAGGCTCCCAAACGTTTTCTGTTCACAGCGTCCCTAGTGCCTTAGGGACTTTTGTTTCATAGCACTCCTCAGTCAAAAGAAATATCCCAAAGTACCATTTGTTAAGTGGTTAGGTCCTATGTCCCAAGAATTTAGTAGCCATTTGAAGAAACAATACATGTCAACAGAAGGAAAAAGTAATCATTTTATTTCATCCCTTTATAAGCACATTTATTTACTCGTGGATGGGTGTACCTGTTGAGCACTGCACAACTTCTTCAACCTTGGAGTCAACCTGGACCCCACTACTCTCATTCCCTGCTCCACACTGACATTCACTGAATACTTGCTTGTTATCATGGCAACCACCAACAACTTAGCTTTGAAAAAGATATGATGTCATTGAAAAGAATGTAGTGCCATTTATTATTTTTTTTCTATATGACAAGTCATCAAGCAAAGCACCATGTATTTTGAAACCATGAACTACCTCAAATAGTTTGTGTTGTGTCTGACAGGTGTTGTGGTGCTTCCCTAAAAAGTTAAAACTATCCCACAGCAGCCTGTGAGTCTGCTGCATTGCCCTTGAGTGCCTGGGTACAGTTTGGGAACTATGGCTTTAAGCAAAGTATGGGGTGTCCTTCCCATTTTTTAATAGAGCCGTGTGCATCTCCCTGTTGCAGACATTTTCAGACTCTCTAGACCAACCACAGAATCAGACAGTTTGCATCATCTTGGTGCAATGTCTGCTGACTCCTGGCCTCCTAATGAGTAATATAATCATCCAGGTGATGACCTACCTGTGCCCCAGTGTCAAGTTTCCTGGTGACATTCCAGAGATCAGAGAGTTTCATCCTAACTCCACTGCACCCACAACTCTCAGGCCACCCACTGGGCTTTGTAAGCCCTTGGAGCTCACCACCACCCTCATCTGAAATCCTAGGGTCTGAATCTGCAGTCACCCCCTCCTACCTACCAGCAGGCCAGTCCCCTGCTCCCATCCTACTTGCTGTTTGACCTCATGGGGATGGGCCATCTCCTGACTAGTTTTCTTGTTAATGTCCTCAGGGGGCTTCACTTCTCTTGCCAGCCATATGAGATATCACTGTAGCCTTCTTCTCCTGGGCATCCTCAGTGTCTTCCCATCTTCACATTCTGTCCCCACCATGACAATCCTACACAACTTCATCCTTGGATCAGTTTAACCACTTGTCTCATGCCAACATTCCACAGTTTCTTCACTCTGCTCTCTCATCCCAGCCTCTCTTGCTCAGCAGATAAACTGCCTTTTAGCTCATAGAGGAAATTCACACTCTTAGGAACAAGCACTAGGACACGGTCTCCACCTACAAACGCTCCCTTTTGTACCAACCCTCTCACTTGCCTCACCTCCGCAGAACTCCAGGCTCAGAGGAAGAGGCGGCATCCTCCTGCTGAGGGCTCACCATTGCCCTGGGCTCTTGCTCCCATCCCTTTCCATGATCCCCAGACCAGCATCTGGCTCTGCTGGATGGTTCTTCTCCCTCCCATATTTCCAACTTCTCCTTTTTTACTGGTTTCTCCTATACAGCCTATGAGTACGTTCAAGTCTCCACTTAAAAAAAAAAAAAAAAGTCTCCAACAATGTCTCTCCAGTAACTAATGCCTGATCATCTTCCTCCCATTGGCGGACAATTCCCTGAAGAGTCCACACTCACCTCTTCTGCTTCTCAACAGCCTCTGGGCCCCTGACTCTCCTCTCCAGCCTCAGTCTCTCCTCCACTCCGCCCCCACCTAGCCCTCTGGCCACAGGAGCCACAAGCCATTCTCAGAAGCGGCTGTGCAGTCCCCGCTTTGATGCTATTGTTCCCTGCTCTCCCTTTCTCCCTTGCCTACCTGGCAAGCGGCACTTATTTCAAAAGGTCCTCTGGGAAGCCTTTGCTAACCCTCCCTCCCCCGCCCACCAGGTAGAAATGGCCACTCCTCCTTTGTGTTCTCAGCTGTCCTTTGAGTCACAGTGTCTGTGACGGTTTACTTTCCACGTTGTTGTGCTTTTCTCCAACAAAAATCGTAAGCTCCTCGAGAGCTAGGACTGTGTCTCAATTATACCTGCCTTCCTAGTACCGAGCACATCTGACTCGTCTCAGTGACTTGAGTTCAGTGAGGGAGCAAATGAAGCTTGTACAAGCATAGAGAACTCTTGCTGTTCATGGTGGCGGTGAGGATGGGAGGATCTGCCTTGTGATGGTCCTTGTAACAGACATTTGATCCCGAGCAATATCTTCTAGACCTCTCGGCATTCATGGACACTTTATCGGTGCTATCTCATTCTTCCTCACAGCAACTGAGAGTAGGTATTATGACCCCTGTTTTACACATGAGGAAACTGAGGCTCAAAGAGAAGAAGTGAGTTTGGCCTTGTCATACGGCTGATTGCAGTGGATGCAGGAGCCCAGCCCAGGTTTGGTCCCTTTCTATACATCCAGGCGCTCCCTATGTTGCCCAACCAGAGGGTGCTTACTGACTGTCACCTCCATTAATTGTCACCCTTTAGAAACAGGTTTAAGATGCTGAGTTAGAAGCAAAAGCATTAAGTAATGCATTCACACCTCAATAGACTCATACACACTTATGTGTTATCAATGATGATTGGGGCCCTGAATTTGTGCAACAAATATCACCTGTCCAGTGGCTTTATTTCTAATTTAGTAACTACCATGCCTTTAACTAAATAGTCAGCCTTAGTGAGATATTAGCCTTCAGCAAAAGTATCAGCAGTGATCCCCTGCAAAGCCTTTTAACATTGCTCATGGAGGCACAAGCTCCCTCCCTCATTTTTCCTGACACACTCAGGGAAAGAAATCTCTAAGTTTACACCATCTGCTAGCCTCTCACCTTTCAGCATTTGCATCTATGTCCGCATCCGGGCCCCCTCTGCCAAGAGTTTTTCTTTTACCAGCTACAGATGAACGGAAACCTGGGGAGTGGGGAACTGTTTGGAATTGGGATCTGTCCCTTCAAGGAAACTTGGACAAGTCTCCCTTGCCTCCTGAGCCCATCAGCTCATCTCCCTCTCCCCACCCCATTCCATTTTTGTTTAGTTTGACCTTGGTCACTGATGACAAGGCTTCTTTTCCTGCCAAACCAATCAATAAGCTAAACAGACAGAAGATGAGTATTTAGAATATGGGAAGCCAAACTCAAACACAGATAGGTTATCAGCCTAGCCCAGAGCAGACTTCTGAGCAAATATTTCATTAACAAATTTTTCATGGCAACTTGCATGTTAAAAAAAAAAAAAAAAAAGAGGGGAGAGGGGGAGAGAGAGAGAAAACGTGTTGGGGGTGGGGTGGAGGTGGGGAGAAAGGGAGAGGCTGGCTGAAGCCCAGAAGCTGAATCGCCCTCCTAGGGAGTGTTGTTTGGAAGTGTGAGGCAGAGTGTAGGGAGAAAAGTGGGATGCAGAGAGAAGACCCCCAGAATGGGGAGCCCTATTTACTTAAGACCTTTCAACTTCAAACCTACCTCTTATTGCAAGGCTGGCCATGTGATTCATCTTCGACCATCTCCACAGGGGTGGGGCAGGCTACATCTCCCCAATAAAAACGCCAGACAGGCAGTCAGCAACTGGCAGGTGGAGCCTGGGCTGGGCACCTGGTGGGGGAGATTGGGAGGAGAGAGGAGATGTGGTCCCTAGAAAGCCCCATGGAGAAGCTGGAGAGCCACGGTGAATACAAACATAAACAATGATAACAAAGACAACTGTGTATCGGCCCCCACTGTTTTAGGCAGCCTTGAAGGCACTTCAAATATATTTCATCATTTAATCCTCACAACCAGGCCCAAGACTCTGTGGTCAACACTGGTGCACGATGCCCATGGGTCTATTCTGATGGCTCAATATTTTGAATATCATGCCCTGTTCACAACAACCCTAAAAGAAAGGCACTTTGATTTTAATTTATAGATGAGGCACTTGAGATTCAGAGAGGTTGAGACACTTATTCACATTTGGACAGCTGGTAAACTGAAGAGGCAGAACGAGGGCCTACCCAGCCTGACTCCAAAGGCAAGGAGTTTTCTGTTCCTTTCTATTGCTTCCCTAATAGCTTTCATTATACTTCCAAGAAAAGGTTGGAAAAACATGGAATTAGTAAGGTTCAACTCTTGTAAGCAAGTGCTGAGAGCAGGAAAGAAGGAAGAGACTGAGTTTTGAGCTCCTTGTGTGCCGAGCTCCTTCCCACGTGGCCTGAGCTCCTGCCTTCATTTGGATTCATGAGGGTACCATTCAGGCCTCAGTTCACAGTCACTTCTCAGAGATGCTTCCTGACTCACCCTGTACTATTTGTTCTTATTGCTTTCTATTTTGCCTTCAGCATACTTATGCTAATTAATTGCTTTTAATTTGTGCTATTTGTGTAAATTAGCACATATACTAATTAATAGTAATTTTATAATGTTAATTTATAAGTATCAAATACTAATTAATATCTTTTTGTGTAATTTATTGATGAATGTCTTTTCGATAGACTGGATTAATAATAATAATGATATTAACAATAATACTAATAGCTAGCCTCTATTCAGTGCATTCTACGTGCCTGGCACTGTGTTAAGGGCTTTACATATGTTAACTTTAATCCTTTCAGTGGTCCTGTGAGGTGGTGACCATTAGTGTCCCCATTTTACAGATAAAGTAACTGAGGCACACGGAAGTAAAGGAACTTGCCTGTTGTTTCTTAGCTAATGAGTGAGTGACAGAGCAGGATGTGAACCCAGGTGGTCTGTGGTCCCAGCATCCACATTGTTAACTGTGATATCGGGCAGACTGCAAAACATGGCCACAAATTCATATAAATACACCTTAGAGGTGGAGTCTGCTTTCTCACCTCTTGAATCTGGGATGCTCATGGGATTTGTTTTGACAAGCAAAATGCAACAAAAATGATGTTACATGAATTCCAAGGCTAGGCCTTAGGCTTTGCGGCTTCTGGTTCCCTGCTTTCGGAATGCTGTCCTGAGACCACCCTGTGAAGAAGCTGGTCTGGCCTTTGCCTGCATGTGAGGCCACATGGAGGAGAACTGAGGTACCCCAGCCAGGAGCCTGTCTGTACCAGATGTGCGAGTGCAGCCATCCCAGACCCTGCAGCCCAACCCACCCTGCACCTGAATGCAAGCACATGACTGGGCCAGGCAAAATCAGCAGGGAGACCAGCCAGCCAACCCTCAGAGTCATGAAAATTTAATAAATCATCATTTTCTGAGCCATGAAGTTTTGAGAAGGTTTGTCATGTAGCAAAGGCTAACTCAGCAAGAACTGTCTTATTCATACTGTATCCCTAGCGCCTAGCAAGATGTCTGGTACATAGCACTTTGACAGTAAAAATGTATTGGCTGAATGAATAAACAGAAGTGAGATTGAACCAGGGAGACCCCCTGGAAGATGCTGGCTAACTTTACAATATATCATAGAATACAGTCCATGTGACACATTCTGGAATTCTGGAATAGAAGATAATTTAAGAACACTAGCATTCTAGTCTGGGTGCAGTGGCTTATGCCTGCAATCCCACCACTTTGGGAGGTCGAGACGGGCAGATAGCTTGAGCCATGAGTTTGAGACCAGCCTGGGCAACATGGCAAGACCCCATCTCTATTGAAAGTACAAAAAGTTAGCCAGATGTGGTGGCACGCATCTGTAGTCCCAGCTACTCAAGAGGCTGAGGTGAGAAGATCACTTGCTCTTGGGAGGTAGAGGCTGCAGTGAGCCGTGATCATGCCACTGCACTCCACCCTGGGGTGACAGAGAAAGATCCTGTCTCAAAAAAAAAAAATTACTAGCATTCTTAATTTTCTGTAGTTTCTTTCAAGTTTGTATCAGCTTAATTTCAGAGTATGTTATAAAGTCATTTGTTGACATTTAAATTTTTCTTTATGTTCTTTCTTAGGCTCTTTAACCTATCATTTGTAATTTATCTTGACATAATTTCATATTTGTTTGTGTAATTAATTGATCATATCTATCTCTCCCCTAGATTGTAAACTCTGAAAGGACAGGGACCCTGTCTGATTTTGCTTATGGTTGTAACGCTTGTTCTGGCTCATAGCAGAATGGACTGAATTTAAAATGTGGGTTTCTTTATTTTAATTTCTAGTTTCCTTAGGTTGGTATTAAACTCTAATCTGCATTTTCACATTTTCCTGCTTCAATTTTGAATCAGAGAATGGTAAAGGTGATAGGGCCTTAGAACATCTCTTTTCCAGGGAAGTAAAGTTCAAAGGATAGCATACCTCCCATTGTCACACAGCTAGTTTATAGCAGGGTCAGGACTTGAGGTCATGTCTTCACTGGCACTGATTTTACATTCTTTCAAAGTGTATAGACCCTACAGCCCCCATTGTACAGATGGGCAAACTGTGCTAGAACCAACGCCAGATGGCAGATTACTTATCTCTCAGCTGAAGGCTGTCTTCATGTGCCCAAGCTGACTCCAGGGTTAAGCTTCTGACAGCTCCAAGTATTTTTTTTCTCTTTTATGTTGCTCTCAAATATATTTCTATCCCTGTCAGACCATCCCCCTTGTTCCCATTTAACCTGAGAAAGTTAAACCCACTTTTGATCATTATGTGAAAATCTGAAGCAAAGTGCTTCCTTCAAGGCAGATGTTTGGAAATGCTGAGCTGCAGGCGTTCAACTTGTCAAGTAACTTTTCAAATGATAAAAAAAGGGGAAATGTAGGTCAGAAAGCAATAAACTATATTCATATCCAATATATCCTTCTGGTTAAGGAGGCGACTTTGAATCTCCACCTTTCACTAAAATGAAACAAAAATCCAAATCCAACCTAAAGCATTACAGCTTTAAGTACTGAAAGTATTTATTGTTTCTATTCAAGTAATCCAAAAGCATAATCTCAAGAACATCCATGCTCCAGGAATGTCTCAAAACACCATGGATTTGATGTGATTCCTTTATCCAGATGTTTGTAAAAATGATTCAGAATGGCATGAGGGGAATTAAAGATTTATTTTTAATATCTGAAAAAGTCATATTTCTAATAACAGTGAGCCTTAAAAATGTGGCCCCAGTTTTTGCTGCCTGTCTGATTTTTCTCATTATCATTTCTTAAATAACAGCTCTGCTCCAAATGATCAGCCTATAAGTTTCCAAACATAAATATTTAGGTATTGGAAAGACAAAGCGGGTGAGGTACTTTCATTGTAACATTGATGTTCACGTCGACTTCATTTCAAGAGATGTTTTTCACCCAATGAGTAAACTATAGGCAAATCTCACAAAAGATCGCTTCTTGAGGGGCAAAATCTCTAACTAACTGCCCAAGTGTCCCAGTCTTGGAGAGTAGTGTGATTTGCCTTTCAAGATCATGGTATGTTTTATGTATTTTTTCTTTTTCTTTATTTTGAGAAAAAGTCTCATTCTGTCACCCAGGCTGGAATGCAGTTGCATGATCTCGGCTCACTGCAGCCTCCCCCTCCCAGGCTCAAGTGATTTTCGTGCCTCAGCCTCTCGAGTAGCTGGGATTACAGGCATGTGCCACTTTGCTCAGTTAATTTTTGTATTTTTAGTAGAGACAGGGTTTTGCCACATTGGCCAGGCTGGTCTCGAACTCCTGGCCTCAAGTGAGCCACCTGTTTCGGCCTCCCAATGTACTGGGATTACAGGCATGAGCCACCATTCCCAGCCTATGGTATATTTCTATCTGTCCCTTAAATGTAGGTAAGTAACACCAAACATTCCACAGTTAATGTATTCATTACCTTGTGTTCGGACATCCAACATAAGATACCTGTGAGTCATGAACATCTTATTATTTGAAGGCCTCTCCTTCATCCATTATCCCCTCACTTGTGGAAAAGGATATTCTAAAACACGCTAGATTTTGTAAGTTGACCAAGTTTACCTGATGGAGAAGATACATTTCAGATTCTACTGGCAGAGAGAAATTCAAAATTAGGTCATCTCATGGTTACAAGTTGTATCTATAACAGAAACTAAAAGGTCTCAGAGATCATACACATTTTTCTGGTGGAGAACCCTCACTTTAAAGGGACCTGCTGTGAAACATTCTTTACACTCAAAATAAAAATATATATATACTGAATATTTCTATGGAAACGGAAGTTTTGATATAAAATAATATACAGTAGCTGGGTTAAATCTAAGATCTGTGCTCCCCCCAGGATGAATATTTGTGATTTTAGAGGATGACCCCCTGTGTATTGTGATGTTAAGGAAACTCAGAAGTCCTCCCTAAGCCTCTAAATCTTTCAGTTTGCTGTTTCTTGAAATTGATTTGTCAGAATTCAGTCTCTATTTTAAGATTTGGAGACTTCTAAGATACAAATACTTCGTTTTTTTCTTTGGCTAGCATTTATATGGTGGTGACTTCCTGCCAGGCATTACTGTAATGCTTTATGAGTATTAATTAATCCTCCCAGAAAGTTTCTGACTTGGGTACCAATGTTGTCCCCATTTGCAGATGAGGAACATGGGCACAGAGAGGCCATGTAACACAAAGCAGGTCACAGAATCATATGTGCAGCCAGGCTGGATGCCTTCCCCACTACACTGCACTGCCAATCTCAGCCTGTGGCAGCACCAGGCGAATAATTTTAGGAAACTTCCCCCAGCCTAGCACAAGGCTCGGGAGGGACAAGGGGCTAGCAGATTACAAAACGTGACAGCACTGGGCAGGAATAAAGTGGATGGGTAGAAAGAGGTGCCTAAAACAGGATGAAAAGAACAAAAGAGAAGGTGTGAATAATGAAGACAAAATTTGCTTATTTCTTAATTACAACAGCAGTGGAGACAGAACTGTCACAATGGTCACCCTTGGAATCACAGGTAGGACCCTTAATGATAGAATCCAATCCCTCATTTTTACCGAAGAGTCAAACAGAGACTGACAGAGCAGACTGAAGACAAGGGAAAGGACGTTTCTGAGATTTCACAGCTGATCAGTAGGCAAGCCAGGACTGGGCTCCATTACCCTGATTCTGGGTCCAGGGTCCATTCCTCTGAAAGCATTCTTATGCACTCCACTTCACTGAGGGGCTGGAAGAAGCTCAGCAAAAAGGAATCTTTTTTCTCTTTGTGCTTTGCCTTGTAAATGTTTGCTGCCTGGATGGTATTTGGTTAGACAATGACACAGTGTAAGAGAATGTTCTTCCTACTATTCACAACGATCATTTCCTTATAGATGTATTTTCTGGGAAGAGAGCAGTACCTTATTCTCTACCTTACATTACTTTTTTGGGAGCAGATAATGCAGCAGAGGCTAGAAGCAGAATTCACTGTCACTATCCCATATCAAAAAGATACTATGCATTTCTGAAGAGCATCAGAGGGGCCAGGTGAAACCGTGTGGGCTGAAGAGAGGGAAGAAATGATGAACATAGTTGGAAATGAAAAGTATTCAACTATAAATTAACATAAACCCAGGGGTCATCTTGCATGCACTCCTAGCAATAAGAGACTCCACAATGTGGATGAACAAGTGAAAAAAAAGTAATCAAAGGTAAGAAAGAGACATATGTGAGGCATTAAGCATCGAGTACAGAGGCAGCCAGGGAAGATTACTGAACAAAGTCCAGGGAGTGTAAAAAAAGATAAGGAAGGCAAAGGTAGTGAATGAAAAAGAGATTGCACTGAAGGTTAAGATAAATAATGGGGAAAATTTCAAGTGTGTAAGGAACATAGGGGTCATTGAAGGCGATAGTTGGATGATGAAGAATTGGAGGGTAATTTAAAAAGAGGTAGATGTAGCTAAAAAAAATAATGTAATTATTTAATTATTTAAAAAAATATTTTTTTGCCTTGGAATTCTCAGAAGATGGGGGACAAATGTTAGAAGCAGACATGCATTTCCTAAAAGAAACCAAAGAAACTAAAGAAATAACGAATAACACGATTACATCACCACAAGAGATTCAGAAATTAAGACTTGGGAAATAAAGCATTAGAGAATTCAATTCCAGGCAGAACGTATACAAACACATGTGAATAATGAATAACAGGAACTTAAGAAATAAGAATTTGAAAAACCAAACTTTTGGGGGAAAAACAGTTTCATGATAAGTGGTTGGTGCTATTTTTTGCTGCTCTTACAACACTAGAGTCATCTTCTTAATTTCTCTCCCTCTTTTGCTTCTCAGTTTCCTTTCACAGATATTTATTGAAAGCCTGCTAATTCTAGGCATTATGCTATATTTTAGGAGGTACATGGATGAATAACATATTTTCTATGGCCCTGCCTTGGCAAGTTTGCATTTTGGTAGAGTGGACATACTGTATCATGAATGGTTGCATGACTCAGCCACATACTGAGGTACTGTGAGGGCTGAGGGGTGCAGGAAATAGAGGCTCCGGAGGTCATTTTGGATTGGGACAATCAAATTCCACCTGTAGGGAGGAAATGAATGACATAATGCTTGTGCGCACTGTAAAGAACAATCCTTCCAGAGTGCTTGGTTTTCTTGTGTTTTGTGTAATGTTTAAAGAGTCAGATATGAGTGGTGTGGGTTACATAGAGGGAGATTGTCTAGGAACCTGTATCATCACATTATGTGGGATAACTTCTGCAAATGCTTGGGGGACCCACTTGTAGATGAGCCTGGGGAACTAGTTGTGTTACTGATCCTGAGATCCGGAGAGGGGGTGACATTTGGCCCACAGGGAAAGAGGTGAAGCGGCTAAGTCAAGCACTTTTGCCCTCCTCCAAAGATTAAGGGAAGCCCTGCAGGGGTTGAAGAGCGAGCACTGAGGGGGCAGAAGGAGGATCAAAGGTGGCCAGTAAGGACAATAAAACTCCAAGTGCTTGCTGAAGAGAGGCAGGTAATTTGATTATCCAACTCAGTGTAGTGACAAATAAGGTAATGAGGCTAGGGACAAGAAATCTAGAGGCAAGACAGATCTTCCTTGGTCATGGGCAATAGATTTGAGAGGATAAATCCAAGTGCACAGGCGGATAAAATGTTAATGTCTTTGGCACCAGGTTCTGGAGCAATAAAATAAATCAAACGTTATTCTGGATTGCATAAATAGAGGGACTGTGAACAAGTCCAAGGTAATTAGCTCAGAGTTATAAAAGGAAATGGTGAGTAGTGTTTGACCAAGGAAACTGGGGGAAATGCCTGCTGAGGCTTTCTCATCCCCTACTTTGCTCTCTCCATTGCTTTTGTTCACTGAATTTAACCTTGACTGGGGTTCTCTGCATCTCCAGCCCTCCGCACCTGAAGACAAACATGTATTACATGTGTTAGTAAGACTAGATCACTCTGCTGATATTCTTTTTTCTTTTCTTTTCTTTTTTTTCTTTTTTTTTGAGATGGAGTCTCCCTCTGTCACCCAGGCTGGAGCTCAGTGACAGGATCTCAGCTCACCGCAACCTCCGCCTCCTGGGTTCAAGCGATTCTCCTGTCACAGCCTCTCAAGTAGCTGGGATTACAGGTGCCTGCCATGACACCTGGCTAGTTTTTGTACTTTTAGCAGAGACAGAGTTTCTCCATGTTGGCCAGGCTGGTCTCGAACTCCTGACCTCAAGGGATCCACCCGACTTGGCCTCCCAAAGTGCTGGGATTACAGGTGTGAGCCACCACACCTGGCCTCAGCTGATATTCTTATAGGGAGGAAGGGCTGGAGTGAGAAGCTTGGATCACTGAAACCCTGTTCCATCCTTTCTTATTCTGATACGCTGTCCTAGGAGCCAGGTACTTCATGCCATCCAAGAATCCTTCCTTTAGAACATTTTCCAATGCTATAAAATTTAGATTCAAGAAACCAATGATTGATTTCTTCTTTTCAGACTGTCCTCTATTAGTACCAGTTACCAAAGAACATTTTCTTAGAAAGAAAATGGTCATCATCACGTACAACTAAGTTATTATTTATTAGTTACCAAAAGGAAAGTTGCTACAACATTTAAATTCAAATCAAAACTAATGACTTCCTTCATTAAAGAATTTCTCTTGTATTCAGGGTTTTTTTTTTTTTAACTGCTTACTGGCATAAATGTTCAAGTTTCGATTTCTTACAATGAAACTCTCTTAACATTTATTCCTCAAACAATAATTATGTGTAAATAGACCAGAGGTGCATATGTGCCTGTAAGTGCATACTGTTCCCAACAGCAGTCAAAAATAAATATCTTTGGATCAATCAGGTTTTAAAAAAAGAAAATGATAGGGAAAAGGGAAGTCGTTTATCTAACCTTAGCCAAGCTATCATCTACATTCCTTGTTTACACCTGATAATACATCCATAATTAAGCATTGAACTTATTCCTTTAAGGTCAGGTTGCAAAGGAGTCAGGGCATCAGGAAAAATTTCACATGGGAAATTCACTTTATACCTAGAGCCGGGTGTGTGTCTTGGCTGAGAGAACAAGCTGTCTCAGGTGTGGTGGCCCCTAGGTATTCTGTTGGAGATCCGAGGTTACTGGTTTAATATTAGCTTTGGGCATATTAGCTTGGCTACAGGAGCCCCTAAAGCTACCCTCTCTCTAGGAGGCAAGTTTATTTTGTAATAAATGTGTGAGGGACATGTTTAGATAATTCTTTTAGTTGGAGTGACAGGGAGGAGGAACGGGAAGGGACTGAAATTTTAATGTAGGCCAGTATCTCTAGGGAATGTAAAAAATGTCCAAGTTTCATGTCCAGAAGCTGTAGGGGATTTTAATGCCAGTGAGCTCATTTTAGACTCTACCCTCCTCATTGGAAGGCCTCTGGGCACATGTCTGGAATGTAGAAGGAAAGGCAGTGATATGCTTCACCCATGGGCGGAGCCCTAAGATCTCCATTTAGAAAAACAAGCCCCAATTAGAAAAACCAAAATCAGTCGTTGCTCATGCGCCTAATTTATTTATTTTGTACCTACTGTGTGCCAAACTAACTGCAAACATTGTGGAAGATTCTAGGTAGCTCATTTTAAAGAGCCTAGCAACACAGATGCATATATAAAAGTAATTCAAATACACCCAAAGCTATAATATTAGTGGGAGAATGGAATGACAGACTCATGCCTACAAATTATGGTTCATTTATCCCTTTCTTTACTCTTCATTCTATTGCACACCAATCTTACAACAAAACTGTGCCCAAAAATGGCAGAGTAGTTTTGCAGAAAAAGCACCATTCTCCCCCATGTATGCAGTAGGGCGATGAAATAATGCAACTGGTTTTATCTGAGCAATGGAACAAATCCTTCCCATTGATTATGATTGTGTCATGCACAAATTCGCCAGTCGTTGAGTCCTGCAGCTAGATTTCAGAGATCATTTTGCCTGTAGAGACAAGCCCAGGTAGTGAGGCTGTGTGCTATATTTTGAATCTTGAGAGCAGAAGTTTCCACAGCCTTCCCGAGTTGTCTATTTCAGCCTAGAACAATTGTCATCTCAAGAAAATTATCTGTGTATGGTTGAAGTCCCTCAGGCTACTGGTTAATTTTATCGCAGCCTTCAGACCCCAGAGCTTAAGCTGCCCCCTTTTTTTCTACCCTAGCAAATGGGGAATCCTTTGCCAGACATGCAGCCTTTTTTGAAATTATAAATAAGTTGATAACTATAGGACTGACCCAATTACTGCTACGTGAACTGGGTGAGTCCAAGCCATGTCCTATTGCAGAAACCAGGGGCTGGTGTCAGGATCTCAGGTAGAGAGAAGGTAAAAACAACACACTTAGCTGTGTGCTGGGGCGATCTTGCCTGGAAGTCAGTGGGGTGGAACGGGCTGGGCGAGCCTCCTTGTCAGGCCTCCAGCAGCCCTTTTCAGAGTGTGAGCAGACCTTACAAAGAGGCACTGACCTCGCCTTTCAGTTGACGAGCATCTTGCCATGATAACTCACCCCAAGGGGATTTCTTTACAGTGATGTATGGTAAAGGTCAGTCTGAATCAGGAGGAAGTCAGAGGCGGGGGAGGAGTTTAAGAAATGCGATTGTATGACTTTGGAGAGCACACGATAACTCAAGTACATGAACTGAGTTCTGTTTGGTGTCGAAAGGACCTCCTTGAATGAAACAATTAGGGATTTATAAAGAAGACACATCAGCCATCTTACACAAATAGTGTTTATAAGGATGTAGGACTTAGATGAAATTATTCTACTCTCTTAAATGTGGTAGATACCCCTTAAAACATTTAAACTTGCAATTTATGCCAGTTTATGAGGCATGAGTTTGCTTAAATAAAAGTAAATTTTCTAGATGGTTAGAAGGATCACAACTTGTAAAATAGTGGAGATTGAATGAATGAGATATCACTATTTTCATGTTAAGATTCTGACTAGCTAGATTCAGAAAACCCCTAAAAGATAGATTCTACTGAATTCCTATTAATGTGGCTGGAACTGGACTGAAATTTCTAAGAAAACATTTACCAAATCTCTTACTGGTATAAATAAGGTATGTTGGAGGGAGAACCCAATGTTTCTAGGTCTTTCCCGGAACTTCTTTTTATGACCCCCACTCCCCTCGAGACACACTTTAAAGGAATAAATAGTTTCATAGATGTGTGAGGAGGGTAAGGGATAAATAATAAAAGATAGCTCTCAGGTGCTTAGCCTGTGTGCCTAGAAAAAAAAAAAATTAGCAATATCGGAAATACCAGAGTAAACTTTTCTTTTCTTTTTTTTTGAGACAGAATCTTGCCATGTCACCCAGGCTGGAGTGCAGTGGCATGATCTCCTGCAACCTCTGCCTCCCAGGTTCAAGCAATCCTCCAATCTCAGCCTCCAGGGTAGCTAGGATTACAGGCATGTGCCATCACACCTGGCTAATTTTTTTTTTTTTTTTTTTTGTATTTTTAGTAGAGATGGGGTTTCACCATGTGGGCCATTCTGGGTCTTGAACTCCTGGCCTCAAGTGATCCACTCGTCTCAGCCTCCCAAAGTGTTGGGGTTACAGGCGTGAGCCACTGCACCCGGCCCAGAGTTAACTTTTCCAAAGCATGACTTTAATCATAGCTCCCCTGCGCATAGATGTTCTGTGGCTCAAGATTCCCCACCAAATAGAATGAAACCGTCAGCCTGGGTCTCTTCATTTCCCATCTCATCAGCCTCCTGCTCCCTTTACGTAACCTCAACTCCAACCAAACTGGTCTATTTCCCAATGCCCAAGCTCACTGTGGTCTTTTCCATCACAGCCCTTTTACTAATGATCTGCCTCTATTTTTGCCTGTCAAATCTTTGCTTTCAATCCAATTCAATTTGATTCCTTCGTTTGGTCACTTATTCAATCCTGTTCATTCAGTAACCCTTCCATAAGTAGCCACCAATTGGTGAGCTACAGCATCCGAGAAGTGTTCCCTGAATTTCCCAGCTAGAAGTAGCCTGTCCACCCTCGCTAATATGTTAGTGTTTTATACCACTCTGAGATTTATTATAGGCTGCAAGGCAGGTCCTAGCTCTGCCAAGTGCACTGTCTAAACCTCTGTTGCCCCATTTGTAAACTATTGATTCCTTTCTCATGGGATTATTGGGTTATTGTGAGGATTAAATGTATGCAAAGTGCTTAGCATGGCATCAGTGCCCTTTGGGTTACCTGTTATTGCTCTTACTATTACTATTTATTGTGTTTTTATACCTCATTGAAATCTCACTGAGACAAGAGCTGTGACTTGCAAACCTCTGTATCCCCTTTAGCACCTGTCTCTCAGAGAGTGTTTACTTCAATCATTTAAGCAAGTTTGTTTGGTTGCAAGATGCAGAGAACTTCTTCCATTACCTCAAGAAAGAAGTGTTGATTATAAGACACCCTTGGACTGGAATTGAGAACTCATCAGGTTCCTGGGCTACCTCTTCCTCTTGTAGCATTTCAGTTTCTCTCTCTACATCTATTCTGTTCTCTTTTCCCCACGAATCACTTCTGCTGGTGGCTTAGAGTCAAGACACCCTAAATGATTTGCTAGGGCCACTGCAAAATGAATATGAAGCATCCCTTGTTCAAAAAGCAGAAAAAGGCACCATTAAAGTTATAAAGTTTTCTTTCTCTATTCCTCTCTGTCTCTTTCTGTCTCCACCTATTTGCTATTCAATATTATCCTTCCTCGAGCATGGAAATACTCACAGGGCAGGTGCAGACCCTCACAGGTGCCTAGGTGCCTGGCCCTGAGACTTGGCACTCACAGCTGGGTTCTCCTTTCTTGCCAGCCACCAGACAGAAGCCATTCCCCACTAAGGGGTGAGAAAGTCAAGCCAGGCATCCCTCCTTCCCATCAGCCCACAGCTGCAGTCCAAGGCAGACAGGCAATCCCCAGGACCCAATGGAATAGCAACTTCCATGCATGGTGCACTAGGTACATAGATCAGGGGAGGGCCAAAGACTTGTTCCACTGAATCTCCTACCAAATGAGCTGTGATGTGGCAGCCTAGGGCAGGGAGAGCCGCCACCTCACCCATGTGCAGATGCCGCAGGTCACAGCAGCCTGACCTTCTCTGGCCTGCACCCAGCTCCCTGCAGCACACAGGGCAGCTCCCCATGGCACACTGATTGCTGGGTGATGTGGGGAGAGGCAGGGGAGGAGAAGGTAGAAAGAAATGAGCGGGGGGGCGGGGTGGGGAGGGGAGCGCTCTGAGAACACAAGGCAAGAGGGGGCAGCGGGAAGCAGGACCGTGGCTGCTGAGGCTCCGGCCTCAGGAGCATGTTCCATTGTCACATGGAATTCACTAACAAAACCCAAGTTTAAAAATAAAAGAAAGCATTAAATCCAAGCATGGGGTCCTTGTAAACACAGGCCCTTATTTGACCACTGGTCACATGTCCATGAAGCTGGACTTTTTAAAATGGCAGCATACACATGAAAGAGCGTTAATGTCTCAGTCTAGCTCTCTCTAGTATGCCCCTTCTGCTGCAGCTGCTACTGCTAACAGGTTTATTCTATCAGTTTCCAAACAACATATAACTAAAGAAGAAATCTGATTGGCCCAACTCTTGTTCATCAGTTTTTTGTTCATCAGTTTTTTGTTTTGTTTTGTTTTTTAATAAACCATATAGGCCATAGGTTGCTGTCCAGCCAATGGGCTGGCTACTATGGAAACAATGCCCCTGCCTGGTCCATGTTGCATGGCCTCCTTGGTCCACGACTTTGTGGGGCTGAGGAAAGGATAGCAATAATTAAGATCTTTAGTATGGTGTTGAATAAATATATTTGAAGGAGTGATTTTGATTGTTTTTAATGGTAAAAAATGAATGAGACCTCTACGTAGCAATGTTTTGTTGCTTAATTCATAGTTATGCTTTATATATGAAAGAGCATATATATATGAAAAGGATGAAATGTTTTTGTTAAAATGAATACTTTGGTAAACATTGTATTCAGTCATTTATACTGGCTACCGTGGATTTTGTCTGAATTAATGAGGTTTTGGATCATGTAAAATCATGGGCTTTATAGAACATACTTTAGAGATTATCTTATTTAATTCTTATCATTTTACAGATACACAATACATTCATTAGGACATGACAGAATAGGGCAATTAAAGCATAATGCCAAAGCCAGGAAGAATAAAGGAACATCTTAATAAATAAAACTGTGGAAACAAGCAAAAACAACAACAACAACAACAACAACACATTTTTCGATGTCAAAATAAAAAAAATTAAAAATTTAACAAAAGTATCCAAAATGTAGACAAAGAGGTTAAGATCCTTAATGTAGAAAATATTCAAATAAGCAATAAGGGAAAAAAATCAATAGAAAGGTAGACAACAGGCATAGAGAATTTACACACACACACATAAACACACACGAACACAAATTGCCATTAAAATGTTCAACTTCATTAAAAAAAGAAATTAGAATATAATTTCCATTAAAAATAAAATTAAAACAACAATAAGCATAATTTTTCTCTCTATTGGCAAAGATGAAAAAGTGATAAAATCCAAATCTGATCTACATGTCTATATGAAACAGAATTACTCATATGTTCAAAAGGATATTTTGGAGCAGCCTTTTGAAGATCAACTTAACAATATTTATCAAAATACAAAAAATACATGAGTTAGACCCTAAATGTTTTCTTCTAGGTTTGATGCTAAAGAAGCCCATATATATGTGAACAATGGTATAGGTACACAAGGTTTCACTACACTGTTGTTTGTAGATTGACAGATCTGAAAATCTAACAATCCATTAGTAGAAGGAGAGTTAATTCATGGTACTTTCTTCCATACTATAAAATACTGTGTAGTAAATACAAAGAATAAGAAAGACTGGTATGTACCATCATGGTAAGACATCCAAGTTATATTGTTACATTTAAAGAAGATTTTAAAAAACTACACTGTAAACCCATTATATAAAAACTTTTAATAGACAACTATATATTTGTTAAATATTATATACAACAATGTAAAATATATAATGTTATGCTACAATTTTATAACATAGGAATGTTAGCCATGACCCCCTCTCGGCAGTGGGGTGGGAGGGTAGCAGCAGATTGTTCCTGCTCTCAAGAGCTTATAGTCTAAGAGAGAAAATGAAGCTGGCTGGGACCTCAAAGGATAAACAATATGGTCCAGGGTGCTCTTAGGTACTTACTGAATGAAGCATTTCCATGCTCACAAAAACCCTCAGAAGTAAATATTTTATTCCCATTTATCAGATGACCAAACTGAGATCTGTCTAGAAACACAAGGTGGTGCTAAGTACATGACCAATTATCTCCTCAAGTCCTTAGCCAGCCAGAATTTCACAACTTCCACATCGCATGGCCCTGGCAGCAGCAGTCCATCACCTCCCGCAGTGCAAAAGTATCCCAGACATATTCTAATTACAGACAGTATTTGCAGTTATCCAATATTATCTGACAGATAAAAGCTCTAACAGTGGAATTCCTGGGACAAAGGATGGACATATTTAAAGACATTTGATACATACTAATGTTTACTTATCTAATTATATTTTATAAAAACTAGTTTTTCTGTATGTTTTGCCAGCCAATATATATTTTGTCAAGTTACAATGTACTTGGAGTTCCAAAGGGCATTTTTCTAAGTGAACTCCAATTTCCATGATCACCAAATACACAAAAGCAGGAGAAATAAATCCAGGGGTGGCACAAGCTAAGGCAAAACCAAAACAAGCCTGCTCTTACGGCAAAGTAGTTAAGCTGTCCTCTTAAGCTCACTCTAGCAGAGTTATTGCCGCTTATTCATAAGGGCACCAGCAACAGCTGTTCACCTGGCCTACCAAGCTCTCCAAAGGAAGATCTCCGTATGTTGCCGGGAGAGGCACGTGAGCTGGTTCTTAGTGAGAAGTGTCCTTGTTTCCCAGTTCGTGAGTGATGGGAAGAGAAAAGCTCAGACCCAAGACGTATGGAGGAGAAGCCTCTTCTTTGTTTTACAGGGTTCAAAGGGCTCACTCCTACCTGGTTTCATCAGTGAGGTGGGCAAACGAAACAGGTTTGTAAGTCACACCTTTATTGTTGGGCATGCTCAAGTTCCAGAAGCAACAAGTGACAGAACCAGGCCTGGAACCCAGGGCTTCCTGAAGGATCTTGTCACTGTACATATTGAGTAAAATACAAAAGAAAAAAAGAAGTTCTGTGAAGTTACAGCAGAGGGAAAATGGGAGGGAGTATAAATTCTTCTAATTTTTGCAAATTTTTATATATAGGCATACCTCAAAGACATTGCAAGCTTGGTTCCAGACCACAACAATAAAGTGACTATCATAATAAAGTGAAGCATGCACATTTTTTGGCTTCCCAGTACATATAAAAGTTATGTTTACACTATACTGTAGTCTATTAAGTATGACTTAATAGGAATAAGGCATTGTGTTTTTAAAAAATGTACATACCTTAATTAAAAATACTTTATTGCTAAAAAATGTTAACAATCATCTGAACCTTCAGCAGGTGGTAATCTTTTTGCTGGTGGAAGGTCTTGCCTTGACGTTGATGGTTGTTGACTAATCAGGGTGGTGACTGCTGAAGGTTAGGGTGGCTGTAGCAATTTCTTAAAATAGTACAGTGAAGTTTACCACATCTATTGACTCTGTCTTTCACAAAAGGTTTCTCTGTGGCATGTGATGCTGTTTGATAGCATTTTACCCACAGTAGAACTTCTGTCAAATTGGAGTCAATCCTCTCAAACCCTGTTGCTGCTGTATTGCCTATAATAAGTTTGTGGAATATTATAAATCCTCTGTCATCATTTTAACAATGTTCATAGCATCTTCACCAAGAGTAGATTCCATCTCAAGAAACCACGTTCTTTACTCATCCATAGGAAGCAATTTTTCACCTGTTCAAGTTTTACCACAAGATTGCAGCAATTCAGTCCCATCTTCAGGGTCTACTTCTAATTCTAGTTCTCTTGCTATTTCTACTACATCTGCGTTGACTTTGTCCACTGAAGTCTTGAGTCCCTCAAAATCATCTATGAGCATTGGAATCTACTTCTTCCAAACTCCTGTTGATATGGATATTTTGACCTCTTGCCATGAATCACAAATGTCCTTAATGGCATCTAACATGGTGAATCCTTTCCAGAAGGTTTTCAATTTACTTTGCCCAGATCCATCAGAGGAATCACTATTTATGACAGCTAAAGCCTTACAAAATATGTTTTTTAAATAATAAGACTTGAAAGTTGAAATGACTCCTTGATTCATGGGCTGCAGAATGTTTTAGCAGGCATGGAAACAATATCCATCTTGTATATCTCCATCAGCTTTCCGGTGACAAGGTGCATTGTCAATGAGCAGCAATCTTCTGAAAGAACCTTCCCCCCGCCGCACCACCCCCACCCCCACCCCGAGGAGTAGGTCTTAATAGTGTGCTTAAAATATTCAGTAAACCATGCTGTAGACAGGTATGCTGTCATCCAGGCTTTGTTGTTCCATTTTAGAGCACAGGCAGAGAAGATTTAACATAATTCTCAAGGGCCCTAGGATTTTCAGAACGATCAGTGAGCATTGGCTTCTACTTAAAGTTACAAGCTACATTAGCCCCTAACAAGAGATCCAGCCTATCTTTTGAAGCTTTCAAACCATGCATTGACTTCTCCTCTATAGTTATGGAAGTCCTAGATAGCATCTTCTTCTAATAGAAGGCTGTTTTGCCTCCATTGAAAATCTATTGTTTAGTGCAGCTACCTTCATCAATGATCCTAGTTAGATCTTCTGGATAACTTGCAGCAGTTTCTATATCAACACTTGCTGCCTCTTTTTGCACCTTTATGATATTAAGACAGCTTATTTCCTTAACCTCATGAACCAACCTCTGCTGGCTTCTAACTTTTCTTCTGCAGCTTCCTCACCTCTCTCAGACTTCACAGAATTGAAGAGAGCTAGGGGCTTGTTCTGTATTTGCCTTTGGCTTAAGGGAACATTATGGCTTTTTTGATTTTCTATATAGACCACTCAAACTTTCTTCATATCAGCAATAGGGCTGTTTTGCTTTCTTATCATTCATGTGTTCACTGGAGTTGTGCTTTTAATTTCCTTCAAGAACTTTTCCTTTGCATTCACAACTTGGCTCTTTGGCCCAAGAGGCCTAGCTTTTGGTTTATTGTGGCTTTCAACATGCCTTCCTTACTAAGCTTAATCGTTCTATCTTTTGATTTAAAGTGAAAGACATGTTACTCTTCCTTTCACTTGAACACCTAGAGGCAATTGTGGTGTTATTAATTGGCCTAATGTCAGTACTGTTGTTTTTAGGGAATAGGGAGGACTGAGGCGAGGGGAGAGAGAAAGGGGGGTGGCCAGTGGGCAGAGTGGTCGCAACACACACGTTTATTGATTGAGTTCACCATCTTATATAAGTACAGTTTGTGGTGTCCCAAACCAATTATAGTAATAACATCAAAGATCACTGATCACAGATCACCATAACAGATGTACTAATAATTAAAAAGTTTGAAACATTGTGAGAATTACCAAAATGTTACACAGAGGCACAAAGTGAGCACACGATGTTGAAAAATGGCACCGATAGACTTGTTTGGTGCGGTTGCCACAAATCTTCAATCTGTAAAAAACACAATGTCCGTAAAACGCAATAAAGCAGAGAGCAATAAAATGAGGTTTGCCCATCATTCACCTTATTTGATTTATCCTATGGTACAAGCAGACAGGTTTGATTACAGAAGCAGTTCAGAAAGTTTGTGTAATTTGTTCAAGATTCCGACCGCTGATACATGGGACAGCCAAGACCAGAATTCAATTCTTCTAACTCCCAAGTGCAGTACTGTGTTGCTTTGGAGTCTGAAACCCTATAAGGTTCACACTTTTCTCAGCCCAGTCTGGCCCTCCCCTGGAATGCCTGTCTGGGGTCTTCCAGCCTCACCTAGGGATCCTGTGGAATGGTCAGTGGAGTACAGGGAAAGGAGTCTAATGTTGTGTTATTATCCTGGCTCTGCAGTCCCAAATTGCTCAGGAAACTTTTTATGGGTTTTAGTTTTGTCATCTGCAAAATGAAGCAGGTATTATGCACCCACTCCATCCTACAGGGGGCATTGAAGGCTCCAGGGCAGGAGTGTGCAAATCCTTCGAGGAGGTCCCTGTGCTGTTCCTGTAGGTGAGAGAGGCTTCCCATTTTCTGTTATTTCAACTCATCTGCCCTTAACAGTGGATGCTGTCCTCAGCCCCAAGCCAGAGGGAGGAGGCTGTGCCAGTCTGTGGGATCTGGGCTACTGCTCACTTGGGAGCCCTTTTGGCCAGCCTGTTTTCGTTGACTGTCCCAGGCAGCCTGCCTAGGGGCCTGTTTTGCTGGAAGAATGAGCAGTAGGGGGAAGAGCAGCTCCACAGGTGAGCAACAGAGACAGCTAGCTCAGAGCCTTTAAAATGAAAGTGTTCTCTTGAGAGTGTGCAAAGATCTGATTTGTGATAGATCAAAGTCAGGAAATGCATCACTCCTCCAGAATCAAAGGCTCCTTGCTCTCAGGAACAGACAGCAAAGATTCCTCTTGCAAGAAGAGCTAAGCATAACAATAGAGAGTGGCTGCCACCCTCCCCCAGGCCAGGATAGGGGCCTGGCTGTGTTGACAAACATCTGCACCTGGGCTGCACCTGCCAGGCAAGGACTGACCTGGAAGCTGCAAAGTGCACCTGCTCTTCTGATTTCCTGTTGTTCATCGGTGGTGGGGACAGGTTCCACTGAACCTTGAATATCCCTCCTTTCTCCATTTGGGGATTGGCTGAGGATGTGGCAGGGCTGGTCAGCCTCCAGTTCCAGCACTTCTACTCATTTCCTCTGTGACCTTGGGAAAGACCCTAGCTCAATTAGGTTTCCTCAACAGTCTTGTGGCTTCAGATCTTCTGTTTTATTCCCTCTCAGGGGTTTGGTGAGGGGTTCCATCCTGAGCTTCAGTCAGGACAATGGGTGGGGGATTTGCTCTGTGATCAGGAAGGAGCCATTCATGTGGCTTTGACCAGAAAGCACAGAAAAGAAGGGAGAACACCCAAGCCTTCCACAGCACTCGGTTCCAACCAGACTTTTTTATTCATCAGTGAAGTTTTATTCATCCATCCATTGATGGACACCTAGGTTATTGTAGTATACATACACAATGGAATAGTATTCAGCCTTAAAAACAGGAAATTTTGTTATTTGCAATAACATGGATTAACCCAGAGGCCACTATATTAAGTGAACTAAGCCAGGCACAAAGAGACAAATACCACATGATCTCACATATATGTGGAAATTTAAAAAGTCAAACTCTTAGAAGTAGAGAGCAGAATGGTGTTTACCAGGGGCTGGGGTGGGGAGGTGGAGGGGAACGGGGAGATGTTGGTCAGTGGGTATAAAGTTTCAGTTACACAGGAGGAGTTTTGGTGATTTATTTCACAGTATGTTGGCTACAGGTAAGAACAATGCATTGAATATTTCAAACAAGCTACAAAATAGGATTTAAAACCTTCCCATCACAAAGAAATGATACGAGGCGGGCATATCACTTGAGATCAGGAGTTCAAGACCAGCCTGGCCAACATGGCGAAATGCCATCTCTACTAAAAATACAAAAGTTAGCTGGGCATGGTGGCGCATGCCTGTAATCCCAGCTACTCGGAAGACTAAGGCAGAAGAATCGCTTGAACCTGGGAGGTGGAGGTTGCAGTGAGCAGAGATCGTGCCACTGCACTCTAGCCTGGGCAACAGAGGGAGAATCTGTCTTAACAACAACAACAACAACAAGAAAACAAAAACAAAGAAATGATAACTATTCAAGGGGATGGATATACTAATTAACCTGATTTGATTATTTCACAGTGTATATAAGTATTGAAACATCACCTGTGCCCCATAAATATATATGATTATTGCTTGTCTATTAAAAATAAAGCTAAAAAAAAAAAGAAAATTGAGGCTAGCAAGAGTGATGGTCCTTGGCTCTCCACCCCAACCCTACCCACACAGGTCACTTTAGCCACATTCATTCTTACTTCTACTATCCAAGGATAGGTTGTTCCTTCTCTTCCTCAAAGCTTCCAGGATGCTCTGGACTGTACTCTATCCCATATCTCCAAAACCTTGTCCCACTGGTTGTATTCAACCTCTTGCCCGCCTGGTGAGCCTTCCTTTCGGCCTGGGAACATACTCAACACATCCTCTCCTATAAATGAAGCAAACTGAAACTCTTCTCCACACCCATATTTGGCCACAACCTGATCTCTTTTCTCCCTTTCTCATCCACTCTTGAAAGCCTTGTCCATATTCTGGGCCTCCATTTCTGTATTTCACATTTTCAAACACATTTCAATCTGATTCCAGCCTTCACTGCTCTACTGAAACTTCTCTTGAAAAAATCACTGGAAAATCTTAATTGCCAAGTTCAAATCTTTACCATAGAGGACCTGTTTGCTGAAAGTGAGACAGTGAAAATGCCATTCTACTTCAGATGTTAGATTATCTTAGCCTCTGTGATTCCATGCACCTTTGGCCTTCCTGCTATGTCTCTTATTACCCCTTTATCTCCTCTGTGGGGACCTCTTCTATGCACTCATAAAATTCATCATTCTAGAGTTTTACTCTACACTCTTTTATCATCTAGCCTTATCCACTCTGAGTGTTTCAACTCCCACATATAAACTAATAATTTTCAAATCATTATTTTCGGTCCAGAGCTTTCCCCTGAGCTTCACACTTGCATAACCAACAGTGGGCTAGATGTTTTTACCTGGATGGACCATTCAGCATATCCAATACTAAACTCGTCATCTCATCCCTGTACGTTTTCTTCACCATTTCCAATCTCAGTTGCTGGCATTTCCATCCATCTCAGGTTCCCATCAGGCCAGAAACCTGAGAAACATCTCCCTCCACCCAAGTGCCTCCAGTTGTACCTTATAAGAAAAATTATCAAAATCTGTCCCATCTTCACTATCTTTCCTACCCCAAACTCTGGGAAAAGAGATAGAGTTCTACATGGGAGGGCTTTTGAGGCTCCACGCTAAGAATATGTCATAGACCTGAAGCTACTAAGACCGAAGTTTCCATGTGACTCTGATTTAGAGCCTCTGAGCAGGGTGGACAGCAACTGGGATTCATACAGATCCATAAACATGGATCAGCAGCTCAGTGAGATGTCCCACACTATTATTCCCAATGGAAACAATTTCTTCTACTTCCCAGCTGTCAGGAGATAAGCTGGAATAAGTCAGGAGTAGTTAAGTTGTCTCTGGATAACACACAATCAGATATTCTAAAAGACAGTGGATTCAATTGCTTCTCCAAGGAACTGCCTAGACTTTCACTGTTGGTAAACCTAATCAGGGCTGAAGAGAAAAAAGAGGTGAATTTGTCAGCCAGATGTACAGAACTCAGGTTAGAGATACTGCAGTGGACGTTAGCAGCTGGAAGTGATGATGGTTTCACTCCACAACTTGAAGACACATCCCTGACAGGTGTGATCCCAGAGCATGAAATAAGTGTTCCCTGATCAAGGTCAGGAACTCCTACAAGCACTATCTATAGAAATTCTGAGGCCACAGTGCCTATCCCAAGACCAGATATAGGGCCTCAAAGAGAGAGAAGTACTTTTTAGTACTAAGGGAAATTTTCTGCCTGTATTATGTGGTTTCAGAATGTCCTGGAAAACCTTCTCCCTCTTAAGCCTATAGCTCCATTAGAATAGCCCTCTACCATTTAGTGTGAATTGGGTTTGTTTTTTTCCTTTCTTCAATCTTATCCCTTTCTTTTAAAAAATAATTATTCTTTCTTTTTTAGTCATTTCAATTTGTCTTTTTGATTCAGGGGGTACATGTATAGGTTTGTTACATTGGTATATTGCATGATGCTGAGGTTTGAGATATGAGTGATCCCATCTCTTAAATAGGGAGCATAGTACCCAGTAGTTTTTCAACTCTTGACCCTTTCTCTCCCTACCCCTTCTGGCAGCCCCCAGTGTCTATTGTACCATTTTTTTTTTGAGACAGAGTCTCGCTATGTTGCCCAGGTTGGAGTGCAGTGGCATGATCTCAGCTCACTGCAACCTTGGCTTCCTAGGGTCAAGTGATTCTCTTACCTCAGTCTCCCGAGTAGCTGGGACTACAGGTACATGCCACCACGCCTGGCTACTTTTTGTATTTTTAGTGGAGACAGGGTTTTGCCATGTTGGCCAGACTGGTCTTGAACTCCTAATCTCAGGTGGTCCACCCACCTCAGCCTCCCAAAGTCCTAGGATTACAGGCATGAGCCACTGCACCTGGCTTGTACCATCTTTATGTTTATGAGTACCCAATGTTTAGCTCCCACTTTTAAGTGAGAATATATAGTGTTTGGTGTTCTGTTCCTATATTAGTGTGCTTAGGATAATGGCCTTAGGATAATGACTCCATCCATGTTGATGCAGAGGACATGATTTTATTCTTTTTATGGCTATGTAGTATTCCATTGTGTATATATACACCACATTTTCTTATCCAATCCACTACTGATGAATGGCATCTAGGTTGATTCCATGACTTCGCTATTGTAAATAGTGCTGTGATGAACATACAAATGCCTGTGTCTTTTTGGTAGAACAGTTTATTTTCTTTTGGATATAAACCCAGTAATGGGATTGCTGGGTTGAATGGTAGTTATATTTTACTTCTCCAGACTGTTTTCCCCAGGGGCTGAACTAATTTACATTCCCACCAACAGTGCATAAGCATTCCCTTTTTCTCTGAAGGCTTGCCAGCATCTGCTTTATCTTTTTTTTAACTTTTTAATAATAGCCATTCAGACTGGTATAAGATGGTATCTCATTGTGGTTCTGATTTTCATTTCTCTGATGATTTGTGATGTGAGGCATCTTTTCATGTTTGTTAGCCACTTGTATGTCTTCTTTTGAGAAGTGTCTGTTCGTGTCCTTTGCCCATTTTTTAATGGGGTTTCCTGTTTTTTGCTTGCTGAATTGTTTAAGTTCCTTATAGATTCTGGGTATTAGACCTTTGTTGGTTGCATTGTTTGCAAATATTTTCTCTCATTCTGCAGGTTGTCTGTCTACTCTGTTGATAGTTACTTTCTTTGGCTGAGCAGAAGCTCTTAAAATCTTTAAGCTCTTTAGGTTCCACTTGTCAATATTTGGTTTTGTTGCAATTGCTTTTGAGAACTTAGTCATAAATTCTTTCCAAAGGCCAATGCAAAGACTTTCTCTTAGCACCTGTCACATGCTGCTCTAATTGTTGGTTATCATTCTGTCTCCTAGCTAGTAGAGCCCTTGGAGTCCTCGGGAGGCTACTAGTCATTCATCTTTGTGTCCAGAATGGTGTTTCTTAGGTTTTCTTCTAGGATTCTTATAGTTTGAAGTCTTACATTTAAACCTTTAATCCAACTTGAGTTAATTTTGGCATGTATATGGCAAAAGGTAGGGGTCCAGTGTTATTCTTTCGCATATGGCTAGCCAGCTATCCCAGCCCCATTGCTTATTTTTGTTGGTCTTACCCCTTTCTAAGGTATCCTGCATACTGCTCTTAGAGTGGTCTTTCTAAATTATATGTCTAGGCTGGGCATGGTGGCTCACACCTGTAATCCCAGCACTTTGGGAGGCTGAGGCAGGAAGATCACCTGAGCTCAGGAGTTAGACACCAGTCTGACCAACATGGTGAAACCCTTTCTCTACTAAAAATGCAAAAATTAGCTGAGTATGGTGGTGGGCACCTGTAATCCCAGCTACTTGGGAGGCTGAGGCAGGAGAATCACTTGAACCCAGGAGGCGGAGGTGGTAGTGAGCCAAGATGGCACCACTGCACTCCAGCCTGGGAAACAGAGCAAGACTCTGTCTGAAAGAATTTTTTTTAAAAAAGTATACATCTAATATCATATTCTTCTCTAAGGCCTTTCACTGATTTCCTTTACCTTTCAGATAAAGTTCTAACTCAGCTAAACCTATTACATCCTTTGTGATCTGACTTCTACCTTCCCCTGTAGCTTGCTTTCCACTTCCCTTCCTCTGGAATTCTTACTCCAGCTATATTGAAACACATGCAGTTCCCTGAGAAGAACGTGCATGTCTGGGTTTCTATACCTTTACACGTGTTGTTCTCTCTTGCTGTAACAAATTTCTTCTTGCTAATGTCAAAAATCAGCTTTGGTATCTCTCTTTACTCTCTCAGCTGGCAAGCTCTGTGTCCCCAAAACACCAAGGCCCCTTCTCTTCACACCTGTCACATGCTGCTCTAACTGTGGCTTATCATTCTGTCTCCCAGCTAGTAGAGCCCTTGGGGTCCTTTAAAGGCTCCTAGTCATGCATCTTTGTGTCCCAATGCTTAGGAGAGTATCTGTCATATAGGAGATGCTCAACAAATGTCTCACAGCAAGCTTTGTCTGAGGAATGGAGAAAAAAGAAAGAAACTGCATACGTGGGAGGAGAAGTCCCGTGTCAGACGGAAGGAGAGGATGTCTTCTGAGAATGTTTTGCTTTATAGTTGAGTTGGGAGTTGAACTCTAATTCAGCAATGGACAGATGACTATATACTCCCCGGCCCCATTGGCTTCAGGTACCCTCAGTCAGCTGTTCACATTGCACCAAGTTACCTCTTCATTGCCCAGCCTTCCATTTCACTTTGCACTTTTGAATGAGGGCAACAAATTTGACCCTGTGGAGCTACGTTTAAAAGTGGAACTAAAAATGGGGGCATGCCCCTTCTCCAACCAGACTTCTTTTCTGTATACCCCATCCTACCTCCTTGTATACCTGCTCACTTCTCTGAGATCAAGTTTTAAAATGCATCAATAAAATGTCCCCCAACCTAAGTTGATTCTTCTGCTGATACACAGTGGCAGCTTTTAAATACAGGAGGCTCCAGTTGTCACTTTCAATCATAGGCTCTGCTGAGGGAGACTTAGGACTTAATCATCTTAAGAAAACAAACAGAGGCCCTCTGCTGAGGAGCAGCATGCTGACAGATAGATAGATAGGAGAGAGGACAGAAATTGGCATGCCCAGGATCCTTCCTGTGATCCATACGATGCAGTTCCAGCACTTACAGACCAGGTCCCAGAGAATGAAAATGACAACTCGACATGCCCCTTATCCTTTCCAATTAGCATCTAGTTCATGTTCTTTCTCTCTTGCCTTCTCCATCCCTAAGAGCATCTGGCCCTTTTAAAGGAACAAGGTCTCTTGTTATTCCCCATTCAACTCTCACTCCTCACCTGAACTGGTACCAGACCATCAAAACTTAGAATGTGACAGCTGAAAAGATCTAGTCCACAAGAGGTCTAGTCTAGTATCATCATTTTACAAGTGTGGAAGAGAGTTCAGCTCGGGAGATCCATTTATAAATGGTCAGATAGACTAGAGTTGAACCCAGATCTGCCAATTACCAGCCCAGTTCTCTTCAGCTTCTCAAATGGCTACATATTAGCATCATCTGGGGATCTTAAGAAGAAGAATAAAAGTAAAATTAAAACACTTGTGCCCAGACCCCAGGCATCAGTAGATTTTAGGAACTCCCCATGTGGCATTAATGTAAACCCGGAGTTCAGAAAAACTGAATGCACCCAATTTCTTTCCAGACTCTGTTCAGATTCACTGGGCATTGTATGTGGGGGGAGATGTAATTAGGGAGAAGAATGCTGGGTTGTTGTATATTGAGAAGCAGAAATGAACTCTGTAAGATCTTTTGGCCAGGCTGGGTGTGGTGGCTCATACCTGTAATCCCAGCACTTTGGGAGGCTGAGGTGGGTGGATCACGAGATCAGGAGTTCGAGACCAGCCTGGCCAAGATGGTGGAACCTTGTATCTACTAAAAATACAAAAAATAGCTGGGCATGGTGGTGGGCACCTGTAATCCCAGCTACTCGGGAGGCTGAGGCAGGAGAATTGCTTGAACCCGGGAGGCAGAGGTTGCAGTGAGCCAAGATTATGCCACTGCACTCCAGCCGGGGCGACACAGCAGGACTCTGTCTCAAAAAAAAAAAAAAGATATTTTGGCCAGACCAGAGATCCCTAACGAGGAATGTTTAATTCCCTCTGAAGGAGTTTCTTGTTTCGTTTAAACCGGCACAGGGCTATCAACCATTTTTTGCTGGGCATGGAACTTGGTATTAGGTGTTATTAATTTGGTGTTATTAATTGTGAAGACACAGACAAAAGGACACTGGCCCTTGATTTCTGAAACAATAGATCACATAGGAAACCCTTGCAAAATAACTTAACATCTTTACAAGGAAACATGTGTTCAGAAGCTTGCAGACACACTAGCCCCTGCATTAAGAACACAGCTGGCCCAAGGGCCATGAATTATTGGCTTCTTAAGCCCAAGGTGTCATTCAGGGTCCTGCTCACAGTAGGCACTCCATAAATGCTTGATGTCTGGGCTGAAACTCTGAGCCTGAAGCTGAGGAAGGAACTGGCAATAAAAATGATCTAATAGAACAGTTAGGAACTGTTGTGAATTAGCCCATCTGTAAGGTCAGAGGCTCCCCAGAGGGCAGCTAGGCATGTGCCCCAAAGCAAACTTCCCACACCTGGCTGATCATAAGCCTCAGCTGGGGATTTTCAAAATCCCATATAGATTTTTGGTCTGACCCAGACATACTGAGTCAGGGTTCCCAAGGGTGCTACCTGGAAGTCTGCATTATTTTATAAGTGTCTTGGGCATTTCTAATCATCAGTGAGGTTTGATAATTTCTGCTTGAGGAAACTTTAAGCCTGAACTTGAGTCACTACACAGTGAAGTGATTTAATCTTTACTTGGGAGTCACGCTGACTAAACTAACGAATTTCTGGCATGATGTGAAAACTTGCTGGCTGTTCCTCCTTAGCAAGTTGTCCTACCTCTCTGAGCCCATTTTGTCACCTGTAAATCTGCAAAGGGTGGCTCTAATGTGGGTAAAACACTAGCACAATTCCTGGCAGAAAGTAAGCGCTCAGTAATTGAAAGCTGTTGCTATTTGAACATTCCTTCCATGTTGGAGAATGGGTCTCAGTGGCCTGAGGTCTAGGGACTTGGAAGGTGGGTCCTTCCCTCTCTGGCCCTGGTCAGTTCAAGACAGATAACTGAATACCAGGGGAAGGAAGTGAGAACTTGCATTTTATAAAGTGTCTTCCAGTATAAAACGAGCCAAGTAAAGTGCTGCAGTCTTTGCCCTCTTAGCACTCGTTGGCAATGTGATCTGGCAAGACCTTGAACTTCTGGGTTTCAACATCCTTTTGCAAAATGGGGATAATAATGCCCTATGTCCTTCCATACTCACAGAATCCAGGAAGATTAAAAACACACCAAACCACAGTTCTACCTTGTTTAAACAGATAGTTATTGAATGCTTGTGACAGTCAGGCTGCGTGCTAAGTGGTGTATGTGCATTATTTCATGCATGCCATGGCATTATCAGTAGGTTCCAAGTTGTACCCATTTTATAGTTAGGAAAGCAAGGCTTAGAGAAGACAAGTAACTCAAAGTTACTGATAGGAGGTGAAGCTGGCATTCAAACCCAGGCCATTCAGACTAGACAGATAGCCATAACCTCTATAGTCCTCATGTCATCACAACTCACCAGAGTTCCAGACCCCATCATGTTCCTTCTCAAATTAAATCCACCCATTGGCCAGGAATGCTAAATATCATTTTCTTCCATGTCCAATTCAGGCTTGAATCCAAGGCCTTAGCTTTTCTACTATCCTACTGCTTTCTCCCATGGCAAGACTTAAAACCTAAAAGCAGCATGTTAAAGAGAGCTTGCTACATAGGACTGTACTTTAAGGAATTCTCATGAAATCAACTTTATGAATTTAGCTTTGTACATTCATTAAAAAATAACACAGCCAGCTGTTTTGATCTGCTAGAGTGCTTAGTTGTAGATATGCCTCTATTTAGGAAAACTTGGCATGTAAGACTCCATAGTGACAAAACAGATATATTTAAGGGTGAATAATTACACATTATAGAAAGATTTGCTTTAATTTTTTTTAAGTGTTCTCGAAATTTGTTTCTCTTTTATTAAATATTTGTCAAAGAGACTGGAGTGGAAAGAGGGAGGCAGAAAAATTTCACGTTAAAGAAGGAACGATCCAGAATGTCTCTAAATGATAATGAGAGTCGCTGGAAACAGGGGATCATGTTTACCCAAAGAAATTGTGTTATCTACAACTTTTCGGGAACACGAGTATTGCACAAAGAGAAGTACCCCTGAAGCTTCTTGATGTTGAATCGGAGGTTACAACGCAGACTCAAAGGGCTGGATTTGTGCCTGTTACGTGAAAAACAGCACGAGATGTGAATCAGTCGATATCCCTCTAGTGCTGAAAGCTGCCTTCTGAGTCCCAGCCCGGCTCTCCTGGTCCAGAGATCTGTTTCACAGGAACCTGAAAACCTGCCAAATCCATCACCCATGATGAGCAGGTGAGCTGAGGGGCCCCTGATTTATGTCAAACCATCCTAGGGGCAGAACTGCCTTGCAAAAGGACTGTCAGAACTGATCAATGAATAAATGAAGTCACTGACCAGGGGACAGCTCACTCTCTTCATTTTTAAGGATTTTGCAATGAGAAAATCACTAAGATCCATGTTAGGACATGATAATATTATCCTAAAGCGCCTTTTTTATACTATTCTTGGGGCTCGGGAGGGGGAAGGAGGGAAGGATGTAAGGCAAGAGATTTTGGACTGAATATATCTTCCAAGGTGAGTATATGGAGTGTATACTGAGTAAGGCAGGTTTGAGATGCTGCTCAGGGACTTTTTGAAGTTGTGAGGCCCTGATCTGCATGGGAAAAAACCAGACATGTTGCACAGACACTCATTTGTCAACTTCCTCTGTGACTGGGCTCAAAATGGCTGTGTAAATAACTCAGCCAGGGAGGATGGCAGAGCAAAGCGCTGGCAGTTATTGTGCTATGAAATATGCATTAATTGCATTAAACATTCAGTCTGAAACTCAGCGGTGAGGCCCTTTTTGTCAGTTTTTATAGTGCACAGACAGACAGACCAGGATGTGGATGGCAATGGCCTTCTGTGTAGACTCTGACGCTGTAACACCCTGAGCTGCTCCTCTGATGTTCCAGGCGTGGCCTGTGGCTTCCCGCTCAGTAGCATGGTGCTAATGAGGCCAGGGTCACTAGCTCTCACTCCCTAGGAGCCCCCACCTCTGCTCTGTTCCCCAGACACCGCCAACCATGTCTTGAATCTCAGCCAGTTATCACTCGCACATGTCGCTGGTCACAGTGGGGCTGGGTGTGAAGATGGAGGGCTCAGTAGAGTCTGTCTCCATAGGTAGAAAACAGCCTTTCCTCTAACAAGGCAGTTCTCACTTGGATTTGATTATTGCATTTGAAAACCCAAGGTGTGCTTTATAAGGGGAAGAAACCATGTCAAGGGATAAGAGCCAAATGTGTAAGGATGCCTTTGAAGGGAGATAATGGAGAGAGAGAGAGACAGGAGGGAGGGAGAGAGAAGGTGTTAAATATATAGATGTTCTGGGCCCAGCACAGTGCCTTATGCCTGTAATCCTAGCACTTTGGAGGCCGAGGCAGGAGGATCACTTGAGCCTGGGAGTTCAAGACCAGCCTGGGAAATGTAGCAAGACCTTGTCTCTACAAAAAAGTTAAAAAATTAGCTGGGCATCATGGTACATGCCTGTAGTCCCAGCTACTTGAGAAGCTGAGGCAAGAGTATTGCTTGAATATGGGAGTTTGAGGTTACAGTGAGCTTTGATTGCACCACTGCACTCCAGCCTGGGTGACAGAGTGAGACTGTCTCAAAAAAAAATAAAAAATTAGAATACATGTGTATATGTGCTAGAAGAGTTGAGCATTAAGATTTAGAGTGCCTTTGATCTTTCTGTTTCCACCAAATTCAACACAAGAGTCTCACTCTGATATTCAAGGTCCTCTTCAATGAGTCCCAGCCCAACTTTCCTAGGTTTGCTGTCCATGGTTTCCCTGCTCTAAGCCATACTGTGGCCAAACTGCATGACATGTTTCCTGAAATTGCTTTTCTATTCCTGCCTTTGATTACGCTGTTCCTGCCATAGAGGGACCAGTCATCCTGGTTTGCTGAGGACAGTACTGGCTTTAGCACAGAAAGTGGAACGCCTCAGTGAACACTTCAGTGCTAAGCTCTCCAGGTCAGTTGGTCACCTTACTGTTCCCTCTGCTTGCAGTGGATGGCCTCTCTTTCTGCCTCTGTGCCTGTATAAATCCTTCAAAGTCCATTCTTCTCCGTCCCTCATTTTGTAATTTTTTTCACATTGATTTATCTGCATCCACAAACTTCTAATAAACATCCTTCATTTATGCTTCTCTCTCTACCCCAGCATTCATTCAACCAACATTCATGGAGAATGCATACGTGTCACGTCTTCTGCCAGGCACCCTGCCTGCAGGGAACTCACAGTCTATGGAGGGAAATGATAATGCAGTACTTACAATAGAGTGGAATAAATCATTAAAAGGGTTATCCACAAATTAAGAGGAAAGTGAAAACTGTCAAAGATAGATCAGAGATTTAGGACTAGAAAAATTGCTGAAAAGTGATGTAAAGTTCTAAAAATTCTGAAAATTCCCTGTAGATCTGAGATCTTCATTGTTAATATCTCCTCACTAGCATTATTAATACAGTAACTGGAAATTCTTTTGAGTTCACTCATAATTCTATTTGTGAAGAAAAAAATCCATGCTTTTTCTTAGTGCAACAACAATATATGGTAATTTTGGAAAATTTAGGATATTATACATGTTTATGGGTGTTTTTGGGTGCATGCACTATAGCATCACCCAGGATAACCACTGTTCACATTTTGGTATATAATCTTCCAGATTTTATGTGGAAATGAAGATACAGATTTTAAACAAAACGAGATTTTACTAGACATACTGTTTTATAACCCAATATTAACAACAGACATCTCCACACACTTGTGTGTGTGAATTACAAACATTTGCCACACCATTTAAAATAACTGCATGTACTTTATCACGTGGGTGTTTTTCATTTATTTAACCATTATTGAACAATTAGATCATGTCTCATTTTTTACAATTACAAATAAGACTGCAATAAACATCCTTAAAAATACATAAGGTATTTGAAAGTCCTTTGTAAACTGTAAAGTGCTCCAAGCAAGTAAGTTCATCATGCTGATTTCTCTCTGGAATCTCATCTGAGTCTGCCTGGGGACTGTCGGGGTCAGGAGTCTCTCTAGTTTGTTTTTGAGCTAGGCTAGGAACTGAATCTCCTCAGTTGCTTCCTGTCATGATTTTTTGAATGGGCATGCCTCTCCATTTTCCTGAGAAAATGTCCTTGTCAAAATGTATTTGTCTTAAGGATGGACAAACTGCATTTGTCCTAAGGAAGTTAGAGAGAGGGGGAACACACCTACCAACCCTCTGTTATGAGAAATCCCTATCTTGAGGTCCCCAGGCTAGTACTCTTTTCACAAAATACAGCCTGGAAAAGTACATTCCTCCCCCCAGCCTGCCCAGCACCCTCAGCAGGTCCTCATGGACCGAGAAAACTCTGCAGGTATAAACCCAGCAATTTAGCTCGGCTTGGAAGGGCCCAACAAACTGGTTAGTAAACAAAAGTGATTTTCCTTAATCAGGGCTGGTCACACATGAGAGCCCTAACTGTCCGAGTTCCACCTGCTACTTCCTAATCCTCCTCATCCCCCTTGCCCCACCCACTAGGGACCTTGGCCCGGCCCGTCCCAACTCCACGTTCCCCACCTGTTGCTGTGATTTCTTTGGTGGTGGGCAGGGGAAAGAGCCTCCCTGAAACCAAATATTGGCCAGGGGCAGAGCCAGCCTCCCTCCCTCCTCACCCTGGGAAAGCTGGCTCTGCACTGGGAAGTCCTCGCTAACTGGAATTACCTGGGGCACCTTTCCAGGCACCACTTTATAGCCATAACAAAGAGCCCTCTTCCCAGCACCATCTAAAGGAAGAAGACCCTGATTTACTGAGGCCAGCTCAGTTTCAGCCTTGAAGCATGTAGGGTTGCTACATATTAGATTTTGCATGCATTGCCCTGGCTTTTCCTTCCAAGCAGTCCAGTCTGCTTACTATTCCCTGTACACACCCTACTTATTCCTGTTTCATGTCTCTGCTGATGCTAGTCCCTTGCCTCAAATACACTCTGATATTTATAAATCTTTTTCACTTAGCATTTCAAAAGGCCTTTCTGTCTATGATCTCATCCATTTGGATCATATCATGATCCTCACAGCAACCCGGGGAGCTTTTGTTATTACTATTATTTAAATTATTATCCCCTGTTACATTTGAGGAACTGAGGCCCAGAGAGGCTCAATGACTTGTTCAAAGTCACATCAGTAGTTACAGAAAGAGCAGGAATTAGAACGACTCTGTGTCTTCAGTCCTAGTGTTTCTTCACCACCAGTCACTGTGTCCCCATTACCCCTAAAACACCCCACTAGGTGCCTGTGCCCATCTCAACCCCTGTAGTTGTTTTTGCCTGCACCTGTCCAGCATGTCCATCCCTGTTAGGTTACACTACTCCAATTTTCCCTTGAGGAACTGTCCCCATGCCCTCAGGTCATGTGATTTTGGTGGACTGACCTCATCGCTTGGCTTTGTGAGTGAAAACATAATCAGAGCTAGCCAATCAGAGCAGTCCAGGGCCCCCTGGCCATACTGATTGGCTCAGAGAAGAACACGTGACCAGCCAGCACAATGAAGTGCAATTGCAGGTCCTTTTGCTGGAGTTGTCTGGAAAGAGACTCTTTCTGTTGCAATTTCTAAACCTGCAGGATGTAGGCATGAAGTTTCTGGGCCACCACATGGAGATGCCTTTCTGCGAATGAAGTTGACAAAGAGTAAAGCAAAGAGGATGCAAGGGAGCTGAATCCCGAAGATGTTGCTCAATTCATTGGATTCTGCATTGCCTGAAGCCAGTTTGAGCCAGTTCCCGAATGCCGGTTTGAGTTGCATTTCTGTCACTTGCATCAAAAAACAGAGCCTTAACTAATTCACCCCACCCTCTCCTTTTGGAAATTCTCCTTTTATTTCTTGCTTCTACATCTTCTCCTTGTATGGTCTGCCTACCTGTTGCCCTGGATGAAAATGCTGTCAACATTACATGCTTGAGTCTTCTTCCTGCTTTGTTGTAACCAGTTTGAGGACAAGAACTGCGCTAATTCTCTTCTTCTCTTTTATTTGTGCGGTGGAAGGAGCACAGACTTTGAAATCAGAACACTTATAAGTCCTGCCTCTATCACAAGATGAATGGTCTTGAATGGATAACTTTAATTTCTTCTTAAAAATCATTTTAAAAAATCTGTAAGATAAGACTTTAGACTGGGCATGGTGGCTCATGCCTGTAATCCCAGCACTTTGGGAGGCTGAGGCGAGAGGATCACTTGAGGTCAGGAGTTTAAGACCAGCCTAGCCAACATGGTGAAAACCCCTCTCTACTAAAAATACAAAATTAGCCAGGCTTGCTGGCAGGAGCCTGTAATCCCAGCTACTCAGGAGCCTGAGGCAGGAGAATCACTTGAACCTGGGAAGCAGAGGTTGCCGTGAGCTGAGATTGTGCCACTACACTGTAGCCTGGCTGAAAAAGTGAGACTCCATTTCAAAAAAAAAAAAAAAAGATAAGACTTTAAGCAAAAAAACCTACATCGCACATTTATTATGACTATCAAATAAGGTAGCATATATGAAAGTCCTTTTCAAACTGTTAAAATGCTAGTTATTCCAATGTAAGGGATTACTTAAAACAGTGTCTGGCATAAAATAAGCACCCTAAAAGTGTCTGTTAAATTGAAAAATAAATAAAAATAATTTTTAAATTCAGCTTTTGTTTGTTGCCATACATTGCTTAAATCTTGTGCTTTAAGAGCAGGTTGATGGTAAATTGGGAACAAGCATTTAGATGCCTCAGTGATTTTTTTTTGTGTGTGTGCAAATTTGTGCCTAGAGTTCCTCATTAGCTCTTCCATTTTCAATGAGACCACACAGAATGGTGGCTTGAGCACCATCTTATAGGAGCTGGTTTTGGAGAGGAGTTAGACTAGGGAGTGTCTACCATCTTAGGCCATAATTGCTCACTCCAGCCTCCTAGTTTCAACCATTTACCAGCCCTCCCCAACAATAAAAAAGTACAAACAGAGAAATAAGATCAGCTTGGGACATTGCCCTCTGGAAGACATCCATGCATTTCTATAGCCTTTTTGTAGGCCTTCTTTGGCAGTCACAAAAGCTTTTACTTGCACATTTGGAGAATGCGTGGTGGCCTTAGCTCCTTGTTGGTTCCAGCTGAGAAAGAACTCCTGAGTTGGAAACTGAGGTCAGTGTAGTTCAAAGGCAAGCTCCTGGTAGCCTTGCCCTCTTTAGATTCCTGGCCACTCACCCATCGACCCAGGTGAACTTCACTCAGAGAATTTGAAAATGCCCTAAGGAAATAGTTGTTGCTAAATCATTCTGTGTAGAGAATCAGGAGAAGTGAATGTCTAAACTTGCCATCATGGTTCATGAACTTCCTTATTTTTTAAAAATGCTACTAATTTTTGAGCACTTATCTGTGCTAGACCCCATAAATGAGCATATAACATGTTTTTATCTGTTTAATTCTCAACTTATCTCCCTAAGGGAGGTTCCATCTTTTTGTTACCTGAAAGGGGTCCTGATCCAGACCCTGAGAGAGGGTTCTTGGATTGCATGCAAGAAAGAATTCGGGGCAAGTTCATAAAGTGAAAGCAGGTTTATTAAGGAAGTAAAGGAATACAAGAATGCCTACTCCATAGCTCCCTTGGGGCAGCTGGTTGGCTATTTTTATGGTTATTTCTTGATTATATGCTAAACAAAAGGCAGATTCTTCATGAGTTTTCTGGGAAAGGGGCAAGGATTTTCTGGAACCGAGAGTTCCTCTTCCTTTTAGACCATATGGGGTAACTTCCAGATGTTGCCATGGCATTTGTAAATGGTCATGGTGCTGGTGGGGGTGTCTTTTAGCATGCTAATGTATTATCATTAGTATATAATGAGCAGTGAGGATAACAGAGGTTACTTTCATCACCATCTTGGTTTTGGCAGGTTTGGGCCTGCTTCTTTACCGCATCCTGTTTTATCAACGAAGCCTTTGTGACCTGTATCTTGTGCCAACCTCCTATTTTATCCTGTGACTAAGAATGTCTAATCTCATGGGAATACATCCCAGCAGGTCTCAGCCTCATTTCACCCAGACCCTATTCAAGATGGAGTCGCTCTGGTTTGAATGCCTCTGACAATTTCCCTGTTATAGAGAGGCTTAAATAACACAGAAGGTCTCATTGCTAGTGAATGGAAAAATTGGGTTTTAAACCTCAGGGTTTTTTTATTCTAGTGTCTAAGCTCTTCCCGTCTAGTATACCTGTTTATTTTGAGATTCCATGATGTCCACACCTACTTTTTAACAGCTTAAACACCCCACTTTTACCAGCATTTTTTTGAATTATGTCTAATATCACATACATTTACATTTATATTATACAATATCATAATTTATCAAGGTTAGGGATTGAATTCTATTTTCCTCTGCATTTCTAGCAGTGAGAACCATAGAGGGAAATGCCACACAATGGTAGATGGGTGGATGGTTGGAGGAATGAGAAATATACAAGAGGGTCTCTAGTCTCAAGGACTTTACAATCTAGCAGGAGAGACAAAGCATAAGTATATGGAAAACTAAAAATTTTAATAAGAAAGTCCCTAATACAACCGTGATTATTTATCAATAATCATGGGGACTGATAAACTTATTGTTATCTTCTGAGCGTAGAGAGAGAGATGCCTTTTGGCTGGTTCACACCAGCGTATGTGCTTAGTGGTCGCTCTTTGAATTTTTAGTTCTGATTTCCTATTTCATTCTTTCTCTGTGATGAGGAACACAGTGGCCTCAGTTCTACCCAGAGTCCACACCCCACACCCTTAGCGGGGAAGATGCTGAGTAAGCGTGGGTTTATGAAGATTGATGACCACTCTCAGATTACTCTCAGTTGGTGTGGGGCCCTGAGCTTCCTCAATTTTCATTTAATTAGCTTCCCCCTTTCTTCAGCTTTGCCCAGGGAAAGATAGCTCTTGTTGTCTCTAAGAAATGTTTTGCCATTCCCCACCCTTTTGGAAGCCACCCTGTGGAATGCGGAGACCTTGGTTAGAAAGGAAGTAGTTCTTCCTCCGTCTCGGTCTGAGTCCCCTGTACCCTCCCACTTCCTTCTCCCCAAGCTCAATTCAAGGTCACCTCTAGTTGTCTTGGCTTTATCCTACCTGGGACAATCCTCAGGCTCCCAGATGTCATAAATAATACTTATATCACCTCTTTTATTGTATAAGCACAACTGAACTTCTTCCTCAGTCTCCACCCTCCTTGAACTATCTCTGATTCTCTGATCTTTCAGTTCCCACAGCTGGGAACAGTCCAGGAAGTACTTCTGAACATGGCCGGATCAATTTGCTTTTACCTCTCCAGGTAGGGAGCAAGTAGGAAGGAATAACCAAGTTGCCTCTGTTTCCAAAACTTTCTAGAAAATTGGCAAGTTGCTAGATCTAATAAATAAAAGTTGCCTCACTGTGATAATGCCCTCTTCCTGGGATGACTATCCCAACTGCTCCTTACATTCAACTCCCCAACACTTACCATCTTGCTTTCCCTCTGTCTTGTTCTTAAAAGAATGTATCTGTGATATGAAATTCTGTTGATTCCGGATTCAGCCCCAGGTGTAACTGTGAAGCAAGTGGAGTTTTCTTGGCAGCTTCTTGCCTGTTCTGAAGTCCCCCATTCCACACACTCAATGACCCAGGCACCACACCACAGTCACCACCTACTCTGTGTAAGCCTTCCCAGTCTGTTAGTAGGAAAACAGACTTTCAGAAGCTGGGGATTTCCCCAGGACTATAGTCTACTTTCCTTCTAACTAACAATACTTTTTTTCACGTTGTGGGAGAGAGAAGGGGAGAAAGGGAGGCTGGAGAGAAGGGGATAAGAGTGGGTTTCATCACCTTGCAGGTGAATCCAAGTAGTGTAATTCACAGAAATGTTATTCTGTGTGTTGAAGATTCCTTTTCGAACATTCTCTCTCTTCTGGGTTCCTGAAAGCAGTCAGAGGAGGGATCCCTCACTAAGCTGAAGCTCTTCTCCTCCCTCTTTCTGGATGTTAGAGGTAGAGCTGGGTCAACCCTTGCCTGGCACAGGTGGCTGGACACTGGTTGGAAGGGAGGAATGACGAAGCTCTGTGTGTATCCCAAAGGTCCCTTCTCTTTAGTCTCCTTTTCAGCTTCGGTACTTCCAAAGCACTACCTCTACTCCACCCCATCCCATGCCCCTCCTCAGCCCTTAGGGCTAGCTCTGGTGATGCTTTCAAGCACTTCCAGCTGGCTGAAAGGGCGTGAATAATCCACCTTTTGTTTAGCATATGATCAAGAGCAATACTCCCAGTATTGCTAAGAAGCCATTTTCTGCCTCTTAGGTGTTCTCCCCACAGGGTATTTCAAGGTCTGTGTTCTCACACTGGGCCACGTGACAGTCAATCCAATTCCATTCTATTAAACTCAGGAAAGCCCTCACTGGGCACATCTAATGATGAGTGATGTAAGGCAAGCTCAAACTTCTCAGAGCTTTGGTTTCCTCACTGGTAAACTGCAGAGTAAATCAGAGGCACTCAGATTCCTGTGTGTAGGAGAATTGTTTGAGAGCTGTTGAAAAGCAGATTTTAGGCCTTGATCCCAGGATTCTGTTGCCATAGTTCTGCCGCAGGTCCTAGGACTGCATTTTAAACAGACTTCTAAATCATTTTACCATAAATCTGGAGAACCCCTTCTGAAGAATGCATCTGGGGATCAATGTACACCCATTGACATACACTCAATGTATGGTCCAGGGACAGAAGTGCAGTCTCATGGAGTGTGGTTGCTGTTAGATTTTCCCAAAGAGTCCCCCTTTCTCTGCTCCAGCTCCACATTTCCAAGCTCTCATCCTGCAAGAAATCTTCTCTAAGCATGGCCCCCAGCATCCCACCCTGCATAGCCCACCACACACAAGCTGGCTTTTGTGCTCAGTGCTTTCTGTTTCCTTTGCACTGGTTTGAATGGCTCATATTTGTCCACTGCTTTGAGAGGCTTTGGATGGTTCAGCCTGTATATTTATCATGTCTCTCTAACTGGCAGCAAGGTCCTCAGGGACATCTTTTTCTTCTCTTTTGTTCCTTCCCACTGTGCTCAGAACAATGCTCAAGAAAGATATTCTCTATTTGTTTGTCTGCTGACCAACTGACACTCTACTTCTACCTAGCGGGCCATTTTCCTGATGGCAGGCAAAGCAGTAGACTTTTCTGGGCAGGAGGAAGGAAAGCAAGGAGGAAGCAGAGAACCAGTGCTGCATAGCCTTCCAAATCCCTCCAAACTGCATCATTTCATTCGGTAGTTACCAGGCATATGGCTGCTTGTCTGGTGGACTCTCCCTGTAATATCATCACCAAGTTTACTGACTGGCCAATCAAAGGGAGTTCCTGCCTTACTTTCCTAGAGGGAGGAGTAGGATGGGCTGATTACCTCATTCTCCTTTGAAGAGGTTGCTGTCTACCTTGGTGTTTTTAGACCTTGGGCTTTACAGTCAAGCAGATATAAATTCTGATTGTGACTCTATTTGTTGCCAGCTGCCTTACATTGCATAAATTTCTTAATCTCAGCAAGCCTCAGTTTTCTCAGCTGGGAAATGGGGATAAGAATACAGTATCTATCACATAGTTTTGTTGGGGAAGGTTAAATAAAATAATGCAATTGAAACACTTGCACAGTGGCTTGCACAAAGTGGGCACTCAAAAATGTCAGCCACTGAAGGAGCTATAAAAGGGCTTTCTGCTTTTGTGAAAGTCCAAGGTACTCCTGGCTGTTGTCTTCTTTATTACCCTGCTAACTTCTCCTTGATTGTTTTATTTTTCCCTCCATCTCTTGGAGGGCATCATCAGAACAGCAAGAGAGAGTGTGAGAGAAGTCCCTCATCCCTCCAGGAAGGGGCCCCACTCCAGGAGAAGCCCATTTTCTTTTCTTACAAACTGAGCCTGCAAGCTCCAGGAAACAGGCCATCTTCCCTTCCCTTCCTCTGGTCAGCTTGTCCCGTGGAAGCCTCCCTGGCTCAGGGCCACCCCCAAGGTACCCTATCTTTTGCTGTGCCGAGCCAATCTAAAACTGGCGATCTCAGCTTTAATTGAAAATCCCCAATCAGGACAGCACAAAGAGATTCTCTTTTTAATGTAAACCTCCAAAAGCAAATACTTGAGCGGATATGCTGTCCTCTTATCTTCTTGCTTTTCTTTCCTGTCTGAAGCAAACTCCTCTTGTGAGACCTTGGGGTCCCAGTAAAGAGGACTCTGCAATTGTACATTACGCATTTGTGCAAAGGGACTCCTTAGTGGGTTGGTAAGTGCCCTTAAAACAGATTTTATAAATATTTCAGGCAAGATTTTCTATTAGATTCCATATTTTAGAAACTTCTGCTGCTATCTCGGTAGCCAGTTTTTCAAGGATACTTCCTTTTAGTTGAAATCAGTCTCAGAGAAGTGTTTCGGTCTCCAAAGCATCTTCTAAACTGTGTGGTTGACCTGGGAGCCCACATTAAATTATTCTATGTTATAATGATTGAAAAGATCTAGGGAACAACATAGCACTGGGGAAATTGTGTTTTCTTCTAGTATTTGGCTAGTGGAGATGTTAATCTGGGAGGTGGCTGGGTCCTGAAAGCATGCACGGGAAGGAATCGTTCCTCCATCAGGAAGTAAGCTAATCAGGACTCCAGTCTTAATGGAAATGAATCTTCCGCAAGCAGGAGGCAGTGACCTTCTGGCTGGAGAGCTTTCCCAAAGGGGCAGGAAGGCTCAAGGACAAGCGACGCAGAAGAGGCCTGGGCATTTGCAGAAGACCTGCTTGCACTTTCTCTGAGGCCCTAGCGCTAGCGGTGGTGAATCCATATGGGTTGTTGCAGCAACCTCCATTCTTGTGTTCTCAGAAGAAAGAATTTGACTGAAGGACATAAGGCAGAAGGAGAGACTGAGGCAAATTTTGGAACAGGAGTGAAAGTTTATTAAAAAGCTTTAAGAGGCCAAGGACAGTGGCTCACACCTGTAATCCCAGCACTTTGGGAGGCCAAGACAGACAGATCACTTGAGGCCAAGAGTTCGAGACCAGTCTGGCCAACATGGTGAAACTCTGTCTCTACTAAAAATTAGCTGGGCATGGTGGCACGTGCCTGTAGTCCCAGGTACCCAGGAGGCTGAGGCATGAGAATCCCTTGAACACAGGAGGTGGAGGTTGCAGTGAGTTGATATCTTGCCACTACACTCTAGCCTGGGAGTGAGACTCTGTCTCAAAAAAAAAAAAAAATAAATAAAGTTTTAGAGCAGGAATGAAAGTAAAGTACACTTGGAAGAGGGCCAAGTGGGCAATTTGAGAGATTCAAGCGTATGGTTTGACCTTTGACTTGGGGTGTTATATGTTGGAATGCTTCCAGGGTTGCCTTACTTCTCCCCTGATTCTTCCCTTGCGGTGGGCTGTCCACATGCACAGTGGCCTGCCAGCACTTCGGAGGGGCCACATGTGCAGTGTGTTTACTGGAGTTGTACATGTGCTCACTTGAGATATTATTCCCTTACCAGTCGACTGTCCCTAGAAGGTCATATACCAGTTAAACTCTGCAATTTTGCCTCTTAATGCACATGCTTGAGCCTACTCACCCAGCTCCTCCTGAGACCTTATCAGGAAGCTGCTGATCACCAGTTTCAGGTATTTCTATCTATTGGGAGACTTTCCCTGGCTCTGGCTATGACCAATTATTATTTTAGAGAGACAGTATAACAACTGCCTGACCATCACCTGACATTCACCTGACATTCCTGGTGGTCGTGGGGCCATTGGCTGCCCTGCTCATGTCTGCCTGACTGCCTACTGTAATACTAGTTCCTGGGCCAGTCCTGGAACACACCAGAGTCTCTGCCCTAAAGGGCTTAATGAGGACAGCAGGATATGGTACCAAAGACAAACAAGAAAAAAACCCCAAATCTGGCATTCAAGCCTAGACTATATCTGCTTTCTCTCTCTGGTCTCTAGCCTCCCTTCCCTCTTGCCTTCCTTCAATCTATTCTCAGCAGCCTTCAATCTATTCTCAGCAGCCAAAGAAGCTAAGAGTGCCACCTGGCTGCCCTCTTCCCTCCTTCTCTCCTCTTGAACCCCCAGCCTCCTTTCTGACTGACTCATATTCATCCTTCAGATCTCAGCTTAGACTCACAATATTTGAGAAGCTTTCGTTGACCATGCCATCCCATGCTGAGCTATGGCTCACCCTGTGTGCCCAGTATCCCAATGGTCCATTTCTTGTCTGCCCACCCTCTCCAATTTGGACTACAAGCTCCTTCAAGGTGGGAAATTTGTTTTGTTAAGGATGTATTCCTAGCACCCAACACCCAACATTCAGTGATTGACAAGGCACAGAACAGCTGTAATAGAATCTCTCGTTCAGAAAAAGGAAGAGGGATCGGGAAAGGGAAACAACACTGAGTGGTCACTGAGCCACAGCAGGAATGGAGACCACCCTGCCTGCCTGAGGAAGGGACCCATTAGTGTCTGGCAGCCCAGGTCCTGCTTTTTGGAGAATCGCTGTTGTTCATTGCCTTTCAAAGCCAAATCAGAGGAGGACATTGGGAAGAATACCTTTTTCGATGGCTACGGAAATTTAGTAGCCCACTTCCTATTGGTGTAAGTTTAGGGCCTGGGTATTGCCTTATGTGTTAAACAGTCAATAATATATTTATCTTAAAAACTAGGTTAGCTTTCTAATCTATTTGTGCCCAGTCAATTCCATGGGGGCAAAGATCTTGTCTAGACACAGTCCTTGAGTCACAATTCCTGCCCCCGATCTGGCCTCTGGGTTCCATCCCTCACCCTGGCCCTCGGTTCAATGGCTTCTGCCTTGAGGCAATTTGAAACAATAGCTCAGTGGGGCGATAGCACCCATAATCTGATTTTTCCCAGCCAGCATCTTCACAATAAGCATGAGTGTCTCCTTTGTCTAACTGAGAATGCTTAACAGGAGGTGCTAGGAAAGGCTGGGATCGGGATTATAGTTTGCCTCAAACTTATCTCCTGCTCAATCTCCTGCCTCTGCCTCTGCTCCCACTGACTTTAAGAGAAGAGAATTCTGCTTTTTCAACTCTGAAAGGCTTCAAGCTATTGGACTCTTAGTCAATTAATTTAGATCTCAGAGTACAGACAGACAGACAGAAAGCACATTCCTTAGCAAAGCTGTCCTTTTTTCCTCTCTCTATTTTCAGAGGTCACCTTTAGTCTGAGCTTATCTCATACATGTATAACCTTACTGAAGGCTGCAAGAAATAAGAGATGCCAATATTCTGAATTTCCCCCAGCCTTTTCTCCTAAAACTACAGTTCCTGTAAGCCCATGGCTGATATCCTGGGGTTCAGCAGGTGACAATTTAACTATATGTTAAATATGACACCACATGACAAGAGTCACCAACTTTCCCACTATGATGCTGGGGTCCTCTCTGCTCCCCACCTTAACCTTTTCCATTCAGCCTAACTGTAGGGTCTGTTTCTTGCAACACCCAGTCCCGGTGCAAATTCTATATCATCTGGATGATTTTGGATTAGGGCAACACATAGCCATATGAAGGAAGATAGATTGCCTGAACAATACTAATTTGGTTTTGTTAGAAAGGAGGAAGAATAAAGGGAATGAATGCTGGACAGGCAGCCAGTAATATTCTGCAACATGTTATTCAACATTCATATGTTCAACAAGCATTTGTTGAACATCTACTGCATTTCAGGTATGAGGGATGGCAGGAAAACCAGGTAGGTTCTGCCTCCTAAGAAGCTCACAGAGAGATGGCAGCACAGACAGTGGTGCCCAGTGTGAGAGCGGCACAGTAGAGGCACAGAGATTGTTGGGGAATTGCAGAATCAGGGCAGCAAACCTGAAATGGAAGGTCTCGGAAGAGTTGAATCCTCTCCCTCACGGAATGTACGTTCCGTGAAGCCCAGGTTCTGTCTGATTCATTCACTGCTATATTCCTAATGTCTGCAACACTGCCTGCCACATAGTAGGCACTCAATAAATACGCGTTGAACAGATGAGAGTGAGACTTGAGATGAACCTTGAAAGATGAGTAAGAATTATTACAGTGAAAAAGGTCAGTGGTGTGGGCACATGTCCTACAGTGGCACAGTGTTCAATGATGCCTTAGAAATGTCTTGGGAGTAGGAGAAAATAGCTATTATTCCTTCATGGTGCCAGAATTGAAATAAGACTTTAAAATGCCAGATGCGAGTAGGTACAATACCTGTGAAGAAGTCACTGGAGGAGTGGTGGAGAGGTGGAGGGCAACCCCACTGAGGGCCAGGCACAAAACTGGACACTGGGACAGTAAGAAGTAGAGTCAGGTGGGCTGACTGTGTGTCACTGAAAGGGTGTCAGGAGATAGAAGTGAGAAAGTGGCCCCTCTGCTGGGAGCAGTGAAGAGCCCATTGGGAAAAAAAGAGTTTTTAAAGAGTTTTTATCTTCCCTTTTCTTGATGCTCTCAGTGTGATCAGCATTCTATTCCAGGACTTATAGGATCACAGGTCCAGCTTTCAATAGGCTAGACTTCCCTCTTGGGGAGTTTGCCTTCACTCAGGATAGGTTGTTGCTGTCAGGTTATTGATTGTAGTTTTCTCATTCTGCCCTATAGGTCTATCTAGGAAAGATATTCGTATTATTTCTACCCAATTACAATTGGTTTTGAGGCAAAAAATACACAAACAGATAACTCTTGTTAAAACAGCTAGGGACATTCATCAAAGGATTGAGTAGAAAACCCAAAGAATATGTATTAAGTAAAGCATACAACCTCTTAAATTGCTGTCAATAACTTTATAATTTATTGTAATCCTTACTTTAGCCTTAAAGTTGAATAAGTTGGTATCTCATGTCATCATGAACCTTTAACTTGGACTCCTCCAGAGCTTTAGATCATATTAAAATCTAAATTTCCTCTAGCAAACTGCCTTCAATTTTTCTGCCACTCAGAATCAGTCATCTTGCAACAACCTATAGTTGTTGACTGTCACTTTAGTATGAGGAGTGGATTTTGAGTCTGCCTTCCTTGATTACTGCTATTCTTCCTCTGTGAAACTCTCTTCTTGGCCAGGCGTGGTGGCTCACGCCTGTAATTCCGGCACTTTGGGAGGCTGAGGCGGGCGGATCACCTGAGGTCAGGAGTTTGAGACCAGTCTGACCAACATGGAGAAACTCCGTCTGTACTAAAAACACAAAAAAATTAGCCAGGCATGGTGGCACGTGCCTGTAATCCCAGCTACTTGGGAGGCTGAGGCAGGAGAATCGCTTGAACCCGGGAGGCGGAGACTGCGGTGAGCCGAGATCACGCCGTTGCACTCCAGCCTGGGCAATGAGAGTGAAACTCCGTCTCAAAAAAAAAAAAAAAAAAAAAAAAAAAGAAAAAAGAAACTCTCTTCTTAGGGAAGAAGCTAAAAGGGAGAGAAAAAAGTTTGAAAGTGTCCAGTCTGTGACTTATTTAAAACTTCTAAAATACTCCTTTTTCCAATTGAGTACACCTCTTAATTCCATATTTTCATGCTTTTCTGATCATCATCAATGGCTACCATTATTCTTCAATTAATCAGTTGAAGGATAGAGAGGGAAAAACCAAAGTGTTTTTTCCTATTCTCTCTCACCTCTCAATGCAACACAGCACCTCTAGTCACCAAAATTTCTCCCCATCCATCAAGCAGGCATTTCTCCAGTGGACACCAGCTGAGCATGCTCTAATTGAGTTCAAGTGACTCTGTCTACCTGGAGATAGTGTTAGATCCCACAGGTGGAGGGCTCGGTCCCACAAGACTGCCCCCACTTCAGATGCCAGTCGCAAGTAGACAAGAGGCTGTCACCTATACTTCTGACCCACTGGCTATAAACTGGGGGATCCCTGCGCCCCCTCCTCAGGTTTAATTAATTTGCTAAAGCACCTCACAGAACTCAAGGAAACATATTTATCCATTTATTATAAAAGATACTACAAAGGATGCAGATGAACAGTTAGGTGAGAGAGATGCACAGGGCAGCATATGTGGGTGGAGGCACAGAACTCTCATGCCCTCTCTGGGCATGCCACCCTCCAGGAACCTCCGTGTGTTCAACTGTCTGTAAGCTATATAATGAAGAGTGTCAGTGGGAGCGAGGTGGAAGGCAAGTGAGGAAGAGGAAGATGGGAAGCAAATCAGTGTCGTGCATTACTGCACTGGTCCCTGCTTCAGAACAAGTTGCTAATAAAGGTGCAGCTCAACAGATGTACCCACTCAGCTTCAAGAACTCCTTCAGAAAGTTTGTAAGGAACAACCGTGCTTTGGAGTGGGTTACTGAAGAGAGGACCAGAGAGGAACTGTATCTTCTGTCTCCTGTCTTCCTTGGTTAGCCCCACAGAGATGAACTTCCATGTACTTCAGATTGCATCATTTGGCTCCTTCTCCAGCTACTTGAGAAGTCAAACACCCCAATTTGTGGTGTGAAGCCTTACCAGAGTTCAGAAGTGGTGGGAGGAGCCTTGGATTCTGGGTGTAATCCTAAGTCTTCAGAGGAACTCTGTAGGCCCACACTTTGGTCCTGTTGCCAGATGAAGTATAGAATAAGAGCTAAAGGGCCAGGATACAGATGGGGCCAAGAGAATCTGGGACAAACATAAGAAATTAGTGTGTTTCCTCTTCTTCCCTGCCACCCATTTTTCTCCTCTATTACCTGATATTAGCCAACAATATTATCATTTTTAGTATTTATCTTTGTATTATTTTTGATTTCCAGCTATTGTAGAAACATTGTAATGATGATCTTAGCTTGCCTTTTTAAATCAATAAAATTAGTTTTCTTTCCACCTTCTTTCTTTCCTCCTCTTCCAATTTTATTAGTTGGGGCATTTCTACATTGCCAGACTAACAACATTTGCATTCTAGTTTTTCATTGTACAGACCATCCCCAACTTACAATAGTTCAACTTTATGATGGGTTTATAGAAATATTAAATGCATTTTTGACTTATAATACTTTCGACTTATGTTGTGTTTATCAGGATGTAACTCCATCGTACATTGAGGACTATCTGTAATTCTCACCTTCGATTTTTGTCTCAATTATATTGGTAAACGTATTTAATGCTCACAGCATGTCATTTTATTGTGGTTTCCGCTGTTATCACTTGCCTGGCCAAAGTTCATTTTTAGTGGTTTCCTCAAGAGGACTCATTGAAATAACACTTCTTAAGTTCTTGCATCCTCAAAACTACTTTTTCTGTAACTAATCATATGTACTTAAAATGGTTATGAAATTTTGAGTCACACTTTCTTTTCCTGAATGTTATATAACTATTGTTTCATTATCCTCTGGGATTGAATGTTACTGTAGAGACATACAAAGTTATCTTTGCTTTTATACCACTTAAACATGACTTGGTCATTTTGTTTTGCTCACTAAAGTAGTCTCAATCTTTGAATTCTGAAATGTTACTAGAATGACTCAGTGTTGACTGCCCTTGATCAGATTTCTCTGGCAACCATTTGTGCCTGTATATATATATATATTCAAGTTTTTCTTTGCTTCAGAAAATATTTTGCCCCATTACATCTTTCAATATGTGTTCTGTCCCTTGTTCTTGGTTTTCTTTTTGGGGAACTGCAATTATGTGAATACTGTATTTCTTTTGTATTTCTTATGTATGTACCCTTCTTTTCTTTATTTGTTTTTACTTTTTGTTTCCATTTCATTTTGTTCATTTCTCTTATTAATATCCCCTTTGTCTTGTATTATGTTTTCCCCAGTCTAGATAATTTTTTTTAATTTTTGTGGGTACATAGTAGGTGTATATATTTTGAGGGTACGTGAGATATTTTGATACTCACATGCAATGCACAATAATCACATCATGGAAAATGGGGTATTATTACCCTTAACCATTTATCCTTTGTATTACAAACAGTCCAATTATACTCTTCTAGTTACTTTAAAATAAACAATTAAATTATTATTGACTATAGTTATCCGGTTGTGCTATCAAACATCGGGTCTTATACATTTATTCAAGCTATTTTTTTTGTACCCATTAACCATCCCCACTTCCCTCACACCTCACCCCACTCCCATTTCCAACCTCTAGTAACCATCCTTCTATTCTCTACCTCCTTAAGTTCAATTGTTTCTATTTTTAGCTCACACAAATAAGTGAGAACATGTGAGGTTTGTCTTTCTGTACCTGGCTTATTTCACTTAACATAGTGACCTCCAGTTCCATCCATTTTGTTCCAAATGACAGGATCTCATTTTTTAATGGCTAAATAGTACTCCGTTGTGTATAAGTACATTTTCTTTATCCATTCATCTGCTGATGGACACTTAGGTTGCCCTCAAATCTTGGCTGTTGTGAATAGTGCTGCAACAAACATGGAAGTGCAGGTATCTATCCAATATACTGATTTCCTTCCTTTTGGGTATATACCCAGCAGTGGGATTGCTGGATCAAATGGTAGCTCTATTTTTAGTTTTATGAGGAACTTCCAAACTATTTTGAACTAATTTACATTTCCACCAACAATGTACAAAGATTCCGTTTTCTTCACATCCTTGCCAGCCTTTGTTATTGTCTCTATTTTGATTATAAGCCATTTTAACTGGGGTGAGGTGACATTTGTTGTAGTTTTATTTTTAATTTTTTAGATGATCAGTGATGTTGAGCACATTTTCATATGCCTGTTTGCCATTTGTTTGTCTTCTTTTAAGAAATGTCTATTCAAATCTTTTGCCCATTTTTTGATCAGATTATTGCATTTTTTTCCTGACAGAGTTGTTTGAGCTCTTTATATATTCTGGTTATTAATCTCTTGTCAGATGAGTAGTTTGCAAATATTTTCTCCCATTTTGTGGCTTGTCTTTTCACTTTGTTGATTGTTTCCCATGCTGTGTGGAAGCTTTTTAGCTTGATGTGACCCCATTTGTTCATTTCTACTTTGGTTGCTTGAGCTTGTAGGGTATTCCTCAAGAAATTTTTGCCCAGATCCATATCTCGGAGGGTTTCTCCATGTTTTCTTGTAGGAATTTCATAGTTTGAGGTCTTAGATTTAAGTCATTCGTTCATTTTTTATTTGGTGTTTGTATATGGTGAGAGATAGGGGTTTCGTTTTGTTTTTCTGCACATAAATATCCTGTTTTCCCAGCACCATTTATTGAAGAGACTGTCTTTTCCCTTGTGTATGTTCTTGACACCTTTGTTGAAAATGAGTTTATGTGCATGTGCATTTATTTCTTGGTTCTCTGTTTTGCTCCATTGGCCCATGTGTCTATTTTTATGCCAGTAACATGCTGTTTTGGTTACTATAGCTCTGTATTTGAAGTCAGGTAATGTGATCCCTACACGTTTTTTGTTTGTTTGTTTTTGTTTTGCTTAAGATGACTTTGGCTATTCTGGGTCTTTTGTGATTACATTTAAATTTTAGGATTTTTTTTTTCTATTTCTGTGAAGAATGTCATTGGTATTTTGATCAAGATTGCATTGAATCCATACATTGCTTTGGGTAGTATGGACATTTTAATAATATTAATTCTTCTAATCCATGAATGTGAAATATCTTTCCAGTTTTTGGTACCCTCTTAAATTTCTTTCATCAGTGTTTTATAGTTTTCATTACAGAGATCTTTCACTTATCTGGTTAAGTTAATTCCTATGTATTTAATCTTATTTGTGGCTATGGTAAATGGGATTGCTTTTATATTTCTTTTTCAGATTCTTCACTGTTGGCATATAGAAATGCTACTAATTTTTGTATGTTGATTTTGTACACTTCAATGTTAGTAAACTGGTTTATAAGTTCTAATAGTTTTCTTGTGGAGTCTTTAGCCTTTTCCAAATATAAAGTCATATCATCTGCAAACAAGGATAATTTGACTTCTTGCTTTACAACTGGGATGCCCCTTATTTCATTCTCTTGTCTGATTACTCTAGCTAGGACTTCCAGTGTTACATTGAATAACAGTTGTGTAAGTGGGCATCCTTGTTGTATTCCAGGTCTCAGAGAAAAGGCCTTTAGTTTTTCCTTATTTGGTGTGATACTAGCTGTGTGTCTATATGGCTTTTATTATATTGAGTTATGTTCCTTCTATACCCTATTTTTTGAGGGTTTTTTTTATCATGAAGACATGTTGAATTTTCTCAAGTGTTTTTTCAGCATCAGTTGAAACAATGATGTGGTTTCTGTCCTTCATTCTGTTGATATGATGCATCACATTGATTGATTTGCATATGATGAACCATCCTTGCATCCCACGAATAAATCCCACTTGGTCATGATGAAGGATCTTTCTAATGTATTGTTAAATTCAGGTTGTTAGTATTTTGTTGAGGATTTTTGTATTAATATTCAAGTATTAGTTCTTTAAATGTTGGTAGAATTCAGCAGTGAAGCCAACAGATCCTGGGCTTTTCTTTACTGGGAGGCTTTTAATTATGGCTTTGATCTCATTACTTGTTGTTGGTTTGTTCAGTTTTTGGATTTCTTCATGGTTCAATCTTGACAGGTTGTATGTGTCTAGGTATTTGTCCATTTCTTCTATGTTTTGCAATTTGTTAGCATATAGTCACTCATTGCAGCCACTAATGATTCTTTGAATTTCTACAGTATTGATTGCAATGACTCCTTTTTCATCTCTGGATTTATTTATTAGAGTCTTCTCACTTTTTTTTTCTTGGTAAGTCTGACTAAAGGTCTGTCAATTTTATTCAACTTTTCAAAAATCCTACTTTTGTTTCATTGATCTTTTGCATTGTTTACATCATTTCAATTTCATTTATTTCTGCTCTGATGTTTGTTATTTCTTCTCTTCTACTAATTTTGGATTTGGTTTGCTCCTGCTTTTTTAGTTCTTTAATAAGCATCATTAGGTTGCTTTTGGAAGTTTTCTTTTTTCTTGATGTAGGCATTTATAGCTGTAAAATTCTCTGTCAATACTGCTTTTGCTATATCCTGTAAGTTTTGGTATGTTGTGTTTCCATTATCATCTGTTTCAAGAAATTTTTCAATTTTCTTTTTAATTTTTTTCATTGACCCACTGGTCAATTAGGAGCATATTGTTTACTTTCCATGTATTTGTATAGTTTCCAAAATTCCTCTCATTATTGATTTCTAGTTTTATTCCATTTCAGTCAGGGAATATGCTTGATATTATTTAATTTTTAAAAAATGTTTTAAGGCTTGTTTTGTGAACTAACATATGGTCTATCCTTGAGAATAATCTATGTGCTAAGGAAAAGAATTTATATTCTGTAGCTGTTGGATGAAATATTCTGTAAATATATATTAGATCCTTTTGGTCTATAGTGCAGATTAAGCTTAATATTTCTTTATTGATTTTCTGTCTGGAAGATCTGTCCAATTCTGAAAATGGGGTGTTAAAGTCTCGAGCTATTATTGTTTTGGGGCCTCTCTCTTTTTAGCTCTAATAATATTTGTTTTATATATCTAAGTGCTGCAGTGTTGGTGCACATATATTTAAAATTGTTATAACTTCTTGCTGAATTGATCCCTTTATCATTATATAGTGTAATTCTTTGACTCTTCTTACAATTTTTTTCTTGAAATTTATTTTTCTAATATAAGTACAGCTACTCCTGCTCTGTTTGATTTCTATTGGCATAAAATATTTTTTCCCATCCCTTTATTTTCAGTATATGTGTGTCTTTAAAGGTGAAGTATGTTTCTTGTAGGCAACAGATCATTGAGGTTTTTTTTGTTTGTTTGTTTTTGTTTTTAACCCATTCAACTACTTTATGTCTTTTGATTGGAGAGTCTAGCCCATTTATATTTAATGTTATTTTTGATAAGTAAGGACTTACTCCTACCATTTTGTTATTTGTTTCCTGGTTGTCTTGTGGTCTTTTCTTCCTTCTGTCTTTCCTGCTGTCTTCCTTTTAGTACAAGTGATTTTCTCTGGTGATATGATTTAGTTTCTTGCTTTTTATCTTTTGTGTATCTGTTGTATGTTTTTTGGTTTGAGGTTACTGTGAGGCTGGCAAATGCTATCTTATAGCCCATTATTTAAAGCTAATAACAACTTAACACTGTTTGCATAAACAAATAAACAAGCAAGTGAAAAGAAAACTAATAAAAACTCTACACTTTAACTTCATTGCCCTGATTTTTTACTTTTTGTTGTTTCTACTTATATCTTATTGTACTGTCTATGTCTTAAAAAGCTGTTGTAGTTACTATCTTTGAATGGTTCATTATTTAGTTTTTCTACTTAGATAAGAGTCATTTACACACCACAGTTACAGTGTTATAACATTCTATTTTTTCTGTGTACTTATTACCAATGAGTTCTGTACCTCCAAGTAATTTCTTATTGCTCATTAACATCCTTTTCATCCTGACTGAAGTACTCTCTTTAGCATTTCTTATAGGACATGTCTGGTGTTGATGAAATCCCTCAGTTTTTGTTTGTCTGGAGAAGTCTTTATTTCTCCTTCATGTTTGAAGGATATTTTACCCTATTCTAGGGTAAAAGTTTTTTCCTTCAGCCGTTTAAATATGTCATGCCGTTCTCTCCTGGTTTGTAAGGTTCCCACTGAAAAGTCTGCTGCTCCATTGTATGTTATTTGTTTCTTTTCTCTTGCTGCTTTTAGGATGCTTTCTTTATCCTTTACTTTGGGGAGTTTGATTACTTAATACTTTGAGATGGCCTTCTTTGGGTTAATCTCCTTGGTGTTCATAACCTTCTTGTACTTGGATATTGATATCTTTCTCTAGGTTCTAGGAAGTTCTCTTTTATTATCTGTTTGAATAAACTTTCTATTCCTGTCTCATTCTCTATCTCCTCTTTAAGACCAGTAACCCTTAGATTTGCCCTTTTAAGGCTATTTTCTAGATCCTGTTATTTTTTAATTATTTTTTCTTTTGTATCTTCTGTATATTTTCAAATAGCCTGCCTTCAAGCTCACTGATTCTTTCTTCTGCTAATCTGCTCTTAAAAACTCTGATGTAGGCCGGGCGCGGTGGCTCACGCCTGTAATCCCAGCACTTTGGGAGGCCGAGGCGGGCGGATCACGAGGTCAGGAGATCGAGACCATCCTGGCTAACACGGTGAAACCCCGTCTCTACTAAAAATACAAAAAATTAGCCGGGCGAGGTGGCGGGCGCCTGTAGTCCCAGCTACTCGGGAGGCTGAGGCAGGAGAATGGCGTGAACCCCAGGGGGCGGAGCCTGCAGTGAGCCGAGATTGCGCCACTGCACTCCAGCCTGGGCGACAGCGAGACTCCGTCTCAAAAAAAAAAAAAAAAAAAAAAAAAAACTCTGATGTATTCTTCAGTATGCCAGTTGCGTTTCTCACCTCCAAAATTTCTGTTTGGTCTTTTAAAGTATTTCAATCTCTTTCCTAGATGTATCTGATAGAATTCTGAATTCCTTTTCTGTGTTATTTAGAATTTCTTTGAGTTTCCTCAAAACAGCAATTTTGAATGCTCTGTTTGAAAGTTCACATATCTCTGTTTCTCCAGATTGGTCCCTGGTGCCTTATTTAGTTCATTTGGTGAGATCGTGTTTTCCTAGATGGTCTTGATACTTGTAAATGTTCATTTGTGTCTGTAGTGAAGAGTTAGGTATTTTATTCTTCTCAGTCTGGGTTTGTTTGTACCAATCCTTCTTGGGAAGGCTTTCTACATATTCAAAAAGACTTGGGTGTTGTGTTCTATTTTGTATCTGCTTTAGGGGGCACCCCAAGCTGAGTAAAGCCATGGCTCTTGCAGGCTTGTAGAGATACTGTCTTAATGGCTTAGGACAAGATCCAGAAGAATTCTCTGGATTACCAGGCAGAGACTCTTGTTCTCTTCTTTTAGATTCTCCTGAACAAATGGAGTCTCTCTCTCTTCTGAACAATCTGAAGCTGGAGGGGGAGTGACACAAGCACCCCTGTGGTCACCACCACTGGGACTGTGCTGGGTCAGACCTGAAGCCAGCATAGCACTGAGTTTTGCCCAAGGCCTGCTGTAAACATTGCCTGGCTATCACCAATGTTTGCTCAATGCCCTGGGGCTCTACAATCAGCAGGTAGCAAATCCAGCAAGACCTGTGTCCTTTCCTTCAAGGTGGCAAGTTCCCCTAGGCCCCAGGCAGGTCCAGAGGTGCTGTCCGGGATCCAGGGACTAGATTCAAAAACGTTAGAAGTCCACCTGGTGTTCTGTTGCACTGCAGTTGAACTGGCACTCAAACCACAAGACGTAGTACTTTCCACTCTTCCATCCCCTTTCCAAAGGCAGAGGATCCCCACTCTGTGGCCATCACCACCACCAGCCTTTGAAGAGTACTGCTGGACTACTACCAATGTACCCTTAAGGCCTAAGGTCTCTTCAGTCAGCTTGTGGTGAATGCTGCCTGGGCCTGGGACTCACCCTTCAGGCAGTGGACTCCCCTCTGCCCCAGGGCAGGTCCAGGAATGCCATCCAAGAGCCAAGTCCTGGAATCACCTATATCCCCGTGTGGCTGAGCTGGTACATAGAACGTAAAACAAAGTGCCCATTATTTTTCCCTCTGCTTTTCTCAAGTGGAAGGAGCCTTGCCCTGTAACTACCACAGCTGGGGATGTGCTGAAGCCAGCAAGGGTCAGAATGTTATCCAAGGCCTTTGCCATAGTACTTGGGTATCACTGGGTATTCAGGGCCCAAGGACTCTCCAGTTGGTAGGTGATGAATATTGCCAGGACTGGGTTCTTCCCTTCAGTCAGCAGGTTCTCTTCTGGCCCAGGGTGTATCTAGAAATGTCTTCTAGAAGCTACAGCCTAGAAAAAGGGCTTCACAACTCTTACTGTACCTATGTTGCTGTAGCTGAGCATGTATCCAAGATGCAAGACAAAGTCCTCCTTGCTCTTCCCTCTCCTCTCCTTACATGGAGGGAAGGGGTCTCTTTTGGAGTCATGAGCTGTGCAACCTGGGGTTGGGGGAAGAATGATGCAAGCACTTCCTTAGCCTTCCTGGCTGATGTCTCAGTAGGTCCTATGGCCCCCAGTCCACTAACTCTGGGCCCAGTTTAGCATTAGTACTCTCCTAGGAATTGCAGTCCTTATGGCCTAGACTGCCTTTCAAGTTTTTATAGGGCCCCACATCACTTTAACCCATGGTGGTGAAGCTTGCAGAACTTAAGTTCTGATTGCTGAGATTGCTGATTCCCCTCTGGCTAGGGCTTGTTTAAATGCTCCTTCTGTGGGCAGGCATCAGCTAGGTTTGGTTTTGTTTTGTTTTCTGCTATAACAGGACAGCACTGAGTTCAGTGCCTCACAATTGCTGCAACAGAAACACTCTTGGCAACATGCCACCTCTGCTGGGTGATGAGGGAGGGGTGGTATCAGTGATTTAAGACTGTTTTTCCTACCTATTTAGTGCCTCCTTCAACAATATGTAGTTAAAACCAGATACTTTGAGTTCTCACCTGATTTTTAAATTATTATTATTATGCTTTATATTCTGGGATACATATGCAGAATATGCAGGTTTGTAACATATGTATACATGTGCCAGGGTTGTTTGCTGCACCCATCAACCCATCACCTACATTAGGTATTTCTTCTAATGCTATTCCTCCCCTTGCCCCCCACCCGTTGACAGGCCCCAGTGTGTGTTGTTTCCTTCCCTGTGCCCATATGTTCTCATTGTTCAATTCTCACTTATGAGTGAGAACATGAGGTGTTTGGTTTTCTGTTCTTGTGTTAGTTTGCTGAGAATGATGGTTTCCAGCTTCATCCATGTCCCTGCAAAGGACATGAACTCATCCTTTTTTATGGCTGCATACTATTCCATGGTGTATATATGCCACATTTTCTTAATACTGTCTGTCATTGATGGGCATTTGGGTTGGTTCCAAGTCATTGCTGTTGTGAATAGTGCTGCAGTAAACATATGTGTATATGTGTCTTTATAGTACAGTGATTTATAATCCTTTGGGTATATGCTCAGTAATGGGATTGCTGGGTCAAATGGTATTTCTGGTTCTAGATCCTTAAGGAATCACCACACTGTCTTCCACAATGGTTGAACTAATTGACACTACCACCAACAGTGTAAAAGCATTCCTATTTCTCCACATCCTCTCCAGCATCTGTTGTTTCCGGACTTTTTAATGATCAGCATTCTAACTGGCATGAGAAGGTATCTCATTGTGGTTTTGATTTGCATTTCTCTAATGAACAGTGATGATGAGCTTTTTTTCATATGTTTATTGGCCGCATAAATGTCTTCTTTTGAAAAGTGTCTGTTCACACCCTTCACCCACTTTTTGATGGGGTTGTTTTTTTTTCTTGTAAATTTATTTAAATTCCTTGTAGATTCTAGATATTAGGCCTTTGTCAGATGGATAGATTGCAAAAATTTTCTCCCATTCTGTAGGTTGCCTGTTCACTCAGATGATAGTTTCTATTGCTGTACAGAAGCTCTTTAATTAGATCTCATTTGTCAATTTTGACTTTTGCTGCAATTGCTTTTGGTGTTTTAGTCATGAAGTCTTTGCCCATGCTATGTCCTGAATGGTATTGCCTAGGTTTTCATCTAGGGTTTTTATCGTTTTATGTCTTACATTTAAATCTTTAATCCATCTTGAGTTAATTTTTGTATAAGGTGTAAGAAACGGGTCTAGTTTCAGTTTTCTGCATATGGCTAGCCAGTTTTCTCAACACCATTTATTAAATAGGGAATCCTTTCCCCATTACTTGTTTTTGTCAGATTTGTCAAAGATCAGATGGTTGTAGATGTGTGGCATTATTTCTGAGGTCTCTGTTCTGCTCCATTAGTCTATATATCTGTTTTGGTGCCAGTACCATGCTGTTTTGGTTACTGTAGTCTTGTAGTATAGTTTGAAGTCAGGTAGCATGATGCCTCCAAGTTTGCTCTTTTTGCTTAGCATTGCCTTGGCTATACTGGCTCTTTTTTGGTTCCATATAAAATTTAAAGTAGTTTTTCCAATTCTGTGAAGAAAGTCAATGGTAGCTTGATAGGAATGGCATTGAATTTCTAAATTACTTTGGGCAGTATGGCAATTTTCAGGATATTGATTCTTTCTATCCATGAGCATGGAATTTTTTTACTTGTTTGTGTCCTCTCTTATTTCCTTGAGCAGTTGTTTGTAGGTCTCTTTGAAGAGGTCCTTCACATCCCTTGTAAGTTGTATTCCTAGGTATTTTATCCTCTTTGTAGCAATTGTGAATGGGAATTCACTCATGAGTTGGCTCTCTCTTTCTATTATTGGTGTATAGAAATGCTTGTGTTTTTGCACATTGATTTTGTATCCTGAGACTTTGCTGAAGTTGCTTATTAGCTTAAGGAGTTTTTGGGCTGAGACGATGGGTTTTTCTAAATAAACAATTATGTCTTATCAGAGCCTAGGATTGCAAATGGAGATAATTTGACTTCCTCTCTTTCTATTTGAATATGCTTTATTTCTTTCTCTTGCCTGATTACCTTGGCCAGAACTTCCAATACTGTTTTGAATAGGAGTGGTGAGAGAGGGCATCCTTGTCCTGTGCTGGTTTTTAAACAGAATGCTTCCAGTTTTTGCCCATTAAGTATGATATTAGCTGTGGGTTTTTCATAAATAGCTCATATTATTTTGAGATACATCCCATCAATACCTAGTTTATTGAGTATTTTTAACATGAAGCGGTGTTGAATTTTATCACAGGCCTTTTCTGCATCTATTGAGATAATCATGTGGTTTTTGTCATTGGTTCTGTTTATGTGATGGATTACACTTATTGATTTGTGTATGTTGAACCAGCCTTGCATCCCAGGGATGAAGCAGACTTGATCATGGTGGATAAGCTTTTCAATGTGTTGCTGGATTCGGTTCGCCAGTATTTTATTGGGGATTTTTGCATCAATATTCATCAGGGATATCGGCCTGAAATTTTCTTTTTTTGTTGTGTTTCTGCTAGGTTTTGGTATCAGGATATGCTGACCTCCTAAAATGAGTTAGGGAAGAGCCCCTCTTTTTCTATTGTTTTGAATAGTTTTAGGAGGAATGATACCAGCTCCTCTTTGTACCTCTCGTAGAATTTGTCTGTGAATCCGTCTGGTCCTGGGCTTTTTTTGGTTGGTAGGCTATTAACTACTGCCTCAATTTCAGAACTTGGTATTGATCTATTCGGGGATTCGACTTCTTCCTGGTTTAGTCTTGGGAGGGTGTATGTGTCCAGGAATTTATCCATTTCTTCTAGATTTTCTAGTTCAGTTGCATAGAGGTGTTTATAGTATTCTCTGATGGTAGTTTGTATTCTGTGGGATCAATGGTGATATCCTCTTTATCATTTTATATTGTGTCTATTTGATTCTTCTCTCTTTTCTTCTTTATTAGACTGGCTAGTGTTCTATCTATTTTCTTAATCTTTTCAAAAAACCACTTCCTGGATTCACTGATTTTTTTTGAAGGGTTTTTTGTGCCTCTGTCTCCTTCAGCTCTGCTCTGATCTTAGTTATTTCTTGCCTTCTGCTAGCTTTTATTTGTGATTTTAGGGTGTCAATTTTAGATCTTTCCCACTTCCTCCAGTGGGCATTTATTGCTATAAATGTCCTTGTAAACACCACTTTAGCTGTGTCCCACAGATATTGGTACATTGTGTGTTTGTTCTGATTGGTTTCAAAGAACTTATTTATTTCTGCCTCAAGTTCCTTATTTACCCAGTAGTCATTCAGGAGCCGGTTGTTCAGTTTCCATGTAGTTGTGCGGTTTTGAGTGAGTTTCTTAATCCTAATGTCTAATTTCATTGCACTGTGGTCTGACAGACTTTTTGTTATGATTTCCATTCTTTTGCATTTGCTGTGGAGTGTTTTCCTTCCAATTATGTGGTCGATTTTAGAATAAGTGCTATGTAGTCCTGAGAACAATGTATATTCTGTTGATTTGGGTTGGAGAGTTCTGTAGATGTCTATTAGGTGTGCTTGGTCCAGAACTGAGTTCAAGTCCTGAATATCTTTGTTAATTTTCTGTCTTGTTGATCTAATATTGACAGTGTGATGTTAAAATCTCCCAGTATTATTGTGTGGGAGTCTAAGTCTCCATTTTGGTCTCAAAGAACTTGCTTTATGAATCTGGGTGCTCCTGTATTGGGTGCATATATATTTAGGATAGTCAGCTCTTCTTGTTGCATTGGTCACTTTACCATTATGTAATGCCCTTCTTTGTCTTTTTTTATCTTCGTTGGTTTAAAGTCTGTCTTATCAGAGCCTAGGATTGCAGCCCCTGCTTTTTTTTGCTTTCCATTTTCTTGGTAAATCTTCCTCTATCCCTTTATTTTGAGCCTATATGTGTCTTTGCACGTGAGATGAGTCTCCTAAATACAGCACACTGACAGGTCTTGACTCTTTATCCAATTTGCCACCTGTGTCTTTTAATTGGGGCATTTAGTCCATTTGCATTTAAGGTTAATATTGTTATGTGTGAATTTGATCCTGTCATTATGATGCTAGCTGGTTATTTTGCCCATTAGTTGATGTAGTTTCTTCATAGTGTCAATGGTCTTTACATTTTGGTATGTTTTTGCAGTGGCTGGTACCGGTTTTTCTTTTCCATATTTAGTGCTTCCTTCAGGAGTTGTTGTAAGGCAGGCCTGGTGGTGACAAAAATCCCTCAGCATTTTCTTGGCTGTAAAGGATTTTATTTTTCCTTTATTTATGGAGCTTAGTTTGGCTGGATATAAAATTCTGGGTTGAAAATTATTTACTTTAAGAATGTTGAAAATTGGCCCCCACTCTCTTCTGGCTTGTAGGGTTTATGCAGAGAGATCCACTCTTTGTCTGATGGGTTTCCCTGTATGGATAACCCGACCTTTCTCTCTGGCTGCCCTTAACATTTTTTCCTTCATTTCAACCTTGGAGAATCTGATGATTATGTGTCTTGGGGTTGCTCTTCTCGAGGAGTATCTTTGTGGTGTTCTCTGTATTTCCCGAATTTGAATGTTGGCCTGTCTTGCTAGGTTGGGCAAGTTCTCCTGGATAATATCCCAAGTATGTTTTCCAACTTGGTTCCATTTTCCCTGTCAGTTTCAGATACAGCAATCAAACGTAGATTTGGTCTTTTCACTACATTTCTTGGAGGCTTTGTTCATTCCTTTTCATTCTTTTTTCTCTAATCTTGCCTTCACACTTTATTTCATTAAGTTGATCTTCAATCTCTTATATCCTTTCTTCCACTTGATCGATTCAGCTATTGATACTTGTGTATGCTTCACAAAGTTCTTGTGCTTTGTTTTTCAGCTCCATCAGTTCATTTATGTTCTTCTGTAAACTGCTCATTCTAGTTAGCAATTCCTGTAACCTTTTATCAAGATTCTTAGCTTTCTTGCATTGGGTTAAAACATGCTCCTTAAGCTCAGAGGAGTTTGTTATTACTCACCTCCTGAAGGCTACTTCTGTCAATTCATTAAACTGATTCTCCATCCAGTTTTTTTTCCTTGCTGGCAAGGAGTTGTGATCCTTTGGAGGAGAAGAGGCATTCTGGTTTTTGAAATTTTCACCCTTTTTGTGCTGGTTTTTCCTCATCTTCATGGATTTATCTACCTTTGGTCTTTGCTGTTGGTGCCCTTCAGATGGAGTTTTTGCATGGTCGTCCTTTTTGTTGGTGTTGATGCTGTTGCTTTCTGTTTGTTAGTTTTCCTTCTAGCAGTCAGGCCCCACTTCTGCAGGTCTGCTGGTGTTTTCTGGAGGTCCACTCCATATCCTGTTTGCCTGGGTATCACCAGTGGAGGCTGCAGAACAGCAAAGATTGCTGCCTGCTCCTTCCTCAGGAAGCTTCGTCCCCGAAGGGCACCCCTCAGATGCCAGCCAGAGCTGTCCTGTATGAGGTGTCTGTTGACCCCTGATGGGAGGTGTCTCCCTGTCAGGAGGCACAGGGGTCAGGGACCCACTTAAGGAAGCAGTCTGTTCCTTAGCAGAGCTCAAGCGCTGTGCCGGTACATCCACTGCTCTCTTCAGAGCAAGCAGGCAGGAACGTTTACGTGTACTGAAACTGCGCCCACAGCCACCCCTTCCCCCAGGTGCTTTGTCCCAGGAAGATGGGAGTTTTATCTATAAGCCTCTGACTGGGGCTGCTGCCTTTCTTTCAGAGATGCCCTGCCCAGAGAGGAGGAGTTTATAGAGGCAGTCTGGCTACAGTGGCTTTGGGGTGCTAGAGTGGGCTCCACCCAGTCTGAACTTCCTGGCAGCTTTGTTTACACTGTGAGGGGAAAACCACCTACTCAACCCTCAGCAATGGCAGATGCCCCTCCCCTCACCAAGCTCAAGTGTCCCAGGTCAACTTCAGACTGCTGTGCTGGCAGCAAGAATTTTAAGCCAGTGGATCTTAGCTTGCTGGGCTCCATGGGGGTGGGATCCACTGAGCTAGACCACTTGGCTCCCTGGCTTCAGCCCCCTTTCCAGGGGAGTCAACGGTTCTGTCTTGCTTGCGTTCCAGGCACCACTGGGATATGAAAAAAACTCCTGCAGCTAGCTTGGTGTCTGCCCAAATGGCAGCCCAGTTTTATGTTGGAAACCCAGGGCCCTGGTGGTGTAGGCACTTGAGGGAATCTCCTGGTCTGCAGTTGTGAAGACTGTGGGAAAAGCATAGTATCTGGGCCGGATACCACCGTCCCTCACTGCAGGATCCCTCACAGCTTCCCTGGGCTTGGGGAGGGAGTTCCCCGATCTCTTCAACTTCCCTGGTGAGGCAATACCCCACCCTACTTTGGCTCACCCTCTGTGGGCTGTACCCACTGTCTAACCAGTCCCAATGAGGTAAGCCAGGTAACTCATTGGAGATGCAGAAATCACCTGCCTTCTGCATTGGTCTCGCTGGGAGCTGCAGACTGGAGCTGTTCCTATTCTGCCATCTTGCCTGGGAATCGGTTTTTGGTTACTGTAAAGGCACTTTTTAAAAATAGATAGTTGTTAAATTGTTGTTCTTGTGGTGGGGGTGGGCCCAGATCAGTGGAGACTTCTATTCTGCTATCTTGGTCCACCCCTCCTCTAGAAAATTTCTGATGCTCCTTCCAATTTTATTTTTGTTTCTATGATGTTTTGGTTTTATTTTGTATTTTTCTTCTATTATTGAGGGAGATAAATTATAGGAAATGAACCAAATGAAATAGCCAATATTTGGCCATTTTTGATGTATAAAAGTTTCATATCGTCCAAATTAATGTTTTTTCCCTGAGTTCGGCCAGCTCATATTTTATCTCTTCCTGTTGCCCTATCACTTTTTCTCCCTGAATTTTTATACTTCTGCTTTGTGATCTCGCTTCACAGAGGCAATGGCTTCATTAATCATTTTTAATTCTTGGAGAAATATTTATTCACAACTTTTGTCTGTCTCATAGCAGTACTTTTTTTAGTAAGTATTGTTCATTGCTTATCAACATTAGTAAATGCTGTCATTCTTGGATACTTGTTTAATGCTTTGACAATTCCTGTTTAATTACTATCTTTTCATAAGTTGCATTCTCCTAGGACAGAATTAGGTCCCTGTGGGTGGGTAGGGTATGTAAATGTATGCAAGCCACCCAAACTAGCTGTTTTACACAAAGTTTTTCTAAAGTTTTCCCTGCTGCCACAGACACAGATTACTTCTTGAAAATGTATGTTTTATGTGAGAATTTTTTTCTTTCCCAGCCTCCTCTGCATCTCTGAACCAAGCAGATGCAGAAGGTTGTCTGTCACCAGAACTGTTTACCTTAGAACCCTTACTAATTATTGCAAATTACAGACATATTTTGCATTTCAGCATGCACTCCTTACTTTCCACAAGTATAATTTCATTGGTGCTTTCTGAGATATGCCCTTCCTGAGTCCTATCATCCTTCTCTTCATTTCTTTGTTTTAACTTTATCTTCTGCCTGATTTAATCTGCTTTGACTAGACTTTACACATATTTTAGAATATGCATACTCTGTCTGCCTTGGCAGATGATAACAGTGTATAGTGGTTAAGACTTTGAACTTTATAATCAAACTATCCTAGTTTTAGACCTACCTCTCAATTCGTTATCTCTGTGACCTTATGTAAATTACTTAATTTCTTGTGCCTCAATAATGTCACCAGAAAAATAGATATTGTAGTTGTTTCTACCACATAGTGTAGGCCAACTGACTTAATGTGTGCAAATTTCCAGAAACAGTATTTGGCACGCTAATGTTATATAGATGTTAGCACTTGTTGTTATTGTTATCCTCACCAAAAATGTAATTTGTGGGATTTTAAAGTTTTGGGATGATTTCCAAGAAGAAGGAGAAAATGCTCATTCAAATAGTCATTTTCATACCAGTAGATTATCTTTCCCTTTTATGCTGCTTATTTTTCTCAATGTCTATTTATCCTTGGTTGTTCGTTTATACGTAGGAGTGAAGGATTCAATTGATTAAAATAAATGGCTTTCGTCTGTCATTTCTGACCTTTCTCTGTCCTGAGAGCCCTGATGGCCAGCTCTGGGCTGGCGTGCAGGGCATCACATATTGTGGGCTTCCCTTAAGGCTGTATTGTGAACTGTGTGGAAGTTAGGCTCAAACAATTTCTCTCAGAAATTTGAATCCGTCCTCTGACCAATGCCAAAACAAGGAGGGCCCTATTCTTGGGCATCAACTTCCACCCTGGGAACTCTAGGCTCTTCTAGGCAGATTGGCTTGATTTCTTTGGAGTGTATTTCCTGTATTCCTCCATTCAACCTGCAGATAAACGTTGCTGCCGCTGGTGGGGGTGGAGGAGGCCAACAGTGCAGCCATTCACAGGCTGTTTGCCAATCAACCCTCACAATTAGGGCTAACTGCAGCTCTGTATGGTGGGAGGGACGGCCATCAATCCCCAGGATTCTCTGTAGGGTAGGAGCAGGAGGGCAAGAGGGTGCATAGAGGGGCCAATCAAAGTCAGCAGGTGCAGGAAGTACAGGTGAGAGAACAGCAGAACCAGAGGGATGGTTCAGATTGTGACTAAGAGAAGCAAAGAGCCAGAGCTGGTTTGCTGAGATTCTTATTTAGGTCTAGGCAGTAAGGCAGGACTGAGAAAGGGAAGACAGGCCAGTGGGTGAGAGGCATGGACAATTGTAAAGAAGTCGGAAGCAGGATGTGTGGTGGCTCACAAAAGTGGCTATACATGTTATAAAAGGGTCACAAGCTAATTTTTTGTTTTTATAAGGATGGCAAATCTCTGATGTTGCAGGGAATCAGAGGCAGATCTGAGCTCTTAACATAGCTAGCTGACTGTGCACTTGTATATCTGCCTATCTTCATAGCGGGTAAGACCATCTTTCTGTCCCTCTGGAGCAATGCTGAGTCATAGATGGTTCTCTATATATGTCAGTTGAATGGGGATATAGTGAATTTCTAAGATATCCTTGACTGATGTGTCCAAATGCATAGCACATTCAAACCTTGCATTTGGTTCAGGTCTTCCAAGTAAGTGAGAAGCAACAGAATGAGATAAGAACTGGATCCCCAGAGAATTCTAGTTGACATTCATGGTTCATATCTTAGCTGTCTGAAAATTCACAGAGAGCTTTAAAAACAAAGACATCTTTCCTGAAGAGGTAAAGTCTGGGCAGTGTGTGTTTTTCTCAAATTGTTCAAAACCAGCCTGGATCCCAGTAATGCAATTGGATCAGATTAGTCCATCATCTGTTTTCATCATTATTGGCATTTGTAAGAGGGAAAAATATAATAAAGCCAGGAAAGACATTTGAGATTTAGAAATCAGCCATTCATTCTCCCTGTGAGCCCTTTTCCTCTTTCCTCCTATGAATCAGTAAGATACAGGCAGGGAGGGTCCATTGTCTCCAAATGCCCCTCTCAAGATTTGAATGCTTTTAAATATGCAAACGTACATGAGATTTAACTGGTAAGTTTTAATTTTTTTTTAAATTCAGCATTTTCTAAAATATTTTGTGCAACATAAGCTCCATGAAATGCTTTGGAAAAATATAAAAATTTATAGTCTAGCAAGTTTGGGAAATGCTTATTTTCTCTTCAAAATTTCTAAAACACATCACTATATCAAAGAATCCAAGAAATTCTATAATATAAAAGTCTATTCAGTTTATTTAAATAGGAGTTTCTCAAATGTGGATGCTCTGTGTGTGTGTGTTGGGGTGGGAGGTGCCCACAGGGAAGGCTTTCTACTCTGGTGCCATGGCTATGGTTTGAGCACCCACTTGGATGGTGCTGAGGACCACAGCTGGCCTCTGTGGACGAGGCATCCTGGGGCTCCCTGCCTAATTCTGAGAGAAGCTTTTCTGATGCCCCTAAAGACAACTTGCTCCAGAACATTCAGTCTCCTGGAAACTCAGCCCAGTAAATGCTCTTAACTGATCCCCTTTCCTCTTGGTATTCTTGGGAGGTAGACAATCTCCTTCAACAATCTCAGGCCTCCTGTGAATAAAGTATTTCATATTCTTGAGCAGAATCTTATTGCAAAATACTTTGACATAATTTTAGTTTCAGGGGGAAAAAATCTTGCTTTCTAAAATATAACAAAAGATGTAAACAATATTTATATAATTCCCTTCTTCACACTTCTACAGCTCATAATTTGTACTTCTCTTATGATTCTTAGTACATTCTATATTTTACTATTTAATTTGGGTATATATATAGTTTCCTATCTATTTGATGATAAATTACTTGGGAGCAGTGACTATGTCTTTTTCATCTTTCTTTCCTTTGGATAAAATTTTACACTGGGTTTTACATAATAGGTGTTAACAGATGCTTATTAAACGTCTGGCTAATATTTATAACATCCCTATGAAAAATACTTGGGGAAGTTTGTTTATGTTTATTTAACTTATGAGAAAACCGATGCAAACTAGAAAGATTTATTCATTTTCCCAAGATGAGCTAATTATGGCAGAGATAAGAGAAAACCCAAAATTTATAGGCTCAGAATCAGAAGGTTGGGAAGAAGGTTTAAGAAATTCTGCGCTGATTCCAAATCTTTTTTTCCTGATGTTTGCTACAGGCTTGAGGAAGCCATGTGAGGCTGGCCAGCTAGCAGCATGGCAAAATGAATAGGGCACTAGATTCAGAGGCTTGGGTCCTGCTGTTGATATGAAAATGAAAAAGGCATAGCCCTGCCCTCAAGGAACTTACAGTCCAGTGGTGATTGATGCAAGGAAACAGAAAGATAAATCGCATAATGGAACCACATGGTGTGCACTGCAGAAACACAGGAGAGAACATGATTATCATTGCTCAAGGGCTTCAAGGGCATTACACAGCAGGGGTAAATTCTGTGATGGACTTTGAAGGATAAATAAAAGTTGACAAGGCAAACAAGAAGGAAAAAAGTAACTTGAGACAGAGGGAAGAACATGTGTGCAGTTAATGAGACCTCAAAGAGCATACTGAGCTGATGGATTGGAAAGTACATTAGTTGGCTAAAGCGTTGAGTTTATATGAGAGGGATGGCAGGGGTGGTGTTGGCCAGAAAAGAAACTAGAAACGTAGAAGACTGGGGCCAAAGTTTGAATGGTCAAGCAAAGGAGTTTAGACTTCATCTTCTGAGTCATGGCAGCCATTGAAGGCTTTAAGAGAGGGATTGATGTCATCAAATATGCTACTTGAAGGCAGAAAGTGTGTTTATTTCTGCATGGTATTTTCTGACAGGTGATGCATGGCTAACAGCAAGCACTCAATAAATATTTATGGAATAGAATGATGAGTATATTTTAGAGAGAGATGTTTTCTCAGGCCAGTATCTGAACAAACAGAGTTTGTAGACCAGATTCTGCCTGGGTGTGAGCCTCTTCCCAGAGCTTCAGAGACCCTCTTTCCTTAGGTCAATGGTCATACAGATGGATTTCCCAGAGACCCTACTCATCCACCATTATTTCTCACAGCAGATCCCTACTCTGCCGTCTTTTCACCATTGCCAGCCCCTCTGTGATGCATATGAAAAGGGAAAAAGAGAGGCCACGGAGGCATCATCTGTCTATTCTGATTCCAGCTCTTTCTCCATTGCCTCTTGTGCTCCACATGCAGCCCAGAGCCACTGACCTTCAACAAGCTGAGCAAATTATTTTTTGCTAATGAGCTTAATTACCTATTTCTCTATTTAACACACACTTTAGACTTTTGTAAAGGCCTTTGGAAACCCTTTGTTGCACCAGCAGGTACTTGTGGCAGAAAGGTAGAACTGCTTTAGCCCCACAAAGCCCAGCAGCTGTGACTGCCCAGATAATGAGGCTGGGGCTCGCCCACCTCTTCACAGCTGGGGCTTTATTTGATCTTCATAACAAGTATTGGGATAGACATTATTATCCTCCTTTACAGATGAGAAAACTGAGCCCTATGAGGTTGAGTTATTCACCCTTTTCCAGACTGGTCTGGGTCCTTCCTGGATATGTAACACCCTCTCTGAGGCTTTGAAAGCTCTGTATTATGGAATACATGGTAGCCTCTCAGGGACCTTTTGAAGTCTGCATGTTTATTGCCATAAATGGCTGACAGAATGAAAGAGACACTGGTCGTTGGGAGGCAATGGCTGTTTTCTCCATTTTTCCAAAGGGGAGACTAAGGCCCAAGGAACATTGTTCCTTCCACACCATCTGCTGGTAACTGTCTTCTCCAGTCTCAAAAGCTGCCCCATCAACCTCTGTTTCTTGAACGGCTTGTTCTCATCCAGCACTGGCTGGGCTTTGGGGGAGGAGGTGCTTCTCTGATTTGCACTTGCATGTGAATCATCTGGAGAGCTGGTTAACAACGCAGATTTGGATCCTATAGTTCTGGGGTGGGACCTGAGATTCTGCTCCTATAATAAGCAACCAGCTGATTCTCAGGCTGCTGGTGCGTTGACTGCACTTTGAGTGACAAGACAGTGGAGAGAAGAAGAGAAAGCAAAGAAGCAGCCCCGCCTTCAAAGAAATCCCTGACTTGTAGAGAAAACAAAATTGGAGCAAACACCTGAGGGGCAGAGATGTTTGTTCATGCCTCTGAAGTTAACAGAGGCCTGTGCCATGGGCCATTGTTTAAGGTTGTTGGCTGAACAAATGAGAAATTATAAGAAAGCAGTGCCTACTTCCAAACCAACATGAGTAAACTGGCAGGAGCCAAGTCCAAGGAGCTCAGAAATCACTAGGGATTAAGAACAATTCAATTCAACAATGAAACGTGTGATTTCTTATATTATTCAATATAGTTATTTATTTTATTCATTTAATGAGTGCCTACTATTTGACATCATGTGAGGAACCGGAGTACAAGGGTGAGTATCAGAGGGTCATGTACTCTCAAAGTGCTAAGTGGAGGGGAAACCAACAGTAAGGCCGATGCCCGCCATTTAGAACAGTGACTTTAAACTGATTTTTTACTGTGACACACAATAACACAATAAGGGGTATGTGTTACATTGTGACCTGATATGTGTGCATGTGCATATATATAAAACACTGAAGCAAAAGTTTCTGGAAATAATATTTACATTTTATTAACATTTCTTAGTTCGTTTTTTTTAAACATCTCTTGAACATGAAGAGGCAAAAAGAGGAAGTAAATGATACGTCCAGGAAGCTCTGGAGCATGGAAGGGGACCATGTGACCAAGCTGCAGGCATGGAAGGATGTGGTCTCTGTCCCTGAGGACCTACTGCCAGTGATCCCCATTGGCCAAGCCAAACCAGAAGCGGGGGCAGTGGCATGGTGGCAAGGGTGCCCAGGTGTCATACAGTACGTGGAAGGTGGTATCCCGGTCAAGAGCAGGATGATGAATTAATGTTGGTGATAGGGAGGAGAGGGTTGGCAAGAGGAGAGTATTAGCTAGACCAGATATTTGTGCCTACTTTACGTGATATACTCTGATATTTTCTATTCTATCCTATTTCATTATCTTCCATTTCTTTACCTTTCTTCCCACTCAGTCATTCCCCCTTTCCTTTCTGCCTGCTCTTCCTGCCTTCCTCTTTCCCCACACTTTTAGTAAAAAGGTGGCATGAGGATTTGACGTTCAATAGATCAAAAAAGAAATACAGAGGGATCATATTTCCTATATGATCCTCAGGGTGGATCAAAGTCGTGGTGAGGAGGGAGCATGGGGCTCAAAGTCACATGAAATCACCAGCTTTCTTCCACTATATTGAACAGTGTATGTGGTGAGAGACTACCAAGGAGCTGATTCTTGGACCTGAGCCAAATCCAGTCAATTAAGAGAGGTCTGGGAGTGTTTAAGGACTAGTAACAACATCTATCATTAGAATTGACGCACTCAACAGAGGATCGCCTGGAGGCTCTTCACAAATTTTTCTTGACATTGGAAAAACTGGCTTAAGGGGATTTGTACAACGTTCCAAAGGTTCTTGATTGGAATTCTAACACATATCTTGCAGCTAGAAAGAAGGAAGCAACTCAAATACATTCAAATAAATTCATTCATGTGCTGTCCAGCACAGCGATAAAAATCAAAATGCCAGGAGAACTCATTATAGGTAGAGGATTTAGAGATAGATAGGGTTCCTACAGATGGTGACCCAAAGAATAAAAAATGTCAGGAGAACTTGTTTTAGGTACAGAGAATTTAGAGATAGGTTCTTAGAGATGGTGACCCATAGCCCATAGTCATTTCAGGCTAAGGGCTATTATGCCTTTATTTTTCATTTGTAGTTGTACCTGCTTATTCTTCAGAACACTTTTGCAAAAGAAAAATGAAGAAACTACTGCTTACCCACACATCTTGTGTTTTGACACCATGTGACATTACTGTATAATCTTATGCAACTGAGAAGACCTCCTTGAGCCTCATTGCCATCACTGTGAAAGAGAATATAATGCATCAAAGCACAGGTAGATCTCCCAATGCAGCTCCAAAGTATACATGTAAATGAGTTAAAAGTATATATGTAAAGAGTTAATTTAACATTCTGGTTTCAGGGGAGAAAATTCTATGAAACTATTGAAGAAGTACTTGAGCAGGTCCTCATAACGGTAATAATGTTTTATCCATGGTAGTGGGGCAAAGGAAAGTGTAGATAATGGAAATCCACAGATTAAAAAGTCAATCCCTATCTCAGCTTCTGCCTGCTTTTCTAGACCTGTGCTTGTCCAGGGAAAAGAGGGAAGGTGACAGGCACTGAAGGTGAAGCTTAGTCATGGGTATTAGAGGCAAATTGTAAAACTTGACTCAGCCTGCTGTGTCCCCTTCTTCTTCAGCATGTGATGTGGTTTGGTTGTGTCCCCACCCAAATCTCACCTTGAATTATAGCTCCCATAATTCCCATGTGTTGTGGGAGGGACCCAGTGGGAGATGATTGAATCATGGCGGTGGTTTCCCCCATACCGTTCTCGTGGTAGTGAATAAATCTCACAGAATCTGATGGTTTTATAAGGGGAAACCCCTTTTGTTTGGCTGTCCTTTTATCTCTTGCCTGCCACCATGTAGGACGTGTCTTTTGCCTTCCACTGTGATTGGGAGGCCTCCCCAGTAATGTGGAACTGTGAGTCCATTAAACCTCATTTTCTTTATAAGTTGTCCAGTCTCAGGTATGTCTTTATCAGAAGCATGAAAACAGACTAATATACCATGTCATCACTCACATGCCTCTTCTGCTCTGAGACCAGCCCCAAAACTGCTGCCATAGCTCAGGGCATCTTAAAATCTCTGCCTGCCTTCTATCCTACCACTGCACACCCACCCAAGAGAGTTCTCATATAGCTGGAAGAGGTCCAAGGACATTGTTAGTTTGCTTCTAAATCCATGGTATGTGTTGGAATTCTCAATCTCTCTCTTTTTATGTCTCTCTCTATCTCTCCTTCCTCCCTGCCCCTGCCCCCTTCATACACAACTGGTGTTGAAAGGCAGACCTGAGACTGTACCCTGCCTAGAAACACTTAGCCTGGGTGATTCAATAGCTTCCATTACTTCATTAGCTTTCCTCTACTGAGAAAAGCTTCTCCCCTCCGTGCCCACTCCGTCTCTTCTGGATTTTCTGTGCATGCTGCCAAGAGGTCAGATCTTGAGGGCCAGGATTCAGATGTGGAGCTAGTATGCTGGGCCTGGAGTCTGCATGTACTCCAGGCAGAAAAAGGCAGCTCCATAGTGGTACCCTCTAACTCACCAGAAGGCTACATGAGGGTTTGGGCAAAAGACCAGAACCCAGATCTCATGCTTTGCTCATTTCCTCCAGGAATCTAGTAGGGGCAAGGTGACTGGTCTTGTCATGTCTCAAATCTTTGCTGAAACATGACAAACTCCTCCAGTACCCAAACTTTCCTCTGGACATTGATTTATGCTATTCTCTGGGTTTGGAATTCTCTACCCTACCTTCCCTCCATTATTGGTCCTGATACTGTGATGTTACAATACAGTTACACGTCCCAATATTACAATTACAGGAGGCTCTGTCCCTGGCCTGCCTTCCCCTCCACTCCAGCCCTCAGACTCTCCTCTCTTCTCTGAATTACTATGGCATCTTTTAGCCTACAGTTTAGAATGAGGATTACCAGACCCTGTCTTGGGTGTATTTGTGTTTGTACTTGTTTCAAGTCTTTAAATCACATTGTTCCTGCTAGATGATGGCCATCTCCCTTCCCCAGTGGAGGGAGACCCAGAGTGAACAAGGGACACCATCCGTGTAATCAGCAATGCCACATGAGGACTTTTCAGGGGACTGGAGCAGCTATGAGAGGTGTCTGTCCTGCCTGCCCAGAGGAGAGTGGGACTCCGCAGAGGAGTCCGACTGTGGACTCTGCCATTTCGAGTAAAGAAAGAGAAGAGTTATGACTAGGTCCTCTGAAAACTCTTTCCAGTCCCTGAACTCCATGGGGATTTGCTCTGCTTTTTAAGGGAGTATTCTGGCCGGGCAAGGTGGCTCATGCCAGTAATCCCAGCACTTTGGGAGGCCGAGGTTGGTGGATCACCTGAGGTCAGGAGTTCGAGATCAGCCTGGCCACGATAGTGAAACCCCATCTCTACTAAAAATACAAAAAATTAGCCAGGCATGGTGGCAGGTGCCTGTAGTCCCAGCTACTCAGGAGGCTGAGTCAGGAGAATTGCTTGAACCTGGGAGGCAGAGATTGCAGTGAGCCGAGATCCCGCCATTGCACTCCAGCCTGGGCAACAAGAGTGGAACTCCATCTGAAAGAAAAAAGGGAGTATTCTCTGTTTCCAGAGGTGGACTATTAAAGAATTAGTGCTTCAAACTAATGAAATTCAGACCTTTGTTCTGAGATAGGAATCTTGCTCAGTGACTGTATTTGTTTGCTAGGGCTGCCATAACAAAGCATCACAGACAGGGTGGCTTGAACAATGCAACTGTATTTCCTGCGGTTCTGGAGGCTGGGAGTCTGAGATCAAGGTGTCAGCAGGGTTTCTTTTGAGGCCTCTTTTCTTGGCTTTCAGCTGGCTGCCTTCTTGCTCTATCTTCCAACGGTCTCCCTGTGGTATATGGGTGTTTCCTAATCTCTTCTTCTTGTAAGTACACCAAGCTTACTGGATTTGGACCCACCCATGTGACCTCATTTTACCTTAGTTACCTACTTAAGGACCCTATCTCTAAGTATAGTCAGATTCTGAGGTACTAGCTGTTAGGACTCCAACCTATGAATTTGGGGAGATATAATTCAGTCCATAAAAGTGACTTTGGGCAAAGTCAAATTTCACTCAATGGAATTTTATTCAATTCATTTACCAAGATAAATTGAGCACCCAATTGCACCAGGCCCTGCTCAGATGCTGGGGATACATCACTGAACACAACAGACACAAATCCACATCTCTGTGGAGGTGATATTCTGGTGCAGAGAGAGAGACAGTAAATGGAATGAATAAGAAAACATATATGACATGTCAAATAATAATAAAGCCTATGGAGGAAGTTAAAGTATGGGGGTGGTTGGGGGGTTGGGGGGGACAGTGTCATCTAACTCATCCCCAACCTTCAGGCAGGAATGAGTGAAATTGCCCATGAAGGGAGTGCACTGAGGAGCAGAAGCAGGATGCAGTAGGAGCATGAGAGCAGAAATCCTTCCTCTGTGGATTTCTTTTTCATTTTTTTATTTGTTTTGAGATGAAGTCTTGCTCAGTCGCCCAGGCTGGAGTGCAGTGGTGTGATCTCAGCTCACTGCAACCTCTGCCTCCTGGGTTGAAGTGATCCTCCTGCCTCAGCCTCTCAAGTAGCTGGGATTATAGGCATGTGCCACTGCACCCGGCAAATTTTCAGTGGAGACGGAGTTTCACTATGTTGGCCAGGCTGGTCTCAAACTCCTGACCTCAGGTGATCCACCCGTCTTGGCCTCCCAAAGTGTTGAGATTACAGGTGTGAGCCACTGCGCCCAGCCTTTTGTAGCTTTCTTAACTCTGCTTTGTTTAAAGCCACAAATGTGTGCTCTTTTCCCTCCCTATCCTGGTCACTTGTCTCGCCAATACAAACCTGAGATCACAAGGGGCTCTATGAGTAAGACCGTGGCTGGCTGGCAGCAAACAAGGGCCATGGTGGAGAAACACTCCAAGGCATTCACCCGACAGCCTAGGAGATGGGCACACAGTTATCCTCATGAACAAAAGCCTGACAGTTTGAGCCAGGTATAGTGGCTCGTGCTTGTAATTCTAGTGCTTTGGGACATGAAGGTGGGAAGATCACTTGAGGCCAGGAGTTTTCAAGACCAGCCTGGGTAACACAGCAAGACACCATCTCTAAAAAAATAATAATAAACAAAAGGAAAATTTGACGACTCCATTAATCTCATTACTAACAAGTACTTACATTTGTTGCTGTCTGATTACGTCAGGCACTGTGCTGTGCCTGCTCTTATGCATCCTCCCAACAGTCCAAAGAGTGCTATCTCTTTTCACATTTATAGTCAAAGAAACTGAGGCTTAGAGAGGTCATGTAACTTGCCTAAAATCCATCTGATGGACCAGAGTCTTAGCCACTCTTGGCACCACGCTGAGCTGTCTAGAGAAGGGCAGGTCACTGTTACAGCTGGAGTTGAAAGTTGATGTTCATTGACTTTCTAACACTTTTTTGTCTTTTACTAAAGCTGCCAGCTTAACGTCTTACCAGAGGACTAATAAATCTTATTTCCAACAAGCGACTGCCAACATTAAAACATGCAAAATTTCTCAACATAAATTTTCCCAACAATTGTAACTCATTACTTGGATACGAGGCATGCACTACTGCAGTCTGTCCACGGTGGTGAGGAAAACACTGGGCACGAGCCCAGCAACACATTCTTTGACAGCAGCATGAAATATTTTACAACAGTTTCCAGGAAGTTTTCACTGGCTTTCTCAATTACAATGAAGTCTTCTTGTGGGCATCTGTTGCAGTGAGCCTTAACACACACATCCTCCCCGTGCTCTCAGGCCGCTCGGCAGCCAGCAGATGCCCAGGACAAGAGAAGCCCTTGTTTCAGACATTTGCTTTCTCAAAGGCATTCCGGGCTCTCTTCGGGGACTCTTGGTCAGTGTCCTGTGGCGTGGCCTCCCTCTTGCCTTCCTGCTGTGGGTACTGCTTCAACCACAGAAATCCAGAGCCCTTTACTCGTTGGTTTCAAAGTAAATCTTTGCTTTGGGGACAGTATCCTCTTTTGCTAAGTATGAAGACTGGAAGTTAACTAAAAATCCCACACTGGTGGATAACCCTGCTCAACCAGAAAAAATCGAACCCTGTTCAGTCAGAAAGGTTGAACATATTTCACATGATTTTAATCATTTGTTTTTCATAACCAAGGGTCTGTAGTTCATATCCTTTGTTCATTCTTTTACTGTTTTGTTCTTTTCCTTATTTTAAAGGGTTCTTTACATATTCTGAACACTAATCCCTTGCTGAGTGCTGGCAAATATGTTTTCCCAATTTGTGACTCACTCTTTTACTTTATTGTGTTACAATTTTAATTTTAAATTGGAACGGATCATTTTTTCTTTCATGATATTGCTTTTCGTGTTTTAAACATCATTTATATACTCCTCCATATTTTCTACTCCATTGACACAAACTATCTGTAGCTTTTGTCAAAGTTTTCTCCATAATTGTTCTTTCTTATTTTTATTATTTTAGAGACAGTGTCTTGTTCTGTCACCCAGGCTGGAGTACAGTGACACAATTATAGCTCACTGCAAGCTTTGACCTCCTGGGCTCAGGCGATCTTCTCAGCCTCAGCCTGGGCACATCTGGGACTACAGGTGCACGCTACTACATCTGGCTAATTTTTAATTTTTCTGGAGAGAGGGGTTGCCCAGGTTGGTCTTGAATTTCTGACCCCAAACAACCCTCCTTCCTTGGCCTCACAAAGTGCTAGGATTATGGGCATAAACTACCATGCCAGGCCTGTTGTTTTAAATATAATTTTCAAAAGGCAGATGGCACTAACTGTCATAAAAAAGAGGTATCTCCCTTTGGATGTTATGACTATGTTCCTTAAGAATGGAATTTCTCTTTCCTGATGGTGTTGTTGGCTTTCAGAAGACAAACATGTCTCTAATTCTGCAATCTATGTCTCACCTGTGGGGAATCCTCTGTCTTTCTCCTCTTGTTCAACTAAGTAATAAAAAAATTTCAATTGCTTAAGCATCTAAGAATACTGCAACCTTTCTCATCATCTTTTCCATCCATGATGCTTTGGTGTGCCTATGTCTGTATCTATCTATTGATGTATCTACCTAAGCTGAGAGGTTGGCACACATTATGTGTGTGTCTTAGTAAATGATATTTTTCTACTTATGTCTTATATGAAACATTATTAAAATGAATGTAGGTTTTCAGAACATATTGAAGCTAACCCATAAAAGGCAACTCAGTTCAGGAGCACAGAAGGTTAGAATAGCTATGGGATGATGTGCTGCAAATAAACCCAGTGGCTTAACACAACAGATTATTTTCCTTTCTAAGCAGGGGTCCAGAGCAAATCAGGCACTTTTAATCTTAGGGCGCCACCATCTCAACATGAGACCCCCTCAGCCATGGGGCGGCTAAAGGGCCAGCTGGAGAATTGCCCTGACTCTTGTATGCTTTGGTCTGGAAGTGGGGCCCATCACTTCTACCCACAGCACATTGACCCGACCCTTTCAGCTGAGCCCACCTAACTGCAAGGGGGCTGAGAATATGAATGAGTGGATGCACTATTCGGTAAACATCACAGAAGGCCAGTCTGAGATTAATAGATCATCTAGAAAATTTGCACCTACATAATTGAGAATTACCTATGGCCATAGCTGACATTTTGAGCCCTTACCGAAACTCACAGGTCATCATATCCTCTGTGCAAATACTAAGAAAGTGTGCCTTCTGAGATGAGGGTACAGGGAGGAAGTCAAGAATGTGGAAGTCATCAGAGGTAAGGAAGAAAAAGCATTAAACATCAGTTACAGCTTAGACTATGTGGATTTCCATTTGCAGGTAGGAGGGGAAACATTGAGAAGTAAAGCAAAGCAAGACAATGGGAGGAATTCTAAGAAGTTTCAGATAAATAATAAGAAGTGCTTCTAGTATGAATGGCACTCAAAGTCTGTGAAGAAACTGGTTGCTGAGAAGCCACAGGAGTGATTTATTGATAGGCCAGGAAGATATTCCCAACAATATTAAAGTAATTCTTTGCCAGGCTGTGTTCACAAAAGAAGGGGAGGGGACCAGGCCAGAAATACATGTGCATTTTCCAAAGGACAAAGATATATGAAAAAAAAATTAAAAGAGATTTTCAATTCCCCCATGCCTTGAAGCAGTCTGCAAAAACTAGCATGAAGTTGGTATTTAGGACAAAAAATGGTGAAAACAAACTATTGGTGATTTTTAGGAAAGAAAGTTGTGGAGAGAAAGAGAAAAGTTAGCAGTAAAGGGAAAAAGTGTGTAGAGGAGAGCAATAATTGTTTTCCAACTGCAGGCGATAAAATGCGTATCTAAGAGGAACGCCTGACCTTCAGACAACGCATCTATCAGACTCAGGAGAATGGAGACAAAGGGAAGAGAGTCACAGGGGAGAAGAAGCCAGGATGCAGTGGCTGTATGCTAAGTGGAAGCCATTGTGGGCCACTGAGAAGATAATAGAGGGAAGTGGAGAAGCCGAGGAGTAAAGCAGAGTGATATGAAGCAGCGTGATAAGCGGTGCACAGTGAGGAGGGGGAAAAATAATGGGAAAGAGTGAGATAAACCCGCGGTGAAGAAGCCTTTCGCAGAGACTAAGAGTCTGGGAGGAAATTATCTGAGGGGCTAGAGTACTTGGGGCGTCTTGGAACTTCACATTTGTGAGAAAAATGTACCGCATGTATCAAACAATCCAAGTCCCAAGCTATGCTAATAATAAAGGCAGTTTGCATTTATTGCGTCCTTTCTAAGTGTCAAGCGCAGCCCAAGGTACATTAAATATCCCTTCTCGTGGAGCTCATGGTGATAAAAATCGAAGTGACAGCAAGTAGTAAACAAGAGCTAGTCTTTATAAAGACTCATTTAACGTCCATGCCAGCCCTACCCGCTACAGGATCTTCACCTTTCTGTGCCTCAGTTTCTTCTTCTATAAATCGGGATTATAAGAGTACCCACTGCCCGGTACTCTAAGAGGAAAAGTGAGGCAAGAGCGAACATCACCCATTTGCAGGCGGGGCCACTCCCTCCTCATTGGCTCTGCTGAAAAAGAGCTCCACACTTGGGTTGAAAGAAGGAGCAGAGAACTTGGGAGGTAGTGGTGGGAGGAGGGGGGATGGCAATTCTGGCTTCTGCCAATCAAATCTAGATGTGTCACTCCTCCGCGCTCTTGGCTTTCCATATAGGTCACAGCTCCTCCGCTGTGCCTCGGGAAAGGTAGGCACAGAGAAGTTACAGGGCTGGCTTACGTTTGCACAGAAAATTTAATGGCAGTCAGAAGTATAACTTAGGTTTCCTTATTCCCCAGAACATGAGGGTTTTTTTTTTGTTTTTTTTTTTTTTTTTACCAGTGGACGATGCTGAGACACAGGGCAGGGTAAGCACATTTTAAAACAGAGGGCAAAGGTCAGCACAGAGCATGGGGAGATCAGTAAATATGTCCAAAGTGCTTAGTGAGAGGTAAAAGTTTAAAAGACGACAGTTAGGTTTTCACAATAGTGAACGGACAATTCAATGCCAGAGGTCCTGGAACCTGCAGTGTTTTCTCATTGACCTACTATTTCCCTAGGAGCCAGAGTCAGCATGACGGTAGACTTTTCCAGAAGTAAGCAGGTTACCTCTTATCTCTTCTGTCATCCACATCCTCGGGTTTGAGGGCTTGAAATCGTGCAGTATTTCCCTCTTGTAACCCAGAACAAGCATCTCTAACTTTAGATCGACTCCTTTGGTGTCCTGGGGCCAGTGAATCAACCTGCTTACTTCCCTCCATTTATGGCTGTGATGCTCCTTTGTAACAAGGGATCAAGAACTGTACCTGCGCTTCCAAATGCAGCATCATTTATTGCTTCCTGATGCAAAAATAGCTTCCTTGGGCTTAAACTGGCCAAGATCATCTTATTTGTCATGTTTTTGTTACCATTAAAGGATCGGGGGGAGGGAAAGACTTCCTGGAAACCTGTTGGTCTCTCAAAATCAGTCCATTCATAGAATCCTCCAACCAAGAGGGCTGTGAACAGATCATGAAGTCCAGTCTCCTGCTTCTGGGCCGTGATTCCTTTATTCCAAGCCTGCTGAGCCCTGGCTTTTGCAGCAGGACTTATTCTTTTTTTATTTTTATTTTTATTTTTGAGTTTAGGCCCAAATGAATTGTTATTTTTTTTTTAACTTTAAGCTTGAGGGCACATGTGCAGGTTTGTTATATAGGTAAACTTGTGTCATGGGAGTTTGTTGTACAAATTATTTCATCACTTGGGCATTAAACCTACTGCCCAATAGTTATTTTTCCGGATCTTCTCCCTCCTCCTACCCTCCACCCTACAATAGGCCCCAGTGTCTGTTGTTCCCCTGTATGTTTCCATGTCTTCTCATCATTTAGCCCCCACTTATAAGTGAGAGAATGCTGTGTTCGATTTTCTCTTCTGGCATTAGTTTGCTAAGAATAATGACCTCCCACTCCATCCATGTCCAGTAAAGAACATGATCTTATTCTTTTTAATGGCTGCATAGTATTCCATGGTGTATATGTACCACATTTTCTTTATCTAGTCTATCATTGATAGGCATTTAGGTTGATTCCATGTCTTTGCTATTGTGAATAGTGCTGCAATGAACCTACATGTGCATGTGTCTTTATTTGTTATGATTTATATTCCTTTGGGTATATACTCAGTAACAGGATTGCTGGGTCAAATGGTAGTTCTTTGTTTAGGACTTTGAGGAATCATCACATTGTCTTCCACAATGGTTGAACTAATTTACACTCCCACTAGCAGTGTATAGATGTTCCTTTTCTCCACAACCTCACCAGCATCTGTTATTTTTTGACTTTTAAGTATTTGCCATTCTGACTGGTGTGAGATGGTATCTCATTGGGGTTTTGATTTCATTTCTCTAATGATCAGTGATGTTGAGCTTTTCGTCACATGATTATTGGCTGCATGTATGTCTTCTTTTGAAGTGTCTGTTCATGTCCTTTGCCCACTTTTTACTGGGGTTGTTTGTTTTTTATTTCTTGCAAATTTGTTTAAGTTCCTTATAGATGCTGAATATTACACCTTTGTAAGATGCATAGTTTTCAAAAATTTTCTCCCATTCTGTAGGTTGTCTGTTTATTCTGTTGATAGTTTCTTTTTCTGTGCAGAAGCTTGTTAGTTTAATTAGATCCCATTTGTCAATTTTTGCTTTTGTTGCAATTGCTTTTGGCATCTTTGTTATGAAATCTTTGCCTGTGCCTATGTCCTGAATGATATTGCCTAGGTTGTTTTCCAGGGTTTTGTAGTTCTAGGTTTTACATTTAAGTCTTTAATCCATCTTGAGTTAATTTTTGTATATGGTATAATGAAGGGGTCCAATTTCAATATTCTGCACATAGTTAACCAGTTATCCCAGCACCATTTATTGAATCAGGAATCCTTTCCCCATGGCTTTTGTTAGGCTTGTCGAAGATCAGATAGTTGTAGGTATGCAGTCTTATTTCTGGGTTCTCTATTGTCTGTTTTTGTACCAATACCATGCTGTTTTGATTACTGTAGCCCTGTAGTATAGTTTGAAGTCAGGTAGCATGATGCTTCCAGCTTTGCTCTTTTTGCTTGGTATTGCCTTGGCTATTCAGCTCTTTTTGGTTCCATATGAATTTTAAAATAGCTTTTTCTAGTTCTGTGAAGAATAACAATGGTAGTTTAATGGAATACCATTGAATCTATAAATTGCTTTGGGGAGTATAGTCACTTTAACAATATTCATTTTCCTATCCATGATCATGGAATGTTTTTCCATTTGTTTGTGTCATCTCTGCAGCAGGACCTATTCTATCAAGGATCGGTAATTGGGAATAAGCTTCTCATTTCATCCTAAAGGATTCTGTCACTCCACTGAAATCTTAAGAGTCTCCAGTGCTTGTTAGGAAAGTGTGGAAGATGAACCCCTTCTTCATCCACAGGTAAGAACATGCTGGAAAGCAAAATTGTTTAACACTTGCTTAGTTTTTAACCCAACACTTCTATGTCTAGAAATATATCCTGGATTTGATCTATACAAATTATATGAACATATTAAATTGTCACATGTACTCCAAAAATATGTGCATCTATTATGCATCGATAAAAATAAAATAATTAGATCAATACACAAAGATGAATGCAGAAGAATGTTTAGTGGAATATGATTTATAATGACAATATGGAAATAGCCTAAAATGTCCAACAGTAGCAACTGATTAACTAAATTATGATAGTCAACAGTAGAATATATATACTTATTTTACATAATATTTATAAATACCTGAATGACAAGATGTTTATGATGTACTATGAGAAAAACAAGTTACAAAATAGTATCTAGAATACAATCCTGTGTTCATACACATGTGCCTAAGAAAGTTTGTAACAATAAATAGCAAGATGTCAATACTGGTTGTCTTATGGGGTGAGAGGCTGTGATGTAATATTTTCTTTATATATCTTCCATTTTTTCTATAATGAATAGAATTTTTGAAAAAAAAACCAAATACATTAAAAAAGTTTAAGTCTCCACTCTTTAGAATTGTCCAGGTTTCTTTTCTCAAATCTAGGTGGTACCATTTTCTGAGCTACCCCTGATGGGGAAGGAGGAGAGGACAACATTTTCCCCATTTATTAATTTTACTTTATGCAGATTGCAGTGAGTCAAAGTGTGGCTTTAAAGAGGAAAAAGTGTCACAAAGATTTAGCCTGAATGGTATGTATGTATGAGTGTGCGTGTGCGTGTGTGTGTGTGTGTAAGCCTAAAATAGAAAAAGCCCTTTGTCTTGTTGATTAGTTGTAGATTATCATTGATTGATGTTTCTAGTCCAAACTTTTAAACCAACAACTCCTTCAAGGCAGGCAATAACTTACCTTTATTTTCCCAGGTCCTAGCCCAGTGCCTGACACATAGTAAGATCTTAATATACATTTGACAAATTAATTAACTTTTGAGCCTCAATTATTTACAGTACCTTCTGGCAAAAGATTGCCTCCTCTTCCATCCGGATCCCTATGACACTGTGGGTTGATGGCATGATGGGGATAGTGGGAGTAGTTGATGTGATATAAATGAGTCAGATTGGCCTGGGTTCAAATACTGGTTCTGCCACAAGTGAGAAATTTGATCATAAATTTTCTTTTATGTAATATGAGGATGAAAATATATTTTAATCTCTTCAATTCCCCTCCCCAATCTCAGCCCCTAGTAACCATCATTCTACTCTCTATTTCTATGACTTCAACATTTTACCCCTCACGTATAAGTGAGATCATGCAGTATTTGTCTTCCTGTGCCTGGCTTGTTTCAGTTGACATATGCCCTTCAGGTTCATCATGTCTGAAATGACAGGATTCCCTTCTTTTTACAGGCTAAATAGTATTCTATTGTGTGTATACACCATATTTTCTTTACCCATTATTCCATTGCTGGACTATTAGATTGACTCCATATCTTGGCTATTGTGAATAATGCTGCCATGAAAATGGGAGTGCAGATACCTCTTTGATATACTGATTTTATTTCCTTTGCATATATAACAAGTAGTAGGATGGCTGGACCATATGGTATTTCTATTTCTAGTTTAGGGTTTTTTTGTTTTGTTTTGTTTTTGGGTTTTGTTTTTTTTTTTGAGACAGGGTGTCACTCTGGTCAGTGTCACCCAGGCTGCAGTACAGTGGTGCGAACATGGCTCACTGCAGCCTTGACCTCCCGGGCTCAAGTTATTCTCCCACCTCTGCCTCCAGAGTAGGTGGGACTACAGGCATATGCCACCACAGCCAATTTTTTCTATTTTTTGTAGAGACAAGGTTTTGCCATGCTGCCCAGACTGGTCTCAATCTCCTGGGCTCAAGCGATCATCCTGCTTTGGCCTCCCAAAGTGATGGGATTGCAGGCGTGAGCCACTACACCTGGCTATTTTTAGTTTGTTTTTTTTTTTTTTTTGAGGAAACTCCATACTATTTTGCATACTAATTGAAGAAATGAAAATATTTATATTGCAAGATTATTTTAAGGTTGGAAACTTGACAATTTCTTTTAATCCCCTTTCGTGGGTTTTATCTTAAATTGTAGCCTTTGAAAACTAGCCATTGACCAATGTTAAAATCCATTCATTGAAGCCATTCTGCATAACTCAAGGTTCAAGTAGCCTTCTCTAGAAAAATAAGGTAACATTCTTCTAAGGCTTCTATGAGAGAGTGCTCGCTCTTGGCTTTCACTAAGAAATGTGGAAAGAAATTGTGTTTAGCAAGAACTGGTGTATTATTAAGTAGCCTTATCTCAGTTCAACATCTCTCTGCAAATAAGTCAAGGCTCACAGCAACCCTGTGCAAATGCTGGAAATGTTTGAGGCCTTAAAATAGCATAATGCTTTGAAGAAACCCATCTTCCTAATGGAAAAAAGAACACACAAGAAAAATGACTGTCAGTTATTTATATATAGCCCAGGATTCAGCAAGTGACAAAAGTGATTATTGCTAATTTACAATTCTCTTTAGAAACTAGCTATGTGCACCATTTTCAAGGAGGCTGAAGATTAAAGAAGGAGCTGACCAGATGACCACAGCCCAGATCCTTTTCTTAGGGTGGCTGTATGGCTCTGGGTCTATGGCTCCACTTCTTTTCTCATTGTCCTTGGCAACTTTGTCATGAAATAACCTCATTAGATGTCATATAGACTTAGCTTTCGATGATATCATTTTAGCCAATTGTTCATTCAAGTGATCAGAATGGCCACATGAGAGTGGCTGGTAATGGGGTATATAGAATAATTACCCATGTTTTATTCTTAGCTTTTACTAATATGTTACAAGGCCTCCCGCCAAAAAATTAGGGATTTTGTCAGTTGTACAGTCAGTAGGCCACAGAGCAGTTTGACTGTGATTTTTCACTGAGTGTGTGAGTGCATGTGTGAATGTGTGTGTGTATGACTTCTCCTCTTTATTAAGGCTGTGCAGTAATGACATATCTTATGCAGCTGTATGAAAACACCAACCCCCTAAAATAAATGCCAAAATATGCTTGTGTACCATATTGTGGAAAAAAGATGGCTGGCCAGGCCCACTGATTAACATACTATAATGTTCATTTCAAATAGTTTTTTGAGTGACAGAGAGTATCAATACATCTATTAGTTTTCAATGTAAATAATTAATATTTGAGCTCTAGAGCTACTTTGCCCTTGCACCTGGGCATTGGCGGCACAAGGTCATGGTTTTGAAGTTATCTCATTCCTATTGCCTGTGGCATCGGCTGCCCTGTAATTGAGAAGTCAAGTGAGTTTGTTGTTGTTGTTGTTGTTGTTGTTTGTTGTTGTTGTTTTTGAGACGGAGCCGCTCTGTAGCCCAGGCTGGAGTGTAGTGGCTTGATCTCGGCTCACTGCAAGCTCCACCTCCTGGGTTCACGCCATTCTTCTGCCTCAGCCTCCCCAGTGGCTGGGACTACAGGCGCCCACCACCACGCCCGGCTAATTTTTTGTAGTTTTAGTAGAGATGGGGTTTCACAGTGTTAGCCAGGATGGTCTTGAGAAGTCAGGTGAGTTTCTTATGTGAAAGTGAAGTCTCTGTGCATGCTTTTCCAGGAGAATGCTTCCCTGATCCTCTCCAACTGGAAACAGCCTGGAATTGCTGGCAATGTTGCTCCTAAGCTCAGAGTGTCCAGGATAGCTACTGATACTAAATGCTAATCTGAGACCAAGTCAATTGCCTGGGGATGTTCAGTCTAAGGTGTATGGTGGCAAGGTGTTAGGAAGGGGCTCTGCCAACTCCCATGTTCTGTGGCTTCCACAGGTGGGCATATTAGACTTCTGCACCACCCTTGTTCTATTTCCCTCACTAAGTTCTAAAGTGGATAATCACACTGAGATGGGGTCGGGCCAGTCAAACAAAGGAACTATGAGGTTGGCCTACAATGTGAAAACTGTCAATTACCCTATTTTATGTTCTACCTACATTGCTAGTAGCAGAGCACTCATTTCCATTAGACCAATTTGGTACAATGATGCATGTTCTAATCCTTTTACCATCTTATCTGAACAAGAGAAATGAGTACAAATGAAGGGGGAGGAGGAAAAGGGAGAAACAGAAGGAAGAAAAAGAGACAAAGAGGAAGAAAGAGAATCATTCTGAAGGGTGATTTTTAACTACTGGCTTTATAATTTATTAGAAATAAATGTAACATTCTAATGTGAGCTGGTCACTGCTGTACAAGGAAGGTGATTCTAGTCAGAAGTGACTTGTTTTTAAAACCTGATTCTCTTAGAATCTTAGTCTGTGAACAAGGAAGTCACTCACAGATTCTGTGTAATTTCTCTATGGAGCACTGAACATGGCTTAAAGAGGAGGTGGCCCCGATGCAGAGAATCAGGGCCAGAGGTTGGCCTTAACACCCGCTGGCTCTGCCACTTTCTTGGTAGGGATGCCAGGAGCAGACCTCATCCCAGTAAGGCAGGGACAGTAACCATGCCCTGGATGAGCTAACACAGGCCTATCAAAATGTTTGAAAAGACCTTGTAAAGTTTTTGATTCCTGGGTAACAAATTACCACACACTTAATACCTTGAAAACAACACGCATTTATTATCTCAGTTTCCATGGGTCAGTAGTCCAGGCACAACTTAACAGGGTCCTCTAGTCAGGGTCCCACAAGACTGCAGGTAAGGTTTCAGCCAGGCCGTGTTCTCATGGGGAGGCTCCACTGGGGAAGAGTCTATTTCTGAACCCATTCAAGTTGTTGGCAGAATTCATTTCCTTGTGGCTGTATGATGGAGAGTCCTTGCTTTTTGTGGGCTAGGGCCTGAAGACAACACACAGTTTCTTGCCAAGAGGCCTTTTCCAACATGATTGCTTATGCCAAGCCTTCAAGAAGAGTTCTAGCTCTAGTCTACTAACATAGAGTCTTCATAACCCACCCTAATCACAGGAGTGCTAGCCATCATCTGTGTCATCTTCTATTGGTTAGAAGGAAGCCACAGGTCCTACCCACACTTAAAGGGAGGAGGTTACACAAAGGCATGAATGCTGGGAGGTGGGAATCATTGGGGGTCAACCTCATCATTCCAACCTTACTGGGATTCTCTCCCAAACCAGCCAAATCTGTGTTCTTTAATCTTCAGTAGGGTGAACAACCATCCCAGTTTGCCTGGACTAGTTTTAGCACTGAAAGTCCTGCATTCTAGGCAACTCCTTGGTCCCAGGCAAATGAGGATAGTTCGCCACCCTAAACAGATAACATACCTTCTTTAATTTGTTTTAGGCCAATATTAGGGGTGAAAGAGAAACCTAAAAGGTTTCATCCAGAGGTGGTCAAACTATTCCCCAAGGAGCTCTTTGAGGGCACTGAGGTGAAGGAGATGGTGAGAGGATGCCAACAGGATGGGCTTTTCAGCTCCCTCCCGTGTTCCACCACAGAGCAAACCAGCTCCCGGCTTGCTCATACGTGGTGCATTTGGTGTAATTTGTTGTGTGAAGTGTGGTTTCCATGGCCACAGGTTGATACCTTAACAATTTCATTTTACATATAAAAAGCCAAGTTCTGTAAAAAACTTAGGGGCAGAATTCAGCCTCTTGACATGTAAGTCAGACCTCTTCTACAACACCATCCAAATGAGTTGAGCATTTCTTGGCCATCTGTCTCATTCACAGCTCTGGACTTGGTGCTGAGGCAGTGAAGAAAGGTTTTGGGGGGTTGTTGTTTGTTTGTTTCCAGTCACATTGGGGAAGACCTAGGCTAATGCTAGAACATACTCACCATGACCATGACAGCTTTATCTGATTTGATCAGTTACTAAGGAATCAAAATGGTGATTTCAGCAACCTGGAAACAGGTAGGTTTACCTTGGAGTTACATGTTATTTCAAAACAACATGGGGACAAGTGTGAATTCTTGAGGTTGAAAACAGCTTATGTCAATGACAGGGACTTTCTAGTCTTTTCAGCATAAAACACAAGCCAGTGTTTAAACTACCGTAGACAGAGTTCATAAGCACAGAGGGAGGGCAAGGTTATGCAACTGGTGAAAAGTACAAGGCAAGGTTAATGTGGACAAGCAGAGTGGTGGTTTCAGACTGCATAAGGGAAGGTGGTCCAATTCACTAATCAACATGGCTCTACTACTGCAGCCAGCCCTGTCCTATAAACCAATCAAATGGAGTAGCAACTTATACCTACAGGCAAGAAAAAGGTCCAGGGCAGTAACTCACTTCTCCACCTGGCCAGCCAGGCTGATTTCTGTCATTTGACACCATACAGTCTAGGTTGGCTGATAAATAGGTCTCACATCTTGGAATGCTAATCTCGGAACAGTTTGATTTGCTTCAGCACCATTGCCTCATTAACCCCAAACTGAGCCTGGGGTGTTCTAAATAGGGTAGTGAATATAATGTCTCCAAGGTGTGAAGCTATTTATCCAAGGTTACTTGGTAGAAGAGTTTGCAATAGGGCCTCACTTCCCCAAAGTCTTAGACACTTGTATATTTGTCCTAAAAACAACCAGACTAGCCAGAACAGCCCTGAAATTTTAGTTATTTATACACACACACATATATATATTCAGTTACAAAAGACATCAGGAAACTTTATAGTCAGGGTGCGTTGCTGGGTCATAGGGGCCTGCAGAGCTGTTAAAACTCTAGGTGCCAGTGTTTCTCATAAGATGTTAAAATGACCACAGATGCATATTCTCCAAGACAGCTCATTAAAGAAAATAACATGTATAAACCCATATCAAAAAGACAATGAAAGAGAGAAACAAACATACAAGAATTGTTGACAATCGTTTGCAAGAGAGAAAGTGGATGTAGCTGTGACAACTGATGAGGCGGAGTTTAGAAAGCCGCTGACTAGAGGATGTCCCATGAAAAAGGAGGTAATGAGCCGCTTAGAGCTCCTGAGAAGCTGGGGAAATCAGAGGGATTCTGATTCTTACCTGGGAACAGTAAAATAGAACAGAAAAATTAAAAAATGTGTAAATATATAAATATATTGAGAAAAATTAGAGAATATGTTGTCTTTATAAATGAGAGAAAGCTGATGCACAACAGAAATAACCATAAGAAAAAGCTCTTGGAATTTAAAAATATTATTACTAAAATAAGGCCGGGTGTGGTGTCTCACTCCTGTAATCCCAGCAATTTGGGAGGCTGAGGTGGGTGGATCACTTGAGGTCAAGAGTTTGAGACCAGCCTGGCCAACATGGTGAAACCCAGCCTCTACTCTAAAAAATAAATAAATAAATAAATAAATAAATAAATAAATAAAAAGCTTTATGAAAAGCTCAATAAATAAAACTGAAGAAATGTCTAAGGAAGGTTTTTTTTTTTTTAAATGGAAGAATTTAGAGAACATAGAAGAGCCATCTAGTACTAATTCCAGAGGCCCAACATTTGATTAATAGGAATTCTTGAAACAGAGAATACAGTTGACTGTTGAACAACACGGGTTTGAACTGCATGGGTCCACTTAGGTGAGGATTTTCTCCCACCTCTGCCTCTGCTGAGATAGCAAGACCAGTCCTTCCTCTTCCTCCTCCTTAGCCTACTCAGTGTGAAGGCGATGAGAATAAAGACCTCTATGATGATCCATTTTCACTTAATGAATAGTAAGTATATTTTCATTTCCTTATGATTTTTTAAAATAACATTTTGTTTTCTCTAGCTTACTTTATTGTAAGAATACAGTATATAATACATATACAAAATATGTGTTAATCAACTGTTTATGTTGTTGGTAAGGCTTCTGGTCAACAGTAGGCTATTAGTAGTTAAGTTTTGGGAGAGTCAAAATTTATACATGGTCTTTTGACTGTGCAGGGGCTGGTATCCCTAACCCCTACGTTGTTCAAGGGTCAACTGTAGTAAAATTAGAAGTGAGAACTTATCAAAGAATTAATACAAGAGAATTCCGCAGGTTCTTCAAATGGAAAAAGACACCATGTTCCAGGCATACTGAATAAGCAGAGCCTTGATTACACACAGCATGTGAAATTTTGGAACATTAAGAATAAAAAAAAGATCTTAAAACCTTTTAGAAAAAAGCAGAAATAACAGTTATATGGCATGACACTTCTTACTCAGAAGCACTGAGTGCTAGAAGATAATGGATCAATTGTTTAAAAATTCAAAGGCAAAATATTTCTCACCTAGATTTCTGTACCCAGGCAAATCTTCAGTTAAGTGCTAGAAATTCAGCATTTTAAGGTACGCAAAGATTCAAAAGTATGCCCCCCGTGCTCTATTGTAAGATGTTTCTTAAGAATATATTCTAGTGAATAAAAGCAATTAAAACACGGAAAAGGAAAATGTGGGATCCAAGAAAAAATTAATTGTGCCTGAGGAAAACAGCTATGAACAGTCCCAGAGAGTGACCAATCCAGGGTGGAGCAAAATGAGAAAACCAGAGGTAAGTTTCTAGAAATGAGGGTAATTAATAGAATAGAGATAATGATTGAGAGCTGAAAAAACTTATGGACATTTTAAAGGTGAAACAGAGAAATAAGTAATTTATTTAAAATGATCTCTAGGAACATTTTCTTTTGAGTATCACAGTGGCCATATCAGGGCTTCTGAGAAGGAAACAGAAATCCAACACAATCAGAAATTCCTGCTATAACATCATATATGCATCTCTGAAATATTTTGTGATTTACAAAAATCACAGTATTAAAGTAATAGGGCTTATTAGAAAAATAGGGTTTGGCTGGTGAGTTAAAATTTATGGAACTGTATAACCAGAGACTTAACAAAAACAGTGAAAATCCCAAGAAAAATATTAGCACAGTTAGCTAATATTTAAGTAATTGATTAAATAAATAATTAAAATATTAGCACAGTTAACTCTTTGCTGGCATTTGCAACTAGACTCACTGTTTGTTTGTTAATATCTTGGGATTCAGCTTCGTCCTTGGACAGTTTGGTCCTTGAAGACATTCACATCTAATAGAGACCAGGGTCCTCAAAATTAAAATGTACCATCTAAGGACAGCCTCATATATATACATATATATATCTCAGATATATATACACATACATATATCTCTCAGATATATATACACATATATATCTCTCAGATATATGTACACATATATACATCTCAGATATATGTACACATATATACATCTCAGATATATGTACACATATATACATCTCAGATATATGTACACATATATACATCTCAGATATATGTACACATATATACATCTCAGATATATGTACACATATATACATCTCAGATATATGTACACATATATACATCTCAGATATATGTACACATATATACATCTCAGATATATGTACACATATATACATCTCAGATATATGTACACATATATACATCTCAGATATATGTACACATATATATATCAGATATATGTACACATATATATATCTCAGATATATATACACACACATATGTGTGTATACATATACAATATAAAAATAAATATAAAATATATAGTATATATAAATAATGTATATAGAGAGAAACATAGGGGCATTATCTTTTTCTAATTGATAGGTAATAACTGTATATTATTTATGGGGTACTACGTGGTGTTTTGCTATATGTTTACATTGTGGAATGATTAAATCAAACTATTAATATATTCATCACTTCACATACTTATTTTTTGCATGTGGTGAGAACATTTTAAAATCTAATCTTTAAGAAATTTTGACATATACAATGTATTATTATAATTATAGTCACCAGAAGCAATGTTTTTGCAGCAGCTAATACATCTGCGTTTGTAGCTTCTCTGGATCACTTACTATAGAAGCTATTGAACCCATCTCTTCTTGAAGAGATTAAAGGCGCCGCTCCAGAATTTTTGTTTTCTTAAGATCTTTCTATAATGGCAAATATTTCTCCCTAATTGTGAGAAAATGCGTGCTTGATGGCTTCAAACATCAACGTGCTGGAAAAAAAAAATCATCTGTGAACCAATACAACCTCCATGTTCTGCTGTCGTCTTTTTACGAGTTGCCACTACAGCAGAACAAACTGTTCCTGGCTCTGTGGAGAGCAGAGGTGACACGAGCATAATAGTATAAACACTGCTTATTGGTTTTCAACTTTTAGAATCAGCATATTTACAAGTATGGTGCCTCCGCCCTTCTCTCCAGTGCTAACGTCTTCACCTTAAGACTGCAGAATCTGCAGATGGTGTCTCTGAGGGTCGGGGTGGGAAGTGGAGGTTTCTGCATGACCCGATGCAGAGCTGGGGTGACTGGGAAGCTCGGTATGCTCATTTGGGAGAAATGGAAGGGAAGGAAGAGGAATAAATGAGCCACATCCTCATCCATTATAGACAAGAGTCTAAAGTTGATAACACAAATAAAAATAAATACCAGAAATGTGTTACATAGACACATGATGGTAGCTATCAAAATCCCTAGAGGAGGAACCAGTGCAAATTGGTTGTCTTTGGCATAAGAGCCTAGAGGAATGGCCAGGAGGGGGTGGAGGAGATCAAAGGACTGTTGCTTTTCTCCATGTTCTCCACGAGTGCTCCTAGATTATTTGAACCAAACACACATGCTAATATAATAAAAAATAAAAGAAATTAACTTTTTAAAAATTTGCTCTTACCCTGCACAGCTCAACAGGCACTAAGAGATTCTGATTCTGGTGGGTATAATCGTGTATTTTGAGAAAGATCCACAGATAATTTTGCTGTTCATTCCAAGTTAACACTTAAAGCTCTGGTCGGCTAATGTGGAGTGAAACTGTTACAGTATAAAACTTATTTGACGTAGAATCTTTCTTCAAAGACTATTTTACAGGATTTATGTGCTGTGAAATATTCTTTAGGAAGTGCACACCCATTCCCAATGTGTATCACTTTCTTGGAGAGGAGGACGGGGGAACATTTTAGCTGAAGAATACCTTTGGTTTGATTATTAAGATCCCCAACCTGCCATCACTGAGGTAAAAACTTACAGGTCTTTTCTCAGGAGAAGGGACAGCTAGCACTCATTTACTAGCATGCTTTCGATGGCTTGTCATGTTAACAATGTATGTAGGCTCAGGCTGTGAAGGTCTGGGCAAAGCTGCCAGACCCATGTGGGGCTCTTGCCCATGAAGTGAACTCTATTGGAATGAGGCTCATGCAATGCAGGCCAAAGGGCCCCTGGTTGCTGGAGACTGGAAGCACTGCATGCACAGAAAGTACCAGGGCAGGTCTAGTCAGAGTGAGCAGAGAAATGAGGATTCTCCATGTTGGTAAAAATTGAAGCCAGGCCACTGTTATTAAAAAGTCAAAAAACAACAGATGCTGGGGAGGCTGCAGAGAAACGGGAACACTTATACACTGTTGGTGGGTGGGAATATAAAGTAGTTCAGCCACTGTGGAAAGCAGTTTGGCAATTTCTCAAAAAACTTAAAACAGAATTACCATTCAACCCAGCAATCCCATTACTGGGTATATATCCAAAAGAAAATAGATCATTATACCAGAAAGACACATGCACTCATATGTTCATTGCTGTGCTGTTCACAATAGTGAAGACATGGAATCAGCCTCGGTGTCCATCAATGGTGGATTGGATAAAGAAAATGTGGTACATCTACACATTGGAATACTACACAGTCATAAAAAAGAATGAAACCATGTCATTTTCGGCAACATGGACGCAGCTGGAAGCCATTATCCTAAGCAAATTAGCACAGGAATAGAAAACCAAATACCATGTGTTCTCGCTTACAAAGGAGCTGAACATTGAACAACTACAGACATAAACATGAACAATAGACACTGCAGAATACTAGAAGATGAAAGAAAGGAGAGAGGAATGGGTGGAAAAACTACTTATTGGGTACTACACTCACTACCTGAGTGCAATATGCCCATGTAACAAACATGCACATGTACCCTCTGTATATAAAATAAAAGTTGAGAAAAAAAATAAGTAAAATCTAAACCAGGCCAAGGGTTTTGAGATTGCTGAGAAAGCCTGACTTCAATGCCATTTGTTTCCTTGAAGCCTAGCAGCTTGAAGGGCCATCAGACACTCCAAACACAACTTGGATTTGTTCCTGCCACAGCCTCTCATCTACAGAAAAGCTGGCAAGTAGGTAAAGACCCAACAGGTCATGGGAGAGGCACCACCCAGCCTATGCCGCTGGGAGAGGTGCTGATGATTATCTTCAATTAAAACCTCCCTGGAAACTCAATGAGAAGTGATGGACACAGTTCGAGTTAGGAATCAGAATTTTTGGATTCTATGATAGGCCAAAGAGTGCTTGAGGAAAGAGGGTCTTTGGTGTCCCCTGCAAACTATATCAGCTTCTAAAGAAAATGTGGTATGTATACACCATGGAATACTACTCAGCCATAAAAGGGAACAAAATAATGGCATTCACTGCAATCTGGATGGAGTTAGAGACCATTATTCTAAGTGAAGTGACTCGGAAATGGAAAACCAAATATTGTATGTTCTCACTTATAAGTGGGAGTTAAGCTATAAGGACACAAGGGCATAAGAATGATATAATGGACTTTGGGGACTTGGGGGGAAAGGGAGTGGAGGGCGAGGGATAAAAGACTACATGGTGGGTACAGTGTACACTGCTCGGGTGATGGGTGCACCATAATCTCAGTAATTACCACTAAAGAATTACCACTAAAGAATTTGTTTATCCATGTAAACAAAAACCACCTGTTCCCCAAAAACTATTGAAATAATGATATAAAAAAAATAAAAAAAACCTCTATCAGCCTCTAGCCAAGACCTCCCAAATAAACATGCATCTTAGGGAAACAAACAAAACAAAACAAACAAACACAAAAACGCAGTATGCTTGCTGTGCAAAGGCAGCTTCAAAATGTGTCTCCCTATTGCCCCCTCCAAAATATTGTCCCCCCATGGGCCTTTCTTATGTGGAAGTTCTGAAGCAATGTCCTACTCCAGGCAAGCCTGGCTCTGCTATTTGCTGTGTAGCCTTTTTTTGTTATTCCTTAGTTTCTTTATCTGTAAAATGGGGCTGGGGAAGAGGATGAATCCAATGATCTCTAACATCCTTGCCAGCCCTAATACCCCCATTTCTCTTGGGCAAGACAGCAAAAAGAAGAGGTGAGACGTAATGTCTTCTGACTCATACTCCTTACACTCCAGCTTTCTGGGAGAGACCCGTTCTCCTTTCCAGATGGATTTGTCTGTCTTTGTAGGGAAGGGAAGGTGTGTGCTGCTGGTCAGCGTGGAGGCTTTACAAAAGCACAGGAACAAATATGCAGTTCTTCACAAATACTCAATTTACCCAGAAGTGCTCAGCTGCCTGGGGGGAACAGGCTCTCTGCTGACCCAGATAAGCAGACCTAGGGCTCTGTGATGTCGGCATGAGGCCCTTCAAGGTGCCTCTCACCACAGGACATCAGGAGGCTGGGCAGCCCTGTCCAAACACAAACACGCTGGCAGTGGTGTCCCTACCTACACAGATGTGAACACAAAGGAGATTTTTCAGCTAATAAGATCCTCTGGTGTTTGTAGCACTAAGCAGGTAAGGTCATTAGAACTCTTCTTTATAATACATTTTCCCCCTCATTCTGATGGAAGAAAAATAGGTTGAAGGAACTGATTTTATTTCCCATTTAAGTTAATTCAATGGAAGCTAGGGTTTTTTTTTTTCTTTATGTATGTGTGTAGAAGGGATGGGGGAGGCCTCAGGGAAGGAGAGTTTTGAGATGATGCTATTGAGTCCCTTGGCTAAAGAAGAAAAATGTCAGGCTTGAAATGGTTTCCTCTGGGGGCTGTTTGTGGAATCAAAACGCCTCTCTGGTTTGCAGTTCTGAAACCCACTACTGTGACTTAAAAAAAAAAAAAAAAACACTTTCAATTTAGAGGGGGAAAAGGCTACAGCTCCTGGAGTCCCAACTCAGCTGAGGAAAATGCCGCCGGATGATGTGAACGCAGTGGATTTGGATTTCAAACACCGGCATTGATCTCAGCATTGATTGGGGTTGTATTACTGATCTTGTCTGAGCGCCCAGCCCCACCTCTGTCCCCCAGGGAAGGAGGATTGATTGCAGGGTGCAGCTGTGAGGCATGGATGGAAGAGGAAGGACAAAGAGGCCAGTCCCATGATGAGGGAAGGATCCCAACACGCTCTTGCAATAAACTGCAATCCTGCAAATCAAAATCTCATCCTTAGTGACTCCCGTCCTCCCGCACTTTGTCAACACTTTTCTCCTGGGAAGGCTCAGTGCTTTGAAGGATGCTCAGGTTAAATCTCTATTTACACCACCACAAGGAGAGGGGTATGCGGATAAATGATTAATCCTCCTCCTCTCCTGTACCCGGGACCCTGTGCTCACTAGGTTCCTTGATCTACGAGGACCCACTCTGGACCTCATTCTATCTACTATATCTGATTCCAAGTGATTGATTAATGAATTTTTAATTCATTTAACAAATACTGAGCGCCTACTATGTGCCAGGAGCTTAGCTTGCCTCAGTGAACAAAAGAGACACAGATCTCTGCCCTCATGAAGCTTATATTCTAGTGAGAGAAGATGGGCAATAAGCAATAAAAAGAATAAACAGCACATTCTCATATGTTATCAGGTGATGACTACTATGGGAAAGGAAATGTAGAGTTGAGAAGGAGAAATTTGAAAGGGCAGAGTAGGAATGCTCTACAACTTGTCAGAGTGGGCTTCTTTGAGAAGGGCACATTTGGGCAGAGACTGCAGGGAGGTGAGGGACTCAGCTGTGCAGGGATACAGAGTCAGTACCTCCAGGCAGAAGGAACTGCTAAGCACAGCAGCCCTAAAGTGAGGGGCACCTGGGGTGTCTGGTGGACACTAAGGAGGCCAGTGTGACTAAATCAGGGTGTGTGTGGGTGGCCGAGGGTGAGTCATGGATAAAGCCAGAGGGGTTCTGAGGGGCTGAATTCTGTAGGATATTATAGGTCATTGTAAGATCTTTGGCTTATATTCTGCAGGCAATAGGGAGCCACTAGAGAATTTTAAGCAGTGGAATGGCACAATCTAACTTAAATTTTCAAAAGATTTGTAAAATTTGGGAGGCTGTATTGAGAATAGAGAGCAAGGGTAGAGCAAGGAGGTGGTAGCAGGAGGAGAGAGAAGATGGACACTGGAAGCAGGGCAGCAGAGTGGAGGCGGTGAAGAGAGGTCAGTTTCCAAATATCACTTGAAGATAGAGCCAAGGGGCTGTTTGATTGTGATGGGTTGGTAGTAGGCAGAGGTTTTGGGCTCAAGCAATTGAAAGAGCTGAGATTCTCACAACTGAGATGGAGGAGGAGCTTTTTAGGGAAGATCTTGAGTTGAGTCTTAGGCATGTTAAGTCTGTGATGTCTGTGTTAGACATCCAAGTGGAGATGTTGAGTGTGCAACTGGAGACACAAGTACAAAGTTCCAGAGAGATGTCTGAGTTTTAAATATAAGTTTGGGAGCTATTTGCATACACCTGATATTTAAATGCCATGAGACTGGGTGAGTAAGGATGGAGAAGGGAATAGGACCCTGGGCACTCCTGGGAGCAGGACCCTGGGACATTCCAACATTAAGAGTCTGGGAGGAAGAGAAGAACCAGCAAAGATGGCTGAGAAGGAGCAAACTTGTGAAGTAGGAGTTTGTAGAGTCCTTGGAGCCAGGTAAAGAAACATATCACAGTCAACTGGTTCAAGTGCTGCCAAGAGGTCAAGGAAGATGAGGACTAAGATAATATTATTGTTTTTAGCAATATGGAGGTCACTGGTGCCCTGGACATGAGCAGTTTTGGAAGAGTATTAGAAGCAAATGCTCAACTGGATGGGGTCCAGGAGAAAATGAGAAGAGAGGAATTGCTAATAATTTAGAAAACTCCTTTGAAGGATTCCACTGCAAAGGAGATCAAAGAGTTGGAGCATCAACCAGCAGAAGAAATAGCACTGTGGCAAGTTTCTGTTTTCTTTGGCTTGGTTTTGTCTGGTTTAGTTTAGTTTTAAGGTGAGAAAAATATAGCTATAAGCAATCAACTAACCAATATATGGAATATTTGCCATGTACCAAGCATTGTGCTAGGAACTTAAAGAAGAAATAGAAATTTAAACTGCATCCTTGCCTTCAAAGATTTTACAACCTAGTCAGAGGCAGAAATTTTTTAGAAAAGAAAATCAGAGAGCTATAGGGGCACCCAATAAAAATGTTCCATAAACAGGAATGAAAGTGGGTAATGTGTACTCTGCTGGTGTCATGGAAGTTCAGAACAAATAGAGTGGGGACAACATTTCTCAAATTCAGTGGATGACATTGATTAACTACTAAGTGCCTACAAAAGAATATACAGGCACTTAATTATGGTATGGACAATATTGTAACCTTTTGGTGAGCTTTCATGGTTCCATATGCATCTTCATTTCCTAGGTGATGAAATGCTAATTAATTATGAAGCTATTAATTGAGCATCTACTGTGTATGAGGAGCCAGGTGGGTTACAAAGATGCCTAGATCCATCTCTGCTCTTTACAGCTTAGTAGAATAGCCAAGGCAAGAGCATCACTGATATTGGAAGTGCTCACAGATGGCCCATGACTCAGCTATGGAACCCAAAATGGAAGAAGTCAGCCTCCCCTGCACTTCTTCCCCTACCTCATCTCCCAGCCAGACTTCAATCTCACCTTTACCTGAGAGGGGACTTCCAGAAAGTGCCATGACATTTCTAGGGTCTCTTTCCTCTTTTGTGCTTGTGTCTAGAAACAATTCACGTTAGTGAATACATAGATATGAAGGAGCAGATTTTTGAGGGCTTATGTGGGGTAAAGTCTGGAATGAGGTCTACTGGACATTATCAAAAATATACCTTGAATGATTTTGCATTGTAAGTCACAATGGCAGAATAGTCCTGAAGCTGGTGAATTACTCATGGTTCTCTTCAGCCCTCTGATATCCTCATTGTAATGGAAAACTCCTGATTATCTACAATTATGGAGAGAAGTACAAGTCATCCCAAATAGGGATATGCCAATTATTTATATAGGCTTCAGGAATGTATCTCAGGGTTTCTAGTGAAAATTAGTTCATTTTGTGTTCTAGAATTATAAGAAAGATAAAACCAAATAATGATGCTGGGCTATAAAGGCCATCTCAGGCAATACTAGAGCAATGTCTGTTTTTCTAATAACATCATGACAATCCTCTGCTGTCTGTTCTAGCCAAGAGGAGAGATATATCACCTTTCAAACTGATGTTGAACACCAGCTTAAGCAGAACTGTCTCTCCTTTTCCTTCTGACTAACATGTTTACTGACAACATGCTGGGTTTTGGATCTCCCAGGAGAATCTGTTTGGATACCTCATGTAAATGGCAGTCTTAATTATTGTCCAGAGAATGAACCAGACCCTCCGCAGTGTTGGCTATGAAAATGTTCACCAGGCTGGACAGCCTGTAGAATTTTCAATATTTGCTTTCACCCCTAGAAAAATAAAAATGTTACAGTCCCTCCTCCTCTTCCTGGGATAATCAATTTATTCATAAGCCAGGAATAAGTCCTTACTCCACATAATCAATTTATTCATAAGCCAGGAGAAAGTCCTTACTCCACACTGAGCCCATGGAAAGCATTTGGCATATGAGTGTAAATCCTCAAGAGGATGGTGGTCTAGGTAGGGGTTCAGACTCATTGATGAGCATCTGTAAGAGAGTGTTTGGCGGGCAGAAGGACAGCCATGTGCATGGAGTAGGTAGGACATCGAAGAAGCCTAAGGTCAACTCTACTGCAGCTGGGGCAGGAAGGTAGCCTTGAATTAATCCATAGAAAGTGAAGAGATTTCTGGATATAGAACAGGGGGGAGAGGTTTTGGTAATTGAGGGAACAGGAACTCTAAGTGGAGGGAATGGTAGCCAAAGACTGGGGCATACAACTGCCAAGCACATGCCCTGGGCATGCAGTGGGTTATCTGCTGGGTCTTTACCTACTTTCCAGTTTTTCTGTAGATGAGAGGCTGTGGCAGGAACAAATCCAACTTGTGTTTGAACTCTCCTTGCATCCCCACAACCAAAAGGGCACTGCAGGGTGCCAAGAGCACCTCGGGGAGCACCTCCCACCTCCCCCACCTCCCAACTCCCGCCCACTTTGCACTACACTTCGATGTGGTGTCTATTGTGGCAGCTACTGTCAGCACCACTTTTAACTGCCACCTTTTCTATTCAGGGGACAACTTCAGGAGAGGGCTCTGCTGGCATCCCCAAACTCGCACTTGGAATCATAATGGTGCTATGAGACGAGCGAACACAGTAAGCTGGGGAGATGAGTGATTGCATCTGATGTTGGAGGACTAGATCCTGCAGGAAGGTTAGCGGGGAACATCCCCACGGTCACTGTTTGTTTGTTTACCTAACTTCAAAATTCTCTCTGGAGCTGCTTAGACAAAGCCTGACTTATCTTCCCAAAGATGAAACACTGGGTAAGACACATATCAAATGAAAATAGCTTTTTTAGTCATAGTCAATATTTTGTAAAAATTTGACAATCTGACACTGTTAAATTCAAGTGCCTATCTCCTGGTTTTGGTTTACTTTGTTCGGGGGTTAGGGACAATGTCTCCATGATTATTATGTAGCAAGCATCAGTCATGGTTACAAGGAACCACAGCACAGCCAGCTGATACTTGGTAGGCTTTCCAGCCCCTGAAGGGCAATGCTTTAAACTTTCACATCTTCTGAATCTTCTGTCTCATACACTGGTCAGTTTTCAAATAGCCATTTTATTGGTAGTCTGAGGGAAAATCTTTGTTTTCAGTCCTTCGCTGGAGTTATCCCCCTCTCTGTTGACTTACTTTCTTGATAGACATCTTTATCTCTGTTTGTTCTTGCTTGGCAAGGAGGCTACAGTTTAATACAAGCTGGAAGGGACGTTGGGAGGTTATTGTAAGAGCCCAGGAGAGACGATGAGGACCCCAGCCAGGGTGCTGAGAATAAGGATGGATATATGAGCTGAGAAGGGGAATGTCCACAGTGGCTCCAAGTTGCTAGCTCGAGGCATTAGAGGGATGATGAGGTCTGGCACTCATGCAGCAGGAAAAGGAGCTCTCTCTTGAACCTGTTGGAGTGTAGGTACTTCCAGGGCATCCAGGTAGAGATTTAATAGGTGGCTGCTTATGCAAGTCTAGGGTTCACGAGTGAGTAGGACTGAGAGGGCCAAAGATGTGATTTCATCAACACTTACACCCACATATGGTTGAGTTCCAGCCCTCTGCCCCCAAATGTTTGCAGTGTCACCAAGGAAACAGGTTTATTTTGATATTAGTTTCTCAAATTCCACCTTTTATCTTTCTGCCAGAAACAGTCCTGACAAAACAACCTACTGATAAGTCAGAAGAAGAATTAAGAATGTGGAACTGGGGAAGAACTATAGTAAGTGAAGGAACTAAGTAATAATAAATCCAAACCGTTGAGCACTGCAGCCACTCACAGTCACTCTTTGTTCTTCTTCTTGGCCCTCTGGCAGAACTGAGCATCTTGAAGGTCTTGGGCAAAGTCATAGATACCAATTTTAGCAATTTACCACCATGAATTTTCTACACAGACAATAGATTATCAGAGTGTATCTGGCCCAAAGTGCCTGTGGTGGTATAATGAGTTATCACCAGAGTCACTAGAGAGATGATAAAATCATCCTGGCAGCCAGGATGGGCTGGGAACACAGGAGAGCATGCACAGAGTGTGTTACGTTGGTGGTGCATTTGCCCAGAGTGGTGCTTCTTTGTGACCCAGTGGCTCCAACATATCAGGAAGTTGGGAAGCTGGGAAGCTGGGAAGCTGGAAACACCAGTGATGATTCCTTTCCTGAGCCAGAGCACGCTGACAGCTGAGAAACCACACTTCTCTCATCTTTTCAGCCAAACCACGCTTTTGGTCCATTCTGTCACTCCTATCTCCCAATTAGACATCCAGAGTCCCCATACCACCTGCCGCTCTAGAAGACAAGCCCAGCTGCCCTGATGTGGACAGGGCTGGTGGAGGCTGAGCTCTCCCAGCCTGGAAGACAGTAACAGAGCAGGTGAGTGCCCCAGAGGAGAGCAGATATTAACTGCTAGGAAGGGAGAGAGAACTGCCTTCCCTCAGAAAGACAGAGGGCTTATGAAGTTTCATCACTGGTCACTGTTGTTAGTTTGGGGCACTCTTTATAAAAGATATGAAGACTTTACATATGAAGTAGAAATACAAATTCCCATCTTAGGGAGTTGGTTTGGAGGTTAAATGAGAAAATATAGGGAAATCACATTACATAGTGTCTGGTATTTACTAAATGCTCAATAAGTGGTAGTATTTGAGGAATGTAAAGAAGTGGTTAAGGTCACACCTCAGACCTAGGTTCAAATCCCAGCACTACCCTTTACCAGCTATGAGAGATAGGGAACATTATTTAACTTCTTAGAACAGCAGTTTTATGATCTCTAAAATTAGGTTAACTATATCTAACCCTTTGGGTTATTGTGAGTTTTAAGATAAAATATTATAAGTAAAAAGCTTTCATTCATAGTAGCATTAGATTATTTTTGAAAATGCCTGAACAGAGGGCCCATTTTATGCTTTGTATTTTCAGAGAAAATACCCTTCGATAGGTCAGAAGCAGGTTCTGTTGGGACCATCTTCAGATCTCTAAACTACAGTGAATCTAAGCTACAAGTTGACCTAGACTAGGGTCGGCAAATCTTTGGGCCAGAGAAAAAAATATTTTGGGCCTTCTGGATCACAGTCCAAAAACACATCACAGGACCAAAAACAGTCATAGACCATATGTAAAAGAAAAAAAAAAAGGGTGGCCCCTGTCTGTGTTGCAGTAAAACATTATTGACAAATCGATGCCAGGTTTAGCCTGCAATCAGTTTGCCAGCTCTTAACCTAGTCATAAACTAACTTCACATGTAGGTACTGGTTGATGTGGAATGGTCAGGGGAAAAGTGGGACAGCCCTGATGCTCCCATACTCGTCCTCCATAAGATGCCAAGAACTAGGTATTCCACCATTAGAAAGTCATTCCATTGAATCAAGCATTGATCCATGGAGGGAAAAAAAGAGGTGCCTATCAAAATGCAAGTAAAAGGAATAATTGATAAAGATTAAGCTTTAATTTGAAGTGGCATATAGTGTACCTTCCTGCTGACTGGCCTTGACTTAGCTGGAGGACACCCAGCACCTGCAGGAGGGACTATTGAAAATGGATTGAGCATGGGAAAAGGGGAACAGATCTGATCTTTCTCTCAGGTCTTCCACCTCCAATCTGTCCACTTAGACTCCTTCCCCTGCTATGTTATAATCCACTTCCAAGCCAAGATCCCTTCATCACAAAGAGCAAACCAGAAGAGTGGATCCTTCAACCCTTCTTTCTGAGATAGTGGGAGACTGCTTTCAAAAACTCCTAAAGCCTGCATCGTCAGTTTCCAGTTTTTCCCTGTCTTAGAAGAGATGTGCAAGGGGACATTTCTTTGTACTCCATGCATCAGGACACAGGTTAATGTCGATGCTAGTATGGAAGTCTTTCTCTTCCCTTTCCAAACTCCCAATCCCACCTCACCTTCCCCCTCCGACGCATCCAGTGGTAGCCATGGGACAGGGATGAAAAAATAGGAGTAAGAATCAGAATTCAGGGTTGGCCTGGGGACATAGGCTATTTTAGTGTAAGGTCAAAGTTATGTTAGGGGTAAAATAGGAATTTCACTTGTGGATCTGGCATGGACTATTAGCTGTAGATTAATCTTTGAAGTATAGGATACAGTGGGCAGTGGAGTTGATCTCCCATTACTTTCTGGGTGATGGAGTAGCAAGGATATCTACTTGTGATCACTCGGTCCAAGAAACTGTAATGGGTTTTGCTCCCCAAGGGCAGCTACAGACACATCCTTTGGGTCAAAATAAGAAGCCCATTCCTGGGGCCCTACTAGATTGCCCTGTGCTCTGTCTTGTGGATGGTCCCACCTTCATTCCATCACAGAACTGTTGCTCACCGTCTTTGTTTCCCAGTGTCACCTTCTCTTTGGTTATCCACATCTGCAGTATCTCCTTATGCAAACCTTTCCAGGACCACCTGATGCTGCAGGCAGCTTCTTTTCCAGGTACCTGTAGGACAGCATCCATTTCCCTTTCCTGGGGCCTCTGGTAGCTGGAAGGCACATCTATTTCTATGAATCTGCTCCTCCCCGACTTCAACTCCCATCTTCTCAGCACATTATCCAACACTAAGCATTCGTAGGTGCTCCATCAGTGTGTGGAATTAATTCGCAATTGACAACTTTAACACTTACATCACATGAACAATGGATCACCTTGCTGTGATGTGCCAGTTGAGGGGATACAGGCAAGCGCTGGAGAAGGCTGGGAAGAAGCCTGTACTAATACCTCTCCACCATGCCCCTGAAGCCCTGGGAGGGCGGAGAACACCGAGAGGAGATGGGAGTACATGGCAGTCTGGTCTCTGGGAGCTTTGAATCCTTCGGCACACCCTTTCTTCCCCGTTTCACTGCTGCTTCCTGTCCTGGTGGCTGTATTTGTCAGCTCAGGCTGCGGAAACAAAACATCATAGACCAGGTGGCTTAAACAATACATTTGCTCATAGTCCAGAAGGCTGGAAGTCTGAGATCCATATGCCAGCATGGTTGAGTTCTGGTGAGGGCTTGTGGATGGCCGTCTTCTCTCTACGTCCTCACAGGGCAGCAAGAGCAATCTCACTCTTCTTCTTCCTATAAGGCCACTAATCCGTTAAGGAGGGTCCCACCCTCATGGCATAATCTAACTTAAATTCCCTCTCAAAGGCCCTTGATATGGTTTGGATCTGTGTACCCACCAAATCTCATGTTTAATTGTTTAATTGTAATCCTCATTGTTGGAGGTGGGGCCTGGGGGGAGGTGACTGAATCATGGGGGCAGAGTTCTCACAAGTGGTTTATGTGTTCTTTTGATAGTGAGTGAGTTCTCAAGAGATCTGGTTGTTTTAAAAGTGTGTAGCACCTTCCACCTCTCTCTCTCAGTCCTGTTCCTGCCACGTAAGAAGGCTATTCCCACTTTGTCTTCATCCATGAGTAAAAGTTCCCTGAGGCCTCCCCAGAAGCAGATGCTGCCGTGCTTCCTCTACAGTCGGTGGAACCATGAGCCAATTAAACCTCTTTTCTTTATAAATTACCCAGCCTCAGGTATTTCTTTACAGCAGTGCAAGAACAGACTACTACAACCCCATTTCCAAATACTATCCCATTGGGCATCAGGGCTTCAACATATGAATTTGAGGGAACACAAACATTCAATCCATAACAGTAGCTTAGAAACCTGTCTGGCATTTCAGAAATCCTCCAGCTGGATTTGACACAATTGTAGATGATTTAGCAATCTAGTTCAATTATCTTTTGCTTAATTTAACTTTTTAAGCCACAGTGCAAAGAATGTATTAATTCTTGTGTACTCAAGTTAAGTGATAGAAAAATATTCTAGGATTCGTTCCTTACACTTAAGGTGATAGTCATTATTAGGAAGTGCTTCTTCAGGAAGGAGTTCAATTCCCAGGAATTGTGAGGGAGAGAAAGGGGGAGTGAGGCAGAAAAGGAGGGAGAGCTTGAATGTGGGGCATGACCAAGCTAGCCTCTGCTCAATATAATGTATTTAGATTGGTGCAAAAGTAATCACGGTTTTTGTCATTACTTTTAATGGCAAAAGCTGCGAAAACTTTTGCACCAACCTAATGCAACTGAAGGCTCCATGTCTCAGGACTTGCTTCCCAGAACTCCTAAGTACTCTTGTCTCACGAGAGTCCAATGGAGAAGGAAGCAGGGAAAGGAGAAGAATAAATCCACCATGTCCTGCCTCCCATTGGTCAAATATCTGCCCACTGGGCATTAACTCCCAGACACTTTAGTATTGCAAATGTGTAGGTCCCACATTTGCATGCCTCCACAGCATCAGAAGAGCCTCCAGTCAAATGGTGAGAGTCATGCAGTGTGGGCCAGGTGGCATGATCAGGTTGCACTTTCACTGGTCTCTGTAGTGGCAGCTGGAGTGGGAAAAGGGGCCCAAAGCCTTGGACAGAGGTGAAGCAAGAGGATGTAAGATGGTGCATCAGACTTGTCCTATATATGGAAACTTCCACCCTGAGTGTGGCTGCTCACTGACATGCACTTTCTATTATGCTCTTATGCAGACATGAACTTTGTCTTTATTCAACAATTCATTTCTTCATTCATTCATTAATCAGTCCATGTACCACCCCAAAGACAGAAGTGCTTTAGCAATAAAGTAGTTTTGATTAAGGTATGTGCATTCTGCCATATGTCAGACACTGAGATAAACAGAAATAACCCTGGCTTTCTGGAGTAACAGAGGCACCTTATTTACCATCCTGAAGCAAACTTAGGCTTCCTCCCTGGCTTTCCATCCCCTCCAGCACTACCTCCACTCCTACTTGGGCCAATCACCACCGCTGGGCTTACAAAGAAGTGTTGAGGTGCCCACAAATCTCACACTGCAAGGCCCTAAGGCTGTGGGGTGGCCCTAGAAGAGGAGGCATCCCTTCCAAGGAAGAAATCTTACCTGTGAGCTTGAACACTGTTTTGTACTACTACTTATCCCTCCTCCTGATGTCATCATGCCAGGGACACTCTGGACCAGATCATGGAATAAGGAGCTCCCTTGAGAGCAAAAGACCATGTGCCCAGCTTCCAGAAATGGATTCTGCAATCTTAACTTAATCTCCAGAAGAAAAGCAAGTTCCGGGAGACTGGAAAAGCCTTAGTGTCTTAACATTTGAGGGCTGTCTGTAGGGAAGGGTTCAAAGGCAATCCTTGTGGATTAGGGAGAGACAGAAAACTAGTACAGGCATACCTTGTTTTATTGTGCTTCATGCTGTTGCACTTCACAGATATTCAGGTTATTTAAAATATATATAAATTGAAGGTTTGTGGCAACCCTGTGTTGAACACGTCTATCAGCACCATATTTTCAACATCATGTGCTCATTACATGTCTCTGCATCACACTTTGGTAATTTTTGAGAATATTTGAAAAATATTTCAAATGCCCCCTCTTCCACTTTTTTTTGAGACAGGGTCTTGCTCTGTCACCCAGACTGGAGTACAGTGGTGCAATCTTGGCTCACTGCAGCCTCACCCTCTGGGCTCAAGCGATCCTCTCACCTCACCCTCTCAAGTATTTGGGACTACAGGCACACACCACTGCACCCAGCTAATTTTTTTGTAGAGATCTGGTTTCACTATGTTGCCCAGGCTGGTCTCGAACTCCTGACCTCAAGCAATCTGCCTGCCTCGGCCCCCCCAAAGTACTGGTATAATAGGAGTGAGCCACTGCACCCAGCCCAAACATCTTTATTATTATTATATCTGTTATAGTGATCTGCAATCAGTGATCTTTGATATTATTTTTATTGTTTTGGGGGGACAACAAACAGCATTCAATAAGACAGGGACTTAATAAATGTTGTGTGTTCTGACTTCTCTGCCAAATGGTTGTTCCACCATCTCTCTCCTCCTTCTCAAGCCTCTTTATTTTCTGAGACAGAATATTAAAATTAGGCCAATTAATTACTCCACAGCAGCCACTAAATGTTCAAGTGAAAGGAAGAGTTGCACATCTTTTACTTTAAATCTAAAGCTAGACATAGTTAAGCTTAGTGAGGAAGGCATGTCAAAACCCAAGATAGGCTGAAAGCTAGACCTCTTGCACCATTTAGCCAAGTTGTGAATACAAAAGAAAATTTCTTAAAGGAAATTAAAAGTACTACTCCAGTGAACACAGGGATGATAAGAAAGCAAAATGGCGTGATTGCTGAGATGGAGAAAGTTTGAGTGGTCCAGATAGAAGATCAGACAAGCCACAACATTCCCTTAAGCCAAAGCCTAATCCAGAGCAAAGCTCTAATGCTCTTCAATTCGATGAAGACTGGAGAGGTGAGGAAATGGCAAAGAAAAGTTAAAAGCGAGTAGAGGTTGGTTCATGAGATTTCAGGAAAGGAGCTGTCTCCATAATATAAAAATTCAAGGTGGAGCAGCAAGTGTTGATGTGGAAGCTGCAGCAAGATCTTAGCAGAAGATCTAGCTAGGATAAATGATGAAGGGGGCTGCAATAAACAGCAGATTTTCAGTAAAGACAAACTCGCCTTCTATTGGAAGAAGATGACAACCAGGACTTTCATAGCTGGAGAGAAGTCCATACCTGGCTTCAAAGCTTCAAAGGACGGGCTGACTCTCTTGTTTCAGGCTAATGCATCTGGTGACTTTAAGTTGAAATCAATGCCCATTGACCATTCTGAAAATCATAGGGCCCTTAAGAATGATGCTAAATATACTCTGCTTGTGCTCTATCAATGGAGCTACAGAGCCTGGATGACAGCACATCTGTTTTCAGCATGGTTAACTCAATATTTTGAGCCCACTGTTGAGACCTACTTTTTAGAATAAAATATTTTTAATACTGCTCATTGACAATGCACCTGGCCACCCAAGAACTCTGATGGAGATGTACAAGGAGATGAATGTTGTTTCATGTTTGATAACACAACATCCATTCTGCCCATGAATCAAAGAGCAATTTAGACTTTCAAGTCTTATTATTTAAGAAAAACATTTTATAAGGCTATAACTCCCATAGATAGTGATTCCTCTGATGGATCTTGACAAAGTAAACTGAAAATCCTCTGGAAAGAATTTATCATTCTAGGTGCCATTAAAAATATTTGTGATTCAGCAGGGCATGGTGGCTCACACCTGTAATCCCAGCACTTTGGGAAGCTGAGAAGGGAAGATCACCTGAGGTCAGGAGTTCGAGACCAGCCTGGACAACATGGTAAAACCCTGTCTCTACTAAAACTATAAAAATTAGCTGGGTATGGTGGTGCACATCTGTGATCCCAGCTACTCAGGAGGCTGAGGCAGGAGAATCACTTGAACCCGGGAGGCGGAAGTTGCAGTAAGCCGAGACCACACCACTACACCCCAGCCTGGGTGGACAGAATGAGACTCTGTCTCAAAAAAAAAAAAAAAATGTGATTCATGATTCATGAAAGGAGGTCAAAATATCCACATTAACAGGGCTTTGGAAGAGATTGATTCCAAACTTCATGAATGACTTTGAGGAGTTCAGGACCTCAGTGGAGGAAGTAACAGCAGATGTGAAAATAGCAAGATAACTAGAATTAGAAGTGGAGCCTGAAGATGGGACTGAATTGCTGCAATCTCGTGGTAAAACTTGAATGAATAAGGAGTTGCTTTTTATGAATGAGCAAAGAAAGTGGCTTCTTGAGATGGAATCTACTCCTGGTGAAGATGCTGTGAACATTGTTGAGCTGACAACAAAAGATTTAGAATATTTGTTCTATAAACTTAGTTGATAAGGCAGTGGTAGGGCTTGAGAGGATTGACTCCAATTTTGACAGAAGCTCTACTGTGCATAAAATGCTATCAAACAGCATCACATGCTACAGAGACTCTTTTGTGAAAGGAAAGTCCATTGGTGCAGCGAACTTCACTGTTGTCTTATTTTAAGAAATTGTCATAGCCACCCCAGCCTTCAGCAACCACCACCCTGATCAGTCAGCAGCCATCAACATGGAGGCAAGACCCTTCACCAGCAAAAAGATTATGACTTGCTGAAGACTCAGAGGATCATTAGCAGTTTTTTTTTATCAGTAAAGTATTTTTGATTAAGTTATGAGCATTGTTCCTTAGCCATAATGCTATTGCACACTTAATAGACTACAGTATAGTATAAATACAACTTTTATATGCACTGGAAAATCAAAAAGTTCATGTGACTTGCTTTATTGTGATACTTGCTTCATTGCAATGGTCTGGAACTGAACCTGCAATTTCTTCAACATATGCCTGTAATTCTTTATATATTTCTGTTTCATTTACTCATTATCTCATTCACTATGGGCCACCCTAACCATGCATGGCCACGTGCCATTATTTCCATGTCACAGATGTGAAGACTGAGGCTGAGGGATTAAACAACTTGCTGAAGCTCACACAGCCAGTAAAAGGGCTTAAACCCTGTCTGGTAAGTGCACATCACCTCTGTCCTCAGCCCCCAGTACTCAGTGGCCTGGCCTACTCTGTCCTGTCTTCTTCCCACAGACCTGTCAGCCCAGCCTCCGCAGCTGTAGATCCTTACCCACCATGTGGGAGGCAATGGTCCTTAGGACCCAGGGATTTCCCCTAAGGTACTTTAGCTCTGTCAGTATTGTGAGTGGGCAAAATGCCAGTGATCAAGGCTCCATCTTCCCCTCCCATGTCCTCTAGCAAGCCCCCTCCTTCTCCCTCACCTAGCACAGAGCCAATGCACTCCCAGTAAATTCAGTGTTTTTCCATTCCAGTGAGTGCAGCCTTTACTTTGATTTGGGTGCAAGCAGCTGCAGGTGCCTCAAGTCATCATGTGCTCTCTTTCCCCCTCGTTCCCTGCAATGTCATCCATGTTTACTTGCTGCTCTGGACTTTAGATTCTGTCAGCATGCCAGTCGGTGGGGCCGCCAGGCACCACAGCTGACAGTCAAATCTGTGATGCCGAATCCTTCTTCTGGAAAAAAGGGCTAAAGAGGTTAATACACTCAAGTCAGGATAAACACACCAGCTGTTAGAGTTTCTAATATTTAATATCATTATCAAATAAATAACTCAGGAAGAAATCACACACATACATACACACACACCACAAACACCCACAGCCGCTGCTTCATTTACAGTGGTTAAAAAAGAATATTCATAAATTATCTTAAAAGCCTCCACAATGGAGTAATGGTTGGGACACAATTAGGGAACATTTGCATATATGCTGCTGCCGGTCCCTGCCCAGAGACATCCTCCCCCAGGTCAGCCCTGGAGAGAGAAACTGGGGGAGCAGGAGGAAGGAATATGAGTTCACAACTATAGGCTTCCCTCTTGATCTGGTAAGATCTCAGCTCAGGCAAGCTTTGCTTCTGCTTTCAATGGCAGATTTCCCTCTGTTAAAAAAACATACCACACTTCTGTCTACCTACACAATTCAAGATAAATTCGTTTTGTTTCAGGAAAATATGTATTCAGACAAACAACATTAGTAATCAGTTTTGTGGATAATGGATTATTTAACTGACCAGTAAATAGTGTTTTGTTGTTGTTTACTCTTCAATCTACTTTGTGTGTAGATATTAGCCAGATCTTGTAGATCTAGCCTTCTGATTCCCTAAACACTAATACTAAGGCTGAGCAGGACAGAATTTTAACAGCCTGTTAACTGTGTCAGGAAAGTGTGAGTCTACTTTTTTTTTTTTTTTTTTTGCCTCAGCTCACTGGCTGCTGTTCACCTGGGCTAAAGGAACAGAAAATGATGATCATCGCATTTGGGGGGAAAATGAACATGGGCTAATTTTTTTTTTAAGGCTCCAACAAAATGTTTTCCAGGTCACAAAGCATGGAACAAAATGAGCTCCATATCTAGTTTATGTTGTATATTATAAGGGAAGCTGGTCTCGGTGACTCTGTTAAGGTTCCATGAGCATTTTTTGAGATAAAGCCTTCATTCCAAGGGGCCAGGGTTGAGCTATTTCCCTTCTCATCAAGCAAAAACCTGGCATCCCGTTTGTCTGTCCAGATGTATTTTTGTTTGGGTTTTTACGCTGTTTGATTGAGATCAAGTCATGAATTTCTGCTCTCTGGATGGGCAGAGGAATGACAATTTATGAAGTCTGAGGATGCATGTTGTTTAGCTCAAAAGCACAGCCAGATGAATTTTGGTGACAGGAAATGCTGCACTGCGTGGCCACAGCAGCCAATATCTGGGGCAATTTCTCTTTTACAGACTTTTGAAAATCAGAGCAGGAGGATATAGTTTTAATAATCTCTCATAACTGGGGCTGTAATGGGTGGGATGGATCAGATGGAAAGGATTCCAATAATTTAAATAGGACTTTGTTCTATAAGACTTCCATCATAATTGTCCTGTTGACATTGTATCTGTGCAAAGGCTTACAGTGATGACTGCACTGTCCACACACTTTCCATTTAATGCTAGGAATGGCGGACAGGCAAATGGCTTCTGCCTTTCAGTCTTTGAGCTTCCAAATGGCTCAGTGCCTCCTTTGCTCACTCAGACATCTTCTAGGTGCCCAGCCAGGTTCCTGGGTTCTTCAAACGAGTTTTTCAAGTGTGTAGAAAATATGCAGCCAGGTGGCAGGGATGAAGGCAAGAAGAATGAGTCTCTCCAGACCCCTGGGGACACCCAGTGGGTGAAAAGGTGTCTCAGAGCTGCTCAGTGGTGGGTTGAGGGTGTTATTAGAGGGATGGAACCATGTCTGAAGTTGGGGGTGTTGGCTGGAGTTTAGATCTTTGATTATTTTTCTATTCAGATATATCTAGATTTGATAAAGTGAGACGAAAATGATTGTTAGAGTCATGAGGATGAAAAAGAATGAAGAGCAAAATGGTGGGTGGGAGAAAGGGAGAGGGAAAGGGGAGGAGGAAAAGAGGAGAAAAGGAAGAAAGAGGGAAAGGGAGAGAGAGGGAGGGAAGGAAGGAAGGATGACGAAAACCAAACTCAGTTCTCAAAGTCAGAGGTGCGCTGTCTCGGGCAGGGACTCTGCCTTGCATAAGCAGTGCCCTCTGCCTAGCGTGCTTTTCACCCTTTTGCACATCAAAAGCTCCTCCTCATGTCTGAGTCACAGATCAAGCCTTCCTGACAACTCAGCACAGAGTTTAGTGCACCCCTCTCCCCTCTGCCTCATTTCCTTTCTGCACTACGCTGTTTCTCTTTGCCTTTCTGTCTTCCGGAGGAAGGGAAACACATCTTTACTTCACAGCTTCCCCCAGCATCCTGGGCCATTCTGGGTTCCCATAAATGTTGTTGAATGAATGAATGAAAATAAGAAAAGTGAACGATGACTAGAGATGCATCAAATACTAGTGTAAATCCAAGAACTCTCCTATAATAAAGAAATTTAATTTCAATTAGATGCATTTGTGATCATTTGCTAATAACAATAGAAATAAAAATGTTGTAAGAATAAGTCAAATATGTGGTGCAGATGGTCACTCTCAAGAGATTTCTTTCCATGCTAATAATAGATGTTTATAATGCCCTTTCTAAGAATAGAAAATACCTGTCATTCATATTAAAATATAAAATTAATTGTATGCTATTAACAAGCTTATGAGCTGTGTGAGGACCTTTTTTGAACAAATACACACACAAGTATTTAAGATAACCCAGGCTTAACTAAGTAGGGAACTAGACAAATGTATAGTTTGAGAGCCATTAACCTAAAAGTAATTTTTTTACGTTTTTTTTTTTTTTTGAGACGGAGTCTCTCCCTGTCGCCCAGACTGGAGTGCAGTGGCATGATCTCAGCTTACTACAACCTCTGCCTCCCAGGTTCAAGCAATTCTGCCTTAGCCTCCCAAGTAGCTGGGATTACAGGCACCCGCCACCATGCCCGGCTAATTTTTGTATTTTTAGTAGAGACAGGATTTCACCATGTTGGCCAGGCTGGTCTCAAACTCCTGACCTCAGGTGATCCACCTGCCTTGGCCTCCCAAAGTTCTGGGATTATAGGTGTGGGCCACTGAGCCTGGCCTTAAGGGTAATTTTTGCTTTTGTTTTCCCATCTCAGTGACGAAGCTGCCTCTGGGAGTTCTTTGTACTGACCAGGTCAGCCCAAAAAACAGGAACCAAACGACGAGAGTCCCTTCATTTCTATCAAACTTTCACTTCCTTCCCCTCTTAGCACCTGACTTGATTCCCAGGAGACCCTTCCAAGATGAGGAAGGAACTGACTTTCCCTTTCCCTGATGGGAATACAGGAGTCCAGCGAGCTGATGGCACTTGCCCAAGGCAGGTGCTACAGAAGACCTAACTCATCCTCTAGTCTGCTGCTGCCAGGAAAAGGGTAACATGGACCCAAGGTCAATTCCGAGCAGGAAGAGCTCTATTCATGGGACCTGGTCCTTGACTCTACCTTCCAGGATGTGAAAAGCTGTAAAAAGGGGATGCTGAGCAGCTTTTCTGATTATCTTCAGGGTAATAAAGAAGAAAGGGAATTAAACAGAAGGATTAAAAATTAAACACCACAAAAAACTTCTGGTTGCTAGGATGGTTTTTAAAACTGGAATAAACGAGTAAGATTCTTAGCGAGTTGAACTCTGCCACAATGATTTTCTTCCATAGAATTACAAATGTCTTAGGCTCCTTAGTGCTGATTTGCACTTCTTAATTCCCAACTCCAGGCAGGTGATGGGCAAGCAGGCACAGGAGCCTTCACTCTGAATTCCCAGCATCCCAACAGTTTAAGCCCCATGCTTTATTTATGTGAATTTTATCTTCATGTAGACATTTTGCTCTCCTTGCTGGAGAAGGTGGTTTCCCCAAACTGCTGCGAATGTTCCTTCTCTGTATATTTTATTCATACGAATCCGTTATTGGCCCATCCCTTCCTGAAAGAGCTGAAATTTGCCCTTGAGGCATCAGATGGAGTAGTCAGATTGTCAAATGTGTCCCCTAATTGAAGTGAACATTGGCACAATATTTGTCGACTGGAAATAAACAGCCCCAGTGAAGTAGCAGGTTTATCACCTTCATGCACTTGTTCAGGTCTTGCTGAGAGTTGACGGAAACACGCAGAGAGAGAAGCTATTTCTCCAGGAAATGAAAACTTTGGCGGATCAGGGGAAAGGGATCTTTCTTAGACTTTGAATCTCCTAAAGCCAAGAACAGTGGCCCAGGGCAGTCAGCAGGGCAGTCAGCAAGGTGAATTTCAGCACTCCTCTGCTGTCCTTTCTTCTCCTGCTCCCTTCAGGGGGCCTCTTCCTCCAGCACCCAAGGGCCCAGGATCAGCCTGCTTTCTCTCCTCCATCAGACCCTCTTTTAGGTTGTCCCTGCTATCAGAGTGTAAGGAACAAAAGATACAGGTGAGATGAAGTTCAGAAAGAGACTCAAATGACCTCCTCTGTCTCTTCCCAATGCCTCATGAATCCTACAACCTCAGAAGCTCTAGTTCTGTGATACCATTCCAGCTGGCATTGGCCTCAGTCCTCCTCTGCCACATGGATGCCTCTGACAGCTTTTCAGTGGACGCTCTTGGGGACAGGGAGTCAGGGAGTCAATGCAAAGCCTTGAAAAAGGCAACCCCAGGTGCAAGCTGGAGTGTTGGTTCCTCTCAAGGTCATATCCTGGAGCAAGCAAGTGGAAGGGACCAAGCCATGCCTGAAGCTGAAAACCCTGCCTCTTCAAGAAAGGTTCCAAAAAATTAGAAGGGCGAGTGTCTTTCTCCAGTCTTGGTCAAGTCAGGCTTGCCCCTCTCACCACTTTCTTACTCCTCAAGAGACCAGTCAGAAGCAGTCCATTTCCTTCCATGAAATCTCCCTATAGGGGGCAGGGGTGGGGTGTCTCTCTCACCATCCATTCTCCATGGCCTTTCCAGGATCTATTCCAGCAAGTTTTCAGGCTTCTGTGGCAGGCCTAGGCCACCAGCCCTTGGACACCCTCTCCACAGCCACCGAGGGAAGTGGTCATCCTGGTGCACCAAGCTCCTTTCAGAGAGATGGTGGATCCCAACCCTGTTTAAGTCTGGATGCAGGAGCAGGCCTGAAAATACTGACAAACACCATAAACTTCCTTGGCCTTCTTGGGCGGTGACTGTTTTTTCTCCACTCCCTTTCTGATTAGGGAGAAAAGATGTAGGGAGAGATGGAGACAGAACAATTCCATAGCGCCCCTAAGAAGGCATCTCTACTCCAATCCCTCTCCGGGGAAAAAGACAGGAATCTCATCTCTAAGTTCCCTTTAACTCACCCTCATAAAACAGGTTGTGACCTCTCCCACCTCCAGTCAGGGCTAGGAGCTCCACTTGTTAGGGCATTGCCAGCTCTTCTCCCTCCTAGCACTTCCCTTAGATTTGAAACGGTCTGCTAATGAGTCTGCCCAGGGCCATTGAATTAGATCCTCTTGAAGGCAAAGGTATTGCTTTCATGACTGCATCTCTGGCCCCCAGTACAGCTCTGTCATAGACTCATAATATTTGTTGAACCGCAAAACTTCCCCCAACTCAATAGGCAAATAAACGTCAGGCACATAAGGCCACTCCTCCCTCTTTCCCAAGTCCTTACCCACTCTACCCTCGCCAGCCCCTCTCCCTACTACTCCCCTCCACCCTTCCACCAACCCACACCTGTAGCAGAATAAGTAACCCAAGTCAGCTGCACTAAGAAACTGGAAACCATTCCCTATCACCAACTTTTAGAAACACTATAAAAAAATTTTTATAATATCATTTTGTGGTTTTTATACTTTACTGTAAGTTATTTGTTCTTCACATTAATTTAAACCAAGTGATGATGGGGGTAGGACACTGTAGAGTTTCTGTATTTTAAGCTTGATCTCTACCTGTGGATTGATGGCTTTGTTTTGTTTTTAGGAATTCTCAGCCTAAGTGGACAGATTAGGAAGCTTGGGGGAAGTATTTTGGAGGTGGGGATATTTTAAAATTCAATCCATAATGTTAGCAAGTAGACAGCAACCTAGTAGGTTTAAGTGTTAGACCAGATCTGTAGCTAATAGTATCCAACTTCCCAACGTGTCTTTCTGGGGATGAAATGGCATTTGTAGAAGCCCAGCGTTTGACCAAGGCTTGTTTAACGTTTTATTGTAGTTTTTCTTTCCTCCCGAGTCTTAAAAACATGCAATTTTTCAGGGTCCCAGAAGAAGGCAAAACTAAGAAAGTGGTGATGAAGTTGCTGGGACAGGAAGTCAGTTGCTCTTCTTGTATTTGGGTGAAATTAATCAGTAACTCTGTTGACTTGTCATCAAGAGCACAAACCAGGCTGCCATCACATGGCACGTAAGACTTACCCATGCAACACTCCTTGAGGACTGGAGATGATGAGGGAACACAGGATTTTTCCAGTGTACACTCTTACAGAAAGGCTGGAAATGTGTAAAATTACCTTGTGACATAAGTTCCCACATAGGAAAACCTTCCAGTCTTTTTCCTGTTCTTCTCAATGACCTCCTGGTGGGCAGATGTACGTTTTCTAATTTTTAATTCTCCTTACTGTCTCTTTTGCAGCAGTTAATTTTACTGTTTCCTCATGCTTCAGAAGGATTTTTATTGACATAGTTTCTATAGTAATTATGTGTCATTCTCATACCTCCCTGATTACTCCTGTTCCTACCTCTTATTCCTCTCCCTTTTCTCACCCCTAACTGGCTCTATCTCATTATGCCGTTGGACCTCCCCTTTGCTTTCTTTTTGTCAAAGAATTCATTTCCTCCCATGGCTTTCTCTGTCACCTCCAAGGAGATGGCATTTTCTTTCAAAAATGGCCTCCCCTCGCCATTCAACCAGATTCAACCAGAACCCCGGTTTTTATATTTTAAATGCTTTTTTTTCCTTTCACCTTTTCATAGCTCCTCAGCTATCCAGTTCCATTGATCCTTGCTTTGTAAATGCTCCCAATTCTCTCTCCCTTTAGATTCCCACTCCTGTGATTCTAATCCAGGCCTTGTTACCTAATGCCTCAGTTACTCTACATCTAATTTATTTCTCTGCCGCCTTTAGCTTTATGTATCACTTCCCGACTAAGCTTCCCAAAACATTACTTTCTTCAAGAAACAACCCTGGTCAAAACCCTTCGCTATCTCTCCACTGGCTAATCCTGTCACTTAAGGCCTATCAAAATCTAGTCTGAATCCACTTTTCCCAGGGCATATGCCATTACCCCTGAAAGCAGGCTGGTGGTGTCTTCAGTATCTTTGACCTCATTATAGTATCCTCATTATCCCTTATTTTACATATGTATATATATATAGCCACATTTCCTCCCCATCTTCTGCTGTCTTCTTGAAATACTCTTCCCCTCCTCTGACCTATGCAAATCCTACCAAGCCTGCAAACCCAGGTCAAGGTCAGTACCTCAGTCTTCATGAAGACTCCTTTACCCATAGAACATGTGCACCCATTCAGCAGCTCTCTGTTCAATATCTCTCTCTGTCAGTCGCTGGCCTAGGCCCTGCGGGTACAGAGGTGAAGAGTCAGTCAAGGGCCCTGTTCTAAGGGAGCAGACATTGGGAAGGAGAGAGAAGACATATAATAACAAATAAACAAAGTAATGACATACCTTCAGAAAACCATAAATGCTACTTAATTTCAGCAGCCCTCTTCATGGAAGAGAAACTCTGAGTCTCTGAGAAGGTAGATGCCTGGCCAGAGGCCACGTGGTTAGTGAATGATGGTGCTGGGTCAGACATCATTGTCATCTGTGTTCTTCCCATTAACTACATTGGGAAACTTCTCAAGGTCAGGTCATCATTTGTCCTGGCACTTAGCACACTACTGGTCACGCCGCAAGCATTCACAGGTCACTTGCAGGAAAAATGAATAAAGGCAAGCAGATAGCAGGTAGGGAAAAGGGGTGTCCCTATTTGGTCATAGGCATGGCCTTACTTTTCCTTATTTGAGCCTACATATCTCATTAGTGCCGGGTATTTATCTATATCACTGAAACTACCAGAGTTTGGAGGTTAATAAAGATTCTGTTAGGGAGTACTGGCTTTTATTTTCCACAAAATTTCCCTTTCATGTGGCAAATTCTATCATTTGGACTGTGAGTATGATCCAGCGGGGACTCAGTGTCCACCTGGCTTTACACTCCTGACGCTGACCAGTTAAAGAGCAAGATGTATTTCAGCAGGACCAAGACTGGAAAGAGTTAAGACAATCTGTTTAAAACAATCTGGGGCAGATAGCTCATCAAATGGATTCCTTTTAGTTTCCCCTACTCCTATGTCCACTATTTTTCAGGGAGAAAAAAAAATAGAATGAGGAGAAAGGAAAAGGAAGGGAGAGAGGGAGGAAGGGGAATTTATCACAAGCGCCTATTTATAGAATCACAAGGTGAACAGGAAATTATCTTCAAGAAAAGGAGGTATAGAAATTGCATTTGAAAGATTCCTCCTTATATCCAAATGATAATTCCTGTTCCTTCACAGCAACTTTTAATGGACTCAATATTGGTGATTACGGTTTGGCTAACAAAACCTATAGAGAGGAATGGCACCCCCAACTCTGATCTCCCTTTAAATTATTTTCCATTTAGCATGAATCCTATAGCATGGCATAAAACTTTATTGAATAGCTCATTTGAACAGAGAATACTTTTGAAAGAATATTAGTAAACTCTTTCAATGGAGTCAAAACACCAAAATGGAAAATTCAAGTTTTGAAGAGAGCCATTAAGTGTGATTAAAACTTTAAAAAGGAGAGAACAACGCCTGCAGAACTCTATTTAGCCATTTCATATCTTTAATTGTCCAAAGATTTACTTTAAAAGCACAGACATGAAAGGATGCTGAATGTTACAGTATTTAAAGGGGAGAGTGAAGATAAGCCCCGTTCACCAGCAAATGGAGCTCAGCCCAGAAGTAGGGACAACAAAAGCGGCAGGGACCTGCTTCCTTCTACAATATATAGACAGAGGGAAATAAAAAGGCAGCAATTCTTGACTTAGCTTTGAGGAGCACAATGGGCATGATTAGGGATCCAGAGTGGGAGTGCATTTAAGTAGCAGTAACATCCACCAGTTGGCTGGTAATTAGGATGAAAACTGAAGGGAAGGAAGCTAAGAGGAGGGAGATGGAGAAATGGGGGACAGGAATTTGGGGAAAGGGGTTTGAAAGGTCATTTTTGAAATTTAGTGGAGATGAAAATCACTTTGGGAGCTAATTTTATCATACTTTCCTAAACTCAAATGTTAGAGATTTTCATTCGATAGTATGGGAGGAGACCCAGGAATCTGTGCTTTTAAGATGCCTTCAAGGTAAGGCTGCTCTGATGGTCCTTTTGGACCAGTTTAGAGGATGTCTGGAGGAAGAAGGAAGGTACCAGAAATAGAAATCTGAAATAGAAACTCCACCTGGAGAGAGAGAGAGAGAGAGATGGACAGAGAGAGAGAGAGAGAGAGACAGAGAGATTCCCAAATGACAAGGAGGCAGAATCTAATGGTCCTGCCTGTCCTCACTCTCAAATGCACAAGTCTATCCAGGGAGCTAAATTGAGGAATTCCATATAGTGTCAGCAAGAGGAGAAGTCCTTTTGGAAAAGGGCAGGAATGAAAGAAAGAAAAACAACCAATCAAGAAAAGGAGGAAGAAAAAGAAAATGACAGGCACTCAGCAGTGCACAATTCTGAGTGGAATAGCTTTGAACTGTCCCCAAATGAAAGCAATAATATGCTTTGTTATATATTGACAAGATTTAAAAAAAAATAAGTAAAATAGTCGTGCCAGCTGACCGGGTGTTGATAAAGTAGAATAGAAATATGTCAAATTGTGGACTGTTAGTTGTTAAGTGGTTCTGGAGAGTGTGAAAATCTGTGGCTTCCAGCACTGCTCTCTGTGGCCTTGCAGATGAGTCTCGAGGTCCAACACTGGGGAGCCAGGGCTACCAAGTGGGGAGGAGGTCACCAGCTACCACTGCTTGCCCGGCCACAACCAGAGCATCTCTGTTCTGGGTAAGATTCACTTTGAACACGGAAGTGCTGCTAAATGGGTTTTTTAAAATTCCTGATTCTGGCCATTTCCCCTCATTTTATAGATGAGAAAACCAAGGCCATGAGAAGCAAAGTGTCTTGCCCAAGGTCATGCAACATGTTTGCAGCAACTGGGACTCAAGCTTGGGACTCCTCCTTATTCTTGGTCCAGTGAGCATCTGGACCCCAGAGCACCCAGCCGCCCCCTGTAGATACTGGAACTTGTCAAGCCAGTGTGTTTTACAACACTGATTGTATATGGTTAGAACATTTTATGGGTCACGATTTACCCAATAGCATACCTAAATGTATGTGAAAATAAGTAATGTTGTCTCCGGTTGTTATTCTGTTTCTGAGGTAAAAGTGGTCTGCTGGAGTGCATAGGAATACTTGGGTCAGAAGGAAGTGAGACCCACACCTGTTGAGTACTTGAGAGTCACAAGGTATGTTATGCCCATTACAAGTCCCATTCATTCTCGTAACAACCCAACAAGGCAGTGGAAAGACCCTCCCTCATTTAGCTATGGAGGTAATTGGCAACCAGTAGGGTTAATGAACTGCAGTTGCCAGGTAGACATGACAACTCAATCTGGGTGACTTCAGAGGCCAGCCTTTTTGTACTTGATTAATTTGTTCACCCTGTAATGGGATGCTTTTGGCTCTTTATGCCATCCTTTCAGATCTCATTTCTTCCACTTTTCTATTATAAAGACAGTGCCTAATAGGAAGTCCAGAAAATGAAGAAAATACTATTCATAATTCTGTCAACCAAGCATATCTACTTTCACTGTGGTAAATTCTGTTGCTATTCTTTGTCTTCATAAATATAGCTGTTACATAGTAACAATCCTAATGGACACACACTTTGTATCTCACCTTCTCTTCACTTAACTCCCGGCCAGGGGCTTTGTCCAGGATGTGTATGTCAGCCTCTCTTTTGTTCCTTCCTGTTTCTCTCCCTTCTTTTCTTTTGCTCCATTCCTCTGTTCTTTCTTTGTTCCTTAGTCTCCTTCTCTCTCCTTTGTTTGTTTGTTTGTTTGTTTTTCCTCCTCTAAGTAAACCTAAAGCTTGCCCCAGGTTCCTGGGATTCCTGTGAATAAAGACCCTTTCCAGGAAAGAGTGAGTGCATTGAGGTCCCGAGTGGTATCCTGTCTTGGGTCAGTCTCTTGCTAGATGTGTCCTAGAAGAAATCAAGGTAGGTCAGTGGAAAGAGGGGAGGGGGTGGTTAAAACCATGGATCAGAATCCAAGGTAGGAAACGGATGACAGAACCGCTCAGTAATTATGAGGGTGGGGTAAGAAGTGAGCAGGTTGTATATTTCCACAGGAATAGGAGGTGAAGTTCTCCCCTGCCTATCAATAATCAGAAATAATAATGATACTAGTAATTCAGGTGGCTCCAAACAACACCTCCGGAGGAGAGGGAAATGGCTTCTTATTTTGTTCTATGCTGGGTCCTGGACCCGGTTCAGTGGTATAATACATCCTCTGTAAATATTGTTTCATGTTAAGAAAGATGTGAAGAATCACAGTAACAGCAACTTATACTTACATAGTCCTTTAAATACACAAAACACCTTTATATTACTTATAACCACAAAAGCAAATGTTCTAGGTAGAACGTCAGGAAGCTGACAATTGACAATAAAGAGTTTAGCTGAAGTTTATATTATAAAGCTTTCACCAAAGCAATTAATATGAACACTTAGCAATGATAAGCATTTTAAGAGGGGCCAAATATGCCTACTGGAAATCTAAGAAGAAGCGAAGGTATTGCTTAAGAGGGCAGCATGAACGATGATGAACATTCAAAAGCTGGAAAGGGAGGATATCTGGGCGGGCGTGGGGGTCGCTTTCTTGATGAGAAAACATTACCAGCTCCACGTACGCTAATAAAGGTAAATTGCCATTTATAGTACTTCTTTGTGGTTCAATTTCCTTGGCAATTATTATATTAGAGTGACACTTCTATTGAATTATATGTTTCAATTACTATTAAAAAATTGAAGTCCTTAAGTTGGAGGAAATTATGAATGCAGCTTCTGGAGAGCCCTACCTCTGACACTCCAAGGATAGTATCGCTTATCTTCTTAGCACTCAGAGGCCCATTATGCAGCGTGGGTAAGGAGGCAGCCATTGCCTGCACAATAGTGTCCAACATTATCAAAGCACTTCTGGTGGATTCCACCATCTCGGCGCTGTGTTGTGGTAACCCCAGGTGACCGGCCGCCTTTCTTTGCGCAGGACACAATGGCAAATAGAAACATTAACTCCCACAATGTCGCAAGACTTCCACTGCATTATTTCCTGACCTCTAGAAAGATAATGTGTCATTTGCTGTACAAAAATAAAAGTTTTCAAAGCAGTTGGAAATATAATTGTGTATACTTCATTTGCTGAACTGCCTTTCTAGGGTTTGTTTGGCCCTTTAGAGTGAGAGAATGGGAGACTTTCAGCGAGGTGACCGTGGAGGTTTCCTTCCCACCGCCCACCCCCCACCAGTGTCCCCTCCCGGGAAGATGGAGTGGTTTCTGAGTGCTGGATGGTTACAGGCAGGGAGAACGGTTGGGCACCAGCTCCTGAATCACAATGCCGGGGATGGAGGAGCAAGAAGGCTCTGTCTGGTGTCTGAACACCCCGGAGGCAGGGCTCCGGGACATCTTCTTGATGGGTGGATATTTACTAGAAGTCAATAGCACAGTGGGCTTTGGTTCGATGCTAATGAGGCCAAGGTTATCCAAGGGCCAACTGGTTTCCTTCTGTTCTCTCTGCTATAAACTGCCTGCCGTCAGCGGCCAGTTCTCTCACAAATGCAGAAAGGGGGGTAATGAAATGGGCAGGAGGCTTCTCCCAGACAGATGGCTCCCCAGCTGTTTTCGCCGATGGGTAACTTTTGTTGCCACCGCTCAACGTCCCCTCTAAAGACCATGTTCTGCAAAGCCTTTTCCCCTTCAGTCCTCTGGTGAGATCAGCAGGGCCTCTCTCCAGGATTGTTCTCAAGCAGATAATGTCTTTTATAGGGGCAGGGAGCCATCGCAGGCAGAGGTGGATGCAGAAGAGGGTGACTGCAGACCCCTGATTTGATTCGGCTGGATATGGTTTGAAACACCATTCAGTCTCTTTCAAGGGGAATCTTCCCTGTTGCAGGCCCTTTGGAGCGAGAGAATGGGAGACTTTCAGCAAGGTGACCATGGAGGTTTCCTTCTCACCGCGCACCCCCAACCACTGTCCCCTCTCAGGAAGATGGAGTGGATTCTGAGTGCTGGATGGTTATGGGCAGGGAGAATGGTTAGATATATATCTATAGATATATCTATATATCTATATCTATTATATATCTATATTACATTATACATATAATCTATATATCATATATCGATATATAGATATATAATACAGATATTATATATGTATAATATAGATATTATGTATAGATATATATATCTCTATATATGTTATGTATATGTATATGTATCTATATATCATATACATGATTTCTTATGGGAAATTGCATTTTATGTTTGTGGTGACTGGCAAGTTTAAAATTCGTAAGGCGGGCTGCCAGGTGGGCAGTGCAGTCAGGAGTTCCTGTTGCAGACCTGAGGTGGAATTTCTTCTTCTTCAGGAAGTCTTAGTCTTTGTGATTAAGCCTTCCATTGATTAGATGACACTCACCCACATTATAGAGGATGGTCTCTTTTACTTAAGGTCAACTGATTGCAGGTCTTAACCACATTTTGAAAATAACATCACAGCAACAGTTACTGTGTTTTGATTAAATAACTGTGCTCTATAGGCCTATCCAAGTGGACACAAAGAAACTAACCATCACAGCAACTTTTCACAAATGATTCCCTAAGTCCACCTCTTGTGTAAAGCATTTCTAAGCCACTGCTCACTCCATGCTGTCAGGGTATGTGTGGTTTTCCTCACTTTCTCTCACCATGTATTTTCTTCACTCACATCCTCTTTCTCTGGACACAAACCTCTTGGGCTTCTAATCCCTCTCACTGGGTTTATCCTGCCCTGTTTGGGGGGCATGAAGATCTCATCTTCTAGAAATAATTTACTGTCCAGTCAGCAAGTTATCATAAGAAAACCATAATTAATATAACCTCTGTTGTGGTAAATTGGTTACAGTGTGACCCTTTTATATTTGGAGAGAGGAGAGTTTAGGGCTGAAGGTAAACCAACTAAGTCAGCTCCCAGTCCTCGGGATTGCAATCTGGGTATGGATTCAGTGTGATTTCAGAATACAAACTAAAGGGCTGACATGATCCCTCATCCACCCTTCTAGTCAGCTCTTCCTAAAAGCAAAGCTATGGGAAAGATCCAGAACCTGGGGCCCTACCCCAAGGACTTGTATTCTAATGGCAGAACAGACAGGGAAGCAGAAAACTAAAAATGCAGGGTGGATACAAACAAGGGGTGAAATAGAAGTAAAAACAGAAGTACACAAAGAAAATACTTGCCTTTTCATAGGTAAGAGAGTTCATGTACATTGAACAATGAACTCCATTATGGCAGGCATTAAAAAGACATGTGCAGTTAACTGTGGAATAGTCCGTGTGTGTATTTCTTAGCAGTGCTCCCTTCCCTTTTATGCTTTGCTTGGGAAAAAGATTGAAATTAGTTTGCATTTCCTCAGAGCCCATTAATTGATGATTAAAGAAACCTGTCCCAATGTTACTAGAAAGATGTGTGCCACAGAGAAATAATTTGGAATTAAATATGTGTTCATTCTGCAAATATATACTGAGCAATGAGCAGGAGGCAGCCCGCACTCCATGTGGGAGATGCCGTGGCAACTCAGGCTTATGGTCCTCTGGGGATTAAGATGGCAAACATATAGAAGCACCTCTTCTGAAACAAAGGAGGGCCAGGGGAGGAAAGGGGATGGAATACTGTTTTATTTTGGGTGATCAGAGAAGGTCTTTGAGGGGACATGGAGACCTGACAGAAGAGAGGGAGAAAGTGAACCATGAGGCACAGAGAGTCTTTATCACACACTCTCTTTCCTTAAATGAAAAGGGCAGTTTCTAATCAACAATACATTGTGTATAATCCCCATTAAATAAAAAATTGATATGTAGGCATTATTGTGTATACCATGAAACTATTTATACATATAAATGTACACTTATACATAATTTATATAGAATAAAATATATATTTCTCAAATAATAGGTGGTCTAATGTTAACATGAGTTATTGTTGGGCAGGGAGATCACAAGTGAATTTAATTTTCTTCCCTAAATTTTTTATACTTCCACATTTTATGTAGACATATCTTGGAGATACCATGGATTTGGTTCCAGACCATCACAATAAAGCCAATATTGCAATAAAGCAAGCCACACAATTTTTTGGTTTCTTGGTGCATATAAAAGTTATGTCTACACTATCAAGTGTGCAATAGCATTATAACTAAATAAAAATGTAATACCTTAATTTTAAAATACTTTATTGCTAAAAAATGCTAATGATCATTTGAGCCTTCAGCACATCATAATCTTTTTGCTGGAGTGTCTTGCTTCCATGTTGATGGCTGCTGACTGATCAAGGTGGTGGTTGCTGGAAATTGGGGCAAGAGTGGCAATTTTTAAAAACAAGACAACAATGAAGTTTGCTGCATTGAATGACTCTTCCTTTCATGAAAGGTCTCTGTAGTATGTGACACTGTTCCACAGCATTTTGCCCACAGTAAAACTTCTTTAAAAATTAGAATCATCTCTCTCAAACCTTGCTGCTGCTTTATCAACTAACTTTATGGAATATTCTAAATCCTTTCTTATCATTTCCACAATGTTCACAGCATCTTCACCAGGAGTAGATTCTAACTCAAGAAACCACTTTCTTTGCTCACCCATAAGAAGCAACTCCTCTTCCATTCAAGTATTATCATGAAATTGCAGCAACTCAGTCATATTTTCAGGCTCCACTTCTAATTGTATTTCTCTTGCTGTTTTCACCACATCTGAAGTTACTTCCTCCACTAATGTCTTCAACTCATCAAGTCATCCATGAGGGTTTGAATCAACTTATTTCAAACTCCTATTAATGTGGACATTTTCACCTCATTTCCTGAATCACGAGTGTTCTTAATGGCATCTAAAATGGTGGTTCCTTTCCAGAACATTTTTAATGGACTTTTCCCAGATCTGTCGGAGGAATCACTCTCTGTGGCAGCTATACCCTCATAAAAATGTATTTCTTATATAATAAGACTTGAAAGTCAAAATTACTCCTTGATCTATGGGCTGCAGAATGGATGTTGTGTTAGCTGACATGAAGACAACAATCATCTCCTTGTATGTCTCCATCAGAGCTCCTGGGTGACCAGGTGCATTGTCAATGAGCAGTAATATCTTGAAAGAAATCTTTTATTCTGATCAGTAAGTATCAACAGTGAGCTTAAAACAGTCAGTAAACCAGGCTGTAAACAAATGTGCTATTATCCACGTTTTCACTGTTTCATTGATAGAGCACAGGAAAAGTAGATTGAGCATCATTTTTAAGGGCCCTAGAATTTTTAGAATGGTCATTGAACATTAGCTTCCACTTAAGTCACCAGCTCCATTAGCTCCTAACAAGAGAATCAGCATGGCCTTTGAAGTTTTGAAACCAGACATTGACTTCTCCTCTCTAGCTATGAAAGTCCTAGAAAGCATTCTCTTCCAATAGAAGGCTGTTTCATACATATTGAAAATCTGTTGCTTAGTGTAGCCATCTTCAACAATAGCTAGATCTGGATAACTTGCTGTAGTTTTTACATCAGTGCTTGCTGATTCATACTGTACTTTATTTTATGGAGATGGCTTCTTTCCTTATAAACCAACCTCTGCTAGCTTCCGATTTTTCTTCTGCCTCTTCCTAGCCACTCTCAGCTTTCATAGAATTAAAGAGGGTTAGGATCTTTCTCTGGATTAGGCTTTAGCTTAAGGAAATGTTGTGGCTGGTTTCATTTTCTCTGTGGACCACTCGAAGTTTCTCAATATCAGCAATAGGGCTGTTTTGCTTTCTTATCATTCTTGTGTTCACTGGAGTAGCACTTGTAATTTCTCTGAAGAACTTTTTCTTCACATTCGCAAATTGGGTAACTGTTTGGTGTAAGATGCCTAGCTTTTGGCGTTTGTTGGCATTTGGCCTGCCTTCCCCACTAAGCTTAATCATTTCTAGCTTTCGATTTAAAGTGAAAGACGTGTGACTCTTCCTTTTACTTGAACACTTAGAAGCCACTATAGGGTTGTTCATTGGCCTAATTTCAATATTGTTGTTTCTTGGGGAATAGGCCTAAGGAAGAGGAGAGAGATGGAAGAACAGCTGGTCAATGGAGCAGTCAGAACACACACACTTATCGATTAAATTTGCTGTCTTATGAGTGGGTTTGTGGCACCCCAAAACAATTATTATCATAACATCAAAGAACACTGACCACAGATCACCATAACAAATATATCTGAAATATTATAATATAAAAAATGGCACCAATATTCTTGCTTAATGCAAGGTTGCCACAAATCTTCATTTGTGAAAGAAAAATCCCCAAAATCCGCAATGTCTGCAAATCTCAGTAAAGCAAGGTGCAATAAAACGAAGTATGCCTGTATAGCAATCCTACATTAGTTTCTTTGTGTCATGTATTTATCTTTTGTGGGCTATTTTTAATTTTTCAAATGAAGTAGTCATCTATTCAGAATTGAGTACTTTTTCTAAAAGCCAATATAAATAATGGTAATAGCTCTATATTTATTGACCACTTGGTATGTGCCAGGGACTTTCAAGTGCTTTATGTGCGTTATCTAACTTAATCCTCATCACCACATCTTGAGGTAGGTGCTATCATTATTGCCATCTTTATTCCACAGCTGAGGAAGGTGAGGTGGGCAGTGGTTGATAACCCAAGGCCACTCAGCTAGTGTGCGCTGCAGCCAGGGTACTCAGGCAGTCTGAACCCGAAATCCCAATCATAACACGATGCCACAGCTGCCCTCTCCCCTCAGAGGACCAGTGTAGCCTCATGGTCTTCATTTTTAGTTGATATTCAGAGGTGGAAAGTAGAAGGAGTTATCAGGAATTATCAAGAGGATTGCCTCAATAAATATTGATATAGCAAAGGCCAAATGAAATCACAATGAAAGTATTTGATCTGTCCACTTCCCGGGTGGCTATTTTATTCCAGGCCAGGTGGTATGCAGATTTTCCTACCAATTTTGACTGCTCTGATGAATTGCAATAATTCAAACAGGATTTACTGCAAGGCCAGGTTTTGGTATATGTGGACACAAATGCACTTGTACTAAAATGCATTTATCTCCTTTCTCCTCTCTTCATACCTGGTTTCTCCTCCTCCATATAAATTTCCTTTCGGGGGCTCTAAAAATTGGATTGAATCAAGATGCTATGGGAGAGTTTTGTTTTTAATTTACGTGACTGCAACAATGTGGCCTGATCCTTTTTTTTCTTTTTTTCACTTTCCATCTGGTTGTTTAGGTGAGAGGTAAACACAAACTTCTTCATTGTCTGTGAACTAAAAGGGCACAAGACCCACACATACTAGGGAAGTCGAGTGAGTACAACAAGCAGGAATCAGTGAGATCCAAGAAGTGCAGCCCAGACAAAAGCCGACCAGGACAAGGACAAGCAGAACCTGTACCTTGGTGTCTTGTTACCAAGGGGTTCATTGTCCTGAGGGAAGGATCCTAAACCCCCATGCTCAGGATTAGATTTGGTCTCTAGTCTCTGAGATGCCCACAGCCAAAGCACCCCCACCAGGCTTCCACCCCACCGCCCCACTCCGTAGAAGCTCTGACACTTTGTTAAGGGCTCCTGAGGCTCCCAACACTTTCCCAAGCACACCAATGTTTATTTGGGTGTTTGGAGGGGTCAAGAGAGTGGTGACCTCCATTCTCTTCTTATTTCACCATTCTCTGTGATTTCAGAGGCCTCACTCTAAGCACCTGAGGAATTCTGAGCATCTAAAAGAAAAATATGGGAAAGAAAAAGTAGGGATATGATCAATTGCTGCTGAAAAATAAATATTCCCCATTTCAGGAGCACAATGAAAGGATGAGAACTTGTAAGGAGGCCAGAGATGAGGTTAAATCAGACTCATTATGCCACGGCCCTGAGTGCCATAAGGAGGCATAGCAACTGAACACCTGGAGGAAAAACAATAGTCTTTGGATGGAAAGACCCAAAGGGCCCCTTAAATCTTTAATAAACTCAATATGTAGATGACTCATATCTCCGGACAAGTCTCCTTCACCCTGCTGCCTATCTAACTCCTGGTGCTCAGGTATGACACACCCAGTGATGGTAAACAAAATCACATGTCGTATGACATTTGCTTTAGCTTACTCATGGATTCATGGCAGTTTTCTTTCTTTTTCTTTTAATGCTCAGTGACTTCACCTTTCCGAGATCGCAGACTTTGTGTCTTTGTTGTCTGTCGTGGTTTAAAAACTTGATGGATGGTTGAAAATGAATCACAACATAAGATCCAAAGCTGAGTTGCATCATGGCTAGGAAGCCGGGAGGAAGTCATAGAATCAATGTGGATCTGAATGCGGATCCAGTGTGACCATTTGGACCATGAGAACCAGTTAGTTCAAGTTGATGACTTGTTATACCAGACTGACCAGAAAGTTTAGTCAAAAGGGTGGAACTAGTTGCCACAAGGAGATGCGCAGAAAAGTTCTGCTTCTGATGGGACCAACATGCTTTCTTTTTCTCAAATATAGAGGTATCAGATCACCTTTATAGTAAAATGTTAAATGTCTATAGTAAGAAGGAAGAAGATTGAGGAGAAGACTCTCCCTGTGTCCTATGATGTCTTTGTTAGTGTGATCTGAGTACTTGTCTACATGGGTGCAAAGGAATGGGGGTGTAAGGGTTAGAAAGAAGACAGAACATGCTCCCTATTTCAGGGAGTCTAGGGTCAAAAGAAGTAAAACATTTACATGTAAATTTACTAACTAATGTTAATTATCATTGAGAGGCAGTAAAGAATTTTTCAGAAGGAAAAATGCAACGCAGAAAGAAGAATCAAGTAAGATGGTATCTGGAAATGCTCTTCTGGAGCAAAGCCAAAGAAGGTGTATAGATTTATCTCTCATGGAATTGCCTGAGGCTTGACCCCCGGGTAGGTATATAAGTCCACAAGTTCACGGGTGAACAAGTGCATTGCCAAATTATGCTGGGGCAAAAAGCAGCGGCCAGATGCCCAACTGCCCCTCTTCCTTCAGCTCTACTTCTGTAATCACTAGACAGCACAAGGTGGGGACAGAAGCCTAAGGATCTTCATCTATAGGAGCTCTGTGCAGAGGCCTAATGCTACCCAAATAGGAGATCCAGCCCTGGGTGCAATTTGAGTCATATCTAAGTGCAAAACTTTACAACCCGATTATATTAGAGGAACTGGTACTCTGTTACAGAGCCACAATCTGGGCCAAGAAGAATTCTCTTCTTATAGGCTATTTTGAGTTTTTGAATCCAGTCCTTTCCTTTATTCCAACCAGCACCATGAAGGCTATTTGAAAAACCATGAGCTGGAAAAGAAGAAGGCCCTAGTTGAAACCTGAGAGATGGCACTTCGGGGAGGGATGAGGTTCAAAGGGACGAGAATCTAGGAAGTGACAGCAGGGCTCAGTGGTGCATGCCTGTAATTCCAACACTTTGGGAGGCCGAGGCAGACAGATCACTTGAGGCCAGAAGTTTGAGACCAGCCTGGCTAACATGGTGAAACCCATTTCTACTAAAAATGCAAAAATTATCTGGATGTGGTGGCGTGCACCTGTTTTCCCAGCTACTCCAGAGGCTGAGGCATGAGAATCACTTGAACCCAGAAGGGGGAGGTTTCAGTGAATCAAGATCATGCCACTGCACTCCAATCTGGGTAACAGAGCGAGATTCTGTCTTAACACAAAAAACAAACAACAAACAAACAAAAAATAATCTCAATCTAGATTGAGAAAGAGAAGCCAGAGAAGAGTGGCAAATCGTGGAAACCAATAGTGCAGACAGGTGGAGGCAAGATGAAGCGCTAACTGTTCCTATCACAATAACGTAAAGGTCACTGGTTATAAATTTCCTTTGTCAGAGCAGTTTAAACAGAAAAGATAAAAGGCAGATCATTTTGGATCAAGTAGTAGCAGGGGAATGAGAAAAAGGAAAATGGGAGTGTGGATCACTTTATTTGAAGCCTTCAGAGGGAGCTCATTTATGTGCTGGGAAGATGAAGCCATTGAAGATGGAAACTCCAGGGATAAGAGGGGAAATTAACAGAGCAAAGCCCTAGGAGATGGGATCCAGAAGGCAGGTGTGTGGACCATCCTTGGATGAAAGGAAGACTCCTTTAAGACAAGGGAGAAAGACACAGAAAAGCTTGTGGGGTATGAATGGAAATTTTAGGGAAATCATATCATTTAGCCTCATTTTTTTCCACGTGTGAATTTGGAAGTAATATGATCCGTTAAGAGAATGGGAAGAAACTAATTATGGACATGTGATGAAATTGTCAATTGTTATTGAGGGACAGCTGAGACTGGAGACCCAAACTCAACAGTGGCACTCATCAGCAAGGCTAATTTATTTCCTGTAAGTCACACTCCCTATTCTGGGTTCAAGAGCAAGACAGGCAGATGATTTGGTTAATTCTTAGTTGAGGTGTGGTCAGGCAGATGTAAGTAAAGGACAATTTGGCAAAGGAACTGGGGATATGGGTGGGCATAGAAGAAGGGGTGGTTCGTTGTGGCTCAGTCCAAATCATTGTTGAGGATTCAGAACATTGGCAAATGGAAAATGAACCATTTTTGTGTTGCTGTGTTTCCATTTATCACCTTGCTATATTTACACAGGTTAGAACAGCTGTTGGAAAAAACTCTATAGCTAACCAAAATTTTCGAACCACCCCTTTTCGAGGAGTGCCTTATCAAGATATTTCTAGCTAAACTGGGTATATCAAACATGATGGGTGAGACTCGAGTTCAGTGGTTTAACACAACAAAGGTTTATGTCTTGCTCATGCAAAGTCCAGGGCAGCCTGACTTCACTCAGGGATAGAAGTTGCTTCTATCTTGGGGCTCCACCATCTCAACACACAGCCCCTGAAGGGGCAGAAAGGATGGACTAGGCACACTGATTATTAGCACCTCAAAGCAGATGTAGAGATGCAAGAATTTGTTCACATTCCCATGAGCTCAAACTCATCCCAAGACTTCAAATGAACTTCAGAGAAAACTAGGAAATGAAGGAGAGTCCACAGGCATTCAGGGAGCATCAGTTGCCTCTGTTAACCTGGGTCAACCACCAAGAATGCTCAACCTGCACCTGGTAAACACCATTCCAGGGAACTTGACTATTTTGTGATGAGGAAGAAAAGGCTTAGAAAATGAGAAGTAGAACATTACTCGGGACACATAGTGTCCACGTAGCTCCAAAGCAAGCAGTTAAAAAGTAAAAAAAGGCTAGCCAAACTCTAATTTTTAATTGGATTTGTGTAGGAAAACAAAGGCAACAAGAAGAATGAGGAAGAGGAGGAAGAAGAGAGGGAGGAGCAGGAGGAGAAAGAGAAACAGAGAAAAGGAAGAAGGAGGAGAAAAAGAAGGACATGCACAAAAGCAACGAGGTCATTTCATGAAAGTCAAATTTTGCTATAATCATTTTTCCACCCTAAATTTGGCCAAAGAAGTGGCTGCTCACAGGAAATGGGAACATAAATAAGGGTAAGGCACAACAGCCACTGGTCTAAACTTGCAGCCCTGAAGGCCACATGGGACGCAGACAGGCTGGAGTGAAGTTGGAGGAATAAATGTTGAACTCCAAGTTGCCCCCAGAGTTCTCAGGCCTCCTCTGGCTTTCTTCCTAGCTTGCTGTAACTCACCATTTCGGAAGCGCTGGACTATTGTTATTATCATTATTTAAAATGCTTTTCAAGACCAAGAGGTATGAACAGGGCTGTTCCACAAGCAGCCCCACCCTTTCAGGGGAACGTGTTATTTCTTTTTAATTTGCTCACTCAGTCCTGAATAACTTTTCAGAGGGCTCCAGACACCGCAGTATGACAGCTAAACCAAGGCGCATCGGATGCGATGGAATTGCTCTACAAGCAACCTTGCCAAAGGCCCTTTTCGATGCACAAAGCTGGCTCTATCTTTGTATATTGAGGGAGCTAAATCAATGTTAAATGCTTGGCTCTTTTCACAGGACAATGACCAGGACCTAAGCTGCGTCCTTCCTTTTTGATTGACACTTGAAACGCAGCGCGGGAATCAGCCAGAGGCGCTGCTACAAGCCGAACCCTCTGCTGGGATAACCACTGGTGACATCTGCAGAAAGGCCGACAAAAGGCAGTTGAAAGCTGTGTTTGTTGCCTCCCCCCCTCAGATCTCCTCGCTTTCATGGAGCTCCTTCCTTGCTTTAATATTATGATTCAGCACCTGGCTTTTTTGAACCTTGCTTTAAACTTCAAAAGGCGAGGTGGTATTAACAAACATGAAACGAAAAAGTGGCGGTAGTTTGATTTACTGTTGTCGTCTTATCAAGGGATTTTTTTTTGTCACCAGCTGCCACTTTCTGTCATCTTTGGAGCCATTATCATTTCTCTAAAATCTAAAAGACTCCACTTAATAACAGCTTTGAATACAGGCAGGATCAGTAACATACACAGTTCTGGGGATGACAGGACCGTCAAATGAAAAGAAAGATGTTGCCAAAAAAAAAAAAAAAAAAAAAAAAAAATCCAAACCACACAAATAAGAGCTGTAGTACTTTCTAGTGACCTTGATTTCTGAATTAAACAAATCAAATCCAATTCTATTGTTCCTTTTGAATTCCAGTTTAGAGTTTCCTTGAGAAGTTCCTTTTTGTTGTTAGGACTAGTGGGGAGGAAAAAAACCTCAAGCCACAACAAGGCTTTGCTACTGCAGACAGAAGAGGAAGCTGCTGCTATCATGAAATGTTTGAAACGACCTCTGCTTGTGCCTCCGCTCAGCTAATTACCAGCTCACTTTCACTGACTTTCTAACACTTTGAGCACCCACTTGATGCTGACAGCCAGGCAAACATTGCAAACTCTCTCTAAAGAGAAGGTTGCTCCATGTTATGCTCTTTCCCAAGGACTAGCAGCTCTGGGCTTTCTCACCAAACCCACAGGACCTAAGAGGACTTTCTAACTGTGTTCATGGAAGCTGGGTCCACCAGCCCACTGATTAATCCTGTGATCTGCTTGGAACCTCACACACATGAAGTTGGTCAAAGCCACAAGGAACCTTAGAGATTACCCAATCCAGTGATTTGGTTTCTCCCAAGAACTTTTGCAAAAATATTGATGCTTCCTTGAGCTCCTCTCACATTGCTTGAATCCACAACTCAGAGAGTGTGCTGCAGACACCTGTATTTTTAAAACTTCTGATGATTCTGATTTCCAAAGAGGATTAAGATGAACCCTTACAGATGAGGTTTCTGAGAATCAGAGAACTTGAGTCACTTGCTGAAGGTTGCACAGCAAGTATGTGGCAGAGCTGGACTGAGACTAAGTGATGGGAGCCCAGAACAATGCCCACATCTCTATGGTAGATCCACAGATGAAAGCTGGAGAGTGCCAACTGGATGGCGCTTTTCACTATGGACTGGGCTGAGCATCTGCTTTCAAAGATGCCAGTCATAGTAACCCAAATTATTGTTACTGCCTCACTTAGCTTTTTCCCATCTGCTTCCCCCCATTAAGTGAGTAAAACTCTTCATAAACTTTCAGATACCATGAGTGATGAGTTTCCTACATCCTCCTTCTTCCCTAGCCCCTTAGGGCCTTGAGATATTATACTAAAATGTGGAGGCAATAACTGCTGATCCCTGGCAAACTTTTCAGAAGTAAAAAAAAATGGAAAAAGGGTGAAGCTGCTCATTTAGAAGTTATCAAGTGCAAAATATTTCATCTGTGCCTTGCTCTGATGTGTCATCACTTTGAAATAAGCCAAACACACTTGATCATCTGTTTCTTCCTTTTATAATCTATTAACCCAAACTTGCTGTTTTATTACACAGCATTGTTGGGTGTAGCATCAAAAATCTTATGTATTATAGCTGTTTTTACAAAGCTGTTCGTATCAAATTAGCCATATCAATGATTGCTTAATAGCCTGGAGTTTCAACCCATGAACCCTAAGTGGTCTACTTAGGGTGCTCGTTCCTGGACACCTCACAGACCTTTAGAAATAGGAAGCAGAGGTTTGGTCTCCAGATGAAGGAGAGTATCCTTGGAGATGTCCGTGGATCTGTTCTTGAAACACTGGGACTGTGACAGCTGCTCTAAAAAATAAAAATAAAAAAAAACCCAGAAAATAAACCCAAAACAAAATTATGAGATCTTTAGCCCAAAAGATCAGGTCAGTTTTGAAGATATAAAACAATACAGCAAGGGCCAATAGTTTATCTCCATGCCAACTTTTAATGAGTGTTAGTGATGTCTTGGAGGGCTGAATTAACAAGGATTTGGGACTCAATAGTAAAGCTATTATGAATGATTAGCAATGCCTGCCGTGGATGGGGAGATATATATGTATGTAGCTTTAAGACCTGATAGAGTGGTCAAAATGAGTTTGGAGTTATCCATGGGTTTATAGCCTAGTTTTCATTACTTACTAGGAAGCAATGAAAATCATTTAGGAAAAATCATTTAGTTTTCTCATTGTAAAATGGGTGTAACACCTTATACTGTGTTTTAAGATTTGAATGACACAGTAAGTAGAAAGCCATCATCCCACTGTGTGCCATACGGTAGGTGATGATCAAAAAAATTGAAGCTCTTATTGCTATTATGGAGGGAATAAAACTATTTCCCTTTAGTTAAGACTTTATAGAATAGGTAAAGGAAGCCCTTGGCATCATTCTCTAGGGAATGAGATGCAAGAATTTTGAGCCAGGAAAAATGTTTCTACTCTTCTCCTTAGTCTGACAATTTAAAAAAGAAGGAAGGAAGTGAGGATGGGAATAAAGCTAGGGAGGGAAGAATAGAAAGGAAAGAGGGAGAAAAGAAAGGTTCAATGATGGAATAGGAGAGTGGCAGATCCAGCAGGAAGTTGGCGGGAGATGAGCAGGACTGGGACAAAGTACTGGACATCTTGAGGTATAAAAAGATTTGTTCTTAGACTTTTTGAAAAGCCTTAGCCCCAGCATTCTGGCCAATAATAAAATTGTTCTATTTTGAATAAAAAGATGATTCTCCCCCATCTCATTAGCCACACTTCATAGTTGTTCCCCATTGTTAATATATATTTCCATATCTCTGTAGTCCCCACTGTCAAAAGGACAACATGAAAATGAAATTCTATCATAGTACAGTGAGTAGATACCTTCTGACTAGAACTCAGAAAGTAACAGGCATCATCTCGTGTGTAGCCACATACTGGCCAGGTGTCCTTGGATAAAGTCACATAGTCATTCTGAGACTGTTTCTTCTTTTATAAAGTGGAAATAAGGAAATCTCATCTGCTAACCTTAAAGGTTATTAGAAGAACAGCTAAAAGGTAATATGTATGAAACATCTTTGTCAACTGTATATTTTGATGCATGCATGAATGGATGATGACAACTAGTCCCAGGCTTTGCAGACATGGATCCACTTTTCTGGCGGGATTTTAGGAAAGAATATTCTTCATTATTTCAGTGGCCCCTGGCCTCACAACCTTCTAAAATATCTCCCCAAATCTTCTTCCTCAGTGATTTGAATTCTCATGGAATTAGAGACTTATTCTTTTGAGTAACCAAATGACATCATCAGGTAGCTTCTCAAAGAAGTCTACAGTCTTATAAGAAGTAAGGCATTTACTTAGGAAGAACTAGGTTAGTCATTGGATTTCTTGGGAAAACAGTACAGATAAATGAGAATGAAAGGGAGATTTGATGGGGAGACAAAGAGAATGAAATGATTAAGCAATTAAGAGATAAACTGACAACGGCTTCTGTCCTGGATCCACCACTTACTAACCTTATAACTTTCATCAAGCTATTAGATCTCTGCTGGCTTGTGTTTCCTCGTCTGTTTATTTATTCATTCATAAGTATTATCAAGCATCTTCTGTGTGTTAGGCCTTGTCCTAGGTAGTAAGAAAGTTAAATTCCTTGACTTTATGAAGCTTGAATTTTACCAGGATAGATAGAATATAGTAAACAGAGAAGCACAGTAGAGTAAGTACTAAAAAAAAATAAGAAAAGTGAAAGCTAACATAAAAATAACTAAGCAGGTTAAAGAGAGAGTGAAAAAGGGGGAATAAGGTGGAGGAGGAAAGCTCTTCAAGGAGGTGCTATTAATGAAAAGATGGAGTGAGCCAGGGGAAATTCTGAGAGAGGAGTATTCAAGAAAGGAAATGCTAATGCAAAGTCTTTCTTAAATTTAAGGAATGAAAATGGGGTTCATAAGAAATGGTCAGACTTGAGATTGATCTTACAGGTGGAGTTCACAGTACTTATTGATGGATTAGATATGGGGATGAGGGACAGGGAAGAGTCAAAGATAACTCGGTGATCTGGTTGATAGCTAGGTGGATAAGGAAGATGGGATTTATTGGGGGGAGGGAATAAGAGTTCTGCTTTAGACATAATACATTTGTAAAATTTTGTAACACTTTAACAATCTGACAAATGGAGATAGTACCTCTCTATTAGTAGATGAGATAGTGTGTGGAAAGGGCCTATACAGGATCTGATGTGGAACAAGTGCTCAATACACTGTACTTCTATGGAACACTGAGCAGGAATGTCACACCAAGCTGTGGGGTGGAACTGATCTTTGTACAGTCAAGAAACTACACAATAATGAGGGAGTGGAGGCCAGGACACCAGTAGAATGAAACCAAGTATAAGCAGGAGAAGCAAGAGAGGACTGAAGACATGGTTTGAATGCTTCACATTCTGCATTCACTCTACCCAGTGGGGCATGGTGGAAACCAAGAAGCTATTTACAAGAGGTTACCAGATCCAATAGTCCATTCTGTACAAAGATTGGTTTTTATTTTTCTTCTTGAACTGACTGACTTAACAGCACATTGGGGGTCATGAAGACATTGCCTTGGCCCAGGATGCTGAAATGATCTTTACCACTAAACAGCTCACTCCATACTGAAGATGCAGCCTAGGGGATGTGCTTGCTCTAAGCAGTGGCAAAACACATCTTCCCAAAAGACAAATGGTTTTTGTTCTTCCGTGGTGCAGTAAATCTATGCCAAAAATTTTATTTATCAAGCAGGCATACAAACTGTTAATGTTAGAAGTTGCTGCTTGTCATCTACTTAGATGACTATCAAAGGCCACTGCCTTCTAGGTCTACCAGCAAGATCTGCTAAACACGACCTATTTTCTATCATGCGTTTCTTCTAAGTATGAAAAAAGCAAAACCCACCGAAAACAAAACCACAGAAATTCCATTTCTTCCCCTGACTCCCTCCCCATACCCTGGGCACACATTTATCAGTTCCATGCAGCAGCTGTGATGGAAATGAGAACTACAGGAAACTTCAGAGTTAGTCATGCCAAATGGCTACATATACTCAGGAGAGGGCAATTCTGGTCACTCATCTGACACCATGCGGATGGCCCAAGCTACAAAATCTCTCTTAACATTCCTGGGTCTGACCCCCAAACTAATCTGCTAAGGAACCCTCAGAGCTTGGGGATGTAGGTACTTTGGCCTCAGCTGGACAGTTGAGGAGAGTGAATTTGGAATACAAAGTTGTATGGATAATCTCTAAGCTTTCTACTCTCTATATAAGACATAGCGACTAATTCCTCAGTTTCACACACACACACAAAGTTTCTTTGATGAGAGTAGATGCTACAGCCTTCTGCACTCAAAAAGCTTTCCAGAGCAGAGGGGAAAAAAGTAGCAGGGGTGGACAGCACATTTTTGTGGAAAACTAGGGCCCAAGTCTCGGCCAGGCTCCTGACAGCCACTTGGACCTTGCCCTAGACCCAGTGAGAAGGAGCCATGAGAAGTCAGTTAAAATGATGACCAAGAGTGGAATTCAGTTGAATTAATTTACTTGGGAAAAGAAAGGTTGGAATTTAGTCAGTAGAGATTGTGTAGTTTTTTCCTGTGGTTGCACACCAACTATTAATTATGTCTTTCTTCTCTTCTAGACAGTAAGAGCCTAAAAGGGCCAGGATGGTGTCTATTTTGTTCAGCCACCCTAACTCCGGCACCTTGGATACTTCTTGGCACATTCTAATTTGATGTGAAATATTTGTTTAATTAATGAACATATTTGTGCATGATGGCACAGCCTCTGAAAGAGTTTAGTATTATAGAATTCTTGAGAAATAATCTGAGCTATTTCATGAGCTGTCAAGGACCACAGGTTGAACCAAAGTTCCTATGCCTGGGTTTAACAGCTGTAACTCAGGTGATCTGTCCTGACACGTAGCTACGTCACCATGTGAGCACATAGCCCATGCACCTGGTCAGCCCTTCCTAATCTTAGATAAATTTGTTTACAAAGTCACACAAGCTTTGGAAAATCATTCTGACTCAGGTGATGGGACAAAATTGCATCCCTTAAAACGATAAGGTACTCTATCGAGTCTACTTGATAGTACAATGTGACCAATTGCTTGTTAAGTCACACATCTACTAGAACAGTGACAAGAAAGCAGTGACAAGAAAAATGAGAAAAAGATTCATGATAACATTGTCACGAATTTGCCTAATGCCATCCATATTCGCTTCTCACATCATTCTGTACTGGAGACTTTTGAATAAGTCAAATGCTGAGATAGGCTTTTGCTACTTGTGACTATTAAATAAGTGTTGTGTTCAAGGCCAGGAAAAAATGATTTTCTCTTAAATTAACAACTTTCAATGGTTTGTAACGAAAGAGGAACTTGGTGATATGGATAATCCAAAACATTATAGTCTAAAAGTTCTAGAAGGGGTTTCTTCCTTAAGCATCCAGCCTAATCACTTTCCTTGGGACACAAAGCTGACTGAGGAGGAGAGTTTCTGGGAAGGGGTGAACCAACCCAGCATTCCAAAGTCACCACAGATTCTTTCCATAACAGTGTCCCAAGTGGATAATGGGTGGAGGTAGAGTGGTGGTAGTGGTAGCTATAAACTACCTTCCAAGTTGCTTATACCTGATTCTTATTTACCCCAAATGCCTACTTCTAAATATTTACTTCAGCTTTTAATCTATCCTATGGTCACTTGATCAGTTGGTTGATCTTTGACTTGAGAGAGCCTACAGTCAACAGTATGTATGACTTTCTCTTTATCATCATTGGTGAGTAGGGCATAAGAAGACAGAGTTAGAGGCACAATGGAGTACACATAGTCCTTGTTCTTAGGGAACATGCAGTCAGAAAAAACTATGGTATTTTGTGTGCAACAGGAAATGTTAAATTTAGAAGAGTTGTCAACATCTGTCCAGGTAAAAAGAAGAAGGAAAGAAAGAAGTACTTCATAATTCCATAACTATTTTGAGAGGGAGAGGCATTGGGGACTGGGGGAAGAGAAAGAGAGAGAAAAAGAAGAAAGAGAGAAAACGTTTTGCCGTATCATCCACTATCCAGGGCTCATCCATGAAACACAAATACCCTGCCATCCAGAGAACAGAGAGCTGTGAAGAGTGGCTTCTGAGTCACCATCACTGAAGTGGAAATATTTGTACAAGTTCAAAGGCACCAGAGACCTTGGCAATCATGTGCCCTAGTGAATGTCAAGACATAAGGTGACATCAATACAAACTGACAAACCTGAGGAGTATCTTCTATTTGGAATAAGGAAGCTCTGGGGATAAATCAAGCCTCATTCCTTCTTTTAAATAGTGTTTTCATCCGGGTGTGTCTCCAACCCCATGGCCCATGATGACACATCATCTGTCTAATTTAACACATTGTGAGCTCTGCAAAGATTAGGATCCCTCAGTAGGGAAAGTCAAGGACTTGAAGAACCATGGTAGCAAATCTATGAAATATAAGAATCTGGGTAGGACAATGTTACACCTATTCAATAATCCTGGGAATACTTGGCTCATTGTCTTTCATAGAAGCATGAAGTAGATTTTCAGGACAAAAGAAAAAAAAAAGACTAAATGAAAGCCAGAACTAGAAATTCTAAGAAGTGATATAGGCTGAGAATATAAGTAAATAGGAAAATAGTTTGAATAACTCTTATAGAATTTTTTTAAAGGGAAGTTAGGGTAGTCAGCCTTATGTTCCTCACCTATAAAGGGAAGATCTCGAGCAGAAAAGTGACATAATTCTTTGCTAACAAACTCGTTGTATTCCAGACACCAACAAAACATTAGTTTCAATGATTTACAGTAAATCTAACAAACATATGCAAGTATGTTTGTTAATACCTGTGCTAGGTACTATTTCTAAACAGCCATTAGTCTGTTCCAATGGGAGAAATTTCTTCTATTCTCATGGGAATTTCAATAGCCTGATCCATTCAGTAATGAAAATATAAGACTGCAAAAGAAACAAGGTGGGAGGTAAAGAGGGAGGAAGGAATAGTGTTAGGGATTCCTGCTGTCCTAATTTACCTGGAAATGAAATTATTACTGTAAGTTTGTGACAGTATTTCACTTTTATGAATTGCTTTATGATTATAAACTTACTCTAGCTTCATAACATCCCTATGAGGTTTGATGGCAGACGTATAACCCCATCTCACAGAGGAGTCAGACCAAGAGTAGTTAGTTATTCTCAAGGTTACCTAATGAATGATGTTCAAGTCAGGTCCCAGTCTCCACTTGCTTGTTGGCATTACCTACCGAACTGTCGGCCAACCCTGACGTTAATACCTCCCTGTGCACAGGATCCAAGATGGCTCTGCTGTCTAATAACTGCACATAGTACGCCATGTTCAGGCAAAGTGCAGTGGCATTTTGATGGACCTATGAGACGCATTGAAGCTATTAGGAACAGTTGAGAGATCACAGGCAAGATCACCTGTTTTGGCCACTAACTCTTCAATTCCCCAATACTGTGCCCCTGGCCCTCCCACCCTTTCCTCCTGCTCTACCGCCCATGGTGCATCTCAAAGAACATTCACACATACAAAAGAGAATCACAGAGCCGTATGAAGAAGGCTCAGGCAAGTCCAAAACTCCAGGGTATGTAACTGTTTTGAACATGCACTTTTGATAGTCTCTCCAGTTTAATTGGAAGAGTGCGATTTAGAAGCAAGCAAAGTCATGTGAACATAGCACTGGAGCTCAAAATGAGTATGGACCTTCTCTCTATTCCTTCTCTTCCTGTCGGTCACTGTCACCTGGTCTACAGGCAGGCCAGCTCTCATCTCAGCTGGCCAGCTCTACCTGAAGTATAAGTAAGTCTGACAAAAACCCAGGTTAAAGCTTCAAATGCAAGTTTACCTTCCCAGAGCTCTCCCTCCTCCTTTTAAATTGAGACATTTGTTTAAACCCAATTCTTCCCTCAAATGGATAGAGACACTATGGGCTCTTAATCGGATGCTAGGAAAATGACAGTATTCTGTGGACTTATAGATTATGGAATTTTCTCTCCCACAATTACATGGGCGAGTGGCATAAGAAATAATGAAAAATGCATATGAATGGTATAGCACAGTACTCACTGAGAACAAAGAGACAAAGTCCAGAGTTAATACTGTAAAGCATTACTTTCAACTTATAGATAGCCTAAAAGAACAACATTTTCACAGCAACTCGGAGGTTCATTTGGGACTGACTTAAGGAACCCCCACCCCACCAACAACCACCCCCACCCTTCACACAAAGGTCACCTGGCCTCTGCCACCTCAGCACTCCCGATATTTTTGCATCCTGAACAGCCAGCCCCACTGTCTGACCAGGTAGCAGTCTTATCACTATGCCCTTAATGGACTTGGTTGTCATTTGTTGATGAGAAATAAAATAGCAAAAACAACAGCATATAAAGAAACAAAGTTTTCCCCAGAGAGCAGATGGGATTCCACCAGGACCCCCAGTCTCCATATAATCTCTCCCTCCTCCAAGAGAGATCAATTCCCAATCTCTTCCCAGGGAATTACAGGTTCGGTCGTGACATTGGTGAGCCTTTTAGAATGGCATGCCCAAGGTAGTAATTTTGTAATCTACCGCAGCTGAAGTAAGTATAGACCTGGGCTTGCTCCAGCCTCCTTCTCTCTCCTCCATCCAGCACTGGGTCCTCACGTAGGTGAAAATACTTTGCATGTAAACAAACTCCTCTCAAAGACACCTCAACCTTGACATTTCTTTCTCCTTTTCCAAACTTGCTTCCTTTTAAAACACCTCGCGACTGCCGTGCTCCCACATGAGGCCCAATTATCAGAATAATAATTAACAGGCTCTCATTATTTAGGATCAAACAATGCCCCCTTAATGAAGCAAGCCAAGAATAGCCAATGTAATCCCTTAAAACAGGGCGTGAGTTTTCCTTACACCTTGGGGCGTCTAATCCACTGAAACCATTAGGCACCGAGCTGCCCATAACGGCCTGGATAACATTGAGTCAAGGACAGTTAATGGATGCCAGAGCACAGACCAAAGTGCTCCAAGCATGTCAGTCAAGACTAACCGGAGGCAAAAACATCAAAATGCAGGTTGGAGTTTTGACATTCCTGCAGGCTCTGAACGCCTCGCCAGTAAATTTTTAAAGTCAATATCCCCCTTATGCTCATGAACACTTTTCTGTCTGATGAGTAGGACTAATGTGGATCTGATTGAACTGTGACTAAAGTAGGACTTTAAAGGCAGCTTTGAATGTGTGTAGGGCGGAAAGGGTTTTTTTGTGTGTGTGTTTTGTGTGTGTGTGTTTTCTTTTTTTTCCCCAGAAATGTCTGTGATAATAACGAAGACAGTGTACACAGATTATCACAGGCTGTGTCTTTCGACTTCAAGGTTATGTGATTAGAAAATTAGAAAAGCGACGAGATTAGAAAAACCGCAGAACATTTTGAAAGAAAGCTTTTTTACAAATTATCTGTGTGCTGGATTTACACAGAATCTGATAGATGGATCTTCTAATGTTTGGAAATGGATAAATGCAACAATGCAAATAGGAAGAACTGGCTTTGGAGCCTACTCCTGGCAGAAGTTCAAAACCCATATTAAGTATTCTAATTCACTCAAAGTCTGTTACTTATATTTTTTTAAAAATTGCCCCATGCATACAAAAACAAAATATAACCATTCTATAAACATAAAGGTAGAAACAACAATGAGACTGTTGTTTCTCATAATGTGTGACTTTCCCCCAGATTTGGAATAAAACCTTCTCCTCTCTGCCCTTTCTCTTCTCAGATGCTGAGAATGCTAATTAGAAGACAGGTATCAGGAAGCCCACACAGAGACGGTTTTGGGATTTTGTCAGCACTGGGCAAGTGGCTTAAGGTGAGATAGCCATTCTGGAGTCACAGCCTTACTCCTCCTTTAATGAAGGGAAAAAATAAATTTTCCTGTATCAAAACCTAGACTGGTCTAAATAAAAATTCCATTAAAAAATCACTCCATTTGCATGTCTGATGACAAGGATGGATTTCTAAAAATGTATAAGCAGAAAGATCTGTTAGTAAAAACAAAGGTGTAGAGGCTCACCTGTGTCTGATGAGAGCTTCCCAGGGCCCTTTCAGCACATGGAAGACGGAGTATTATTGTCTTGCCCGGGGAGAATAGCTCTATAAGCCCCAAAGTGCCCACATCCATGTTTAAAGGCATAAGTGACAGTCAAGCCATAGTGACCTTTAACCTATTTAATTGGAAGCTTTAGTAGACAGCATCTTGACATTTTTAGGACTTAACTCATTGCCAGTTGATTTAGGCCTCCCAAATGTTAAAATATAAATAGATCATAAATGCACGTCTAGGTCAGACTTGAATCTTCCAGACCTCTAAAGGTGATGTCAGCAAGATTTCACAATAAGGACTTCCCATTTAAGTTTAGGGATGCCCCAAAGCACATGAGTTGTCCTTAGTAGCTGATGTGTTAAATTGATTAGTTGGACCATCATCTAAATTTCTGTGCTTATTTTGATATTCAACTCAATATATGTGTGTATGTTTTAGCTACCATCTACCTATTGATTTCTCTGTATATCTATCCATCCTGTACTCAGTTGATCACAATATTTGCATAATTCAAAGCTGTAAGAGTTTATTGAACATCTACCCTATGCCAGCTTTGTTAGACATTCTGGAATAGGACTTTGTAACCTAGGGCTGTGGAATTCTTCTGAGAGGTCTATGAACAGAGTTCAGGGTGTGAATCCACTGTGTCTGTGTGCAAAATTTTGTATATTTATGTTCCTTTTGCTACAGAAAAGCCCATAGCCTTCATAGCATTGTGGGGAGTTACATATGTCAGGATCTAAATGAATAGATGCTTTCTCTATAGTATGTGCTTGGGAAACGATGCTTTAGTGTGAGAGTGTCACAGATTTTTAAAAAATTATTACTGAACATTAGCTAATTTTGTCCTGGAAAATAGGTAATTCAAAGGTGAATTTCTGGCTCCAACAAAATCACTCCAAAAGTGATTTAGTTGTTTCCATGGTTTTATTCTGTTGTTTCTGTTTCGTTTTATTTTTTTGAGGAGAACCTTGCTCAGACCCTGGAATAGTAGAGTATCCACATCTCCCCCAAACGTCCACCATGAAAATTCCTTTTCTCATTTTACTCCTCCCCTACCTTTATTTTTCTCTTCTTACTCTTGTGCTTATGCCCCAAATTCTCTGCCCCGCTGGTTTCGTCTCTTAGCTTCTCTCGTTCTCTCTCAGTTCTTTTCCTGTGCCCTTGGCTGCAAACCTGCTCTGTAATTCACAACAGAGCAGCTGTCATTGGCTGGGAGAGCCAGGCTCCTTGGTTTTAGACAGCCCTGGAACAAGGCAGTGACTTTGGTCTCTGGGTTCCTCAATAGACTGTACAACAAAGCCGTGGTGAAAGAAGGTGTCTTCTAAGAAGTTCACATTACGGCCTGTAGTAAAAGAAAATGGTGATATTGTTACAGCCACCAGTTTCTTCCCATTGTCTTCCTTGTCAAAAACATGCCCCCTCCAAAGGGATGGGATGCGTTTCAGTACAATTTGAGAATGTTCAGTAACCCAATATTATCTTCATTTCCCTTCTTGTTTCATGTTACTTTCTGATCCTTGAGTTCTCCCAAGTTCACAGCGGTCCATGACATTACGGTGACTCGCTAACTTTCCCATTATACTTACAGTCAATGGGAGAACAATAGATTGTGTTATTCTGTATCTTGCTTCCCTGTCACTCAGTGTTTTATCTCTGTTGATACCCCGGTACCAGACACAGAAACCAAAGTAGGTTGTCTTGTCTTCAGCGAATCTTGAATGCCTTTTGTTCAGAGAGGCGTTTTGTATTCATCAGTCAACTGAGGACTCATCCCGAAGAAGCCCTCAGTCAGCACACAGCCCCAAGAGAAAAAGGGATACTTGGTTTGTGAAATATTCATAGCAAAAGGTACCTCAATCATGTTCACCTTTTGGCCCCACGAGCCTGAAAGTATCACAACAGTCACAGGCGAATCTTGTGGACGTGAACATTTCCTGGATGAAATAATGTGCCATGTCTCATATCCACTTTTGATATTAAACCCATTCACACAGGCACATTTATCTTCCTACTCGATCTGCCAACACGGCTGTGTCAAACAGCTGTAATAAAAGTCCAAAGGTGAAATGATAGTGATCAAAGTTTAACCCGATTTCTTTCCCCTCTTCTTTGAAAGAGGAAATAGATAGGTTTTCTTCCCCATCCTCTCGCCCCCATGCACTGTATCTTTAAACGTCTCCCTCCTGGTGCTTAGAGACAGTCCTGAGGCCAAATTAAATGGCATGTTGTTTATGTTTCTGGAGAATAAAATCTTACCAGATCAATAAACGCATGTCCAAACAGAAAGTAACTGAAGAATATAATGACTGTTAATTGGATGCAATCAGTTGATGACTACTAAGTATCAAATTCAACCAGAAAACAGTCAACAGAATCCATGGCAATGCACAGAAGTAGAGGGAAAATAAAAGACAAGAGGAAGAAACCATAAAACATCACTTTCAATGTGTCCTACATCCTCAGACTTCCTGATAAAATAAGAACTAAACACTCAGGATTCCAATCTCGATTTACAACAAACTACTCTCTTATAATTTGAAGTAAACTGTTTCATGTAGATCTAGATTTCTGTGTCAAAGAGGATCTCTTTCCATGGTAAAGAATATACATTAACTAAAAGAAGAAGAAAAAGTAGCAAATGAACCCTGTGTTCATCACAGCTAATTTATACTGGGCTGAGGTGGTAACTACTTTTATTTAGTGCCTATTGTGTTGCACCAGACATCTCACATGCAAACATAGGAAGGTTCAAAGGAAGTCCCAGAAAGTTATTCTCAGATTTAACTTTAGTGTACACTATGAAATACTACTGTCTACAGGCTGAATATCCAAAAAGACTTTGACCACGTCTATCCTCTGCACGGGAAGTCCTTAAGAAAGGGTTTGGTACAACTTTCCAGTGCCTATGGAAATGAAAAGCATTTACATGAAGAATGGCAAAGAGGGCTCAACTTCAACAATTATTTGGCTAAATCCTGGTTGCTGCCTTGATCACCAGGTTGAGAACTATTTTAAGGCTGTGCCTAGACTCAGAAGAAAAATACAAAATCTTCTGCCATGAGCATGGTATAGAACCATGATGGAAAACCTGGTAGGCTTTTGTCATTCTGAGTCATTTGACCCAAGTGCTCTTGGTTTCTGAATCTTTAAAATCTCAGAACACAAGAAAGGCTGAAAAGGATTACAAAGCAGTTGACTTTGTTGGAAAATCGAGATACTCATTTCCTATTAGGCACCTAGACCTCTCAAGAGAGGAGGCCTCTGCCAATCTAATGAATAAATAAAATACAAATAAAGCTTCACATTCAAGCCTGGGCGCCCCAGGGAGATAGTCTCTTGGAATTCAGTAATCAAGATGCCTGAAACTCTGTGCTGGACCCATCATCGGGGAGACCAGGCTGCAACTGTGCCCAGGCTCCCAGTGCCTATCAGAAGCAAATCTGGCCCCAAAGAAAGCAAATAATTAAGCAGGTCATTAGGAAGCCCATAAAAGTACGGATGTGCAGCTACGCCCTGCCGTTAACTTCAAAAGGTGACCAAACGGCAGAGATTCTTAGCAGCAGAGGAAAAAGCAATGGAAAAAGTGAAGTCGCATGACACCCAAGGGCTGCCCAAGTGGGAGCTTATTCCACAAAAATCTGCTTCAGCCCAAGCAGGCCAAGTGGCTTCCCCATCTGCTTGGTCTGTACTCTTAGAAGTCACCCAGGGCTAGGATAACTATTGCAGAGGTGTGCTCTACCACACAGCTATAGCAGGGGCTGGAGGCGGATAGGGTACTCCCCAGGTGGCCAGTATACCTGGGAGTTCTAGAGCTTGACCCCCAGCCTTAGCTGTGGCTGAACTGTGAAGCATGCCTATTCCTTTCCTTCCTCCAGGGCCCCTCCCACTTACGTGCCCAGTGACCTCAAATTGCCCAGTGTCTTGTTTGGGCAGAAGAGGAGAAGCTATGAAACTCAATCAGACTTAAATCAAAATGACTCAAATATCCTATACAGGTTCATTTGAAATTTCAGCAGTTCTGCAGAAAGAGGGCAATATTTAATGACAGAATTTTGGGTGAAGCGTGCCTCACGTGGGGGCAATGTTTTAGACTCCTATAGAGATGTCTTTGCTTATCCCCAAATCATATTTCCTATTCAGGCAAAGGTAAAGCCATTTCTATTCACCCTAAGGTAATACAGACCCACAGCTCCAAGTCAGTGCCAAATTCCTTGGGCTTAAAATGGACTCCATGGCTGGAGCATATTGGTCCCAGGGCATTCTCTGGTCCCTCCCAATTCTAATCTGACCTCAACTAGTTTGGAGATGGTGAGAAAGAGTTTGAAATGCCAATAATGGAGACTTAATTTGGCTGGGTTAAGGTTACTCTAAGTGTTCATTTGGGAAAGTAGTCAGAATATTTTCATTAATTCTTCCTTCCTTCTGTCCGCCCTCCTGTCATCAACTGGAAATATCATTTCATTGGGTACAGTTTTTCATTTTAAGAAGACCTGTGTTCTCTTACTGAATTTATTTATCTAGCAGAGCCCTGATGTGATGTAATTTTGAGGAAGGACAACACTGAGTTGGTGTAATTATTTCTTAATATTTAAAAGCTCCCTTGGTTAATGTGTTTTCGGGGACAAGCTGTTAAATCATTAGGGATGGTGTTTGTGGCCTTTTTGTAAGCAGCAGCTACTGTTGACTTGAGCCATTGGGCCTAGAGATCATCCCGACCTGAGCTTCCCATTAGCAAGCTGGGAATGGGCTGGACGCTGGCTAACAGGTCTTATTACTAAACTATATTTGATGAATGTGATGATAGTTAAAATTTTCTACTTAAAAAAAGAAAACTATAGGAAATTTCCCTGTCAAACTTTATGGTATGCTCTGTGAGCTGAGGAGAGGAAAGTTCTGGAAGCGGGAATCCGCAAATGACTCATGGGCCCATTCAGCTGTGCTCATTTGTCATGAGGAAATAAATGGTGAACTGAGAGCAGTCTGAGATACAAGAACAGGATAAAAATCATTCTGTTGTGGTTCCAGAAAACAGAGCCAGGGGTAGGTAAGCCATGATGGACACAGTGAGAGGAGCTTCAGCTCCACTGAAGGATGCCTTGTCTAGTAGGCAGGTATCTTAGTCAGCTCAGGCTACCATAACAAAATACCATAGACTGAGTGGCTGAAATGACATTCTTTTTTTTCCCTCAAAGTTCTGGGAATTAAGGTACCAGCATGTCAGGCCATGGTGAGCATGCTCTTTTTGTCTTTAGATGGCTACCTTGTCACTGTGTCCTCACATGGCAGAAAAAGGAAGCTCTGCTGTCTCTTCCTCTTCTTCTAAGAACATTAATCCCAGCATTGGGGGCTCCATCCTCATGACCTCCTCTAAACCTAATAACCTCTGAAGGCCCCAAATCCGAATACCGTCACATAGGGGGTTAGGGTTTCAACATATGAATTTAGCAGGGTGGGGGTGAGGGGAAACAAATATTTAGTCCATCACAACAGGACTACCAAAAACCAGAAGGAGGTGTTCCTGCGATAAGGAATTCCACGTCATTGATGGTGTTCGAGAAGAGGCAGGAAGACCACAGTTACAGCTCTCCTAGAAGAAATTCACATATTGAATAAGATGTTGGAGTGGCTTGCTTCCGTGTTCCCTTCCTAAGACGATGCTCCCTTAATTATTCTGTGATTTAATGTGGAAGTGGGAAAGATAGGAGCCAAGGATTTGGGGCAAGTTGTTGGTGGAAGGATTGCTACCATGGATGACATTCATGGTCAGGAATATTGGTCAGGTTGGACAAATCTGGTCATGGTTGCTGGGAATGGGGATCAGTTAGGAAGATATGAGCATAATTTCATATGTTTAAGTCACAACCTCACTGTGCTGTCCCATACGTAGGACACCTGGCCACCTGTAAGTAAAGAACAATTCTCCTTATGACTAACATGAATGAAGAATAGAAGATCCACGAGTCTAGAAGTGATGGTATCCTGGTCATAAGTCATCACTCTTTCTTAGCAGACATTAAACAATCTCATATTCTTCATTTTTTCTTTTATTTTTAAATCTGAGAGCATCAAAGTTACTTAAAAACTTCAGTATCTACTATGGTGTGAGGTGATTGCAACCTTTATTACGTTTTTTATTTATTTAGCTTCTCATTTTGATTAGAGTTGAGCTATTTCTTTCCACACCAGTGATATTGGACCTCAGTTGAACAGACATGGTGGTTTCATGAAATGCACATTGAAAGCCATCTGAGAAGAGAAGGCAAGTTCAGCTTGGCTTTCACTGCATGCTGCTCTTTTCCTTCTCAGGTCTGGGATCTCTGCAGCCTCAGCCTCCACTCCCTTGTCCTGAGGAGCTAAGGTGAAGTGCAGAGGGACTTTTGCTGAGCTGGACCTCTCTTCATCACCTGGCTTTTCTCTGTTGGAGTTGCTGTCATTTTGTCATCTTAGTGACATCTAAATGCAGCCCCATCTGCATGGACTAGTGACATTGACATGCTTACGATATTCTTCCAAGAGGTCAAATCATATTCAAGGAGAAAAAAAAGCAGCCTCACTCTTAAAGAAATATGCACATACTCGCACATATGAAACACATTTTTAAAATTTCAGTTTATCTTCCCTTTATCTCTTCTCTAAGACATAACTGTAATTCTGTTTCCTTTTCCATGTAGTGTTTTCAATGAAATCTTGATTAAATTTATGATTACTTGGAGACATGTAAATGTATAATAATATATATGTTGTAAATTAAACATATGTAAATACATATGAAGAAAGAAAGAAGAAGAAAATGAAATTCAATAAGAATAACATGTTTTATAAAGGAAAAGAAAATGAGACGGGCAGGTGGATTAATGTGCATTTGGGATTTATTAAGGCTGTCATTGTATGAGACAGTTTTCTTTAAGCTTTGGTGGTGTTCAAAAGAGGGAGGAAGACCACAGTTACAGTTCTCCTAGAAGAAACTCACATATTGAATAAGATGTTGGAGTGGCTTGCTTCCATGTTCCCTTCCTAAGATGATGCTCCATTAATTATTCTGTGTTTTAATGTGGAAGTGGGAAAGATAGGAGCCAAGGATTTGGGGCAAGTTGTTGGTGGAAGTATCACTACCATGGATGACATTCACGGTCAGGAATATTGGGAAGAGAATGGAACAACTTGGAGAGAAGAGGTAGGTGGCTAAAAGTCAAATGGCACTGTCTTACCAAAAAGAAGGTGTACACAGAAGACAACTGCCCAGTAGATTACTTATCCCGAATTCAGTTTCCAAAAAAGGACAAGGTGTGTGCTATTTGTATACTCAGTTATTTTTTTCACTCATCGCCATGTCACAACCTGGGAATTTGAATACAGAGTAAGTAAAGTTATGGTCGCTGCCCATGACAATGGTGTAAACTGTGAAGAAGGACCTGCTATGCCTCTTTAACATTTCTAAGAAGCATAAATAAGCAAGTAAATGTGAGGAACAAGCTATGTGCCAACTGTAGAGGAATCCCTAATGGAATTGAGTAAACCAGAGAAGGGTCAAGGAAACACACTCAACTGCATTCAGCTCAATTTAACTGCTGCCACTCTTTACCTATTTGAATCACCTCCTACTGGAAAAAGCAAATCCAGTAAACCTAGAAAAACAGTGCTAAGAAATCCAATCTACTATTGCTGCTTTGTGAAGCAAAGTATAAATGCTATTATAGGCTATTTGATGGTAAAGATTCTCAGTACCAGTAAGACCTCCAGTAACATTGATAAAAGAAAATGAACTTGACCTCCAATAGAGACACATCTTGCACTCTCAGGGAAAATGTGAACACTCACCTTTCTGGCTGACAGATCTGCATCTCATTTTTAGGGTATAGACTTTTATGTTTAGGAATGATTTTTTTGACATTCATTAGATGTAAATCTTTATAGCAATAACTTAGGAAAAGAAGACATTTCTACAGTATTTGTAGTAATGTGATGCTTTTCCTCAGAAGATCCTAAGGACATTTCTTTATTATTATAAAACTTCCATTTTAAAAACAGAATTGACCCTTGAAAGATACATGGGTTTGTCTGTTTTGGCCTGTGTCTCCTGGGATGCTTGAGGTGAGGGAGGCTACCAACCTTTTGTCACTGTTGCAATGTCTCCAGTTCACACTCAGTATCTAGTGAAAGAACCGGGAATGTTTAGCCTGGAGAAGAGAGGATTCCAGGTGACATGGTGACTATGTCTAAATTTGTGGAAGGAATTGTGGAAGAAAACAGATAAGGGAGCTAACTTTTACTGAGTAACGGCAACCTAACAGAAACTCTGCTAGGCATGGGACCATATCTTCACTCCTCACAATAAACTTATGAGGCAGGTAATTTAGATAAGGAAACTAAAAATCAGAGTCTTAGTAATTGCCCAGCTAGTAATCAAGTGGCAAGGTCAGGCTTGATTCTATATGACTAAACATCCTAAAGTTCTTCCACAACCCCAGATTATTCCACATGGTCCATGGGTAAAACTAGGGCCAGTAGACAGAAATAACAAGGCAGTGGCTTTTTTTTTTTTTTTTTTTTTTTTAGATGCAGTTTCACTCTTGTTGCCCAGGCTGGAGTACGGTGGCATGATCTCGGCTCACTGCAACCTCTGCCTCCCGCGTTCAAGTGATTCTCCTGCCTCAGCCTCCCAAGTAGCTGGGATTACAGGTGCCTGTCACCACACCTGGCTAATTTTTGTATTTTTAGTAGAGATGGGGTTTCACTATGGTGGCCAGGCTGGTTTCAAACTCCCGATCCCAGGTGATCCGCCCGCCTCGGCCTCCCAAAGTGCTGGGATTACAGGCATGAGCCCCCACACCCAGCCAACAATGTAGTGGCTTTTATTCCACTCAATCTAAGAGGGAGCTTCTGCGTTTCAGAGTGGTCCAGAGTGGTCCAGAGATGGCAGGGTCAGGGGTGGCGAGGTTGTCTTTCTGGAGGCTGCTGGCTGCTGACTCAGCATGGGTCATTGCTGACCAGCAGATGTCCTACAGAGTACTCTGTCTGAGAAGTAGCAGAGGTATCAGGGAAAAAATGACAGTGGGAGCAAACAATGAGTTCTGTGATTGAATAAGTTCTGAAAGTACCAAGTTGAAACAGGTCATTCCCTGGAGAATTTCTCTGAGACTTTCACGTACTCTTGTGATTTGTGAATCTATATCATGGGGATCTACAAAATGGACACTGGATCTGAACTTAAAACCCCTTTCTCGGGAAGATCACACACTGGGGCCTGTCGGGGGGTGGGGGGCTGGGGGAGGGATAGCATTAGGAGATACACCTAATGTAAATGACAAGTTAATGGGTGCAGCACACCAACGTGGCACATGTATACACATGTAACAAACCTGCACGTTGTGAACATGTACCCTAAAATTTAAAGTATAATAATAAAAAAAAATTTACAAAAATATGAAGTCAAACATAAAAAAAAAAATCAGTGGCTAATCTTAAAAAAAAAAAAAAAAAAAAAAAAACAACCCTTTCTCCTGGAATATTTTCAGGGACCAATGCTCCAGAGAACACAATCAGGAAACGTGGTTGTGGAGTGTGCCAAAACACTGTATGAGAGTTAGGTCAGAGGACCTTCCAATCTCTGCTATTTCTTTCACTTATTTCATTCACTCATTAATTCACTGAACGAGAATGAATCCCACCTTAGCTTCCAAGGCCTCCTTTCTATTCTGAAAACACTCCAGGCACTCTCAGGCTTTTGCACTGGCCATTCCTGCTTCCCAGAAGCTCTCTCCCCACATTTCTGTGTGGTTGATTTAGATTCCTGCTGCAAGGCTTGCTCAGTGTCACTTTCTCAGTGCGGCCTCTCTGCCATCTCCCCTGGGCATCTCTATCCCTCTTACCCAATTCTAATATCTTTTCCAGTAGTACTTGTCCCCTTCTAGCATACAATGTAATTAACTTTATGATTTTTATTGTTGTCTATCTCCCCCAGTAGAACTTGCCAGATCTTTAAGGATAAGATCTTACTCCGTTTTATTTGCAGATGTGCCCCCAAGCATTTAAAATAGCTCTTGTATAATAATAGATGCTCAATAAATAGAGATTGAATGAATTAGAGAAACACATGGGTTTCTATCCTCAGGGAGGTGTGATTCTGTGAACACTCGAGTGAACAGAAAATGTTTATTTGAGGGTTTATTTTACATATGCAGGCATACCTTGGAGATAGTTCAGGTTCTCTTTCAGACCACTGCAATAAAGCAAATATCGCAACAAAGCAAGTCACATAAATTATTTGGTTTCCCAGTGCCTATCAAAGTTGTGTTTACATCATACTGTAGTCTACGAAGTGAGCAATAGCTTTGTGTCTAAGAAACAATGTATATACCTTAATTTAAAATATTTTCTTGCTAAAAACTGCTAATGATCCTCTGAGCCTTCAGCGAATTGGCACCTTTTTGCTGGTGGAGGGTCTTACCTCCAGTTGATGACTGCTGACTGATCAGGCTGGTAGTTGCTGAGGGTTAGGGTGGCTGTGACAATTTCTTAAAATAAGACAACAATGAAGTTTGCCACATCAATTGACTCAATCACAAAAGATTTCTCTGTAGCATGCAATACTGTTTGATGACATATTAACCGCAGTAGAATTTCTGTCAAAATTAGAGTCAAACCTCTCAAACCCTGCTGCCGCTTTGCCAACGAAGTTTATGTAACATTCTAATCCTTTGTTGTCATTTCAACAGTGTTTACGGCATCTTCACCAGGAGTAGATTTCATCTCAAAAAAACCACTTTCTTTGCTCATCCATAAGAAGCAACTCCTCGTCCATTCAAATTTTATTGTGAGATTGCAGAAATTCTGGCCCATCTTCAGGTTCCACTTCTATAATTATTCTAGTTTTCTTGCTATTTCCACTACATCTGCAGTTACTTCCTCCAATGAAGTCTTAAATCCCTCAAAGTCATCCATGAGGGATGTAATCAGCTTCTTCCAAACTCCTGTTAAGGTGGATATTTTGACCTCATCTTTTGAATCACAAATCAAAATGTTCTTAATGGCATCTAGAATGGTTATTTCCAGAAGGATTTTAATTGACTTTGGCCAGATCCATCAGGGGAATCACTATCTGTGGCCTCAGAAAATGTATTTCTCAAATAATGAGACTTGAAAGTCAAAATTACACCTTGATTCACAGGCTGGACAATGAATGTTGTGTTAGCAGGCATGAAAACAACATTCATCTCCTTGTACATCTTCATCAGAGCTCTTGAATAACCAGGTGCATTGTTAATAAGCAGTAACATTTTGAGAGGAATCTTTTTTCTGAGCAGGAGGTCTCAACAGTGGGCCTAAAATATTCAGTCAACCGGCCAGGCATGGCGGCTCATGCCTGTAATCCCAGCACTTTGGCAGGCTGAGGTGGGTGGATCATGAGGTCAGGAGATTGAGACCATCCTGGCTAACACGGTGAAACCCTGTCTCTACTAAAAATACGAAAAATTAGCCAGGCGTGGTGGTGGGCACCTGTAGTCCCAGCTACTTGGGAGGCTGAGGCAGGAGAATGGCGTGAACCTGGGAGGCAGAGCTTGCAGTGAGCAGAGATCGCACCACTGTACTCCAGCCTGGGTGACAGAGCGAGACTCCGTCTCAAAATAAATAAATAAATAAAATAAAAAGAAAAAAAAATCAGTAAACCATGCTGTAAACAGATATGCTCTCATCCAGGCTTTGCTGTCTCTTTGTAGGTCACCCAGGACTTACTTTATGAATCTGGGTGCTCCTGTATTGGGTGCATATATATTTAGGATAGTTAGCTCTTCTTGTTGAATTGATCCCTTTACCATTATGTAATGGCCTTCTTTGTCTCTTTTGATCTTTGTTGGTTTAAAGTCTGTTTTATCAGAGACTAGGATTGCAACCCCTGCCTTTTTTTGTTTTCCATTTGCTTGGTAGATCTTCCTCCATCCTTTTATTTTGAGCCTATGTGTGTCTCTGCACGTGAGATGGGTTTCCTGAATACAGCACACTGATGGGTCTTGACTCTTTATCCAATTTGCCAGTCTGTGTCTTTTAATTGGAGCATTTAGTCCATTTACATTTAAAGTTAATATTGTTATGTGTGAATTTGATCCTGTCATTATGATGTTAGCTGGTTATTTTGCTCGTTAGTTGATGCAGTTTCTTCCTAGTCTTGATGGTCTTTACATTTTGGCATGATTTTGCAGTGGCTGGTACCGGTTGTTCCTTTCCATGTTTAGTGCTTCCTTCAGGAGCTCTTTTAGGGCAGGCCTGGTGGTGACAAAATCTCTCAGCATTTGCTTGTCTGTAAAGGATTTTATTTCTCCTTCACTTATGAAGCTTAGTTTGACTGGATATGAAATTCTGGGTTGAAAATTCTTTTCTTTAAGAATGTTGAATATTGGCCCCCACTCTCTTCTGGCTTGTAGAGTTTCTGCCGAGAGATCTGCTGTTAGTCTGATGGGCTTCCCTTTGTGGGTAACCTGACCTTTCTCTCTGGCTGCCCTTAGCATTTTTTCCTTCATTTCAACTTTGGTGAATCTGACAATTATGTGTCTTGGAGTTGCTCTTCTCGAGGAGTATGTTTGTGGCGTTCTCTGTATTTCCTGAATCTGCATGTTGGCCTGCCTTGCTAGATTGGGGAATTTCTCCTGGATAATATCCTGCAGAGTGTTTTCCAACTTGGTTCCATTCTCCCCGTCACTTTCAGGTACACCAATCAGACGTAGATTTGGTCTTTTCATATAGTCCCATATTTCTTGGAGGCTTTGTTTGTTTCTTTTTATTCTTTTTTCTCTAAACTTCCCTTCTCACTTCATTTCATTCATTTCATCTTCCATCACTGATACCTTTTCTTCCAGTTGATCGCATCAGATCCTGAGGCTTCTGCATTCTTCACGTAGTTCTTGAGCCTTGGCTTTCAGCTCCATCAGCTCCTTTAAGCACTTCTCTGTATTGGTTATTCTAGTTATACATTCGTCTAAATTTTTTTCAAAGTTTTAACTTCTTTGCCTTTGGTTTGAATTTCCTCCTGTAGCTCGTAGTTTGATTGTCTGAAGCCTTCTTCTCTCATCTCATCAAAGTCATTCTCCATCCAGCTTTGTTCCATTGCTCGTGAGGAACTGCGATCCTTTGGAGGAGAAGAGGTGCTCTGCTTTTTAGAGTTTCCAGTTTTTCTGCTGTGTTTTTTCCCCATCTTTGTGGTTTTATCTCCTTTTGGTCTTTGATGATGGTGATGTACAGATGGCTTTTTAGTGTGGATGTCCTTTCTGTTTGTTAGTTTTCCTTCTAACAGACAGGACCCTCAGCTGCAGGTCTGTTGGAGTTTGCTAGAGGTCCACTCCAGACCCTGTTTGCCTGGGTATCAGCAGCGGTGTCTGCAGAACAGTGGTTTTTCGTGAACTGCGAATGCTGCTGTCTGATCGTTCCTCTGGAAGTTTTGTCTCAGAGGAGTACCCGGCTGTGTGAGGTGTCAGTCTGCCCCTACTGGGGGGGTGCCTCCCAGTTAGGCTGCTCAGGGGTCAGGGGTCAGGGACCCACTTGAGGAGGCAGTCTGCCCGTTCTCAGATCTCCAGCTACGTGCTGGGAGAACCACTGCTCTCTTCAAAGCTGTCAGACAGGGACATTTAAGTCTGCAGAGGTTACTGCTGTCTTTTTGTTTGTCTGTGCCCTGCCCCCAGAGGTGGAGCCTACAGAGGCAGGCAGGCCTTCTTGAGCTGTGGTGGGCTCCACCCAGTTGGAGCTTCCTGGCTGCTTTGTTTACCCAAGCAAGCCTGGGCAATGGTGGGTGCCCCTCCCCCAGCCTCGCTGCCACCTTGCAGTTTGATCTCAGACTGCTGTGCTAGCAATCAGCAAGGCTCCGTGGGCGTAGGACCCTCCGAGCCAGGTGCAGGATATAATCTCCTGGTGTCCGTTATTTAAGCCCATTGGAAAAGCGCAGTATTTGGGTGGGAGTGACCCGATTTTCCAGGTGCCATCTGTCACCCCTTTCTTTGACTAGGAAAGGGAACTCCCTGACCCCTTGTGCTTCCCGAGTGAGGCAATGCCTCGCCTTGCTTCGGCTCGCACACGGTGCGCTGCACCCACTGACCTGCGCCCACTGTCTGGCACTCCCTAGTGAGATGAACCCGGTACCTCAGATGGAAATGCAGAAATCACCCGTCTTCTGCATCGCTCACGCTGGGAGCTATAGACCGGAGCTGTTCCTATTCGGCCATCTTGGCTCCTCCTGGTGGTTTTACTTTCTTATCATTCCTGTGTTCACTGGAGTAGCACTTTTAATTTCCTTTAAGGACTTTTCCTTGCATTCACAACTTCTCTTAACTGTTTGGTGCAAGAGACTTAGCTTTTGGCCTATTTCAGTTTTCAATGTGCCTCCCTCACTAAACTTTATTATTTCTAGCTTTTGATTTAAAGTGAGAGACTTGCAACTCTTCCTGCACTTGAACTCTTATAGGCCACTGTGGGGTTATTTATTGGCCTAGTTTCTACCTAAAATGTCTCATGGAATAGAGAGGCTTGAGGAGACAGAGATGAGGGATGGGCTGGTCAGTGGAGCAGTCTGAACACCCACAACATTTAGTAATTAAGTTTGCCATCTTATATGGGTGATGATGCCCCCCTCAAAATTACTATAGTAACATCGAAGATCACTGATTACAGATCACCATACCAGATATAACGATAATTTAAAAGTTTGAGGTTTTGTGAGAATTACCAAAATGAGACCCAGAGACACAGTGTGAGCTCATGCTGTTGGAAAAATGTCACTAACAAACTTGCTTGATACAGGGTTTTCGCAAACCTTAAATTGATAAAAAATGCAATTATTTATGAGGCATAATAAAGTACAATAAAACAAAGTACATGTATAATCTAGTTGGCCAA